>NC_000016.10:82005682-82630682 GCF_000001405.40 Homo sapiens
CCTGCCTTTATAATGGCAAGTGCTTGAAGGTCCTTCCAAAATGTGGCTTTGTTCAGTAATTGCTCTCCCCTGGTGGGGAGGGCTACATCCGACCTGAGCAGTCATTTTAGTGGATACAGGTTAAAGTTAAGCACATGATCAAGAAACAACAAAAAAAACCTTAATTACAAACAGTAAAAAAAAATTAAATTTAAAAATCCACCTGACCTCTTGAGAATACTAAGGTAAAGCGAGGGTAATAAAGTTGACATCTCAAGGGAAGTTATGAGAAAAAACTAATAAAAGATGACTGGGAGTACTTTACATTTTAAAAGACCTAATTAAATGCTAAAGATCAGAAATAAGAACCTTTGATTACGCACACCGTTCCTTCATCCCTATGAGTTCAAGATGACTGTGCTACTTGCCCTCTGGTATCATAATGCAATATAGAAATATGGGTGTCATTAGCATTTCACCAATAGAAAGTATGGAACAGCGGGAATTTAAGACTGTTACCATAAAAATAAAAAAACTGTATTTACTTTAAGAGAGAGAAAAAATATCTCCAAGTACTATAACCCCATGATTACGTGTTTTAAATCACTGTACAAGTGCTGACCAGAGGTAAAAGGTAACTGTATTCTTATTATATTGAGATCTGGCAAATATATTCATGCTAGAGGGCTTACGAAATGGTGCTGTTCAAATTCCATGCATGATCTGAAAATTATCTACTTGTGTTTAATACAAGGAAGTCAAAACAATAAAAATAAATATGCAGTTAGAGGGATAAGGAGAAGAATTCTGATACAGATAAAAGAGATGTGACATATAAAATTCAAAAGGGGCTGGGTGCAGTGGCTCACGCCTGTAATTCCAGCACTTTGGAAGGCTGAGGTGGGTGGATCACTTGAGGTCAGGAGTTTGAGACCAGCTGGGCCAACATGGTGAAACCCTGTCTCTACTAAAAACAGAAAAAATTCGCCAGGCGTGGTGATGCACACCTGTAATCTCAGCTACTCAGAAGGTTGAGGCAGGAGAATTGCTTGAACCTGGGAGATGGAGGTTGCAGTGAGTGCAGACTGCACCACTATACTCCAGTCTAGGCGACAGAGGGAGATTCCATCTCAAAAAAAACAAAAAACAAAAAACCAAAAGGCCAAACACACCTTGGAAGAAAATTACCTAAGGGCATAGAGTTAAGTGAAAACCAGTATACTCGTAATAGATATGGGTATTTATGCAGGGTTTTGAATATAACTAGGTAGCAGGACAGCTGTCTATAATTCAGGGTCATCACCTGAGGTGTTTCAAATCTTGTTCGGCTACCTAAACTTCTGCCTAGATACTTGTGGCACAAGTGCCTTGCAATTCCTCACAATGCTGATGACAAAGAAATGAAATAATTTTGTAACTGGTATTTCCCATCTGTTTCCCAAGCTACAGTATAAATGCCATGTGAGTACAGACTGGCAATATCTATAGGGACAAGGAATATCTAGCAGATTGTAGACCCAGTAAATATAAATGGGGTGAACATTTTGCAAGCTCTTCAAATGCCTCTTTCTGTCCTATCTGCAAGGAGTACTACACTTGTACTTTCTTCTTCACTAGGTCAGCAGTTTGCCACGTCTATAAATTGAAGTAATACCAAGTAATTGAATTAATATCTAGTAATTGAAGTAATATCAACTGCCACTTATTAAGCACTTACTCTCTGCCAGGCATTGTGCAACACTCTGTCTGTGAATTATTTCACAACCCTCTCAGATGAGTACTAATTTGTTAATTCCATTTTACAGGTGAGAAAACTGAAGCTCAGAGACACAAAGTGCCTAACTCCAAGTCCTACAGCTAGCAAATGGTAGAGCAGGGATCTGTACCAATAACCCAGGTGCATCTGACTCTACAGTTCATCTTAACGCAGCAGCACTCGAGGCTGTGCAGAGCCCCTACCTGAAGTGCTTGGTACTGACCTGAGTCCTGTGAGGGCTTTCACTGTTAACACATTCTGCAACCTCATTGTGGTTCCTGCAGTTCCCAGAGAAAATGAATTGGAGGTGGCCCATCTTCTCCCATGTGGCACAGGTAGCACTGATGAAGGGTTAAGACTCCCAGTTTGGAAATCTGGGCATTAGACTTGGCTCTTCCACCAATTCCCTGTGTTACCCTAGGCAATTCACTGAACCTCTGTTTCCTCCGCCCTAAAATAAAAACAGCAACAACCATGGCTACACTTATTATTTATTATGGGTTAGGCAGTGATATGGTTTGGCCGTGTCTCCACCCAAGCCTCTTGTTGAATTGTAGCTCCCGTAAATCCCACGTGTCCTGGAGGGACCCGGTAGGAGGTAATTGAATCATGGGGGCGGGTCTTTCCTGTGCTATTCTCATGATAGTAAGTCCCACAACATCTGATGATTTTATAAAAGAAAATTCCCCTACACAAACTCTCTTGCCAGCCACCATGTAAGACGTGACTTTGCTCTTCCTTTGCCTTCTGCCATGATTATGAGGCCTCCCCAGCCACGTGGAACTGTGAGTCCATTAAACTACTTTCCATTATAAATTACCCAGTCTTGGGAATGTCTTTATTAGCAGTATGAGAATGGACTAATACAGTAAATTGGCACTGGGTAGTGGGGTGCTACTGTAAAGATATCTGAAAATGTGGAAGTGACTTTGGAACTGGTTTACAGGCAAAGCCTGCAACAGTTTGGAGGGCTCAGAAGAAGACAGGAAGATGTGGGAAAGTTTGGAACTTCCTAGAGACTTGTTGAATGGCTTTCACCAAAATGCTGACAGTGATATAGACAATAAAGTCCAGGCTGAGGTGGTCTCAGAGATGAGGAACTTGTTGGGAACTGGAGCAAAAGTGACTCGTTATGTTTTAGCAAAGAGACTGATGGCATTTTGTCCTTGCCCTAGAGATCTGTGTAAGTCAGAGCTTCAGAGAGATGATTTAGGGTATCTGGGGTAAGAAATTTCTAAGCTGCAAAGCATTCAAGAGGAAGCAGAGTGTAGGTTTGAAAAATTTGCAGCCTAATGATACAAAAGAAAAGAAAAACCCATTTTCTGGGGAGAAATTCAAGCTGGCTGCAGAAATTTGCATAAGTAACAAGGAGCCAAATGCTAATCATCAAGACAATGGGGAAAATGTCTCCAGGGCATGTCAGAGACCTTCTTGGCAGCCCCTCCTACCAAAGGCCCAGAAGTCTAGGAGGCAAAAATGGTTTCCTGGGCTGGGTCCAGGGTCCCCCTGCTCTATGCAGCCTAGGGACTTGGTGCTCTGCGTCCCAGCTGCTCCAGCTGTGGCTAAAACGGGCCAAGGTACAGCTCAAACTGGGGCTTCAGAGGGTGCAAGCCCCAAGCCTTGGAAACTTCCATGCGGTGTTAAGCCTGTGGGTACACAGAAGTCAAGAACTGAGGTTTGGAAACCTCTCCCTAGGTTTCAGAGGATGTATGGAAACTCCTGGATGTCCAGGCAGAAGTTGGCTGCAGGGGTGGGGCCCTCATGGAGAACCACTGCTAGAGCAGCATGGAAGGGAAATGTGGGGTTGGAACCACCCCACAGCGTCCCCACTGGGACACTGCCTAGTGGAGCTGTGAGAAGAGAGCTACCATCCTCCAGACCCCAGAATGGTAGATCCACCAACAGCTTGCACCGTACACCTAGAAAAGCAGCAGACACTAAACGCCAGCCCTGGAAGCAGCCAAAAGTGGGGCTGTACCCTGCAAAACCACAAGGGTGGAGCTGCCCAAGACTATGGGAAACCACCTCTTGCATCAGTATGACCTGGATATGGGACACGGAGTCAAAGGAGGTCATTTTGGAGTTTCAAGATGTGACTGCCCCGCTGGATTTTAGACTTGCATGGGGCCTGTAGCCCCTTCGTTGTGGCCAATTTCTCCTTTTTGGAATGAGTATACTTACCCAATACCTGTACCCCCATTGTATCTAGGAAGTAACTAACTTGCTTTTGATTTTACAGGCTTATAGGTGGAAGGGGCTTGCCTTGCCTCAGATGAGACTTTGGAGTGTGGACTTTTGAGTTAATGCTAAAATGAGTTAAGACTTTGTGGGACTGTTGGGAAGGCATGATTGGTTTTGAAATGTGAGGGCATGAGATTTGGGAGGGGCCAGGGGCGGAATGATATGGTTTGGCTGTGTCTCCACCCAAATCTCACCTTGAATTGTAGATCCCATAATTACCACGTGTCCTGGGAGGGACCCAGTGGGAGGTAACTGAATCACAGGGGTGGGTTTTTCCCATGCCGTTCTCTTGATAGTGAATAAGTCTCAAAAGATCTGATGGTTTTATAAAGGGGAGTTCCCCTACACAAGCTCTCTTGCCTGCCACCATATAAGACGTAAGATGTGACTTTGCTCCTCTTTTGCCTTCTGGCATGATTATGAGGCTTCCCCAGCCATGTGGAACTGTGAGTCCATCAAACCTCTTAACTTTATAAATTACCCAGTCTTGGGTATGTTTTTATTAGCAGCATGAGAATGGATTAATACAGGTAGTTTAAAGGTTTAGCATTTAAGCCTCAGGACAATCTTCCGAAGTTGTTACTAGTATTATCATCAGCTTTCAGAAATGAGGAAAATAGATCAGAGGTTAGGAACCTTGCCCACAAATTATGCAGGTCATAAGGGGTTGGGCAGGGTTCAGGACTTGAAGCCGGGTCTGTATGACTCTTAACCACTACATGTAATGCCGCACAATAAGGCTGGGACAATACAGATTCGCTTAGGTCATTATCTTATCACTGTGAAAGGAAAATAAATCTTGGGGTCCCAAGATCACTAAGCTAAAGGGAAAAGTCAAGCTGAGAACTGCTTAGGGCAAACCTGCCTCCCATTCTATTCATGTATCTCTGCTCACTAAAATAAAGGCATATCTGATTGCTTCCTTTGGAGAGGCTAATCAAACTCAAAATAATGCAACCATTTGTCTCTTACCTACCTATGACCTGGAAGCCCCCTCCCCGTTTCGAGTTGTCCCGCCTTTCCAGACCGAAAAACATGTTCATCTTACATCTGTTCTTGTCTCATGTCTCCCTAAAATGTAGAAAACGAAACTGGGCTCTGACCACATTAAGAATACATCGTCAGGACCGCCTGAGGCTGTGTCATGGGTACATGTCTTCAACCTTGGCAAAATAAACTTTCTAAATGAACTGAGACCCGTCTCAGATTTTCAGGGCTCACTCCACCTCCACAATTTCTGTCACATCTGATTCATCTGGTATTATGACTAGCCTATAAGGTTTTGTTTAAACCTACTTACCTTTTCCCAACAAATACATGCAGTTTAAATGGGAACCTGTCACTGCCACTTTTAAGTGGCAAACCAGAACCAAGTGATAAAGAGGAGGTAATCGTTCTCCCAAAGTGTGCAGAAAATCAAAGACAGGAATCAAGTATAGCCAGCCACCTGTGGAAAGTTCGGAGCTTGGGGCCCCGATGTCCTTAAAAACAAAAAATGCGGAGGGCCAGTGTTTGAGGCCTTGGCGACATTCTAGAAAGCCAAGCTGCGCCCGGTCCCCTGGGATCAGGAAGACATCTGAAAGGGGATACTCCTTCCCGCCACCCTGCTCAGTCATTCACCACCGTCCCCCACCCCCGGGACCGCCACCTGTCGCGTTCCAGGCCGAGGCGGTCCAGGGTCCCCGCGGAAGGGCGGCGGCCCCCCAACCCCAGCCCAGGCCCACTCACAGCTGCAGGAACAAGGGCGCGGCAGACGGCTACAGCAGGCAGAGAGGCCCAGGCCTCCTAGCTACCCATCACCACAGCTGGGGCGCCGAAGCCGTCGGACCTGCCTCCTGGAGCCACTTCCGGGCCTCTCTAGGAAGCCTGGAGGTCTCGGAGTCTCTATGACGCGCAGGTGTCTCCTTCACCTTCACCGGCGTTGAGGTAGCAGGAGGTTCGCTTCATGAATTCCCCCACGTTCTCTGGCTGTGCGTTCCGCCGTGGCGGGAACCCTTTTAGGGTCACGTCTTCCCCCACGTCCCCTGTCTGTGCGTTCCGCCGTGGTGGGAACCCTGTTAGGGCCACGTCAACTGCTCTTCCCACCTCCAGTGTCTGCTTTTAGACTTTCACCTCCATCTTTGTTTATCCCCAAGGCCAAGACCAGTGCCTGATAAATAGGCACTCAGGTCAGCATTGCTTGGGTGGATGGATGATGGAAAAGGCTCTATAGGGAGGCAGAATATTCACTCTCCATGTATCTCTTTAAGTTTCTATTATCTCTGAGTTTCCATATCTATGTGTGCCCATAGGTTTTCCTGTGTCCCTAATTTTCCTTATTTCTCTTTGTTCTGGTCGCCAAGCAGGCAGTGATGCCAAGACTAATCTTTGTTGCTGAAGGAACCAAGGAATGCAGAAAGGAAAGTTGGCATCCTCACTCAGAGGTCTCCTTTTGAGGCCCATCTTTTGTCTCCTCATCATGAGTGTGGTTCTGTGGATGGTTGCAGACTGTACACGTGTATGGACATGCATCCTGGAATGGACCCCTGGCTGGGGAGGATTTCATTTTAGTGTCTTGGAGGATGGAAGTTTTGACTTCATGTGGTGCTCTTGCCGATAGATCTGGTACCAAAGGCAGACTCAGAGAGGTTCATATCAATTGCCTGATTTACTGCTCAGTTTTCACTAAGCACACACAGTCACAAGGACAAAGCTCAAGTCCTAGGATATAAAAATTAATGAAGCCCAGGTGAAGAAATCAAGAAGTGCCAGTCCCTGGCACTGGCCTCTCTCATAGGATGCTCTGGCTTTCCTGCCTGTCTTGTCCTCACCTATTAGGCAGGCATAAGTCACAGGAGACTTCTTGTGCTAAGCAGTCTTAAAGAACAGCTTTGCAGTGGCTGCTTAGGATACATAAAAATTAGAAGAGAAGAGGAAGGGTATTCAGGGGGCTGAGAGACCAGCTATATGCTCTTGAGGCCAGCAGCTAAGGAAGAAAAGACCCACTGAGGATGCAGTAAAGAAGACAGACTTCCTTTGGGGAATTACAGGATCCTCTGAGGGATACCCAGATTTAGAGTGTGTGGATAAACATGAGAAATGGTGAATTTAAATGTTAGTATTCTTGTGCCACCGAGGACTCTTTTAAAATATAATCAGGCGTGTTTTAAAGGAAAATTACAAACTCTATAATTGCTTCCTTAGCTTCCATCATAATTTAGTGAGTTGATTTTATAAAGGTCTGACCAAGAGATCTAAGACAGAAATGACTGGAGAAAGAAATTAACTTCAATGTGAGTTTGTATAT
This sequence comes from Homo sapiens, assembly GCF_000001405.40. NCBI lineage: Eukaryota > Metazoa > Chordata > Mammalia > Primates > Hominidae > Homo > Homo sapiens. The sequence goes on from NC_000016.10 coordinate 82,012,945, forward strand.
CAGTGTTTGTTTAGTATTGTCTTCCCCCAATAATATGTCCAGGCAGTGGATGCATCTCAGAAAGATCAGTTTGCTGTCACAATTACTCACAGGTGTGCAGTATTTTATTTCTCACTCCGATCACAGTCCAATTCAGTCTGCAGGGAAGGGGAAGAGTGCTGTGCTCCACATAATCACTCAGGGACCCAGGCTTCCCCCATTTGTTATGCCATCATGTTCAACTCTTGGCTGCCAAGGTCACTACAGAAGAGGAAGTAAGAGCTTGGCTTTCCCCAACACTTTCACTTAAAGTCTCCTGCATCCCCTTGAAATTCTTCAATCTCTTCACAGCACTTAGCTCATCTGAAATTATCTTGCATGTTGCTATAATGAAAGCTCCGTGAGTGCAGAGACCTGCTTGATTGATTGGTGTATCTCCACTACCTACTATAGTGTCTGGCATAGAGACAGAATTTTTTTTTTTTTTTTTTTTTTTTTTTTACTGGTGAATGAATCAGCAAATGAATATATGTCACATTTCTGGTTGTCCCTGTTCAAAATCCCAGGCTTGCAAACGACACCTTCTTTTGGCCCAGCTTGGATCAGAAATCACCTCTACCATTGTCAGCTGTGGCAAAAGGACACAAGAACTGCTATAAACTGTGGTCATTTCTAAAGAACGGAAATTATTGTGAGCTTGGTAGGCACATGAGAACTTTGCTATCCAAAAGTGTGGATCAGTAACATCAACATCACCTGAGAGCTTATTAGAAATGTTGGGTCTTGGATCCCATTCTAGGCTTAATAAATACAAATCTGTATTCAGCAAAATCCCTAGGTAATTCCTATGTATAGTAAAGGCTGATAAGCACTGCCCTAAAAGTGCTATGACTTAGTAGTAGTAGCACTACAACTCTCTGAGGTGGGTAAGAGAAACCTTGTAATAGTTCCACACTGCATCTGGAAATCAGGTGAGTTTAAGTGACTTACCCAAGGTCACAGAACTAGTAAATGACAGACCTGTGATTAAAAGCCAAGGCTTCTGGCCGGGTGCGGTGGCTCACGCCTGTAATCCCAGCACTTTGGGAGGCTGAGGCGGGCGGATCACGAGGTCGGGAGATCAAGACCATCCTGGCTAACACAGTGAAACCCTGTCTCTACTAAACATACAAAAAATTAGCTGGGTGAGGTGGTGGGCACCTGTAGTCCCAGCTACTTGGGAGGCTGAGGCAGGAGAATGGCGTGAACCCAGGAGATGGAGCTTGCAGTGAGCCGAGATCACGCCACTGCACTCCAGCCTGGGCGACAGAGTGAGACTCTGTCTCAAAAAAAAAAAAAAAAAAAGCCAAGGCTTCTGACTCCCATATCCTCCACATTCCATCTATTTCACCATGCAGCTGTCTTTCCTAGATAAACCTATTTTCTTTCACTAATAAAAAAAATATAAAGGGGAATAGACAGAAAAAAATTGAGCTATATTTAAACAGTGGTTAATGGCTTCAATAATTGATTTTAGAAAAGAAAACAAGCATTTATCACATGCAGTACATTTCATAAAATGGTTTTCCTCATTACATATTAAAGAACTCTCCAAGTAACATAATGTTTATATTTCATTTATTCAGCAATTAAGCAACTTAATATTCTTTTAGAAGCATTTATAGCACTTATTAAGAATTATCAAGCATACTATTTGGGTCAATGGCTTTTCTTTTTTCCTATTAAAAACTTTTGAAATAATTCATTATTGTTACCCTTGCCTCTCTCAGTACTGATTAAACTAAGTGTTTAAATAGTGCTGACTAAACCTACATGTTATTGTGAGTGTCCTGGCAAGGGCTCTGTGTTCAGTGCTGAAGCATTAGGGGCTCTCCTAGAAGGACACAAAGGACCCTTTGAGACAGTAAAGCTTATATTTGCCATTTTCTTGTCTCACTGTTTTCAGGAATTGAGAAGTAAGGATACCCACTATGTTCATCAGGTTTCTTTGGGTTGCAAATCATAGAAATCCATCCCAATATAGATAAATCAAAAGTAGGGATGCTTGGCTCCTGTAACTGGAAGCTTAAAAGGTGGATCTAGTTGTCGAGCCTCAGACATCATAGAGTCCTGTCTCCTTATCTCTTGGCTCTGGATAGAGAAAGGTTAGTATAGAACGTGTCAGACATGGTTTTCCCCAAAGAAGGGATTTTTGGCACACACCAAATAACATCTCACTATACCAATTAACGAAATCAGTTTGTGCTTTGTGGAAGATTGCCAGTTGTTACTCAAAATGTCTTTCCCTTCTTCCATAATAATAGTGTTTTACTTGCATATGATCATCCAGAATAAAAGCTCCACTTACCAGCTTCACTTGCAGCTAGATGTGCCCTTGTGGCTAAGTTTTTGCCAATATAATGTGAGTGGAAGTGATACATGCCATTTCTGGATGAAATGCTTAAGAGGAAATTCATTTCCCTCTTTTCTCCCCTCCTGTGGACTGACACTGAGATTTGACTCAGCTCCAGCCCTGTAGGTGAAGATAGTACCCCTAGGAGATATAGGAGCAACAAGATAGAAGGAACCTGGGTCTTTGAATGACCTTGTGGAGTACAACTGTCTCACTAGGCTCACCATTCTAGATTACCAGTACTGTTATGTATGATACTATACATTTTTAATAAAAATTTTTATTGAGATCATTGTAGATCCACATGCCATTGTAAGAAATAATACAGAGAGCTCCTGCATACTCTTTGCTCAGTTTCCCCAAATGATAACATTTTGCAAAACTGTAGTGTAATATCACAACCAAGATATTGACCTGGATGCAGTTGATAGATCTTATAAAGAATTCCCGTTTTACTTGTACTCCCTTGCGTGTGCATGTGTCTGTGTTTCGTTTTTTACAATTTTATTACATGTGTTGGCTTCTGTATTAAGCCACTATGTTTTGAGGGTTTTTTTTTATAGTAGTCTAGCCTTTATCCTAATACAAGATAGTAGAACAACATGTGCCAGGAAAGAAGGATGTATTCAAAGATGGAAGACTCTGAAGATGTATTCTTCTCACTGGTCTGTAAAGAATAACTTTATTAAATGATAGTCAGCATGTATTGGGCACCTGCTTTGTATCAAGCATCATGTTAAGTGCTGGGACAATGCAGTGAGAGTTAAGACAGACCTAGGTACTACAACTGCAGTGGTTATATTTATCATCCACTCTGTTGCATATACCCTATTGGTCTTCAGCAACCTGAATATAAAAGATACTTATTCCATAATGCCTGGATCCTCCAAGAGACATCTACTCCCAACCTGCTTCTTTTGAATCCTCTTCAAAAAATGATGCACAAACCCATTAATACTTCCTTCTTGGATGTGGGACCTCCCCTTACGAGGGATTGATGTGTCTCAGAATAGTCTCTGCAAGGAATCCTGGTGTGATTCAACTGCGAGAAATAACCACCATATCTTAGTTTCAGTTCTGCCAGAAACAGACCTTTAGACAAAGATTCAAGGACAAGTAGTTTATTTTGGAGGTGATCCCAGAAACTACCAGTAGGGGGGTGGAGATGTGAGACAGGGAAGGGAAGGAAATCAGTTATCGCTGAGGACAACCAAGCTTAATCCTGCTGGGGGCTTAATCGTTCCATAAAGTAAATCCTTCTGGAGAAACTCGGAAACGCAGTAAACACCCTTCTCAGTGTTATTCTACCTGCTGGCTGAGGTTGTTCACTATTTATTCACTAACACGTATTGGTTATTGGTTGAAAATATGCGTGGGGTGGATTTCTTCCCCATCACTTCCAGTTTCTCCATAACAAAAGCAACGCAAAACCATGCAGGTTCTAACATTTGGAGGTCCAGTAGGCATGCACAGATAAGTGTAGGGGAAAGGAAGTGGGGCACCACTGGAATAACTAATGTCATAACTACTGTCTTACTTGTAGGATAGCAATTCACTTGAAGTAATGAATGACTTCCCTTTTCTAATCTTTAGATTTAGAGGAAATAAAGTAAGGAGACTAGAAACATAGCCTTTAGAGACAGAGTGATGGAGATTTGGATCCTGGCTCTGCACGTTGGAGTACTGAGCTGATGAAACAAGACGGTGCCTGTATTCCCCATAGACACTTATTGGGCAATGTTAGCTGCTCTTGTTATAGCTCATATTCAAGATTACATGTGCAAAACTTGTACAGGAATGTTCAGAGCAACATTATTCATAATAGCCCCAAAGTGGAAACAACCCAAATATCCATCAACTGTTGAATGGATAAATAAAATGTGACATGTTCATGCAATAGAATATGATTCAGCCAGAAAAAGCAATGAAATCCTGATGCATGCTACAACACAGATGAACCATGAAAACATTCCACTCATGTTTTCCTTAGCCAGTTGCAGAAACAACTCATAAAAGGCCACATGTTGTATGATTTTACTTGCAGGCAATGTCCAGAATAGGCTAACCCACAGAGACAGAAAGCCGAATGGTGGTTGCTGAAAACTAGGGGATTTGGGGTGAAATGGGGAGTGACTGCTAATGGGTTACTTTTTAAAGTGAAATGTAATGATGGTTGCACAAGTCTGGAAAAGCCGCCGATTTGTTCCCTATTTTTTTTTTTTTTTTTTTTTTTAAAGATGGAGTCTCGCTCTTGTAGCCCAGGCTGGAGTACAATAGCGCCATCTCAGCTCACTGCAACCTACGCTTCACAGGCTCGAGCGATTCTCCTGCCTCAGCCTCCCAAGTAGCTGGGATTACAGGCGCCTACCACCACACCTGGCTAATTTTTGTATTTTTAGTAGAGACAAGGTTTCACCATGTTGCCCAGGGTGGTCTTGACCTCCCAACCTCAGGTGATCCACCCAACTCGGCCTCCCAAAGTGCTGGTATTACAGGTGTGAGCCACTGCACCTGGCCTGATTTGTACACTTTAAATTGGTAAATTGTATGATATGTGAATTATATATTAATAAGGCTATCCCAAAAGAGATTACACTTATGATAATGTCAATCTCATTCTAATTTCAATGCTGTTTGAATGGGAGAGGATGGCCTATCCCCTTGGACATGTCCATGGATGTGTGTCATAGGGGGAAACATCAATGTGACTAAAAATTGAGGAGCCACTGAATTAGAAAAATAAGCATGAGTCTCTTGTTTCACTATCTCAATATGACAGCTTTTCCCCTGGGACCCTCCTCTTGCCTTCATTTCTCTCAGGGCAATGCAAAAAAGTACAAACAAGGAGGAATATGAGGTTTGAATAATAAGTGGTTTTCAATTAGCTGCATTGAAAATTGAGAGTCGACTTGTATTAATTTTCACTATCAAATTACTTCATTTTGTCTCTCCCCTGACTGCTAGGGTAATTTTATGCCAGAATTATTTTAGTCATTCTAATTATGCATGCATCAATATTTAGTGGGTGTTTACCTAACCCACAGCACACCCAAATGTTTTTGCTCCCCCAGAGACCATGGGAGTGCAATATAATATTAATAGGCGGTGCGTGGTATGGAGATGAGGTTCCCTTTATTTCTCCTCCTTGTTTGTAAGGAACGTTCAGGTGGTGTTTCTTGGAAAGCAACGTGTGTGCTATTCGGATGCATCTACAAAACTAAAAGCAGTACTGTGGATGCTATGGGTTCATTATCTGATACTAAATGCAATTCTAGCACAGATGTTTCATTAGGGATTCAGTTATGTAAGACAAATTAAAATTTACCATTTCTTTAGAATTTCCTTTTTGCAAAAAAAACCCTGTCTGTCATGTGTTTGAATTTTTCTGTCACTGGCAGTATTTCTTCTCCCCTTTTCCTGTAGACTCTTTCCCCTTTAGTTACTTTATTTTATTTTTGAGATGGAGTCTCACTCTGTCACTCACGCTGGAATGCAGAGGTGCGATCTCAGCTCACTGCAGCCTCCACCTCCCAGGTTCAAGCAATTCTCCTTCCTCAGCCTCCCGAGTAGCTGGGACTACAGGTGCACGCTACCACACCCGGTTAATTTTTTGTATTTTTAGTAGAGACGGGGTTTCACCATGTTGGCCAGGCTGGTCTCAAACTCCTGACCTCAAGGGATCTGCCCTCCTTGGCCTCCCCAGGTGCTGGGATTCTTTCTCCTTTAACTAACACTCTCCCACTTACTCTCAGCTGGCCATCTCCTTCTCTTACTCCTACTTAATTCTCCTCTCCCTCCTTCTCTGTTTTCTTTTTATTGACCCCTTTGTATATTCTTCCTAGCTCCCAACTGAGTAAAACCCAAGATTCAGCCTTCAGCCTTTCTTTTAACATCTACATCATTTCCCTTCAATTCTCTTGGTTTCAACCCTGAATCTTGGGCTGACAACTCTGCAATGTATATTAACTTGACACTGCAAAGTATTTAACGGGGATGGCTCAATTTATCTTGCCCTAATGTCCAAAAGTGAATTCCTTATATCTGGGAATACTTGGCACTGGTGGTACTATTTTGACATGCCCTCTCTTTCCCTTCATGCTTAGGCGGGTTTAATTTCCCTTTGCAAAATCTCTTGGACCCGGTCCCTCTTTCAATTCCTTCTGCCCCTGTGGTTTTCCTGATGGCCTTCTAACTAGAGTGACACCCCAGAGGGTCAGCATGTTAATCTGGACAGTCTGCGAGGTTTGAGAATCTCTCAGGGAATAATCCTGAGGACAGACCTCAGTGCTGCCTTCTCACTCTCTTTATCCTTTCCCAGGGTCCATAGCCACCTCTTACCTGCACCACTCCCCGAAGGCCCGTGGGATAAGATGATGCTAAGAGCAAGCCTTGGGTAAGAGAGCATGACAAGAAACGGGACAATGCAGGGGAGGGCATGGGGACCAAGCACAGCATGGACCACAGGGCCTTGGGGATGTGGAAGGAGAGAGGGAGAGAGAAAATACCAGCAGAAACGTTTCTTGCCTATCACTGTGGAATGGTTGACGACAACCAGGATGCTGCATCCAGGCGAGATACGGGGGAGGAATGAGCTGAGGAGGGGAGGGAAGTTATTCCAGAATAGCTTCTGTGGATGCTAAGGCTTGGTGCATGGCACCCGACAGAGACTCTTTTGATTCCATACAAATGTCGGGCAGTTTATTGTATAATTGGGATTATACACTGTGCCTCCGCCTGCCACAATAAGGTGAAAGGGGTTGCATTGCTCTTATTCTTGGACTAAGGGAGGTGGCCACATAAACTATGGCAGATAAGTGGAGTTTATAGGCTGTAGCAGGGTATTTAGGGCAAGAACTCTAAACCCTTTATGGCACACCAAGGACTCTGGACCCCGAAAGTGTGTGCCAACTAAAAATAATTGCTGATAAAGTTAGAATTATTCATATTTTATATTATCAGAGATAAATATAACTTCTGATTAATATGAGAAAACCCAAGTAACCCCAACGAATGAATATAAAGATCAGCTCCAACCAAGGAACGTGATGGCTTAGCTGACACGGGTTAATTAATGCAAGGCTTGATACAGGAGACAGTGAAAATGGGAGTATTGGCTAATGAATTAATTCACCCGTTCCTGCATTCGACAAGCATTTATGGAGTGCCATTTACATACCAGGCAGTGTTCTAGCCACTATAGGCAGAGATAATGGTGAATAAAACATTCTCTGCCTTCAAAAAGTTCAGAGGTGGCTGGGCGCGGTGGCTCACGCCTGTAATCCCAGCACTTTAGGAGGCCGAGGCGGGTGGATCATGAGGTCAGGAGATCGACATCATCCTGGCTAACACGGTGAAACCCCGTCTCTACTAAAAAATATAAAAAATTAGCCTGGGGTGGTGGCGTGCACCTGTAGTCCCAGCTACTCTGGAGGCTGAGGCAGCAGAATGGCGTGAACCTGGGAGGCGTAGCTTGCAGTGAGCCGAGATCACGCCACTGCACTCCAGCCTGGGCAAAAGGGCGAGGTTCCGTCTCAAAAAAAAAAAAAAAAAAAAAAAAGTTCAGAGGCTAGTGTGGTTCAGTCAAGTCAGAGAGCAATTGCATGACAACAGAATTTCTCAAAATGTGTTCTTCATACCACTTGCAGCAGATCACCTGGGATGTGTGTTAAATGCGCAGCTTCCTGGACTCCACTCTCCAAATGTCCAAATAGACTTTCCCGCAGTGAGGCCAGGAATGAGCATTCCTAGCAGCCACCCCGGGTGAGCTGCTTTCCCATTACATTTTTGGAATTGCAGTCCCATAAGTTCAGTGTGCTATGATGGAGAGAACCTAGGGGACTATGGGAACTAAAATGGGACCCCTACCCCAACCTGGGGACTGCGGAGGGATCACAGAAGGCTTGCTTTTGGAAGTGGTACCTGAGTTGAGTCTTGGAGGACAAGGGGTGGTAGCAGAAGACAGGAAAGGTAGAGGGAACAGTGGGCCATGAAGCATGATGGAGCTGGGGTGTCAGGGACCCATGAGTGTTTCTATGAAGTTGGGGCACAGAGGAGTGTGACTTGGAGCAACAGAGGAGATGGCGCAGGTAAATAGGGACCCAGCCAGTCACGTACACTGAAGGAAATTGGGAGACCCCAGCTGACATGGCCATTACCACATTTAGTTGGTACATGGGGTAAGTTTGATGTTCCCTGTAATCTCCCTGGAAGAGACTTTGAATGCTGAGCCAGGGCGCTGTTGGCCAGGATAACTCCAGGTGATTACTTAAAAAAATATTGTATTGAACTTTTCACTAATAGAGGGGATGTCTTGCCATAAGGTATTTGAAATCAGAGGTCTTCAGACATTTTTGCTTATTACCCCTAAAGGATTTTTTTTAAAAAATGTATGCTCTTCCTGGCACATTTTAAAGCTGATGTCTAAAATTTTTGTCTTATGTCTAAATGGTTGTAAATAATGGATACCTAACATATATTATATTGACATTTTAAGATAAACTATGATATCATTCTTTTAAATATATCCAGATCAATCAAAATACCTTGGCAGTTCAATACTTCCAACATATTACAACATTTTCAAAACACGTAAGCATGTTCTCTTGTTAGCAGTTGGAAATTTTACATTTTTTTTTGTTCTTATATCCACAGTTCTATTTTACTTCCTTCACAGAATTTTATTCACTATAATATATTTTACACTTGAATGTTTCTTATTGATTTCTCCTCCTGTTTCTCTATAATGAACGTACATTCATATATATAAATATAAACATGTAAAGAATATATATGTTTATACATATGAGGAAAAAACTAAACATGTATATATTTTACATATATAAGTAACATAGTTACCATAGACTTCTGTATCAATTCTCTTCTGGATTGAGTTAACATTTTAATTATTAGTCATAGATAACAAATAAAATACTATTATAAAATTTTTAAATTATTAAATATAAAAATAAAGTATTAATTCGATGGATGTGGGTTTTTTCCAATTTGTTCAGGTATCTTAATTTGAATGCTACTTACTAATAGAAAAATACAGGTTTCAGCATGAATTATATTGCTATTTTTAAAATTCTTATACACGTATCACTGAGAATTTTCATTCACAGAAGTGAGTAGATGGGGATGGAACTAGATTTGAATAGCAACTTTACTCAATTAAAAAAATCCATCAATATATTTCTCAATATTGACATATTAAATAAGCTTAACCATATGATCATATCCATAGATGAAGAATAAACATTTGACAAAATTCAACATCCTGTTGTGATAAAATTCTCAGCGAGTTAGGAATAGATGGGACACTCAATTTTTAAACCTCCTTTTGAATTATATGCCCCTAATTAAATTTTATGGTCAACTGGCAACTAGGTTAGGTTCTTCTTCAGTTTTGCTGGAAGCTGAGAATTGTAAACACAATTACTTGCAAAATAATTTATTATTCCATCTTCAGTGTCCAGAAATTAGACCAAAGTGGGTTTAAACCCATATCAAATGAATACTAATTATACTTGTTATTTTTTTTCTCCGAGACATTATGTTTCCCTAAGTATACTCAGAGTTGGGTAAATCACAACAGCGTTAATGTTAATTTCAATATAATACCATATTGTGAATGCAATATTTTTGATAAAATGCTTTTATCTTATGTATCTTAAATATATTTTAGGACAACTTTGTAACTGAAGACAACTCATTCAAGTTCTGGAATATATTCATCATATAATTGGCAAAGCCATTTCACATTGTCAAGTCAAACAGCTAAATCAAAGTATTTACATTATTTTTGAGTTTTATGGTCACGTTATATTTAATGATCAGCTGTTAGAAAAAATAATTGACTTCATATTTCAGTTCAAGTAAACATGTTAACAGTATACTCATGACCACCATTTTGTTTTATTTTGTTTTTGATAGATAGACAGTGTCTTGTTCAGTTTGGGCTGCTATTCCAAAGTACCAGAGGTGGCTTAACAGGAACAGGAGGCTTATCAACAACATAAGGTGGCTTATCAACAGCATAATTTTTTTTTTCACAGTTCTTGAGGCGGGAAGTCTGCGATCAGGGTGTCGGCATGATTGGGTTCTGGTGAGGTTGCAGAACTGCTGGCTCTGCAGGCTGCTGGCTTCCTTTATCCTCCCGGGGCCAAAAGAGGGCAAGAGAGCTCTCCAGGTTGTAAGGGCATTAATCCCGTTCATGAGGGCTCTACCGCCATAGCCTAATTACCTCCTAAAGGCTCTACGTCCAAATACCATCACATTGGGGGTTAGGATTTCAACATATAAAGTTGGGGGTTGAGATGATACAAACATTCAGTCCATTGTCAGCAGACAGATACAGCATGAAGTTTGTTATTGTTGCTATGGTTTTATTATTTAGATCATTTCCATGGGAAAATTCAGAGCATGATGAGGGAGCCAGTTGCATTGAGCCGGAGACATACAAGAAAGGAATCACAGGAGTCGAGGGAATTAGGCAACTAGACAAGAACATTCTAGGCAGAGGAAACTGCTGGATCAAGGAGGGTGTCCCATGTGTTTGATAAGAAGTAAGTAGGTCCTTGGGACTAGAATAGAGTGAAAGAGGGGGTAGAAGTCAGATGTGGTCTAAGAACTGCAGGGGCCAGACCATCCTTGTAGCCATTTAAGGATTTTGGCTTTTCTCTAGGTGAGACGGGAGGCTTTGCCAGGTTTTCAGTAGATGAGTGATAAGATTGGACTAAAGTTTTGAAAAGAATTTTTTTCTGGTGCTGGGTTGAAAATGGACTGTTGGGAGACAGGGGTGGAACCAGAGGGATCTACTGGAGGCAGTTGCAATGCTGGCAGGGGGTGATGATGCCTTGGACTAGGCTAGCAGCAGTGGAGGGAGTCAGAAGTAGTCAGGTAGTGGATAAATTCTGAAGGTAGAGCTAGCAAGATTTCTTGGTGGATTGGATGTGGGTTGATTCCAACAGCAGAGTCAAGGGGAGTCCAGTGCTTGCATGCTGTGCTGCTGAAAGGATGAAGTTGTCCTCACTGAGATAGAGAAGGCTGTGAATAAAGTAAATTTGGCACTTGTAACTTTGGGAGTAGGAGTTAGAGTAGGCTGTGAGATGACAAGTGAGATGACAACCCTGTAGGAAACAGGGAGAAGTTGAGTCTGTGGAACAATATGGGTGGGAGGAAGAGGAGGAGGTTAAAGAGACAGTGAGAGAATTAAGAGAAGCTCAAGGAAGTATCTAGGAGGTTAGGAAACTCCCTGGTGGTGGTGAGAGGAGACAAAGGATCCTTTAGTAAGTAGAGTTACATCACTGTTGTATGTCCTTTGGTGATTGCGGTAGTTTCCTAGGGCTGCCATAACAGATGACCATGACCTTGGTGGCTTGAATCAGCAGTCCACAACCTTTTTTGGTGCCAGCGACTGGTTTCATGGAAGACAATTTTTCCACAGATCTTTGTGGGGGTGGGGGAATGGTTTTGGGATGATTCAAGTACATTACATTTATTGTGCACTTTATTTCTATTATTATTACATTGTAATCTATAATGAAATAATTATACAACTCACCATAATGTAGAGTCAGTGGGAGCCCTGAGCTTGTTTTCCTGCAACTAGACAGTCCCATATGGGGGTGATGGGAGACAGTGACAGATCACCAGGTGTTAGATTCTCATAAGGAGCACACAACCTAGATTACTCACATGTGCAGTTCACAGTAGGGTTTGTGCTTCTGTGAGAATCTAATGCCACCACTGATCTGACAGGAGGCAGAGCTCAAGAGGTAATGTGAACAATGCGGAGCGGCTGTGAATACAGATGAAGCTTCACTGGCTCACCCACTACTCACCTCCTGCTGTGCAGGCTGGTTCCTAACAGGCCACAGACTGGTACCAGTCTATGGCCCAGAGAACGGGGACCTCTGGCTTAAATAAAAGAAATCTAAATCTATTTGCTCACGGTTCTGGAGGAGAGAATTCTAAAACCCATGTGTTGGTAGGGACATAGCCCCTCTAGAGGCTCCAAGGGAGGCTGCTTCCTGCTTCTTTCAGCTTCTGGTGGCTCCACAGAGCTACAGTGCCACAGGCATCCCCTGGCTGTGGCACTGTAGCTGTAATCTCTGCCCTGTCTTCACGTGGCCTTTGTCCTGTGTCTACCTCTGTCGTCTTCTCTTCTTTCTCTTATAAAGATATGTGTCACTCAATTTAGAGCCTATGCTACTCCAAGATGATCTCATCTCCACATCCTTTACTTTGTTACATCTGTAAAGACCCTGTTTCTCCAAGGATCATATTCACAGGTTCCTGGAGTTAGAATATGGACATATCTTTTGAGGGGCCACTACTCATACCACTACAGAGTATGAGTACTTCTACCCCCTCCATCTTTCCTACCTCAACATCAATGCCACTAAAAACAGCTTTACTGCTATAAATTTTGTTTTGCAAGCAGATAAGAGAGGTTGAGTTTCACACTGAAGTCAGAATGGCATAGCAAAGCAGTGGCTGACAAGAGGCAGAAGGACCTGTGAGAAGGTAGTTCCCTAGGAAATTGAAGAAGTCTTGGCAAGGCTTCTCAAGACCATAGAACTGGGCATTTGAGCCTATCTTATCTGGATCCTAAAGTTTAGAAGCGTTCAGCTGATATCTGTGTTATAACGACATAAAATATGACCATACTATACATTCTACTTTGTAACCTGCTCTCCTTGCTTAGAAAATATTGCAATCATTTTCAACAACATGATTTTTAATGGCTGTATAGCAGTCTATCAAATGAAAGTACCGTAATTTATATAACAAATCCTTTATGATAAGCCATTGAGGATGTTTCTGCATTTTACATATGATAAATAACACTGAAATGAACAACTCTCTTTATAAATCATTGCGCACATCTTTGATTATTTTCAAATGGGCTCATTTTAATTAACCATGAACCATGAATTGCTATTTTGTGATAGCAATTCTGCTCATCGTTTCCTTTATGAACTAAAACTTTTCCTTCAGGCAAAAAAACAAAAAAAACAAAAAAACGAAGTTCCTGCAACATCTGGCTTATGATGTAATTTACTTTTGGTATTCAGCTGTGCTCCCAAATATTTAAATATCTTCTTTCTAATAGTCTCATCCTAGGTTTAATATCCCTTCTGGAGATACAGATACAAGTGTGTTTCCTTCTGTGAACCTTGGCCATGACTATCTGTGCCAAAGTTGTATATCAGTTGCCTTCAGCTTCTATTTCTCAAGTTGTAAGACCAAAGAAGAAAGGACAGAAACCAGAAAGAATTAGACTGCAGGAATTTTTGTTGGGACCAAAAAGACGCTTGTGATAATTGCTGCCATGGAAAACTGTGACATGACAGACCATTTACACAGACTGTCCTTATAGCCAATAAAAGTTAGGTATTATTATCTGCAGTATTGGTGAGCAGGTAGTGGCTCAGAGCAGAGAGAGCAGGGCTCATTGTCAATTAAGTAGCAGAGTTGGAATTCTAACCCAGGTCGTTCTAACTCAAAGCCACCATGTTGTACATCAGTGGGGCTCCCATACCTTTGAACTTTGAATGCTGGTTAAGATTTCTTACCAAAACTGTGGAAGTCATGTAGGCTTGCCAACTTTTAATTTTGCCAAGTAAGGGCATCAAACAGCAACAACCGTTAAGTGTGATCACCTACCACAGTGGTCTCATATACAAAAAGCTATTTTAATGCCTGAAAGAGGAGGAAGGCTATCATCTCTGAAGTCAGTCCCTTCAGTGAGGTGAATTTTCTTACGGAAATTCAATATGTTGTCCTTCCTGCTGATGTCCTCTCACCATGGACCAGGGAAAGTGAGCACTCTCTCCAGACGCCATCTAAGAACCACTTCAGGAGGTCACGCTATCATCACTGCCCTGACAGAGGGTTGCTCTGGCTTGGCTGACCAATGTGGAAGGGGTTGCAAGGACTCCCCTCTGCTGTTGAAAGGGGCTGGAAAAACATTCAGCCTAGTAATAGAGGGGCATCCATTCTATGAGCTCCCCCTGTTCAGGGTAGAATTCTCACACTCTGTTCCTTTCCAAGAATGAGGAAAGGAAGTGGAGATGGTGGATGTAAAATTTAAGAAATTTAGGAGGGAGAATAAGAAAAGAGGGAGAGAGAGAGAGAGAGAGAGGGAGGAAGAGAGACACAGAGAGAGAAAGAGAAAGAGAGAGAGAAAAATACTGGGACACATGGGCAGAAATATTTTTATACATGTGGATCTCTTAATGTATTTAGGAGAAGTAAAGTTGTGTAGACAGAGAGTCCTTGTCAGTATCCAAGCGAGTAAATCGAGACAGAGTTCAGGGATCTTTCAATCTGTGTTTTACTAACAGAATTCACTGATTCACTGTGTATGGAACACAAAGGCATGCAGGAGCGTGCCTTACTCGTCACGCACACGCAAGCCTCAAGGGCAAGGAGGGGTCTGTATCTCTAATTATTGGTCCGGAATAAACATTTAGCAAATAATTGATGAATCAGGGAGTGGACTAAAAGCCAATCATCAGGTAAATCTATTAATGTTTAATTTCAGTGGATTGCCTCACCCTACCCTTATTGCTTCATTTTTTGATTTATAGTCATAAGCGGCAGATAAAGGCAAAGTTGGCTAGGGAGCAGTCTCCACAAATAGAAACCCATAGGAAGAGTAAAGAACATGCAAGTCAGGGTAATTTCTGACCCATCAGTCGGGAGGAGGTTCCTGAAGTCAAGTGTTATTGAATGAGAAATCTGGACCAGACACTGTACTTGACATTTGACCAGCATTTATCTCACATGACCTTCCTAAGAACACAATGAGGGAGACACTATTAATACTATCCCCAGTTTACAGACTGCAGAGCCCAAGGAGATGCTTAGCAGCTGGGCTTGAGAGCTGTAATGGAGCAAGGAGGGAACCCACATCGGCCTTCAACAGCCTTCCTCTGGTCCAGCAGCTGTGAGCAGGCCTACTTGTTGGAAGTGGACTGACTGGTTGACTCGCTGGCAGTGCATGTGCACAAACACATACACACGTGCACACACAGACACCTACACACAGATACAGAGAGATACACATACACATCTACATATATACACACATGCAAACACACATATATACCCACACAGATACAGAGATACATGTATATATCTACATATATACACACAAGCACACACATACCTACACACAGATACAGAGAGATACACATACACATCTAGGTATATACACACATGCACATACATACGTATACCTACCCTCAGATACAAAGAGATGCATGTACACAGCTAAATATACACACACATGCACACACATACCTACACACAGATACAGAGAGATACACATTTATGTATATACACACATGCATACACACATATATACCTACACATAGATACAGAGGTATATATATATATATATACACACATTCACGTCTACATATATACACATGTACATACACACATATACCTACACACAGATACAGAGATGTACACATCTATATATATATATACACACATGCACATACACACATATACTTACACACAGATACAGAGATGTACCCATCTATATATATACACACATGCACATACACACATATACCTACACACAGATACAGAGATGTACCCATCTACATATATACACACATACACATATACACATATACCTACCCACAGATACAGAGATGTACACATCTATATATACATAGACACATGGACATACACACATGTACCTAAGCACAGAGAGATACATGTACACATCTACATGTATATTCACATACACACATATACCTACACACAGAGATATACACATCTACTTATGTACACATATGCACACACATACATATACTGACACAGATACAGAGATAGACACTTCTACTTATGCATACACACTTGCACATACATACACATATATTCACTCAAAGACACACACGAATATACAGATATACCTGCACACATGCACATCCACGCACCTATGCATGTGTGCACTTGTACAACACCCTTACACATATCTACACATGCATGTGCACACACACATATACACACACATGAATGGAGACACCCCCACACGCTTCCCACATCCGCCCCATACCCCATACGTACACTCACAGACACAGACACACAACTCTACACACATGTGTACATAAACATACATGTACGCATGTACACACATACACGAATACCCACATACCTACATATGGATATACGTACCCTCACTTACACACACACAGACACAGGCACACCTACACACACGTACACCTGTGCACAAGCACACACATACAGGTTTATACACATATACATGCCCCCAGAAAGACAGATACACACACACACACACACACACACACACACACACACACACCACTCTGCAAATAGCCTGGTTACATACCAAGTTGTGATGTGAATTTCCATCTGACCTCACACTGAGGCATTTGTCACAATTCATAAACCAATACTGATACATTAGTATTTTTATTTTTATTATTTTATTTTATTTTATTATTTTTTGAGATGGGGTGTCGCTCTGTCACCCAGGCTGGAGTGCAGTGGTGCGATCTCGGCTCACTGCAAGCTCCGCCTCCCAGGTTCATGCCATTCTCCTGCCTCAGCTTCCCGAGTAGCTGGGACTATAGGCGCCCGCCACCACGCCTGGCTAATTTTTTGTAATTTTAGTGGAGATGTGGTTTCACCATGTTAGCTAGGATGATCTCGATCTCCTGATCTCGTGATATGCCCACCTCGGCCTCCCAAAGTGCTGGGATTACAGGCATGAGCCACTGTGCCCGGCCAATACATTATTATTAACTGAAGTCTATACTGTATTCAGATTTCCTTGGTTTTTACCTCATGTCTCTTTTCTGTCTCAGGTTTCCACATTACATTTAGTCGTCACGTCTCCTTGGGCTTCTTTTTGCTGTGACTGTTTCTCAGAATTTCCTTGTTTTTTGATGGCCTTGACCCAATACTTGCTGGGTATTTCATAGAATGTTCTGCAATGATAAAGTTGCCTTTTTTTTTTTAAATCACATCATACTATCAACATGATTTGCCATTGTTGGTGCTGACCCTCACTACCTGGGTAGTGTTCGTCTGGTTTCTACGTGGTAACGTTGCTCTGTTTCTCTGTTTTCATGCTGCACTCTGGAAGAAAGTTACCATGTGTAGTTCACACTTAATGGGGAGTTACACTCCAAGTCCTTGAGGTAAGGAGTATTTATGTCCATTATTTATAATTCTTCAGCATGTGAGATTTGTCTCTTCTCATCCACCTAGCTGATAATGTATTTATATCACTATGGAGGAATGGGTATTTATTTATATTTTGGATAATTTCTCCTCATGTGTATGATATTTTACTATAAAAAGTTAAAAGTGACGCAGAAACTATAAAAACGAATTTTATTTGATAACAAACACCGTGGTAGTCAAGAATAGGGCACTTTTGTTAAAAGAGCAAATAAGTCTTTGGACACATAAGCAAAAATAAAGCTTCAAGGATAGGGGAGGTGATAATCTTACTCTATTCTATGTTCTTTGCACTGTACTGAAAATATTGTGCCCAGTTCTGGGCCTAATCTTTCAGGGGAGATGTAAGTAATTGGATGCCATTCTGAGAAGTGGCTGCAGATCCCTGAAACCCTATACAAAAAAAAAAAAAAATGAGATCTGACTTACTTGGAATTTATGATAATTGAGGAGTTTAGACATCTTTACCACGTATTATTTCAAAGATAGAAAAAAGGCATGGTCCAGCCCCAAGTTCTGGCTATCTTCTCCTAGTCTCCCCACTCCTGCCCACTGTATAAAATAGATAAATATGTAATACATGATATTTGCGCAATCACAAACACTCCAAACATTAGTTATCACCCTAATGCTCAAAAAGCAACAAACGAACAAAAAACTCGTATTACCAACAAGATCTCTGTGATGTCCCTGAGATGATCTGTTATGGCTGGTACCACCCTGTCCATGTCCTGAACTTTGGGTCACTATGACATCAACACACAGTCATTCTCTGCTTGGCAAATCATGCCGTCATTATGTTACCCTCATCATAGGAAAATGTTCTTCAATTATTGTAACAATGTGATTTTAAAAATGTTTGAGCTCTGAAATATCTTTCAAATATCTGAAAGAAATAGAACAAGACATCCTCTGACTCCACGTGGAGTGGGAAGACAAACGTCAAGATGAATTTGACCTAGAGGAGAATGTTCTAATATCCCGAGCCATCTTGAATGGGAAAATCAGCCTTCAGAGGAAGTGAAGTGCCTGTTCTCAGAGATGTTCTGGCAATAGACAAGATGACCACTTGGTGGGGATGTTACAGAGGGAATTCCCATTTTAGATGGGAAGTTCCTTCTTCAAGTTCTCTTCTAAACTCAACATCCACCAATTCTAAGAAAGTGTACATTGGAGGATTCTCAGCATTTTTTTTTCCCCAGCATTTTTTGCCCAGCAATTTTTTTTGGGGGGGCGGCAATCCTTTCTTTTGGGTAGGATGTTTTGTTTTCAGATGGCATTTTCCAAAAGGCCCCTCTGCTGGCAGGAGGAAATGACACATTGACCCACTGGCGTCATTAGCAAGAATGAGTTGGTCCAATTGGCTCCTTTTCCCTGGAAGGCTGAGAGCAAGCCTGCAAGCAAGGGGACACTGGCCAAGCCATGATGGCCTCGAGAATAGCTTCACGACAAAATGGTGGGGACAAACAAGGGACACGATTTAGCTCAATAGGATGCAGGAAATCTTCATTCAGCGGTAGCTCTGAGATGGACTGACCCTGAGGTTGGGATGAGGACATTCAGGGCTTAGAAAGGATTGGGCTAGTTCTCACCTGGGGATTCTGCAATTCCATATATTCCCCAACTGGTAAATAGCCTTCCTTTCCACCACCGTGCACCCCCACTAGTCTCTGCTCCTGCAGCAGGCCTCCTGGAAGCACTGCGTCCTCAACTCTGCAAGGCCAGGAACCGGGTCTATATTGTTCACTACTGAATTCCTCCATGGCTGGTGCAGAACTGGCCACCTAGAAGACTCTCAATAGAGATGTGATTCTTCCTATATTTTTCCAACAAATATTAATTATGTACATGTGATGTGCCAGGCACTGGACTGTGCACGTGGTGAACAGTAAAGGAAAAACAATAAACAGATAAGGTTCCTGCCCTCATGAAGTTTATGGTCTAGTAGGGGAGACAGAAAACGTTCTTAAACTGATCAAAGTAAATATATAATTGTGGATTGAGCTAAGCGCAACAAAGGCAATGAATAAAGCGTGCTGATAGGAGATACTCAGATTGGGTGACAGGAGGTGATGTTTAAGCAGATATCTGAAGGATGACAAAGGAAACAGCCGAGTGCTGAACTGAAAGAAGAAATAAATGAGTGAGGAGGTAGCTGTCAAGAACCTCTCTCTCTGCTCAGAGGAAAAAGGCTAAGAGGCAGTGGGTACTCTCAACAATGAGAAAAGTGCCTACCATCCATGAGTGCCTGTAAGTGCCAGGGACGATGCAAGAATGGTGTCATTCACTTTTCAAAACAGCCCTTGGAAGAAAGACTCCTCCTACCGCCAATTTACAGAAGAGGAAACTGAGGCTTAGGAAGGGCAGGTAACTTGCCCAGTGCCTCACAGCTAAGCCAGGATTCGAACTCAATTTAGAAGTCTGTGAGACCCGAAAGCTCATGTTCTTAATACTGTTCAGCCCCTTCACCATCAGGGCTCAGGGAGTATCCTTCATGGGACTTCTGTGTGGCCTGAGGGTGGCTTTTGCTCATAGATTTTACCCTCCCCTTGGGAGCCCCAGGACAGAGTAGGTCTGGGAACTCGCAAGGGCTGCCTCCAGGAGAAAAGCCACCTCTCTCAAGTGGGCGTGCACTTGGCAGGAAGCCTGCGCAGGTGTTTGGCTCAGCCCAAATGTGGGAGCCACTGACCAAATGCCAAGACTCTCAGCGAAGAGCCATAGCTAGTCCTGTCTCCCCACCTGGAAGCTGTTTTTCGAACGGAGCTAACTGCCAGGATGCTCTGGGCTGGTGAGGCCACAAGGATTGTGAGAGGTGCCCTGTGGCTCAGATGGCACCCAGGAAGGAATTGGGGTCTGTTGAGGGAGGGAGAGTTCAGGGCTAGCCAAAGGCAATTCCAGATCCCTGCCCCTAAGCTTCCTGGCCTGGAGCTGGTAACGTCTCCCTGACTCAAATGTCCATGTGGCTGGGAGGGCAGACAACAGTTGCCATCACTCCACGCAGACCCTCATAACTGCCTTGTTGTCCAACCCCACAGTCCCACAGCACAGTAATGGTTCACAAGACACTGCTTCCCACCCCTTCTCCCTTGGGTCTTGAGTTGGCTTTGAGCCCAGGTGGGCTCTGCCTCACCTCCCTTTACAGGGGATACGCTGCTGGGTCCCTTCCTTCCCGAGTCCTGCCTCCCCAACATCATCCACAAAAGGCATCCTCTCCCTTCCTCCTCCTGCCCCTCATTTAACTCCAGCACGTGTTTTGAGACAAGTCTATACTCCACTGGACACTTTGTTTTACACGACTTCCTCTTATTCTTCATTCTCCTCCTGTTTAAAAAACATGAATCACTAGCATTTATGAGGTTCCTTCTACTGTTCCAGGCAGGATATGATATTATTTTATAGCCAAAGGGATGAAGATCTAGGGAGGTGAAGTGACCCTCCCAAGACTATGTAATTAATAAGTAGTGGAGTTAAGATTAGATTTGAATAGAGGGAAACTGACCTCAAATAGAGAATGTTTCTCTCTAGCTATGCCAAAGTCCAGCCTTTATCACAACCTTGCCTCCCTCCAGCCAGGCATGTGGCCCACATGGGGCACGCCCTGAGCCCAGGTGCGGTGACCCCTCTCTGGCTTAGCACGGTTAGGTGGTGCTGTAGTTGCAGAGTGCTGGCTTTTAAGCCGCTTGTGAGTAAGGGATTTATTTTTTCCCAGCCTCAGTTTTTCTCTCTGTAAACTGACCATAATAATAACACCCACCTCAAACAGTTTTATAAGGTTGAAATGGGGTGAAAGTAGGAAAGATCTAGCACATAATGCACTAATTTTTTTTTTTTTTTTTGCCTAAAGCAGGCAGTGGAATAGAATGCTTAGGGGCATACAGCTCTGAGATCAGGCTGCAAGACTCCACTGCTGTGTGATCTTGACTAAGTCTCTTACCCTCTCTGTGTCCTGGTTTCCTCACCTGTAAAATTACTATAATACTAGAATCAACTTCATAAGGATATTGTATTCAAGGAGGATGAGAGGAGTCCCAGTGAATGGAGGCTGGCATAGAATAGGCTTACAATAAAGAGAAAGAACAAATAAGCAGCTATACACAGCCTCTGCCACAAAAAACTACCAATAGATATTAGCCGCTATTAGTTAATTGTCATTATTATCTCTCCCTGGCATGTTTCCACTCAGGCAAGACCAAAGCACTTTCCTCTACCAAGGAATATCTTCCTCTACTTTCATATCCCTCTCCATCCAACCCTTCAGCCTGCCTCAGTTGGGATTTGTAGGAGTCCTGAAGCTATGGACCAGATCAGAGGTGCCTTCCCTTCCAGAATCTATTTTCCAAACTTCATCGATTGCCTATATTTATATGCATGCATGCACACACACGCACACACACACACACACTCTCACTCACTCCCGAGTCAGAAAAAGGACTCAGCACCCAGACATACTGCAGGCTCTTGAAGAAGACAGTATTTTCCTGTGAGCTAGAGGATCTTCCTGTTATTCTCCATGCAGTTCAAATTCTGTCAATTATTATCCAGTTAGTCATCGCTCCAGAGGTGGACTGTCATTAAAAAAAAATAGAAGGTGTGTGTTTGTGGGTGAGTATGTGCATGTGTTGTGTATGCAGGGGGTGGGGAGGGGCGAGAGCGGTCAAATAGGAAGTGCCTTGGTATTTATGTTGAAGTGCACACTGGTTTAAATTACCCACTGGGAATATGATTATGCTTAATCTATGCTCAGTTGAAAGGGGCTGGGGCTGCTTTCTCCCCTCCCTTCTTGACTCTCTGTTCACAGAACTCAGGCTGCCTCCAGCCAGCCTTTGCCCGCTAGACTCACTGGCCCTGAGCACTTGAAGGTGCAGCAAGTCACTGAGAATGAGCACTTTCTTCTCGGACACAGCATGGATCTGCCTGGCTGTCCCCACAGTACTATGTGGGACAGTATTTTGCAAATACAAGAAGAGCTCAGGGCAGCTGTGGAGCTGGATGGTCTGCCTGGCAGGCCTCTGTGCAGTCTGCCTGCTCATCCTGTCCCCTTTTTGGGGCTTGATCCTCTTCTCGGTGTCATGCTTCCTCATGTATACTTACTTATCTGGCCAAGAATTGTTACCTGTGGATCAGAAGGCAGTCCTGGTGACAGGTAAGCAGACGGTGCTACAATTTTCACTGAGGGTATGATCTGAAACTTGCTTTGCCTTAGCAGGACTTTGTCAAATCTGGCTTAAAAATAAAATACTTGGCATGGAGTAAATGAAAGCCCTCACCCAAGTATTTTTCATGACACTGTTTTCGTTCCGTTTTTTCCAGGAGGTGCATTTGAAGGGGCTGGTAGTGGGAGGGAAGGAGAGGATGAAGTGCACCCAGACAATGATTTTGTTAAAATTTCCCAGGAATAAATATTAATAGGCAAAATGGCAATATTTCATGTGTTCTATTGTACCCAGGAATGTCCCATAGATTGTTTTTTAGGCTTAAATGGACTTTTGTTCTGACATCATTGTTTGGCCAGGTTCTCCACCTGGACTCTTCTTCCCTAGGTATGCAAGAACGCTTACAAGCCAAGTTCTACTTGTCCCTTGCTGTTTTGAAATATTGAAGGGATTCACTTACCTGGGCTGGAGACTTTGCAGTTTGCTTGGCTGCTGTCAAGAACCTTGTGTCCTGTCTGAACTGTTCCTCATTAGACCTCTAATGTTTCTTAATTGGACCAACTTGGCATCGTGTCCAACATTCAGTTGCCTGTTAGCTGAGCTGCCAGTTTTTCCCTTGTTTGTGTGTGTGTGTGTGTGTGTGTGTGTGTGTGTGTGTGTGTGTTTCCCCATTGCAAGTGTGAGGCCAAATTAAATTTCTTTGAGTTGTAAAATTTTTGCTTGGTTATGGAGTTTAAGCTTGGATAGGGCTGTAATTAGGATTATCCAGCGTTATCCTAACCCAGAAAGCCCTACCAAATAAAAAAAAAATCAGCTGTGGAATCATTTGGGGGAGATCATCACCCCTCTGACCATGATCCTCAGGGTGAAGGCAAGAATGGCATGGGGATGTGGTTGGGAGAAAATCTGGGGCTTGACAATTTGCAGAGAAACAGACTTTGTTTTTGGGTTAAAGTAAAATGCTTTCTTGAAACAAAATGCAAATTGGTGCTTGTTGGGGTTAGACAAGCCACAGAAAAGAAGCTTCTTTAAATTAATTTTTGAAAGTTTAGAGGGAGAAAATTCAGTCAATGGGATGTTTATCTGCAAGAATGTCTGATATCACCTGGAATCATGTATCTGGGAGTCTGGCTGGATTTTCCACTTTTTTATTAGAATTCTCAAATGGCTTATCGGTGAAATTTGTAAGAGAGTCTCAATTTTCCTGTTCTGTGTCCTGTTCTGTTATGAAACCTTAGGATGAGCTCAGGCAAACCACAGGGTAGCTGAGAAAATGGGAATCCCTTCTTGCTTGTTTATTTTGTCAACATTCTTTATCCTCTGCATTTCAAGATGCAGGTGTTAATTAATGCTCACAAAATATGCACCCAACTCAGTGAGCCCACATCAGCCACTGAAAGGTGCCGTGCATTTAGTGTTGAGTGAGGATGATTGAATCAATTAGGCAACTCAAGCTCAAGGACTAATCCCTGCATGAAATGCTTATGGCAATGAAGAAAGCTTAGAATTAAGATGAGCACTACATATATTTAAGGATGACTGAAATGTCACTTTCACGTTCTTTGTTATTTTCAAGTTCTCTGTCATTTTTATGAGGAATGCTATGTGCTCATATCATCCTAGACAAGGCCTCAAGACCTTTGTATGAAATCGAGAAATTTAAAATGAATTCATTTTGTTAGACCACAACTCTTTAAAGAATGAAGAAGCCACGCTGAGTTTGGAATAACCTTTGTTCCAGATTGGCTTATGATAACATAGATTAGCACGCATTGTGGTGGGGCAGGACCAAAGAAAAATGTGGCAGTGTACATCAAAACCATACATATGGTTCCTTTATCTGATAATTCAAGTCTTGGAAATTTATTTTGAAGACATAATCTGAAATATGAAAAAAAGAGTAGAAGCAAAACCAAAATGGCACATTCAACACAATCTTATTATTTAATTTAGATTAATATTAAATATCAAAAGCAACAAAAAGGGTGATAATATATGGTACATCCTCTGGGTATAACAATGTGCAACCATTAAAAATGACAGCCACAAGGACTGTGTTACATGGAAAACTGCTTGGGCCAAAGGAAAACACACAGGAAATCCCAGGGTTGGAACAAGTCTACAGCCACGTCAAATGCATAGATTCCTGGGCTGGGCAAAAAGCTGTGATAACAGCTGGAAGAAATAGTTTGTATATGGTTGGATTAGTGTGCTGGAAATAGTTTGTAAATGAAAGGAAATAGTTTATAAAGGAAATAGTTGGTTAATGGTTGGATTAGACTATTTACGTGTTATTTTCTCTCCTGGATTTCAAATTTCTCTGGTGTGATTACATTACTCATACAATAAAAATACTTAAAAGAGAACACAAAACAGCTAAAGCTCCTTTTAGTTTGTATTTAATTTTGGACCCAGGTGAGAGGCAATTACAAAGACAAATTTAAAAAAATGACTTTTTTCTCCCCTTTGAGCCCTTTATTTCATTTTGCTAAGATGTTCAAAAGTCTGTTGCCTCAGAGACAATATAATTACAGTAAGAAAAAGTAAGCAAGCATAGAGTGTTTGAATACATATTTGTCTTCAAGATACCTGAAACCACAGAGGCCATTCAAATATTTAAAATGTATGTGTGATGCATTTTATTTTATTTTATTTCATTTTATTTTTTGAGATGGGGTCTCAATCTGTTGCCCAGGCTGGAGTGCAGTGGCATGATCTCAGCTCACTGCAACCTCTGCCTCCCGGGTTCAAGTGATTCTCCTGCCTCAGCCTCTCAAGTAGCTGGGATTACAGGCACGTGCTACCACGTTGGGCTAATTTTTGTATTTTTAGTAGAGACAGGGTTGTATGATGCATTTTAAATGTATAACTGTAAAATGAACAAAGAGCAGACCAACACGATTGTAATAACATCTCAACCACAACATAGTGGGAAAAAACTTTGAAGACACACAGGCTTGGGTTTGAATCCTGCATCTACCTTGCCTTAGGCTAGGTCCCCAGAGGCAGTGCTTTCTGTGAGGATTTGTGGGAAAGATTTATTAGGAGGGTTTCCAGAGAAGATGGGCAGGGAAAAGGAAGAAGCCAGGTAAGGGTGAGACATTGAGAAGTCCTCTGAAGATCACTTGGGCTTGATCACCCTGGGCGGACGTGGGGTGGTGTGGATCACTCATCAGAGCTGTGCCAATTGGAGACTAGAGAGCTGTAGTCTTTATGCCTTCACACCAGTCAATCATTAGTTAAGGGCAGTCACCCCTGTTCCCCCTTGGTTGTGGGCAGGAGGGGAGACTTAATTCCATGCACTTCTGGCACCATGTGGACACTGGCTGGCAAAGTGGGTTCTGGTCCTTTGGGGAAAGAATCGCAGGTGCTGGCTGCTGGGAGTCAAAGTGCACCATGGATTGATGCACACAACAGTGGGAGGGTTCTGGGGGAATAGCATCTTATTTGCTGCATCTTTATTACTAGCTGTGTGGACAGCTGTGTAAACTTTGGTGCTCGGTTTTGGATTTTGGGACTCTGTTTTCTCCTCTGTAAATGGAAAATAATACACACACACACACACACACACACGCACAAACACACACACACCCCTGCATATGTTATACTACTATAGATGGAGTTAGCAGATGAGAGAGAGAGAGAGAGAGAGGGAGAGAGAGAGAGAGAGAGAATGACTGTATTGGGGTGGTGAGGGGAAAGCTTGAGTAGTTAGGAAGAACATGAAGGAACAAAAAGAACAAAAGAAAACGTTGACAAACAGAGAGAAGAAGCATTCATGTATTCACTCAATAAATATTCATTGAGGGCCCAGTATGTGCCATGCATTTTCCAGAAGCAAAGGGGGAAGAAAATTTTAAGACCAGGAAATTACTGTCAAGCGATGGGATCAAAATTCCTACTTTTCCTTCATCTTGGACACACATTCACTGGAGTTCCTTCCCCCTCTTCTGAGGTTACACGTTGTCCTTCTCAGCCTACCCTCTAAGCTTGGCAGGAGATGCACAGGTAACTTTAAGTTTCTATCCTCTGGCCTTTCATCCTGCCCCCTCCAGTCATCTCAAATATTGAGAACCGACTCAGCATCTACTGTGTACAGAGCAGACACCTCAGGGCTTCATGGACCACTGGGGAAGACACGGCCACACCCAACTGTGGCTGTGTGATGGGGCACATAAGAAACCTCCAGGTTCATTCCCAAAGCGGATCCCAGGCAGACACAGGTCTTGTGTGTGGAGCTGGGGAAAGCTTGACAAAAAAAGAGGGACCTCGTTAAGAATCTAAAATTAGTTTTCTAGGGGGAAAGTGAGAAGGTATTCCAGCCTAATTGGTTAAGTAGCTACAACAAATACAGCTAGCACTCAATAAGGCTTGCTGCATTAGATAATTTTTAATTGAAAATTTCAAAACTGGATATATTGGAGAACGGATCCAGGAGGAGAAGTAAGATCTGTTTTCAGTGAAAATATTTTATGCTCACAAGAAAGTGTCTCACGTGAGTGATCATCCCTTCTTGCAATTACTGAACAGTCCAAATAAGGTTCTCAAGTTGAATACCATGGGTATCATCTTGGGGTTTGGACTCCTTTGGATTTCACGTTAGATTATTAAGATGGATAAACATTGACAGTGGACTAAGAGACTAAGAGAAATAACATCTCTGTGCTCTAACCTTTACATGCATTTTATATTTGATTCTCACAACCCTAATAATTCACATTTGTAAACAAGGAAATGCGTCCAAAGTCACTGAGCTACTAAGTAGCCAAGATTGGACTAAACCCAGATCAGATCCATCTCTCACCAAAAGCCATCCTCTTAACCACTGTCATTAGAAGTGTTAGATCCATAGTTGGTATTAGACCACAAAGGTTACCCAGGATATAAAACGTGTCCATTCAATCAACAAGTAAATATTGAACATCTGTTATGTGCCCATGACTCTGCTTAATACAGAGCTTGGCAATTGATTGGGTGTAGAAGATGCTTATGAGGGATGATGAAATAAGAGTACCATACACAGGGCTAGGGATGTTTGCAGAGGGTGATGATTTGAGACATGCCATGTGCTAAGCTTGACTTCAGAACTGAGTCTGAGAGCAGTGAAGGGTAGTTCAAGTGAAGTGTCACTGGAAATTGGAAATAATGAAATAGAACTTGGTTAGATTTGTAGATAGATGCTGGAGAAGCATGAGCAACAAAGTGATGGTGGATGTTGAAAGGATGGCCCTTAGTGAGTCTATAATTCAGTCTACCAGATGATTTTTACATGAACAAATGTCCCCACTTATCATGCGGTTTAAGTTTTACCTTTACCTACTACAGGGAAGCATAAAAAAGGTTTTGATAACCCGGGTAATTTTGTGAAAGTTTGAACAATGATTGTATCAGGCATTATAGATGGAGTGTTTTGACTGGGGAGTATTCTGACTGCATGGAAATCCATGCCAACTATACTGCAAGCGGCTTGAAGGCAGGAACCAGGTCTCTTTTTATGACCATGTGCCTCTTCTCAGTCTCTCAGCACGTTAGGCCTAACACAGTGTTAATGAGCGAATGCACAGTGAGTGAACCAACCATGTGGGTGAAACGTCCTCTCCTTTTCATGGTCGTTAGTTGGACACAATAGGATTGTCCCAATCTGCCCACTCACTTAGGTACTTACCTTTGCTGTTCTTTTTGCTGGGGTCATTTGCATAAAAAGGGCAGAGTGACATGGCTGAGCTGTTGGAAGCTCCATTGTTCTGTAGTGACTTAATTGTTGGCTTGCCCTGGACAAGGCTTTATGCTGATTTGGTTCTAAGCGTGCTCCTGCTTACCCAGGATGTGGCACAAATAGAACATCCACTGGCTTCCACCAGTCTGCTGAAACTGCTCTCTAAGTGTCACTGGTGTCCTTCTAATCACCAGAGCTTGACTTCTGCTCCAGCACTGCCGACCATACTTTCTTTCTTTTCATGGCCTCGTTAGCCTTGCAGGAACTGCATTTCCATGCTTCTTTGTCCTTTGACTCTTCCGGGTTCTTCCTACACTTCCTCCAAGGTAATCTCTGACTCTGTCTTTACTCCACCTTCTTATATGGCTGCATTCTCTACCCAGCAGCAAAGTCATACCTGCTCCTGTGGTATCAATTATCTCCTCTGAGAGAGGACTGGCAAATCGTGGTTTTGTATACCTGACATTCTTCTGAGCTCCTGACTCATATTTCCAGAATTTTAGCCTGAAACTTTAAATTTGGCATGTTTTAAAAAAAATTTATCATCTCCTCTTGTGATCCTTTTCCCTTTCTTTTCTTTTCTTTTTTTTTTTTTTAATTTTTTATGCACAGAGTCTCGCTCTGTCACCCAGGCTGGAGTGCAGTGGTGCGATCTTGGTTCACTGCAATCTCTGCCTTCCAGGTTCAAGCAATTCTCCTTGCCTCAGCCTCCCGA
Source organism: Homo sapiens (assembly GCF_000001405.40). Lineage (NCBI taxonomy): Eukaryota > Metazoa > Chordata > Mammalia > Primates > Hominidae > Homo > Homo sapiens. The sequence continues at coordinate 82,042,131 of NC_000016.10, forward strand.
GTAGCTGGGATTACAGGGGCCCACAACCATGCCTAGCCAATTTTTGTATTTTTTAGTAGAGAGGGGGTTACGCCATTTTGACCAGGCTGGGCTTGAACCCCTGACCTCAAGTGATCTTCCCGCCTCAGCCTCCCAAAGCGCTGGGATTACAGGCATGAGTCACCACGCCCAGCCTCCCACAGTGCTAGGATGACAGGCGTGAGCCACCACGCCCAGCCTCCCAAAGTGCTGGGATGACAGGCGTGAGCCAGAACTATCGCACTTGGCCTCAGTGTCTAAAACTTGGTGGAGGGTGGTAAGTTCCATGCAAACTGGAGCACATACCTCATGACTAGAGAAGGCAGCTGCTTCCTATTTCCAGTCAATTATTGCCACTTTGCCATTTTTGTGGTATTTAAGAGGAAATAGAAAATTGTGGATCTTTGTGTGTGAAATCTCCCATTTAAAACAAGTTGGCAATGATTTCTTTCTTATATTATATTTTATTTTATTTTATTTATTATTTTTTGAGAAGGAGTTTTGGTCTTGTTACCCAGGCTGGAGTGCAATGGCACGATCTCGGCTCACTGCAACCTCCTCCTCCTGGGTTCAAGCAATTCTCCTGCCTCAGCCTCCCAAGTAGCTGGGATTATAGGCACCCACCACCATGCTCAGCTAATTTTGTATTTTTAGTAGAGATGGGCTTTCACCATGTTGGCCAGGCTGGTCTCGAACTCCTGAACTCAGCTAATCCACCTGCCTCGGCCTCCCAAAGTGCTGGCATTACAGGTGTAAGCCACTGCATCTGGTCTCTTTCTTATATTTTAAACAATCCCATAGATCAAACAGAACACATTCTTGTGGCCAAATGTTAGCTTCCAACTTCTGCTCTGGTTCCTGCAGAGAGGAGCAGGCAGAGAAGAAACTTTTCTCTTGCTTATGCAGTTGCATCTCTTGACATCATTTCTGTGGGTTACTTTGCTGTCAGGGCCTCTGTCTTCTTATTCAGGCTATCACAGACTCCTTCAAGGAAGGATGAGGGGAGAAAGAAGCTCGTCTTGGGCCAAGCTTTTCCCTAGTGGAGCACATAGAGCTTTGAGGCTTCCATGTTCCCTCCCATTAGCAAGTGCAATGTGGGGACTGGGGCTCCCCAGGCAGGATCTGGCCACATGCAAGGGGTCTCCCCTGGCCTGCCCTCCTTGTTTCAGGTCACTTGTGATATTGGGGGGAAAGGGGTGAGCAGCCAAGAACAGATCATTCAGCCACTTTAGGGTTTATAAAAATCATATAGATGGCCGGGCGCGGTGGCTCATGCCTGTAATCCCAGCACTTTGGGAGGCCGAGGCGGGCGGATCACGAGGTCAGGAGATGGAGACTATCCTGGCTAACACGGTGAAACCCCGCCTCTACTAAAAATAGAAAAAATCAGCCGGGCGCCGTGGCAGGCGCCTGTAGTCCCAGCTACTCGGGAGGCTGAGGCAGGAGAATGGCGTGAACCCAGGAAGCGGAGCTTGCAGTGAGTCGAGATCGCGCCACTGCACTGTCTGCCTGGGCGACAAGGCAAAACTCTGTCTCAAAAAAAAAAAAAAAAAAAAAAAAAAAAAATCATATAGATAAACTTTATTTCAGACCCAACCATTTCCCAACACCTGAACACCATTTTCAGGATCATCCCATTTCATCCACTGGGGTTTTGAATAATCCCAGTGACAGGGAGTTGACCCCCTATTGGTGGAAGTTATTTCATTTTTATACAATGCTAATGGTTGTAAATATCTTCCTTATAATGAGCGAACTATTCTTCCCTTGAAGTTAACTCTGCTCTTGGAAGTCACATAATCTAATTAAAGTATTATTTTGCATGATTGCCCTTGAAACATGTGGACTGCATCATATCAGAGTCAAATCTTCTTTGAACTAAATCTTCTCATTCCTTTTACCATTCCTCCCATGGCCTAGTTTCCAGAACGTTCATCATTCTATTTAGCCTCCTCTGAACCATTTCCAGTTTCTTTCTTGACATTCCTCTGAGCTGTTGACTCAGAGTTAATATCACATACCATCTTGGTATGAGCAACACAAACCCAGCTGGAACTAAATGAGGTGAAATTAAATCAGAACAGATGCAGGGTTCTTCACCACATGCTGTTGCTTTGTTTGGTGGGGTCAGTCCCTAAACAGAATTTCCCCTGAATTCTGAACCAATGGAGAAATGAGACAGGGGGCTTAAGACATCAGCTTTATTCCTGATAGATGCATTGGAGCACGGGTCTTAGGCATGTGGTAATAACGGTGCTCAGCCAAGGCAAGGTCGAAAAGTCTCAGGCCTCACCCACAGATGGGGCCTGGGCTGGGCAGCTGGGCTTAGCACAGGTGTTTATAGGCTGGGAGGTTGGAAGGAAGAGACAATAGGGTCCACGTGAGGGTCTGGCCTCTTGGATTTTCTCCTCTCCTTCTCAGTCCTGATCATTTCCTCCGAGTTGTCATTTGGTTCTCCTGCTAGAGAGAGAAAAGACCTTTGCACCAGGCAAAATGTTCATGTCCAATTCTTTCTGCCAAACTCACCAATCAGATACTTTGCTCCACCTCCCTGGGGGGAGGAGGGTAGAGGAGCCAGAGGGGCCAGGAACGTCACACTGAAAGCTATCCCTCCATATTGCAGACAGCATAGGAAGTGGGGAAGAAGTGTTCCCCTGTCACACTAGGTCCAGAAAACCAACACTTCTGACTGGGCATGGTGGCTCACGCTTGTAATCTCAGCACTTTGGGAGGCCAGGGTGGGCAGATCACCTGAGGTCAGGAGTTCGAGACCAGCCTGGCCAACAGGGCGAAACCCAATCTCTACTAAAAATACAAAAATTATTAGGGCATGGTGGTGTGCACCTGTAATCCTGGCTACTCTACTCAGGAGGCTGAGACAGGAAAATCGCTTGAACATGAGAGGCAGAGGTTGCAGTGAGCTGAGATCACACCACCGCACTCCAGCTTGGGTGACAGAGTAAAACTCTGTCCAAAAAAAAAAAAAAAAAAAAAAGAGAGAAAAAAGAAAAGAAAATCAACTCTCTGAATAGCGGATGCTGTGTCTAAACTGCAAACTGCAGCTGGTATGAAAATGGTCCAGGGAGGTTTGACTGTGAACTTAAATGGGGTCAGCACTGGGCTGTTTACCCCCAGTGAGCCCCCCATCCATCTTAAGCTTCCCTCTTAAGATATACAGTATCTAAATGAAGATATTAGACTACTCACTAGTTCTGCACTCATGAGAAAGCTGCTTCACCTCTATGAGGTTAATTTTTCTCACATATAAAGTGGAATCATGATTGATATCTCTTCTAAGTATTAAGCAAGATTGTGAATATATATTGCTGCCTGATACGTAGTAGCTGCTTTATAAAATATAATGATTTTTACCTATTTTCTATCTTTTCCAGTTCAGTAATCCCCTTGGCAAAGGAGACAAAAGGAATATAGGCGATGAGAGTTCTGCCTTCTGGGCCATTCATTAATGTGCCTCATCAGCCTCATACAATAGTGCCCTGCTCCTTTGTTCTTTTGCACTCTGACTGTTTCTTGGCTAGCAAGCCCTCTTTTTGTAGCAGACTTGCTTTGCAGGTCTCAGCTTAATCCCAGTTTTCACTGACAGATGCTTCTCCAGTGTTGAGACCCTTGGCTCTGTGCTGTCTAACTTTGGTTCATGCCCTTTTAAGCTCTGACCTCTTTGAGAGCTTCTGCTGGGACCACTCTAGCCTCTTGTGTTTTCTCTCCTGATTCTTCTCAGTCCTGATAATTTACCCTGAGCTGTCTTTTTGGTTCTTCTGTTACAGAGAGTCTTTGGGAGGTGCTGGACTGTGAAGACCTTTGCTCTAGGCAAACTGTTCACCTGTTGCATTGCCTCCTGAGTCCCCATCTCTCTATGAGGCAGGGCATTACCTCTTAGGTGGGGAGCGAAGGGTGCTGACTGGGAGCAGGATGTGTGATTGATGTGAGCCGTGGCTGGGGCCGAAGCTGGTTGTTTTCACAGCTCATGTTTTCAGTACCAATTGCCTACTATGCACGCTCGAGATACAGTGTGGAGCAAAAACAGAATAAGGCCCTGCCTCATGAAGCTTAATTCTAGCGGAGGAAGACATAACACAACAAACCAATGAATGGATAAGATGATCTCGGTGCCACAAAACCCTCATGGCCAGGACAGTGGTGTGACTGTGCTGTTGAGAGCCACCTTGTATCAGAGGCTTCCTATGTGTCAGATACTGTAAGGAGCACTTTCCATGCCTAATTTCATTTAATTCTCACAAACGCCTTATAAGATAATTTAAAAAAATATTATGGGCCAGGCACGGTGGCTCACGCCTGTAATCCCAGCACTTTGGGAGGCTGACACAGGCAGATCACTTGAGCCCGGGAGTTCAACACTAGACTGAGGAACATGGTAAAACCCCATATCTACCAAAAATACAAAAATTAGACGGGCATGGTGGTGGGCACCTGTAATCCCAGCTACTCGGGGAGGCTGAGCCAGGAGGATCGCTTGAACCTGGGAGTCAGATGTTGCAGTGAGCTGATAATGGAAAAAAAAAAATCATGAAAATCTTTAAGTGTACACAAGAGGAGCCAATGTACACAGTATACTCAATACCCCTATTCTAGAGTGATCATGGTCCAGATACTGATGAAATGGTTTTTATTATTAACCCCACTCAACGATGAAGAAATTGAGGTTTTTCAAGAGTTTACATAACTAAGGCCAAGTGACAAATAAGTAATTGGCAGTGCTGGAATTCAAATGCAGGTCTTTTAGCTCAAGAAGATAATATAAGCAGTGCAAAAAGGTAGATGGCAAGTGTGCTCCCCTTGAGGGAAAGGGGTATTGGCTGCCATCTTTTTCAGACCTGCTCAGCTGACCCAAGCACCTTCCGCATTCAGACACAGAATCTTATGCAAAGCTGACTTTCATTCCTTAAGAAAGAGAACTCCTTACCCCATAGCACCAGAGAACACTAAAGACTGAACAGCCAGGAACTTCCTGATCTCCCTCCATTAGCAGGGGTGGCACTTCTCCAGTGAGCAATCATAAGTGCTCTGTGCTCATGAAGCTTGTCACTGTTTTCCAAATATTCCCAGTCATGCCCGGGGTTTGTTACCTGGCTACCTTTAGATTACTACTTCAGAACCTACCTGGTATGTTGTTAAAGAATGAAGTTTAGGGAAGAGCTAGAGAAGAAGACAATGGCATAGGAGGGTTTTAAAAAAGAACTCTGATTAGCAGTGTGGAAAGGGGATTAGAATCCATTCATTCGTTATTTCACCAACACTTATTGAGCAACTCTGTGCCTGGTACTGGGAATATAGTGGCAAATAGTATGCGTTCATGACATTGAATCAACTTGCAGTATAGAGGAGCAGGTAGGCAAGAAGCCAGTATATTGCAGGACAGTATAATGTGTGAGAGTTCAGAGAAGTGGGCAGAAGTGAGAAGAGGCAAGAGGATGTAGGAGACTGGGGTAGAGGCCATGAGTTGGAAGGGCAAGCAGCCAACTGGAGGGACTTTATGAAGGAAGCCCTGTAGGACTTGCTGTCTTATTGGACCTAGGCAGAGAAGAAAAGGAGAGACCCACTGCACATTGGACTCTCCCTATCATGGCTCTCATCATATGCCCTTTCTGATTCTTCTTTTGACTGCCTGGATTTCCAGATGGACCATGAGCTCCATGCAGGGAGGCACTATGGCCCCAGTGAAAAACATGGTGTCCACAACAGGCTCAAGGAATGAATGCATAGACAAAGGAATGTAGAGAATGATTCTGAGGGTCTGAGGGTGATTTTTACAATGAAGAGAAACCATAGGTCTTGCGAGACTGAGGAAGAGGAGCTGACTTTGCGAAAAATATTATATCTTTTGTTTGAGACATGTTGAATTTGACATGCCAAGGTTGTATTCAGGTGGTGGTGTCCAAATTAAATTGGAGAAATGAGGCTAAAATACAAGAAACAGCCCAAGATGGAAGATAAAATTAGATTAATCTTCCACATAGGTAGGACAAATGAAGCTCTGAAACCTAAAAAGATATCTGAGAGACGAGTGTAGACAGAGATTAGGACAGGGCACTGGGCGGTGGGGTCCACTCATACCTATAGGATAGGAGGTGGAAGGGAGACCTGGGTGGTGTAGGGTTCCAAGGAAAATAGTTACAAACAACATCCAGTATGGAGGAGAGAGAAAATGAGATGAGCTGATAGCTCTGCTTTCACTGCCTTGGGGATACCGATTAGAGAGAATTCTTTCAGGAAAGGGCACAGGAAGGAGTCCCAGTGCAAAGGCAGCAAGGAGATGATGTTAGTGAGCAACTCTGAAAATTTGAGAATTTTGGTGGAAAAGGGAAGGAGAAGATGGGGAATTAGCTCCAGGGAACATGAAGATCAAAAGAAAAAGTTTGGTGGAAGAGAGAAATTTGGGGAGTGATTTGGAGACCCAGAAGGAAGGACTTGAAGAAGAGACATTAATAGTACAAAAAGGATTGTGATAACTGATGAACTAGGAGGCTGTTGCTTAAGAGATAAAGAAAAAGTGGACACTATAGACATCGCAGCTTTTGTTCTAGTTTGCAAGGCTAATATGACATGTTATTGGTTAGAAAGGCAATTTACTTATATAGGAAATCTTCAATTGTTTGTGGTGCCAGTGTTGGTTATAGGGTAGTTGTATAAGATGTGACAATGTACTGCTTGTAGTCAGTAGAATAGTTATGAGAATAAAATGAAATGAGCATGCCAAATGCTTAGTGTTGAGCCTGGCTGCATAGTACACAAACAGTGAATGCTGCTGTAGGAAATCAAAGAAGACAAAGGACAATAAAGTAACCAGAGAACGCATTATGATGAAAATAATCCTGGCTACTTTCTGGGCTGGAACAGGTAGTCCCATGTTGAGCTTATATGTTTCTGTTCAATTACATCTCTCCTGTTTATGACCCTTTCATATTCTTTATCAGCATTCTCTGTGACTATTTATTTAATATACTCTTCCCTCTCAAGCAATTGTTCTTTACTGGGAGCAATTTGGTTACCTAGGGGAATATTTGGCAATTCTGGAGATATTTTTGGTTGTCAAAACCTATAGGGTAGCGGGGAGTGACAACATGCTACAGGTATTGAGTGTTGAGGCCAGGATGCCACTGAACATTCTATAATGCAAAGGACAGCCCCTACCACAAAAAATTTACCTGACCTCAAATGTCAATAGCTCTGAAGTTGAGATACTTTCTCCTAGATGACGGGTCATGTCATTCATGTGCATCATGGTTTCCCCAAGTGCCAGGTACAAAGCAAGTCACATGATGGGTGCCCCATAATAATAAAGGGAATGGAGATTTAACTGCACCTTGAAGAATAGGCCAGGTCTGAATATATCTCCTGCTTTGAGTACAAGGTGTCAGAAGATGCTGTGAGCATTTCGGAAAGAAAGTTCACAAGAGAGATTGCAAACATTCTGGCTCCCAAAGAATGAAAGAGAGGAAACAGCCCTGGGGCTTTATCAGGAGACTGACATTCCCATAAACAAGAGAGTCTTGGAACAAAAGGTCTGGAACTGCAGGTAATACAAGAACACCCAAGACTACAAGCAGTTCATTGTTTTTACAGATAGACTTCAGCCAACCACTGAAGCAGCAGAGATGGAATTTTTAAATAGACACAAACTAGAGACAGTTCCTTTGGTAAGGCACAAAGGTGAGGCTTCTCAGCCCCATAGTGGGGCTGCATGCATACAGAGAAGGTCTCCACCTCGGGACAGCTTCTTGAATCCGGTGGATATCAACTGTCACTGTGTGTCAGAATCACCTTGGGGCTTTTAAAAAATAATGATGCTTGGGCACCCACTCCCAGAGCTCAAGTTTACCTGATCTAAGGCATGTGCCTGGGCATTGGTGTTTCTTTAGAGCGCCTCCGTCCCAGGTGAAGCTAATGGATAGCCAGCCCTACTTTACAAATGAACCACAGCTCAAAATCTTGTATAAACAATTTCTCTCTCCAACACCTTATGTACTCAGTTCCACTGGATGTCTTGCGCTTTATATGCTTGAAACTGAGTTCTTGATTTGGGACCCTTCCCTACCTGGCCCTTGCTCAGGGTTCCCCATCTTGGTGAGCTGCACTACCCAGCATTCTGTAGTGACCAGAATCCCAAGAACTCCCCTTCATTCTCATTTCTCTGCCCATCTTCTCCCCTGCCCGCCCATATACAATTCGTTCTCGGTGCTGAGGCTATTACTTTCCAACTGCACCTAGATATGTCCACGGCTCGTCACCTCCCCTGCTTCTGATGTAGTCAAAGCTACCGTCATTTGTTCTAGGGCTACTCCCTGGCCTCTGGGATTCCACTTTTGTCTCTTTAAGTTGTTCTCTGCAGAGTAGGTTGAGTGTCTTTTTCTGGCTTAAGACCCATCAAAGGCTTTCTGCTGTAGAGAATTCAAACCCAAACTTTTGCCCAAGACCAGAAGGCCCTGTGGAATCCGAGCCCCCAGATCCCACACCTCTCTCCCCTGCTAGTTAGCTTGAAGCACCAAGCTCTAAAGTCTTTCCATTTACTGTTCTTTTCACCGGGAATGCTTTTTCCTCCACCCTTTACAGGCTGGCTTCTTCTTCACCTTCATGTCTTAGTCTAAGACATGACAATTAACTGCTTGTAGTCATGCTTTTGTTTTGTTTTTGTTTTTGTTTTTAAATCTTGGCACTATTGACATTTGGGGCTGGAAAATTTCTTTGTCGTTGGAACTTTTCTGTACATTATAGGATGTTTAGTCTCTACTCACTGGATGACACAATAATCTGCTCCCCAGTTGTGATAAGAAAAAATGTCTCTAGACAATGCCAAATGCCTCATGAGGACAAAATCCCTGCCAACTGATAACTACTAGCTTAAATATTAACTTCTTGAACAGGTATTCTCTGTTCTCCAGGCTTTAAGTCTCCAGGTGTATTTCTCAATCTTCATATCCTATTTGTTACTTTCATAGAACTTTTCTCACCTTGAAATTGAATATTTATCTAGTAAATATCTGTGTCATAGTCCCACTAGACTATCTTGACTATTTCATTCAATTCTGTAATGATAGCATTGCGTACGGCTCCTGGTATGCAGTAGATGCTTAATAAACTTCTGTTGAAGAAATGCATGCACGCATGAATGAATGCATGAGCAAACAAAGACTGCTAGGCAGGCAAGTGCCTTCCCGCCAGGGTTAGAGAGATTATCTAGCAGTGCAAAAAGACCATGGACTAAAAAGGAATGAGATAATGCCCCTTGCAGAGACATGGATGAAGCTGGAAGCCATCATCCTCAGCAAACTAACACAGGAACAGAAAACCAAGTACCGCATGTTCTCACTCATAAGTGGGAACTGAACTATGAGAACATAGGGACACAGAGAGAGTAACAGCACACATCGGGGCCTATTGGGGTGGGGGTGAGGGTGAGGGGAGGGGAAGTATCAGGACAAATAGCTAATGCATGCAGGGCTTAACACTAGGGTGACGAGTTGATAGGTGAAGCAAACCACCATGCCACACATACAGCTATGTAACAAACCTGTAAGTTCTGCACATGTATCCCGGAATTTAAAGTAAAATAAAAAAAGAAAAAAAGAGCATGGACTTCGGAATCGTTAGTTGCAGCTTCTCAGCTCTGCCAGCTTCTTGCTGTGTGACCTGGGTCAGATAATTAACATCTCAGAGCCTCAGATTACTAATCTGTAAAATGGGGATACTACTTTTGAGAGTTTGCTTAACTGTGTAATCTTCCCTGCTCTCTCCCAGACCCCACGGGCTTTGGATGCTTCTTCATGTGCCCTTGGCACCTGGTGCAGGTCTCTATCAAGGGCTCACCATCACCAAGGATAGGATCACACTGTGCCGTCAGTGCCTTATACAGAGCCAACCACATCATAGGTGCTCAGGAAATAATGTCTGTGCGGTGTATGACCAGGAATCAAGTCGTATCCGAGATTTGAGGTCTTGTAGGTAGTTTGCTGAGACTATTCTTATACGGGTTGGTCCCTGGAAAAATGAGCAATCCCAGGTCCTTCCTTGGTGGGCTGTGGGAATGGGGAGGCTGTGCCCCTCTCTGTTGTTCAGGTGGGCATTCTCGTTTGCCAAAAATTGAGAAGCTACGCCTGGATCCTCTTACCTCTTTTTCTGTTTTGGTCTTCTGCCCAGGCCTTTGCAAATAATGAATTTAACAAAGATGTTGTCTGAGTGTCTCTTAGACCCAGGGAACTGAGTATGGGCAGCTGTTCCTCCTTGGTCAGAGCAAGCGAACTGTCATGTATCCAAATGTTTCTAGCGAGAGGGTCCTGTGAATGGAATTGTCAGTGAGTTCTAGTTTGCTCATAGCATGAGTCTCCCTCAGGGAGCAACCCTTGAGGTTTTCTACCTGCTCAGAAACTCTCTAGAGAAGGCTACACCCTGGGCATGCATTTCCCTTGAACTAGCTTTTCCTAGTCCCACTAGGAGAGTAAATGACAAAGCTGGGCCCTGAATCTAGGTCTTGCCCATCTCTCTATTTTTTTATGCTCAAAACTCACAATCCAGGGAAAAATATCCTTTCTCTTAGCTTGGGCAGTGTTGGGCAGTCTACTGAAGATCACATGTAGTAGGAGACAGGTAGTTCACTTTATTGGTCTCCTGGAACTGCTGTAAAAAAGCATAACAGACTGGGTGCCTTAAAACAGCAGAAATTTATTCACTCACATTTCTGGAGGCTGAAAAACTGAAGAGCATGGTACTGGCATTGCTCTTTCTTTCTGCATCATAACATGGTGGAGGGCATCATATAGCAAGAGGGCAAGAGCATGCCAGCTTAGGTCTCTCTTCCTCTTCTTATAAAGCCACCAGCCCCTCTTGGGGGCCCCATTATGACCTTATCTAGACCTAATTACCTCCCAAAGGCTCCACCTCTCAATGCCATCAACATATGAATTTGGGGATTAAGTTTACTACACATGAAATTTGGGGAACACATTCCAACTATAGCACTTATTAGCTAAAAGTTGCTAAGAACTTTTTTTTCTGGTAGCACAGGTTTTGGCTGCATGGCAAATGCAGAAGTCAACAGAAGGAGCCCACGTACATCAGGGAATTGGTGATCAGAGTCACCTAGACTGCAGGGGAAAAAGCCAAACCAAAAGTCTTACAGGTAGAGAAGATTTGGAAGAGGCACACATCCCAAGCAAACTACAATTGATGCACCCCTGCAGAGTCTACAGAAATGAAAAGAGAAGATCGAAATATCATCATTTTTCATTCTCCCGAGTTTTAATTTTTATTTATTTATTATTATTTATTTATTTATTATTAAAGTAGCAGAGATTGAAAACTAAGATAAAAAATGCCAACATAACCAATGATACGTTTAGCAGGATTGGGGAAAGTTCATAGCGCTAGCCATGGACTCTGAGTTCTCCACTAGACTGTAAGACCTTGAGGCCAAGAACTGTGTCCATCTTGGTCACCATTGTACCTGTAGCACCTAGCCCAGCATGGGGGAGCAGAGAGAAGCTGAGTGAATTGATTAAATTCATTGGTTGTGGCTGACCTCTAAAGATGTTCTATTAACTCTGAGACTGTGCACAGAGAAGACTTTGTGTGCTGCTGTCCATGGAAAGAAAGCTTCATCTTGTGTTGCTGCTGGGGAGCTCAAACAACACTGGACATGGATGGTACTGGACTGGTAGAGCATCTCCCTCTTGTATTATGTAAAGAAGTTCTAACATAGAATGCATAACCATAGATAGAAGTTCATTATCAGTTTTATTTAATAAGCAGTTGTTCCTGATAATCAAAGTGATTCAGATATCACTTAAGGTCACCATGCTCATTAAGTCAAGAGATTATGTGCTGGAGTCCTTACATGATGACCTAAGGCAGGTCTATCCATGCCTTCAACAGCATGTCTACAAATTCCCAAGCTTGTCTTTCTCCAAGTCACCTCTGGCTGTGATTTCTAGTGAAGATGAACTCTCATCTCTCATTCTTTACTCTGTTATCAGTCCAAACATGTAAGAGCCCTTTCTCCTTAATCACTTAACCTTAACCCACATATCGAAAAAAAAAAAAAAAGAAAAAAAAGAAAGAAAAGCCATGCACATAGATCAGATGAAAGTAATACGCTTTCCAGAAAATTCAGGGCTCCTCTGTCATCACAGACATTGTAAATATTAGACTGCCCCATTCTTTTTAAAATCTAACTTTTTTTTTTGGGACAGAGTCTCGCTGTGTCACCCAGGCTGGAGTGTAGTGGTGTGATCTTGGCTCACTGCAACTTCCACCTCCCAGGTTCAAGCAATTCTCCTGCTTCAGCCTCCCAAGTAGCTGGGACTACAGGTGTGTGCCACCAGAGCTGGCTAATTTTTGCATTTTTAGTAGACATGGGGTTTCACCATGTTGCTCAGGCTGGCCTCAAACTCCTGACCTCAAGTTATCCACCTGCCCCAGCCTCCCAAAGTGCTGGGATTCCAGGCGTGAGCCACCGGGCTCAGCCCTGCCCTATTCTTAACATACCACTTAGCCATTTCCACCAACTTGATTTCCCAACCTCCAGAAATGTTGCTTTCTCTTCCCACTCCCACTTCATCTCTTTGAGATGTCATTTTTTCCTCTTTCCCCACTAGTGTCTTTAGCAGAAAGGGAAGGGTGCTGTCCAGTAGAAATATTTCTATTTTTTTTAAAACCTAAGTCAACTCAAGTCACACCTTGGTTCAAAACTTTCTGATGATATCTCTCGTCACATTTTACAATAAAACTCATGGTCTTCCCCATGGCTGAAAGCAGAGTTTCTCAACCTCGGCTCTCTTAACATTTGAGGCCAGATGGTTCTTTTTGGTGGGGTCTGTTCTATGCATTTTGGGATGTTTAGCAGCTCTCTGGCCTCACCAGATGTCAGTAGCCCATCCCCATTTTTACAATCAAAAATGTCTCCAGACATTGTCAAATGTTCCCTGGGGGGGAACTGAAAATCACTGACTTAAAGGCCACATGGACTGGCCTTGAACTACTGCTGTAATTTAGCTCCTTTTATTCTCTTTGATTGTTCTGCTCTGGTTAAAATGGCCTCTCTGCTGTTTGACTGAGAATTATGTTCCTGTCTGAGAGCCTTTGCACCTGCTCTGCCCTGTGCCTGGTGCACTCTTCCGTGAACATGGCATCCTGGCACCCAGTCACTATTCTGTTGCAAACACCCATTCCCACCTGACGCCAATACATTTGCTTATTGAATGTCTCCCATGACCTCCTACAAGCTAAGCTTCATGGGATGGGGACTTGGATGGTTTTATATGTTGCCGTGTCCCCATGATGTAGAAGAGTACATGGCACATGCTCAACAAAGAGCTATTGAAAGAATGAGGTAATGAATAGGCAGGAACACACAGGATGGAGTAAGTAGCACATATGTGAGATGATTAAGAAATCAGCCCAAGTAGAATAGAAGGTATGTCCTAAGGTTGGGAAATGTAGAAAACTCCCCCACAGTGGGCAAATGATAGAAGTTATTGACATCCAGACAGCGTACTGTATCCACCATCTATCAGACAAGTGGGTGTCAGAGCAGGTTCATGAGCTGGGGAGAGATGTGGTAAGAATGGAGCAGAAATGAGAAGCCTGGATTCAACCGGAAAACCATGCAATAGAAGCGTGGATCCAACTAGAAAATAACACAATGCTCTGGTGTGAGTGAGGGTGGCGAATTGGTTTCCTCTGTGGTTGGTGAGGAGTACTGGAGTGAGTAGATTCTAAGGGAGAGGTGATTTGATTGAACAGTGTCCATGGTGGAATGAGAAGTGTAAGCTGGCCCAGGTACCAAGGGTTTGTCATCTCTGTTGTAAAGAACTAGGTCAATGGTGGTAATTAGCAATGAAACAGAAAATAGAAAACTGTAAATCACAGACATCTTGGATTTTATTCAAGTTTGGCAAGTTGCATCTTGTACCATTATATTTTGGAAGCGGCTGAGTGAGTTTTTGGTCATGTGTTGGCAAGAATGACATCCTGTCAGCCAGGAAGCATCTTTCCCATGAAAAAAAGGGACATTAGTAAGGCTGCCCTACTTAGATAAAACCTTAGATAATGATAAAAGGGACCTTGGGATAGTGGGGCAATTTAGTTGTATCTCTGGTTAGTTTTCTCTTTTTTGTGTTATGCTAATCTTAAGTAAATTTACTTTTTATGTAGTTGCTTAACGTGTTTTTACAAGTGTTACTTTACTTGTAGCAATTCTTGTGAAATACATGGTTGGAACATTAACAAAAAATTTCTATTAACCAAGCCACAGGAAAACATAGGAGAATGAACAAAAGAAGCCAGCCACAAAGAGGACCGATACCTATTTCCATCTATTTAAAACAAAAATCAGGTAAAACGGATCTATGCTGTTGTAAGTCAGGATCGTGGTAACCTGTGAGGGGTGGGGACAACTGGAAGGAGATACAAGGGAGATCTCTGGTGAGCTGTTGATGTTGTTTCTTAACCTTGGTGCTGATTAAGTTTCTCTATAATGTATAATACATAGCAGATTGGTAACCTCAAAAATGCTATTGCCTATTCACAACGATAGGTGAAATATACACTAGTCATTGATTCACGGAAGTTGACTATATTCAGAGAGAATGTGTTAGACAGGAAATACAAACAAACAAAAACAACCAACCAAACAAAAAAACAGGTGCCTTAGAATCTTATGGACGTAGGGTTCAAATGGCACCTCTGCTTTTTTACTTGAGTGAGGCTGGAAACTTTTTATATTCTTTCTGAAGCTTGGTTTCCTCACCTGTAAAATGGGAAAAAATGTGCACTTTTATGGGAGCCAATTGGAAGCTCTAAATAGCCAAAGCTAGAAGAGTTAGAGCAACACAACAAAGTAGTAAGCCATAATCCAAAGTATAAAATCAATATTCATGAGTCCAAACTGATATAAATAAGTGATTGAACTAATTAATAAGCGAGGGAGAAGAGATAAATCTCCTGTGCAGAATTCCAAATAATGTATAGAGCTATTCCACCCTAAAGAAGGAAGAGCATAACTCCCCACTTTCTCTTTTCTTTTCTTTTTTTTTTTTTGAGAGAGAGTCCCCCTCCGTCACCAGGCTAGAGTGCAGTGGCGCAATCTCGGCTCACTGCAAGCTCCGCCTCCTGGGTTCAAGCGATTCTCCTGCCTCAGCCTCCTGAATAGCTGGGACTACAGGCGCGCACCAACATGCCCGGCTACTTTTTGTATTTTTAGTAGAGACGGGGTTTCACCATGTTGGCCAGGATGCTCTCGATTTCCTGACCTCGTGATCCACCCGCTTCGGCCTCCCAAAGTGCTGGGATTACAGGCGTGAGCCACCGCGCCCAGCCTAACTCCCCAGTTTTTAAGTGTGGCCTGTGCACAACGGCTTCCTTTCAAAGCGTACAGCTTGGGAAGGGGAAAAAGCAACTGTGCAGTGGAGAAAACTGATGAACACCACTTCAACCAGGTCAACATCTTCCAGGTCAACATCAGCAGCAGTCTTAAGTCACATGGGTGCTATGTACCCTTAATGTGATGTGATGTGATGAAATGGCATTTTACCTCTGTGATCTTCTTCCCCCAAACCTATAATCCCAGTCTAATCAGGAGAAAAGCATCAGACAAATTCAAATAGAGAGGCGTTCTACAAAATCCCTGATGAGCACTCCGTCAAACTATCAATTATGTCAACTATGTCAGGTCTGAGAACCTGTCATAGCCCACAGGAGTCTAAGCAGACAGGATCACTAAATGTAACACAATGTCCTGAACAGGATCCTACAGCAGAAAAAGGACATTAGGTAAAAGTAACGCAATGTGAATAAAGTATAGAATTTAGTTAATAATAATGTATCAATATTGGGTCATTAATTGTAGAAGATGTAACTACATCATACTAATGTAAGATTGTTGTTGTTGTTAATTTTTTTTTTTTTTTTTTGAGATAGGGTTTTGCTCTGTCGCCTAGGCTGGAGTGCAGCAGTATGAGCATGCTCACTGCAGCCTCAACCTCCTGGGCTCAGGTGATTCTCCCACCTCAGCCTCCTGAGTAGCTGGGGCCAGGGGCGTATGCCAGCACACCTGGCTAATTTTTAAATTATTTGTAGAGGCAGGGTCTCCCTTTGTTACCCAGGCTAGTCTCAAACTCCTGGGCTCAAGCGATTCTCCTGCCTCAGCCTCCCAAAGTTCTGGAATTACAGGTGTGAGCTACCGCACCCAGCCATAAGATGTTAATAATAGGGAAACTGTATGCGAAGTATTTGGGAACTCTCGGTACTAGCTTTCTGATTTTTTTGTAAATCTAAATTTGCTCTAAAAAATAAAATCTGTTTTTTTAAAAAATGTGCATCTTACCTTAGGTTGCAAGCATAAAGTGAGATAACATATATAAACATAAGGCTCTCAAACTTTTTGGACTTAGTCCCCTTACATGGGCAAAAGTCATTAGGGCTCACCTACCCCACCCATTCCCACATCAGCTTTGTGTTGGTTCACATGTGCCCTAAGGGTAATGCGAATTTTCACGGTGACCAGGTCTTAGTTGAATGCTGAATTACAGTCATCTGTACAGTTCAGTTTCCTTTGTGAATATAGAATCGAGAAACCCTTCCTAAGTTATGTTCCTATTAAAAAATGAAGGTCATTTAAAAGAAAAAATCTGATTTTTAGGCACTGTGGACAGATGGCGGGGCTCAGGGAGGGTGATGAATGGGTCCAGGGAGCGAGTACAGGGCAAGAACATGAAACTGTGAGAAGGTGATGGGTTGTGCCTGGACTGTGATACTTCTTCATTTACTCAATTGTTCATTCTGTCATTCGGTAAATATTTACTACAGGCGCTCAGTGGGTGTGGGGTCTGGAACAGTGAACCAGACAGCCCAAGAGAGTCCGTACTCTGATGGAGATCACCTAGTTTCTTCTCTTTCCTGCCTGTATTATTTTCCAATGAGTGTTCCCTTAAGGAGGAAACTGGAGTTCTCTATAAAAGTAAACTATGACATATTCCTAGAACTTTCCTATTAATAACATTCACCAATATTGTAATTATTTATCCAATGTGCATCTTCTCTCTAGACCAGGGTTTCTCAGCCTTGGCACTGTTGATATTTGAGGATGGATGTTGGCTGGCAGATGTTGAGAAGCATCCCTGGCCTCAATAGTAGTCTGTGTTGTGACAACCAAAAATGTTTCCAGACATTGCCAGATATTCCCCAGGGGACAAAATTGTCTGTGGTTGAGAATCGCTTTCCTGCATTGGTGGCTCTCAATCCTGGCTGAAGTTTGGAATCTCCTGAAGAGATCTCAGAAACTGTTGCCAGTGGATACCGACCCCTATCCAGGCCAATTAAATGGGAGTCTCTGGGGATGGGCATTGACTTTTTTTTAGATTGTAGTGGGATTGAGGAGTGAGAACCTCTTTCCTAATCAGTATGCGTCATGAAGCCAGGGAGTATTTGTCTTCTGTGGGTGGGTGTTTTTAGGACCTAACACAATGATATCTGAATGAATGAGGGAACAAAAGAATGAAGGTGAAGACAGGTAGGAAGATGTGTCAGAAGTTAAAAGTGGCACCGGGACAGTACAGGAATGTGTTTTGCAAAGAGCAAACCTGGGTTTCACGGCTGACTCTACCACATTCCCGTTGTGTAGCTTTGGGCAAGTGTTTAATTTCCCGGGCACTTCAGTTGCTCATCTTAACACAGGAATCACAAGAATATGGGAGAATTCTTCATAAAGGTTATGTTCCAAGAAAAATGCATTTGTTTCCATTAAAAAAAATTGACATGAAAAATCTAGCTATTTCCCAAGGCCTCCTCACCCGACAACTGTTATCCGTTAAGAATGCTGAGGGCAAAGGAGGAGGGAGGTCAAGTATTTGCTCTTCCTGGATTAAGAGTTGAGCTTTTATTTTGACCTCAGGGCAGTCCTAAGTATGCTAGAGTTTTGTTGTATTTCTCTAACATTTTATTATACCTTAATCTATTTTATGGGGAACAGGCAATGTCAACATGAGGGTGGCAATCTGATGGATTGCCTAAGTCTTAAACTAAAGGGTGGGGAAAGTCCACTTCCCACTAGTTTCCCACAGGCTTTCTACCAGCTAAACAGCTTTGATTCAGATGACCTTTGTAAGTGGGAAACTGTAGGTCAGGGATCTCCAACTCAAAAGGCTATGGGGTCAGGGTAGGCTGCATTACTGAGGGAAGCTGGTGATGGGAATGTGTGTGTGTGTGAGAGCTCTTGATCAGTGAACCTTGTTTCTTCAAGTGCATACCCCATCAGAGGGGGAGCCCCGGAGGTCCTCAGCCTCAGCTGATGGGTCCCTTGTGGGAATGCCGACTCATCTCCTGGTTAATCAAGAGAAACCATTGATCTGGGTTTTCAGGTACAATCTCCCGATTCTGAGTCTTTGTTCAAATTTTTGCAAAATTCATTGTGTGGGACAAATGAAATGCCTATTCAGATCACATCCTTTTACTGATAGATAGCAGATCTTCAATTTGTGTTTGTCCGTTCTACCATAAGAAGTGAGATTCCACTATGAGAAAGGGTCTTGGTGCCTCTGAAGATACCAACCCCGTAAGCACCTCCACCTTAAGCTGCTGGTAGTTGAAGACATCATTGGCAAAGGGAGCACTCGGAGGAGCTTTAGGGGCAAGGACGCATAAAGCAGAGCTGTGATCTTTGGCTGATTCATCGCTGTGGCTAGAAAAGCAGTGAGGACCTTCTGAGAGAACTGATCTGAAAACCTTTTTGGTTCCAGAAACTGGAGGGAGCCAATGAAAGGAGTAGTGTAGTGTCGGTTTTTTAAAAAAAGTTTCCATTTATGGGCCAGGCGTGGCGACTCACACCTGTAATCCCAGCACTTTGGAAGACTGAGGCAGGTAGATCATGAGATCAGGAGTTCAAGACCAGCCTGGCCAAGATGGTGAAACCCCGTCTCTATTAAAAATACAAAAATGAGCTGGGCATGGTGGCAGGTGCATGTAATCCCAGCTACTTGGGAGGCTGAGGCAAAGAATTGCTTGAACCCAGGAGGCAGAGGATGCAGTAAGCCAAGATTGTGCCACTGCACTCAAGCCTGGGTGACAGAGTGAGACTCTGTCAAAAAAAAAAAAAAAGTTACCATTTATTTAATAAACATCTGGAGAGCAGTGGCTTTGTGCCAGACCTTGTTCCAATTACTTTAATATATCAAATTATTTAATCCTTCGAACAACTCTATGACCCAGGTCCTACTGTCACTCCATTTTAAAGATGGGGAAACTGGGGCACAGAGAGGTTAAGTGACAGCCAAAGTCACACAGCTGTTAAGTGACAGAGCTGGGATTTGAACCCAGGTCTCCCAGCTCCAGAATCCAGGTTATCATCATTTCTCTTGGCTGTATTTTAATAGGGACGATTTTATCTATAGTAATGAAAAATTATGGCTTTGAAGACTATGTAGAAATATGTAAAACCAGTCTATATAATAGTAATTTAAAAATCAGCTGTCAAATTGTATGTGTGCTATAACTGTTAAAGAACGATATGTAGGAAAAAAGACTAGAAGAAAAAGAACATGAACATTATGAGAGTTATGCAATATGGTGAGATTATGGAGAATACCTTCTTTTATTGATCTCAGTATTGACTGTGAGCTTTTATTTCTTGTATGATGTTTTATTAATGACTAAAAAACATTTACAGGTTTGTAAATTTATCCCCCATCTTCCTTCTTTCTGAATGTAGCTTCCAAAGGACAGTGCTTGTGTTCCAGGGCACATGCATCCCAGCACTCAGTCCTGTATTTACAGGGTGGATGCGTTTTATTCAAGAGGCCTGGCCTGAAGAACTCCCAAACACGCGTTATTCACAACGTGCCCAATTTAAGACTTGAACCAACAAATGATGGGGTGTTTCCGTTCACCAGCTAATATGGTGCCCCCATGTGGCAGTAGCATAAATACACTTTGCAACTACATTACACAATTCCTAATACCCTCAAATTCAAGGTGATTCACATTATTTCCCTTTTGCACATAAACTGAGTCTTTATTAACATTTTTAGAATTAACTGCTATTTCAAATTCACTCCAATCTTGTACAAATGGGTCTGTAGTAGTCATTGCCTGTCCCAAGTTGATGGGTTTCCAGGCTGCTAGAGACAGAATGATCCCAAATGACATAGTTTAACACCAACCTCAGCATTTTCTCTGCCCTGTTGAGCACTTACTATGAGTCAGGTGCCCTCAGCACTAGTGACAAAGGACCCTCTCTCAGTTTGTAAGGCACAAATATTCTAGTGCCCTCTTCAATGCTTATTCATCCAACATGTGCTTTTTATTGAGCATCCACTATGGGCTAAGCCTTGTGCTTTGGAGGATTTGAATATTTTATACCCCAGTTGTTTATATCCTAATCTGTGCCTGGCTCCAAACTACCTCTGCTGTGTCTTAGCTGAATGACTTAATCCTTCTGTGCCTCAGTTTCCTCCTCTGTAAATGGGTGATGGTAACATTACTTACCCCCCAGGGTGATTGAGAGGATTCAGTGAGTAAATGCATGTGAACTAGCTGGAACTTGGTAAACATGCAATCCATACTTGGTGTGCTTATTTTCAAACACCACTGTTGGGTAACTCTTATGAAACACTTCCAACTTCTCACGAAAGCCCTGGCTTTGTTGCCAGGTTTCCGGAGTATACAATTATTTTCCCCTCTCCTCAAGGAGTGATTCCTTAGCCACAGACTTTTTCAAGGCCCTCTGACCCCTGAGCTGCCTCAGGACTTCATAGACACCAGGCCTAGCACAGCCTGATCTCTAACATCATAAGTCAGAAATGACGTCACGGTTACAGCCACGATACTGATGACAGCCATTCACAACACGCTGGGCCAGTGCGAAATCCTGTCTTGCTGACTGCCCATGCCAGTCTAGGAGGGGGTGTTATGATAATCCTACCTTCCATGTGAGGAAGTGGAGGTTCCACATGGTTATATGTGACTTTCCCAAGGCTTGTAAGTGGAAGAGAAGAATCAGGCAGTCTGAGTCTTAACCAAGATGTTCAGCTGACAGTCAGTAGAGGCAAACTCTACATTTACCAATATTGTGAGTGGAAACATCTGAAAATTAAAATAAAGACACAGTTTTATTTTTTAAAAAGACTGATGTAGTAATTGTTTGGAATAGGCTCTATTAGGCATTTCACAAATATTAACTGACACAGGTACCATTATTTAGCCCATTTTACAGGTAAGGAAGCAGAGGCAGAGAGTAATTAGAAAGGCTCTCTAGGGTTACACAGGCAGGAATAGCAGGGCTAGACTCGCACCCATTCGCCTATGCCACACTGCCTCATGGGTAAACACAAGCAGATGGTCTCCCGTGATCTTTGGCTTCATTAATTTACTGCCAAACAAAAAAAAACCTCAGATTTAGTTAGGAGAGACTTTATTCAAAAGGATTATTGCAGTAGAGGGAATGTTCTGACCACTTAATCTGCAAGTGTCTCAAGATGAGGCAGTAAATATTTTGCTTTGCTAAAGAGGCATAAACAAGGTTAGAAAGAAGTGGGTGTTGGGGGCTGGGATGATCAGAGTGACACAATCAGACAGTGGTTGAGGGCTGATCAGGAAGGTCTGTAAAGAGGAGTTGTCTGCTGGCTCAGGCTGAGGGTGGGCCAGGACCTGGGGAAAGGAGAGACTCTACACCAAAGTTAGGTTAACGAACACTTTGTTCCGACTGACCAGTGGAAACAGGCAGTTAAACTAACCACAAAAACAAAGAAAGGGAGTTTGGAGGCTCTGGGTCTGGCCTTGTCATAGGTAAACAAGTGGGGGCACCTATGAGTCTCATCTAAGTCATATGGGGAAGGGAGTTCTTTGCAGTGAGCTGTTTCCCAGAACACAAAAGGGTGGGGACATTTCTTAACCTTTGCAATTTTCCAGTATCACAGGGCTTGCCTAAAGTTCAACACTGTTGTCACCTGTAGGCTCTTCCAAGGAACTTTCCTAAGAGAGTCAGATCCTAGGCTCATGAAGCTGCTCAAAGGCACTGCCTTCCAAAATGTGACAAATTATCCTCTACTCAAAGGAAAAGGAGTCAAGATCACAATGTCTCCTCCTTGCTCGCATCCCTTTACCTGCCACGCTGGCTTCTTTCACTCAGTGTAATGGTTTCAATGTTCATGCTGTAGCAAGCATAGAAACTTCATTCCTTTCTATGGCTTAATAATATCTCACTGTTGGGTATACCATATTTTTTATCCATTCATTAGTTGATGGATGTTTGGTTAGTTTCTTTTTTTCTGTTGTTATGAATAATGCTGCTATGAACATTTGTGCACAGGTTTTTGTGTAAATATATATTTTCATTTATCTTGGGTACACACCTAGGAGCAGAATTGCTAGGTCGTCTGGTGACATTATGTTTAACCTTTTGAGGACTGTTTTCCAAAGCAAAGATAACTAGTTTTAGTGTCTGCAGTAAGTGAAAAAGATGTTCAGGAAAGACACTAAAACTAACTCGAGAAAGAAGAGGGATTATTAGGAGGATGTGGAATTTCTTAAAGCATACATGGGGAAGAGAGCACTTGAGGTTTACCAGAGAGTGGAAAGCTATCATGAGCCAAGAAGATGCTCGTCTATGTCTGTGGACAACATCTGACCTCAGACTCTGCTCTTATTTGTAGCTTTGCCTCTTGTTACTCTTCAAGAGGACTTAGCCCATATCTCCATGTGCATGAAGGAAGACAGCCACCCAGTCCCCCCATTTGCTATTGAGTTTAATGACCTCTTTGGTCAGACAGTATCGGACACTGCTTTGGATCTTGCAGCCACAATTCCACATTTCTGAAAGAGAAAAGCTGGTTGACTCTGGTCCAATCAGCCCCAGACAAGAGGTGGAGTTACACAGGACAATTATAACCTTGTGGACCCCTGTGGGGAAGGGGAAGCTGGGAAGCTCTCAGCATCTTGTGTGGAGGCACACAGTGTTGAACACATCAAAGTGTTTGTGGGATGCAAGGCCAAAGGAAGGATTGGAAAGTGCAAAGTTCATGATTCTCAGGTGGATTTGGGGAGCAGATGATGGACTTCAGGTTTGGATACAGGTGACAGTTTGCATGCCTTCATGGTCAGCAGCTCTAAGTGGGTGGATGACCCCTTTCCCCCTCTCTTAGCTCTCTAGAGAGCAGCAGATACCCTGATTGACTGTTTATGTGCTCCGTAGAGTCAAGGTCATGGTGTTTGTCTCTGCACTGCAGAACAGTTTTCTTCTCTGTGCAGAAGGAACATGCTGGGCATCCTGATATCACACAAGCCTCTAGGGGGAACTGGGGGCTTTAAAATCCATGGCCCCCATATATCTAGCTGTGCCAATAATAAGGCAGAAGCATAAGGTATGGTACCTCACAAAATGGGAAAGGCTGTCCACGAAACACTTGGTCTCACCCAGCAGGGTGTGTATAACCAGGCTCTAGATACTTTTAACTCCAACCTGGTTCAAAGTTAGTTATTTTCAGGTTAATTCATACCCTTTCTTACAGACCACAAGAGGATCATCCTGGGATTAGCTTGCCCAAACCTCCCTTCTCTGCTGACACAGATGAAGGAGAAGGTGGCTGGTCCAGTACGACAGTGACTCATGAACTTGGATTTAGGATCCAATAGAGTCCAGGTCGATCCCTACCATCTGTGTGATCTTGGCATCTCTTGTTTTCAGTTTCCTCATCTGTAAGATAGGAAGGATAATTTCTACTGTAGACATTTGGGGAATAATTTTATAAGACAGACTTGACCACTACTGGTATTTAGGGGATTCCAGGGAGAGCACACACAGCACTGGTCTGCAGTCTGGTGAACTTGCCAGTGTCCAGCATCTGGCCTCAGCACTGTGGATCCAGAAGTTGGATTTGTCCAGCAACAGGTCCATTTCTTCAGGAACTGGGCTCACAAAATGGTTATACACATATATTATATATTAGTACCAGAATTCTAATGCATTAATTTACACTAAGACAGGTGTCTATCACATGGTCCAGACACTTGCATGTGTTTCAGTTGGTACCATCTCCTCCTCTGGCCAGCCCCAGGGAGGAAACCACTTACACTCAAGAGCTATTTGCTGGGCAATGACATACATGGAGACATAAGAAGGAAGGAGATGGAGCAAACGTTAAATGCAATCAGTGATGGCAACCAGAGGCGTTCATCTCATAATGGTGGTGTCAGAAGGACAGGAGTACACACACCTTTTGCCATGACTATCATTCTCTCTCTGGCAGTGTTCGCACATGCCAACCATGCTAGGATCTCTCTCTCTTCCACCTTTTTCTACACTTAGAGGACTGACCAGTCTCCATTCTAATTAGCATAGCCTTTAAAAAAAGAAATTACAGAAGAAAAATAAGTACTTTTTTGTAGCAAAAATGGTAAACATTACAAGATAAGGTCCACCCTCCATTCTGCCTGTCCTCCTAAGGAAAACTTAGGGAATCTCTCCTTCCAAATTCTTTTTTATTTTATTTTATTTTTTTACATTTCCACACCTCGCTATTTATGGCATCAACTCTCCTTCTTTTTTGCATTAAAATTGGATTTTATTAATTATTATTATACTGCAAATTATTTTATTTCACTTAACAAAGCATCTTGGAGCAATAGCCATGTCATTGTCAATAGTTCTATTCCATCTTTAAAACTGCTTTGTCTTATTCCATTTTGTGTACCGTAATTTAGGTACCCATTCTCCTATTCATAGACATTTAAGTTAATTCCTTCTTTTGCTTTTATACAGTGTTGTAAAGAACATCATTTATGTGCCTGCAAGTATTTCTCTAGGATAAATACTGAGACTTTTTGGGTCAAAAGATAGGCCAATTCACACTGGTGGATTTTAGTCCTGCACATGTTTATCAATAGTGTATGTGAACACCTGCCCTCTCTTTGCAGACAGTAGATTTCAGGCCCCTGTTGTTAGCTTGGAAGCGAGATCTCTTTCCTGCCCACTCACATACTGATCTTTGAGTTGATTCTCTGCATGTACTCTGATTTTCCTTATTTCCCAATTCTTGGCGGGCATGTCTGACTACCAACAAGAGATCCCTGCAGGAGTCCAAGGAAGATCACATGACACAGGCAATGTGAAATACTTTCTTATTAAAACAAGAGAGACGTTAACTGTTATATGTTTATTATGGTGTATGTAGCTCAAAGGGTGATTTAATGTTCATGTTATCTTCAACTTAGGAATTTCAGACATCAACGTTTTGCACTTGTGGGTATAAAACACTTTTTCCTGGGTCCCTAATACCCTCTTGGCTGGGTTGGGTATACTCCCATCTCAAATTCTGAGAAGCTTAAGTCATACTTTGTGTATTACATTAGTCTCTGTTTTCACAGAGCAATGCAATTAGGGCTTTCTATCTGGTTTCTGTTGTAACTTTCTTTTTAGGCTTGACGTCTATTCCATGGCTCAGGGCAGACCATGGATAGGGAAAAAGGCCCAGGAGGGTGAGAAACACAGGTGGCCATGAACTTTTTATAATCCAGCATGAACTGGCCCCCATGGGCAGCCTCTGTTATTGCCCTGTGTCTCCAAAAGGCAAAACCGAGTCCAAAGTATGAGTTTGTAATGAATGTTTGACTGAAGGTTTTACAGAGTGAGTGAAGTTACATCAAACACTACACATTATAGATTACTGAAGCTACTTCCATTGGATGCCTTGGTTTTCCTTCCCAATTACTTTGGCCACCAGCCACTCCTGGACTACCCTTCCCCCATGCCTTTCTCTTTCCACCTATGCCCACTCACAACCCCTAATTCTATATTATGCCCCTTTCTTTATATGGGGAAATGTATCTGTCTGGCTTGGCTTCTCCTCCCACCTCTCCACTTAGAACATAAAGAAACTTCCTCAGGAACCCCTCTCTTCAGAGAGCATGGAGAATCGTAAACAACGTAATATGTTTTCCTTGTTAAATATTTTCTCCTGTCACTCTGGTTTGACCTCACTCCCTACTCCCCTGACCCTATGCAGGTGGTGATTGCGGGCTTGGCCATGCTTTGTGCAAGTATCTGGATGAGCTGGGCTTCACGGTATTTGCCGGAGTTTTGAATGAAAATGGCCCAGGAGCTGAGGAATTGCGAAGAACCTGCTCTCCGCGCCTCTCGGTGCTCCAAATGGACATCACGAAGCCAGTGCAGATAAAAGATGCTTACAGCAAGGTTGCAGCAATGCTGCAGGACAGAGGTACTGCCGCCAGCACCCTCAGTGCCTTTACCCTCCTCCTGAATGCCCAGCTCTTGTTCCGGCTTAGGCTGAACATGCCCCCCCACTCCACTCTGGGCACTGTTTGCCCTGAAGCACACCTGTGCTGAACCCCTACCATGTGTGGGGGCCTCTATCAACATGAAGACCTTCGGAGTAACTCAGACATGGGCCCATCCACACAGAACTTACAGAAACCTCAGTCTCATTCTCTCCAACTTCTCAGTCACTCTCCCATGAATAATTCCTCCAGCCCCAGCTCATTGCTTTTCTGTCCGCAATAGCAACATGCATTAGAGTCTCCAGCTTCGAAAAAAAATACCTTCATGGTCACTGTCCTTCTTTACCCATTACCCTTCCTCTTCTCTTTCCTTCATGGCTACGCTCCACGGAACCCTGTAGCTCTGTGATTCTCTTCCTCACCTTCAATTTGCCGTTGGCTCTCACTCTGCCTCCCTAACTGATCTGGCAAAGCTAATCAGAATTAGCCTGAAGACCCAGGTTTTTTTTGTTTTCAACTTTTATTTTAAATTCTGGGTTACACGTGCAGGATGTGCTGGTTTGTGACATAGGTAAGCATGTGCCATGGTGGTTTGCTGCACAGATCCAGCCATCCTGTAAGTACTGAGCCCAGGATTCATTAGCTATTATTCCTGATGCTCTACCTCCCCTCCCTCCACCAGGCCCAAGTGTGGGTTGTTCCCCACCATGCGTCCATGTGTTCTCACTGTTCAGCCCCCACTTATAAGTGAGAACGTGTGGTGTTTGGTTTTCTGTTCCTGCTTTAGTTTGCTGAGGATAATGGCTTCCAGCTCCACCCATGTCCCTGCAAAGGATATGATCTCATTCTTTTTAATGGCTGCATAGTATTCCATGGTGTATATGTACCACATTTTCTTTATCCAGTCTATCATTGATGGGCATTTGGGTTGATTCCATGTCTTTGCTTTTGTGACTAGGGCTGCAACGAATCTATGTGTGAATGTATCTTTGTAATAGAATGGTTTATATTCCTTTGGATGTATACCCGGTAATGGGATTGCTGGAAGACCCAGTTTTTAACTTCCCTGCAGTATTTAAGCATGTTGTTTATACTCTCCTCCTTGGCTTTGGGGTCCCCAGCCCCCATTGCTCTCCTAGCTCTCCAATCTTTCTTTCCACTTCTCCTGGATGAAACTTTGCCTCTGTCTCCCCACAAATACAAATGCTTCTGAGGGTTGCATCTGCAGACTTCGCACTCTATGTGCCCTGGGCCATGCAGTTTTCTCCGTATACCAAGAGTTCTCAATCCAACTGCACATTAGAATCATTTGAAAATTACCTATGCTGGGGTCCAGGATGGGCTATGTAACTAACTTGGCAGACCCAATGCAAAATGAAAACATGGGGCCCCTAGCTTGATTTCGGAAGATTATTAGGAATGTTAGTTGGTGACAGCAGAGACTGAAACCACGTGCAGGACCCTTCTGAAGCACCAGGCCCTGTGTGACTGAACAGATCCCCCAGACCCAATTAAATCAGTCTCTAGGACGGGATCCCAGGCATCATTAGTTTATAAAGCTCCCAATGTGATGCTAATGTTAGCGCAGGGCCAAGAAACACTGGTTTACGCCAATAACTCCCAAATCTATTACTATATTGCCAACCTAATCCTTCTTCTCCACGTATACAAAGTTATCTATCAGACATCTTCCCTTATACTCCAGAGGCTTCAACTTCAACATGTCAAATGTTGTTTTTTTTCCCCCTGCTGCCATTCTGCAAATCGGTTTGCTCTCCTGCATCCCACAGCTCAGACACTGGCTCTACCACCTAACCAGTCATTCAAGCCAGCAACCTGCGGGTCACTGAGACCCTCAGCTTATCCTCAGTGCCTGTATCCTACTGATCCAAGTCCTGTCAATTCCACCTCCTGGATAGTTACCCTCCAGCCCCTTCCTACCACTGCATAGCACTACGACTTAGCACAGACCCTCACCTTCTTCCACCTCGGCTATCCCAATGCCCTCCTTGCAACCCATCTTTCCTTCCCCATTACTTTCCAGAGACTCATCTTCACAGCATTCACATTCTACAGTGCCATCCATCTCCTAAAAACCTTTAGACATACAGAGCCTCCACGTGTTGGGGTCCGCCCATGTGGCATGCCCGTGATGGGGAATTTATCAGTGGTTTGTTGGTTCCCTATCAGTGGTTCCCTATCTAAGCACCTTAACAAGGACTAGAGGTCCTTTCAGGATAATGGCTCCTGCCAAACCCTTAATTTGCAATACCTGCTGGTTCACTTAGTAAATTCTGAAGAGTTTCTGGAACAGAATATTCTACTTTACATCTCTGCACATCTAGCTTCCTGTTACAGGAATTCCCCTCCCACTCCCACTCCCTTTCCCTAAGGCTCTTGCCTTTGTCCAGTGGCAGACTCTAATCCCCCAGGAGACCTGGCTCACACGTAACACCTCTTGCATGGTCTTCCAGGTATTGCAGGTTGTGTTATTCACTTCCTCTTCCAGACACTCACTCATTATGGTTTTCTGTCTCCAGGACTGTGGGCTGTGATCAACAATGCTGGGGTGCTTGGCTTTCCAACTGATGGGGAGCTTCTTCTTATGACTGACTACAAACAATGCATGGCCGTGAACTTCTTTGGAACTGTGGAGGTCACAAAGACGTTTTTGCCTCTTCTTAGAAAATCCAAAGGGAGGCTGGTGAATGTCAGCAGCATGGGAGGTGAGTCAGCATTTTCACACATGGTCATGGGGTGCCCATCACAAGACATGGCTCATGGCATTCTATGTGGGCGAACAAAAATGCAGGGCATGCAAAGGCAGGGTTGGGTCAGGATTAGTCAAATTGTATATACCCTGTTGGTCTTATCACAATAAAACCTTTCTCTTCTTTCAAATTCTTTCATGTAGAAACTCTTATCTGCCTTCTAACTCATCCATTTGTTACTGGGGATTTAGGGTTCTTATATGTCTTTATAATGTGACTGCCAACACACATGGTTGGTAGATTTGTACAGGAAATCTCACATTACAAATAATGTCAGCATTTCAGGCAACCTGTTTTCAACACTTCGTCAATTTAACACACTGTGTTCAGTTCCCTGTAAGCTGAGTAGGCAATACCTTCCCTCTGTTTGTGCCATCAAACAAAAGCTGCCTGCTATTGTTAACCCGAAGATTGTCCCCAGTGTTGAGCAGCCTCAATCCAGCTAGGTCAGGATGTGATGACACTGGATAGTTTGTCTCTCTCTGTTTCCAAGAACAAATAGTACACAACTTGAGTCAAGGGCTGAACAGTCTTGCCTTTTCATAAAAAATGCCCATGCGTGTCATAGCATGCCCTCTTTTCTGGGACAGACATTTTCAAACTGGGGTTCCTTGGGCTCTTGTTCAGTTTAGGGAAGATCCATCGACCTGACTTTTGGGTCACTGGGTCACTGCAGAGGTGAGAGGGAAGCCAAAGGGATGGGCTCTGGATCCTAGGATCCTGCCTTCAAATAGAGGAGTACCACTCTTCACTGTTGGATCAATTAATTCTAAGTAAAATTTCTTAAAATAAAGGGTATGACTATGCTGTTTTTGTTTGTTTGCTTGACTTTTGTGTTTTGTGCTTTTTTTGGTAATGTGAATATCAGTTCTAGAATGATTTGGTCAGGGAGGGGGTTCTTCGCATTTCCTAGACAAATATAGTTGTCCATCACATTCCCTTTCCTGGCTTTAACTCAGTAACTTTCTTAAAACTAACTGCTATGTGTCTTTGACTAGAGTCTTGGTTGGCCTGAGGCATAAACAAAGAAGAAGGTAGGGAGAGAGAGAGAGAGAGAAAGAGTTGGGGGAGACGAAGTGTCCTCTAGGATGGTTAGGAGCAATGAGTATTATATTTTAGCTGTGTGAGAACCCTAAAGTAGTTCCAATTTCCTGCTACCTTGCCAAAGCAAATGAATCCTGAGAAAACACACAGCAATATTTTCCTAATCTTTGTTCTGAACTTAGCCTTTACAATTTTGGCCTGTGTGGAAGCCTCACCTTTCTCATTTCCCTGGAATAGTCTGGTACTTCTGGGAACGTCTCACAGACTCTTTGCCTCACTTATATAATAAATATTTACTGAAATAACAGAGTACTGCCTCCTCCTTGGCACACTGACAAGGAGGTTTCTCTTTTTTTTCCTCTGTTCTCAACTTTGAGCAACACCTTCACTCATATGAGTTCACTTTAGTTATTGCCAAAATGTGCAGTATGTGCTGTAGGCCCAGTGTCTGGCATGCACCAGCAGCTCAGTTAATCAGTGAAGAAATGCAAGTGTATGAACGAGTGAAAAATGGAAAATGGATTAATGAATGGGTAAGTGAAAAGCTTACAGTACAAGGCCAGGTGCGGTGGCTCAAGGATGTAACTCCAGCACTTTGGAAGGCCAAGGCAGGAGGATTACTTCAGCCCAGGAGTTTGATACCAGCCTGGGCAACATAGTGAGACCTCGTCTGTACAAAAAAATTAAGAAAAAAACAAACAAACCAGGCATTGTGGCATGTGCCTGTAGTCCCAGCTACTCAGGAGGCTGAGGTGAATCTGTTGAGCCTGGGAGGTTAAGACTGCAGTAAGCTGTGTTCATGTCACTGTACTCTAGCCTGGGTGAGAGAGTGAGACGCTCTCTCAAAAAATAACTCACAATACAGAGCATAACCTTCCACATATCTTCAACTTGGCCTTTAAAGCTCTTTCCAAGCCAGAACTTCTTACTCTGTTGTCATGTATTTTCATTGAAGGGAAACTCTGAATGTTAAAATAAATAACATATCTCACTCTTTTATTATTATTATTATTAATTTTTTTTTTTGAGATGGAGTCTCACTCTGTCGCCCAGGCTGGAGTGCAGTGGCGCGATCTCGGCTCACTGCAAGCTCCGCCTCCCGGGTTCACGCCATTCTCCTGCCTCAGCCTCCCTAGTAGCTGGGACTACAGACGCCCCCACCACACCTAGCTAATTTTTTTGTATTTTTAGTATAGACGGGGTTTCACCGTGTTAGCCAGGAAGATCTCGATCTCCCGACCTCGTGATCTGCCCGCCTCAGCCCCCCAAAGTTCTGGGCATATCTCACTCTTATTCTCACCCTCTGGTTGTGCAAATTCATTACACCCAGCTATGTCCATCTATTTTCTTAAGATCATCACCAAGTTAACCCATCTGAAACAAAACTTGCTGTCAGCCCTCCAGAATGCCTAGGAATACAGCTAACTAGGGAGGTGAAAGATCTCCACAAGGAAGACTACAAAACACTGCTCAAAGAAATTGGAGATGACACAAACAAATGGAAAAAATCTCATGTTCATGGATAAGAAGAATCAATATAGTTAAAATGGCCACTCTGCCCAAAGCAATTTATAGATTCGATGCTATTCCTATTAAACTACCATTGAGGTTCTTCACAGAACTAGAAAAAAAGATTTAAAAATTAATATGGAACCAAAAAAGAACATGAATAGTCAAGGCACCACTAATCAAAAAGAACAAAGCTGGAGGCATCACACTACCTGAATTCAAACTATACTACAGGGCTACCTGTAAGCAAAACAGCATGGTCCTGTACAAAAGCAGATACAAAGGTCAATGGAACAGAACAGAGAACCCAGAAATAAAACAATACACCTACAACATCTAATCTTTGACAAACCTGAAAAAAACAAGCAATGGGGGTAAGGATTCCCTATTCAATAAACGATGCTGGGGTAACTGGCTAGCCATAGGCAGAACATTGTAACTGGACCCTGACTTCTTTCTGCCCTAGTCTTTTGAGTTTCAGATCTTTGAGTCATCTTGGATTTGTTTTTCCCCATGCCTCTCTCTTCTTTCTCCCACCCACTCACCAAGATGTATGAAGTTTTCGTTCATCACATCCAGTTTTGAATCTTCATGTCCTGGAGAAACTCTAGAAATGAGTTTATTTGTAGGACTCAGAAACCACCCAAGGTACTTTATAAAGCTACTAAAACAGTAACAAGAAATCAAGTAACAATATCAGAAGAGATGGGAGGCATATGTACTCAACAGGGCCGGGAGTTTGTGTAAAGACAGAAACAAAGCGCTGTCAAGATAGGAAAAAGATATTTCATGCAAATGGGAACCAAAAAGATCAGGAGTAGCTATACTTACATCAGGCAAAATAGATTTCAAGATCAAAACCGTAAAAAGAGACAAAGAAGGTCATTATATAGTCATAAAGGTGTTCATTCAGCATGAGGATATAACCATTGTAAATATACATGCACCCAACACCAGAGCACCCAGATGTATAAAGGAAATATTATTAGAACTAAACAGAGAGATAGACCTCAATACATTAGTAGCTGGAGGCTTCAATACTCCACTTTCAGCTTTGGATAGATCATCCAGGCAGAAAATCAATAAAGAAACATCAAACTTAATCTGCACTATAGACCAAATGGACCTAATTGTTATTTACAGAACACTTCATCCAAAGGCTGCAGAATATGCATTCTTCTCCTGAGCACATGGATCGTTCTCAAGGATAGACCATATGTTAGGCCACAAAACAAGTCTTAAAACATTTTAAAAAATGAAATAATATCAAGTATCTTCTCTGACCACAATGGACCAAAACTAGAAATAAAAGATAAGAGGAATTTTGGAAACTATATAAGCACATGGAAATTAAACAATATATTCCTGAGTGACCAGTAGGTCAATGAAAAAAATTAAGAAGGAAATTTAAAAATTTCTCAAATGATAAAGGAAATCAAACATACCAAAACCCATGGGATGTGGTGAAAGTAGTACTAAGAGGGAAGCTGGCTACCGGCTATAAGTGCCTACATTAAAAAAGTAGAAACACTTCAAGTAAAAAACCTAGTGATGCATCTCAAAAAACTAGAAAAGCAAGAGCAAACCAACCTCAAAATTAGTAGAAGAAAAGAAATCATAAATATTAGAGCAGAAATAAATAAAATTGAAAAGAAGAAGACAATACAAAAGATCAGCAAAATGAAAAGTTGGTTTCTGGAAAAGATAAACAAAATTGACAAACTTTTAATGAGACTAAGAACAAGACTAAGAACAAGACTAAGAACAAGAGAGAAGACCCAATAAAAATCAGAGATGACAAAGGAGACATTACAACCAATACCACAGAAACTCAAAAGATCATTAGAGGCTACTATGAGTAACTAAGTATATACCAATAAATTGGAGAACCTAGAAGAGATGGATAAATTCTTACAGAGAGCCTACCAAGATTGAACCATGAAGGAATCCATAACCTGAATGGATCAATAACAAGTAACGAGTTCGAAGCAGTAGTAAAAAGTCTGCAAGCAAAGAAAAGGCTGGGACCTCATGGCTTCACTGCTGAATTTTACCAAACTTTTAAAGAAGAACTAATACCGATTGTACTCGAGTATTCTGAAAAATAATGGTGGAGGGAATACTTCCAAACTCATCCTATGAGCCCTATATCATTCTGATAGCAAAACCAGAAAATACATGTTAAAAAAAAAAAAAAAAGAAAAGAAAACTACAGGCCAATATACCTCATGAACGTTGATGTAAAAATCCTTAACAAAATACTAGTAAACTGAATTCAACAGCGCATTAAAAAGATCATTTATCATGACTAAGTGGGATTTATCCTATGGATGCAGGGATTGTTCAACATTTACACAAATCAATCAGTGTGATACATAATCTCAACAGAATGAAGGACAAAACCATATGATCATTTCAATTGATTCTAAGAAAAGCATCTGATAAAATTCAACATCCCTTTATGATAAAAACCCTCAATTAAAAAAAAACTGTGTATAGAAGGAACACATCTCAACGTAACAAAAGCCATATACAATAGACCTATAGCTACTGTCATGCTGAATGGGAACAAACTGAAATCCTTTCCTCTAAGATCTAGAACACGACAAGGATGCCCACTTTCACCACTGTTATTCCACATAATACTGGAAATCCTGGCTAGTGCAAGCAGACAAAAGAAAGAAATAAAGAACATTCAAGCTGGAAAGGAAGAAGTTGAATTATCCTTGTTTGCAGATGATATGATCTTATATTTAGAATAAACTAAAGACTCCATCAAAAACAATTAAAACTGATAAACAAATTCAGTCAAGTTGCAGGATACGAAATCAACATACAAAAATCAGTAGCATGTACTTCTTTTTATTTTAGACAGAGTCTCGCTCTGTTGCCAGGCTGGAGTGCAGTGGCGTGATCTCGGCTCACTGCAGTCTCCACCTCCTGGATTTAGGTGATTCTTCTGCCTCAGCATCCCGAGTAGCTGGGACTACAGGTGTGCGCCACCATGCCCAGCTATTTTTTTGTGTGTGTTTTTAGTAGAGACAGGGTTTCATAATGTTGGCCAGGATGGTTTCGATCTCTTGACTTTGTGATTTGCCTGCCTCAGCCTCCCAAAAGGCTGGGATTACAGGCATTAGTATGCCAATAGCAAACAATCAGAAAGAGAAGTCAAGAAAGTAATCTCATTTACAATAGCTACAAATAAAATGAAATACCTGGGAATTAACCTAACCAGAGAAGTGAAAGATCTCTACAATGAAAATTATATAATATTGATGAAAGAAATTGAAGAGGACACAAAAGATTGAAAGATATTCCATGTCCATAGGTTGGAAAAATCAATATTGTTAAAACGTCCATACTATTCAAGGAAATCTATAGATTCAATGCAATCCATATCCAAATACCAATGACATTCTTCACAGAAATAGAAAAAGAAATCCTGAAATTTATATGGAACCACAAAAGACTCAGAAGAGCCAAAGATATCCTGAGCAGAAAGAACAAAACTGGAGGAATCACATTACCTGACTTCAGATTATACTACAGAGCCGTAGTAACCAAAACAGCATGGTACCAGCATGAAAACAGACATATAGACCAACAGAACAGGATAGAGAACCCAGAAATAAATCTACACATCTATGGTGAACTCATTTTCAACAAATGCAATAACATACACCAGGGAAAGGACAGTCTATTCAATAAATGGTGCTGAGAAAACTCAGCCAGGTGCTGTGGCTCATGCCTGTAATCCCAGCACACAGGGAGGTCAGGTGGATTGCTTGAGTCCAGGAGTTCAAAACCAGCCTGGGCAACATGGCAAAACCATGTCTCTACAAAAAATACAAAAAATTAGCCAGGCATGGTGGCATGTGCCTGTAGTCCTAGCTACTCAGGAGGCTGAAGTGGGTGGATCACTTGAGCTCAGGGAGATAGAGGCTGCAGCAGACTGTGATCACACCATTGCACTCCAGCCTGGATGACAGAGTGAGACCCTGTTTCAAAAGAAAGAAAGAAAGAAGAAAGAAAGAAAAGAAAGAAAGAAAGGAAGGAAGGAAGAAAGGAAGAAAAGAAAAGAAAAGAAAAGAAAGAAAAAACAAACTGGATACCATATGCAGAAGGATGAAACTAGATCCCTGTCTCTTACCATATAAAAAAATCAAATCAAAATGGATTCGATACTTAAATCTAAGACCTCAAACTGTGAAACTATTGTACTATAAGAAAACATTAGGGAAACTCTCCAGGACACTGGAATTGGCAAAGATTTCTTGAGTAACACCCAACAAGCACAGGCAAATGAGATCACATCAAGTTAAAAAGCTTCTGCACAGTGAAAGATACAATCAACAAAGTGAAGAGACAACCCACAGAATGGGAGAAAATATCTGCAAACTAGCCATTTGACAAAGACTTAATAACCAGAAAATATAAGGAGCTCAAACAACTCTACAGGAAAAAATCAAATAATCTCATTTAAAATGTACAAAAGATCTGAATAGGCATTTCTCAAAAGAAGATAAGACATACAAATAGCAAACAAGCATATGAAAATGTGCTCAATATCATTGATCATCAGAGAAATGCAAATCAAAACTACAGTGAGATATGATCTCACCCCAGGTAAAATGGCTTTCATCCAAAAGTCAGGCAATAACAAATCCTGGTAAGGATGTGGAGAAAGAGAACCCTTGTACACTGTTCATGGGGATGTAAATTAGTACAATTGCTATGGAGAATAGCTCTAAAAATAGAGCCACCATATTATCCAGCAATTCCACCGCTAGATATGTACCCAAAAGAAGGGAAATCAGTATATCAAAGAGATATCTGCAGTCCTATGTGTGTTGCAGCACTGTTCACTATAGCCAAGATTTGGAAGTAACCTAAGTGTCCATCAACAGATGAGTGGATAAAGAAAATGTGGTACATATACACACAATGGAGTACTATTCAGCCATGTAAAAGAATGAGATATTGTCATCTGCAATAACATGGATGGAACTGGAAGTCATTATGTTAAGTGAAATAACATAATGAGCATAAAGACAAACTTCACATGTTCTCACTTATTTGTGGGAGCTAAAAATTAAAACAATTGAACTCATGGAGATAGAGTAGAAGGATGGTTACCAGAGGCTGGGAAGAGTAGTGGAGAGGACTAAGGAGGGGGAAGTAGGAATGGTTAATGGGTACAAAAAATAGAACGAATGAATAAGATGTACTATTTGATAGCACAACAGAGTGACAATAGTCAATAATAATTTAATTGTGCATTTAAAAATAACTAAAAGAGCATAAATGGATTGTGTGCAACACAAAGGATAAATGCTTAAGGTGATGGAGACTCCATTTGCCCTGATGTGATTATTATGTATTGCATGCTTGTATCAAAACACCTCATGTAGCACATAAATATATACACCAACTATGTTCCCACAAAATATTAAACATTAAAAAAAAAGAAACAAAGCTCTGAAATGATCGATTTTCCTCTGTGTTAGTTTGCTAGGGCTACCATAAGAAAATACCACAGACAAGGTGTCTTCAGAAAACAGAAATTCCTTTTCTCACAGTTGTGGAGGCTGGAAGTCGAAGACCAAGGTGTCGGCAGGGTTGGTTTCTCCTGAGCTCTCTCTCCTCGGCTTTCAGATGACTACCTTTTTGCTGTGTCCTCACATGGTCATCTCTCTGTCTGTTGCACCCCTGGTGTCTCTTCCTCTTCTTATAAGAATGGCAGTCATACTGAATTAGGGCACCACTCTTATGATCCCGTTTAACCCTAATCATCTTTTTAAAGGTTCTATCTTCAAATGCAGTCACGTTCCAAGATACTGGAGGTTAGTACTGCCACATACAAACTTTTCTGGGTGGTGGGGGGAGCAATTCAGTCCATAACACTGTAATTGATAAGGGACAGGGGAATTCAGCAGAGAACACAGTGAGGGGCTCTCTAGCACTTACTGGAGAGTTTTGTGAAACAATAGAAAAGATTTTGAGCCGGAAAAGAAAAAGCTAGAATGTAACACAAGGATTAGAAAAGTCAAAGTATGTGTAAAAGGCAATATATAACCAACAAATCCACAGAAATTAACATCCAATGTGATGCTGACTTGTTGATATATCTTTGGCAAAATCAATGTAATAGTAACTTTGGAAACATGCTTATCTGGGAGTTCATTGCTGTTATTTTCATTTTGAAGCAAGGTGCATGGAGGGAGAGAAGCAGTCAGTCACTAATAAGGGCTCCAGAAGAAGCACGTGGTTGCCCTGACCCACCAGATTGTCTTGAGTCTGGCACCTCTGTCACCTTCTGAGTGACAAGAATTTTGGTGGCATAGATTTATCATGGAACTTTGCACCAGCCAGGAAAAACTGAGCTGGAATTGATGACTCTGTTCCAGTTATTCATTGCTGCAGAGTAAATAACCCTGAAGAAACTATCTCAGGCTGTTGTGAGTAGGCAGCTGGTCTGGGAGGCAGAATAATGGGTCCCCAGAAACATACACGTCCCATTGTCTGCAACCTGTGAGCCTGTTACCTCACGTGGCAAATGGTACTGTGCACATGTGATTGAGTGAAGGATCTTGAGATGAGGAGGTTATCCTGGATATTCTGGATGAATCTGATGCAATCACAAGGGTCCTTATAAGAAAGAGGCATGAGGGTCAGAGTCAGAGAGAAACTGGAAGATGGTACCTAGGTGGCTTTGAAGATAGAGGAAGGGGCCAGAAACCAAGGAATGCAGGTGGCTTCTAGAAGCTGGAAAAGTCAAGGGAACTAGTTCTCCCCTAGAGCCTCCAGAAGGAGCATGACCCTGCTGACTCCTTGATTTTATCATAAGATAATAAATTTGTAATGTTTAAGCCACTAGGTTTGTAGTAATTTGTTACAGCAGCTGTGGGAAAATAATGTGTCTGGTTTGACTTTAAACGAGCTCCAATTTATAACAAATCACATGCACCTAATTACCGATTCCAAACATTTTTCTTTTTTCTCCTCAAATTTAAACTTCATTCCTCCCAATCTCATGTAATTCAGGTCTCCATGAACACTTTCTCCTCATTCTTTACACCATGTTGAAGGAACGCTTAGCACTTTATCGCATTCCAAAAAGGCAGAGTCAATCAAACAGATTTTACTAGAGATTCCATATATCACAAAGCACTATTTAATGCAAATTCCCTTCAGATTTTTGTGGTTGTTGTTGTTTTTGTTTTTTTTGTTTTTCCTCCTTCCGAAGGTCTTCAGTTGCCAGCCACCTCACCTCTGGTTACTTCCCCCTCCCTGTCCTTTCTGGCTCCCAAATCTCCCTGGTTTCTTTCCTCATCTTTCCCTCTCCTTCCTTCTCCCATAACCAGCACGTTCATATCACATCCATCTACTCTTAGCTGCTCAATAAACTAAGCACTTCCATTGGATCTGCCCTCCTTGGAAGGCAAGAGGTGTGCAGAATAGAAGAAAAAATTATTGCAAATTGTGTTTGCTGTTTATTTGTCTGCTCTATTCCCTCCCTCTCTGAAACTCTCAGAAGCAAACTGAAGCTGTTCCCGCATGAACTTCCCTAAATTCTCCTCTCTCCTTCTGTTGTCACTCATTCTCCTCTTCAACCTTTCCTCCTTCCTCCTCCCCACTAACTCCTTCTCTCTCCCTGGGCCTTTCATTCTACCCCAGGCTATGCTCTAAGGATGATTCCTCCCCAGACTCTCAATACTTTTCTCTTTGATCTGGGCTGGCAGCCAGGAGGGTGGGGCTCTCCTCTTCACTGCCTGGTTGGGTGACACTCCTGGAAAACCCGAGGTCCTATAGCCTCTCTAAGCTCCACTTTTGTCCCTGTAAAGTGGAGGCAATAAGAGTGGACAAATAAGCAGAGGAAATATGACCACATAGGAGCGTTCTGAGGCTTAAATAAAATAATTCTCACAAAGTTCTTAGCATAGCTGCTTATGTGTAGTATGTCTTCCCTGAAGGTTATGAGTTATTACTATTTTTATTAATGGACACTGCCCCGCACTTCTTTATTTTTAAAATTAATTTTAGCTTTTATTTTAAGTTCTGGGGTACATGTGTGTTCCATTGCAGCACTATTCACAATAGCAAAGACACAGAATCAACCCAATTGCCCATCGATGATAGATTAGATAAAGAAAATGTGGTACATATGCAGCATGGAATACTACACAGGCATAAAAAGGAATGAGATCATATCCTTTGCAGGGACACGGATGGAGCTGGAAGCCATTATCCTCAGCAACCTAACGCAGGAACAGAAAACCAAATACCACATGTCCTCACTTGTAAGTGGGAGCTGAACAATAAGAGCTTCTTTACCCCTTTTTCCCTGAGCTCCTTCAAAAGTTAGGTGACTTGCAGCCTCTACTTCTTGGCAACCTCATTAACCCATTAAAGTTTGGCTCCTTTGTTTTCCGTTAAAGACTGCTCAGTTCCCTGTGCCCACTGGCCACTTCTTATCCTCCTTGCTGTCTCTATCAGGCAGAATTTCCACACCTTCTCCTGACCTTCTATCTGCTTGTCCAGCCTCAGTGAGAAGTTCCATGTGCCTCTCATTTGGGCAGAGGTAGCCAGAGTTGGAATGTACACATTGCTTAAAAGGATGTTTGCCTGAAAGTTCAAACTCCCAAAATGTCCTCTTCAATAGGTTTCTTTGCAGCTTTTTGAATATGCATATGAATATAACCACATTTTAAAAATCCATTCATCAGTTGATGGACATTTAGGTTCTTTCCAACTTTTGACTATTATGAATAATGCTTCTCTGAATATTTTTTGTACAAGCTTTTGTGTGGACACTATAAATTTTATGTAAGTGTTAGCTATTATTTCTATCACTTTCTGTGTCCTTGGGAAAGTCACTTAAACCCTATACACTTTAGTGTTTTCATTTTTAAAAATGAGGTTCCTGAGGATAATACTAGAATCTACCTCCTATGACAGTTGTGACCATTAAATACATTCAGAGCTGATGTTAAAACGCTCAGAACAGTGCTTGGCATATAGTAGACACCTAATAAACATTAAGAGTTATTATGAAGGATCCATTACATTTCAGGCATTTGTTGAATGCTCTCAGGTATATGACCCCAATAACCTATGTAATGTTGCTATTCTCATTTTTCAGTTATAAAAACCAAGGTCAGAAGGGTTCAGTGACTGGCCTGTAAGCTAGAACTTGAACTTGAACTTTAGTTTCATGTTCTGACTCACCAAGCCACCTCCTTCCCTGGTGACTCAGTGTAAACATATGTTACCACCACATCAAACACTAAGTCAAAGGGTCTCAGATGCTCTTCCCAGTGGTACCTTATTGACCATTTTTTGCTTTCTACTAGCTCCACTGTTAGATGCTTGTTCCAGCCCAACTCCCATTCTTGTGTGGAAATAAAGTCAACATAACCCATGTCTTCTAAATACACTCCTACGGGTGGGAAGTTCCAGGAGTGGGATGGGGAGAAACATTACTTCTTTAAGTTCTTCTCTAAGAAATGCAATCT
Source organism: Homo sapiens (assembly GCF_000001405.40). Classification (NCBI taxonomy): domain Eukaryota; kingdom Metazoa; phylum Chordata; class Mammalia; order Primates; family Hominidae; genus Homo; species Homo sapiens. The sequence goes on from NC_000016.10 coordinate 82,083,241, forward strand.
AGAGTCAACCATGTCCTTCCCTCCGGTGTCCTTCCCTCCTACATCTTCCATCCCTAAAGAAAGGAACATGAAAGGGAAAGAGTAAAAGACATCATGTAGGAATACAGGTAAGAATCTTCTAGGATGCCAGGCAAGCAGAATGAAGACAGACTGCCCGGGTTTTAATCCGGTCTCTACCAATGACAACTGCGTGACCTTGGGAACAGTTCTGAACCTCTGAGTTGCAGCCTCCTCATTATAAGATAAGGATAATAGTAATTGCTTCTTCTGGGGTCCATGGAGAGATGAGATGAAATAACACATGTTTAAGCATCAGTCTTGTGCTTGGCATGCAGTGAATGGTCCAGTAGCATTAGCGACCCAAAAACCATCCCACCATGAGGATCTGGGGCAGCAGCTGACAGTCTGTATGCTTGCAGCTTCTTAATCTGCCAGCTGCTGGTATCACCACCTCTGACTGTGACACCGAATTACCCTTCATCCTCTGCCCCGTCACTTACTAGCTCCTGAGGAGATGACCCCAACAGGTAACTCCTTCCAGATTTGACCATGTCTACTACAGGAGACTTTTCCCCATTGTAATAACATGTTGATTATCCCTCCCACATAAATAGCATAGCTCTTTAACCCAAATCCCAGCAAGGCAGTTGGATAAATATTTAACCAAGTATCAGAGGCATGGGAGGCAACTCTGATGGTACAAAGAGCAGTTGGAAAATCTTTCTCTTTGAGGCCTAAAGTCGCCAGTTTTGCTCTTCAGAAATGTTCGCATAAACACTTGTGTGCAATTGCATGCTATGCTCAAAAACAAGCCCTGCTAAAATGACCCAGGCCTCAGAGATTTTGTGTCATTGTGGCTTAAATCTTGCTCTTCGGTTACTAGCTGGGTGACCTGGGTCAGGTCACCTTACTTGTCATGTCTCTATCTTCAAATGAGGGTCATGTAGCACCTGAGTCCAGGGCAATATTTCTCAACCTTGGCACTACTGGCATTTTGGTGGGGAGAATTCTTTCTGTAAGGGCACTGTCCTGTGCATTACGGGGTGTTTAACAGCATATGTGTCCTTGACCCACTAGATAATAGTAGCACCCACCCCTAATTGTGACACGTCTTCAGATATTTCCCATGATCTTTGGGGTGCAAAATCACCCCCAGTTGAAAACCTCTGATCTTGGCTGCAGATTTAAATGAACCATGGGTTTTGAGTGCTTAGCACAGTTACTGGTATATAGGAAATATCCAAGTAAAAGGGACCTCTCAACGGAGAGAGAGTAATCACAGTTGCCTGCCACATCAAACTGTTCTTTTTATTATTATTTTTTTTATTTTTTTACCTAGAATTAGAGGAAGTGGAAAACAATTCTAATTGTACAAAGGACAGTTGGAAAATTGTTCTGTTTGAGGCCCAAAACCTTTCTCGGGCCAGTTTTCCTCCAGAAATCGCAGAGTAAACACCTGTGTATAATTGCATGCTATGCTTGAATAAGAAGAGTTGAAGATAAACCCCTCTAAAACAGGTCTCCCTCTGGTGCCCAGGTTGGAGTGCAGTGGCACGATAGTAGCTCTCTATAACCTTGAACTCTTGGGCTCAAGCGATCCTCCCACTTCAGTCTCCTGAGTAGCTGGGAATACAGGCACATGCCATCACATCTGCTAATTTATTTTTGCCATGGGGTCTCACTTTGTTGCCTAGGACGGTCTTGAACTCCTGGCCTCAAACAATCCTCTTGTCTTGGCCTCCCAATGTATTGGGATCATAGGCATGAGCTACTGAGGCCGTCCCAAGCTATTTAAAATACTTCAGAATTACTTTATACCAAAGCAAGCAATCTTAGAGATTCTTACAAGTCTACAAATTAAAAGATCTAGAAGAGTTCACAGTTTCAGCCTTGAGTTCTGTCTCAGTCCAGACTGTGGGATCATTCCTGGACTTTTCCTTGCTGAGCCAGCTGCCTTAAAAGAATCATTTGGCAAGTCATTCAGCCAGTCTCTCAGCTGCTCAGTGGCAAGATGGGAAGCCTAGGCTGAGATTTTCTTCCCTGACACTCTTTAGGGAGATTGTGGGACAAGGGGGAAAGTGGGTAGAGCAAGACTGAGTGAACCTCCTCATGCTGGGTTGTGTGAGAGATTTACATGCCTATAGTCAATTCATTCTAACATCCACAGAATGCAGATATTAATTAATTTTCTAGATCAAGCACTCTGTAACCCAAGTTTGTGTAACTGGTAAGTGATAAAGTCAGGATATGAACCGGGATCTGTTTTACTCCAAGTACTATGTGCTTTCTACTTTTCCAGGCTGTTAAGCAAGAACATGTCAGACAAGGAGGGGCATAAAAAAAAAAACCCTAACTCTGTTCTGTTTAAATGGTAATCAGGAAGTGTTGGCAATTTAGGGCTGTCTCTTACTCCATTGCTTCTCAACACTGACATATGTGGGTATCACTTGGAGATCTTGCTAAAAGGCAGAATCTGACTGGGTTGGTCTGGGTGGAGCCTAAGATTCTGCATGTCTATAACTAGTTCCTGAGTGATGTTGGCGGTACTAATCCCCGGACCACATTTTCAAGCTTGAGATGCATCAGAATCACCGGAGGGCTTCTAAATACACAATTGCTAGAAATCAAAACCTCAATAAGATAACATACCCCCTAAAATGGCCGTAATGAAAAACCACCATAATATAATATACACCCTAAGATGGCTATAATAAAAAAAAAACACACAGAAAAAACACATGTTGGTGAGAATGTGGAGAAATTGGAACCCTCTTATACTACTGGTAGAAATATAAAATGGTTCAGCAGATGTGGAAAACATTTGGCAGTTCCCCAGTAAGTTAAACTTAGAATTACTGTGTGACCTAGCAATTCTACTCCTGGGTGTATATGTAAGAGATAGAAAAGAGGTGTTCAAACAAAAACTCACTCATACATAGATGGGCATAGCAACATTATTCACAATAGCCAAAGGTAGAAACAACTTAAGAATACATAAAAGGATCACTGGCTAAATAAAATGTGGCATATCCATATAAAGGAATATTTTTCAGCTTTACAAAGAGTGAAGTACTGATACACGCTACAACATGAATGAACCTTGAAAACATGATGCTAAGTACACATACGGTGGGGAGAGAGAGGGTCTTCACAATTCTTTTGTAAGCTTCAGAATGGTAACTTCAAGTCCCTTATTTTTAGCCTACTGTCAACAATATATCACAATGTAAAGGAAATAAAATGACCACCAGAATAATCAACAAAGTGAATGCTGAATTTATTCCCCTGCCAGGTAAGGGAACACAGCCCAGGGAACAAATTGACTGAATAGTTCACAGAGGCATTCGGGGGAATATGACTTAGAAGAGGGGATGATTTTTCGTGCCTATGCTAAGTAAGGATAGAAAGGGTGCAGTCTACGTCTAGGAAGAGTGGAAAGAGTCCATAGTTCTGTACATTATTGATTAAGGCAGGTCTTGTTGTTGACTACGTATGTCAGTCTGCTCAGACTGTCACAATAAAATATCACAAATCGTGTGGCCTAAACAACACAAATTTATTTTCTCACAGTTATGCAGTTTAGAAGTCCCAGATCAGCATGCCAGCATGGTTGGTTTTCTGGTGAGGGCTCTCTTCCTGGTTTACAGACAACTACCTTCTTGCTGTGTCCTCACATAGCCCTTCCTTGGTGCATGTTCAAGGAGAGAGTGTGAGGTGTCTGGTGTTTCTTCTTATAAGGACACTAATTCTGTTGGATCAAGGGCCTCATCTTTCTGATCTCATTTAACTTTACTTTTTTAGAGTCCTCATTTCCAAATACAGCTATCTTGAGGATTAGGGCTTTGAGATAGGAATTTTTGGGAAACACAAACATTAAGTCCATAACAAGGTGTGTTCTCTTAAGTTACCTAATGTTAGGTTATTCAAAGTGTCTGAGTAATGCAAGAGGAATAAGTTACATAGATCTGCTATACAACATTGTGCCAATAGTTAACAAAGCTGTATAGCACACTTAAAAAATATGTTAAAAAAGTAGAATTCACATTAAGTGTTTTTACCTTGAGAAAATTAAAAGTTAAATTAAAAAATTAGAGGCTGTAACTGGACAGACAATGAAGGGTTACATAACGTCAAAAAGCCTTAAGACACAGCGGCTCTTAATCAGCAACTTTGGACACCTATATTTATCTCATCTTACGTCATCTTAAACATTAACGGCAAGATTGGATGGATGAGGTTGAACCATACAATACTGCCATTTCATAGGTAAGACATGGTCTAATATTGGCAGTTCTTGCAGGGTTCAAATTAATGCAAAAGACAAATGAGTCTTAAATGTTTGATTCAAAGCATGCTTTTTGTTTAGATTGTCAATGTGGTATATGATCTACTGTCAACAAACTTCATATGTCATGTCTTAGTCTGTTTTGTGTTGCTATAACAGAATACTGCAGACTGGGTAATTTATAATGAACAGAAATTGATTGGCTCTTGGTTCTAGAGGCTGGAAAGTCCAAGATCAAAGGGGTGGCATCTTGTGAGGGTCTTCTTGCTGTGCTGTTCCACAGCAGAAGGTGGAAGGGCAAGAGAGAGGGAGAAAGAGAAAGAGAGCGAAAGGGGGCCAAAATCCCCTTTTTATGACGACCCCACTCTCAAGATAATGGCATTAATCCATTCACCCCATCCTCAACGCCTAATCACCTCTTGGTGCACCCCACCTCCTAACACTGTTTCATTGGGGATTAAGTTTCAACATACGCTTTTGGAGGGACACATTCAAACCACAGCGCTTACCCATAAGGCAGTGCATTATCACAAAAGCTCATGTGCACAAATATGTGACAAAACTCTAATGTTCAAGGTTTAATATTCAAAAGATTACTTGAATAAGTATTAAGTGCAGATTCTGATTCAGTGGGTCCAGGGTGGCTCTTAGTAATCCACATAGTAAACAACGGCTGCTGGAGATTCTGAAGCAGGTGCACTTATTACTCTAAGAAACCGTGAACATATGGAGCCTTTTGGGCTATTGAGATATTATTTTGAAAAGCCTGAGTAGCACTAATGGTAGAAAGCCCTTATATGGAGCTACTTTGTGCCAGGCACTATTCTAATATATTATTAATTTAACTTTCGCAACGATCCTATGATGCATGGACCATCATTATTAATTTACAGATAAAAAGGCAGAGACCAAATATAAAGTGACTATCCTGCTAACAGGTGGCTAATCAATGGCAGAGCTAGGATTTGAATGCAGTCAGTGTTGGCTCCTCTGCTAACCTGTTTGTCTTCTATCTGACCAACCTTCAACATCTATAAAGGTCATGGAGAAGTGAGAACTCTGGCTAACCCCACGAACTGGGATTGCCACACAGCCCATGCTGTGATTTTGAACAAGTTGCTGTAACTTCTTTGGCCTCCCTTATTAGTAATAGAAAGGAGTTGGATTTCAAACGCTAAGATTTCATGAAACTATAAATCACTTACATAAAAATCCGCTGGCCATCTGTGGCAAGATTAACCAGTTTAATGAGAGTCTGCTTGATGCCAGACATCGTGTTAAAATTATATCAGTTAAGCCTTGGGACCTTTTGTGTTTAAGTGACAGGGCCAAACCCCAAGTTAGCTTACACCAAAAATGGAAGAGGAATTTACTAGCTCTTCAATTGTCTGAGAGACAATAAATTACTAGCTCACCAATTGTCTGAGAGAAAGAATAAATAAGCTCACTGGTGTCTCTTCTTAAAAGGGCACTAATCCCTCTCATCATGAAGGCTCCACCCTCAGGACTTAATTACCTTCCAAAGGCCCCATCTCCAAATACCATCACACTAGGGGTTAGGGCTTCAAAATACGAATTTTGATGGGGGTGGGCACAATGTTCATAGCACCCCCACCCTTCAGGTAACCACTGATCTGTTTTACTAGAGATTAATTTGCATTTGTTGAACTTTACATGAAGGGAATTATACCAAAGAGTACATACCCTTTTGTGTTTGGCTCTCTCACTGCCCATAATTGTTTTGAGACATCCATATTGTTACATGTATCAAGTTCATTCCCTTTTATGGCTGAGTTGTGTTCCATCATATGGCTGGACTACAGTTTGCTTATCCATTCACCCAGTGGATGCTTCTTTCACTTGGGAAATCTTTGCCAAGCCTGGGAGCCCTGTTGTTATGGGTCTAGTCTTCGTGTGAGACTTCATGAGGCACTGTGAGCCCTACTGTCTTTGCTCCTTCATAACATCAGTGTCTTCCTGCTGAAGACCACCAGGAATGCACCTCAATTCATATTCTGGGGCTGCTGTCACAAATCACCACAAACGGAGTGGCTTAAAACATCAGAAATTTTTTCTTTCGTAGTTCTGGAGGCCAGATGTCTAAACCAAGTGTTAGCAGGGCTGTGCTCCTTCTCGAGGCTCTGGGAAAGAATCTGTCCTTGCCCCTTTCAGCTATTGGTGGCCCTAGGTGTGCCTTGGCTTGGGCAACATAACCCAAATCTCTGCTTCCATCTTCATGTGGCCTTCTCCCTTGTGCCTTCTCTTTTTCTGTCTCTGATAAGGACACCCATCATTAATTAGATTTAGGGCCCATCCTAATCCAGGATGGCCTTTCCTAGAGATCCTTGCCTCAGTGACATCTTCAGAGACTCTTATTCCAAGTGGATCACTCCCTTTCTTGGCTTCCTTTGATCTTGCCTTCCATTACTTCCTTATAGCTGGTCCAGTGACAAACTCAGTTTAAGGCTCAATCTCACCAGCTTCTAAGCTAAATATGATTTAGGTGGGAAACAGAGCATCTGCTCTAGCCCTAGAATAAGTCCTTTCTCACATCCTCTTAAAGAGATGCCCCACCATTTCCCAGGATGTATGTTATTCCTCGTTGCAACAAGTATTGAGCACAATCTGTTCGATTACAGGTGCTGTAGTGGGTTGAATAGTGGACCCTCCTCCCCACAAAAAGATATGTTTACCAGGAACCTCAGAAGGTATGTTGGTCAGGCTAGAAGATCAGGGCCTGGTCGGTAGGTGCTCTTCATCTTACCTAAACTACATTGTTTTTTTTTTTTTTTTTTTTTTTTTTTTTTTTTTGAGACGGAGTTTCACTCTTTCGAAAGGCTGGAGTGCAGTGGCGTGATCCCAGCTCACTACAACCTCTGCCCCCTGGGGTCCAAGCGATTCTTACGTCTCAGCCTCATGAGTAGCTGGGATTACAGGCATGCGCCACCACGCCTGGCTAATTTTTGTGTTTTTAGTAGAGACGGAGCTTCACCATGTTGGCCAGGTTGGTCTCAAACTCCTGACCTCAGGTGATCTGCCCACCTTGGCTTCCCACAGTGTTGGGATTACAGGCATAAGCCACTGCGGCCAGCCCTAAATTACATTTTGCTTAGGAGTTGGACAAGATTGAGCCTTCAACTTGGTTTGTCATCATACCAGCTGCAATAGGGGAGCCAAAGAAGGCAGAAGCAAATGAAGCTACACTGTGGGAATGAGCAAGAACATTGCTCACCTGGGCTCAGGGGGCCTTGCCTGCCTTTGTCTGCCCAAGTCACTGATACCAGTTCCTACATACAGTAGACACTGATTAAATATTTATTGGATGAACAAATGAACATTTCTAACTTTGCTTCTTTTTCTCCCATTATTCCCATAGGAGGGGCCCCAATGGAAAGGCTGGCATCTTATGGCTCATCAAAGGCGGCTGTGACCATGTTCTCATCAGTTATGAGACTGGAGCTTTCCAAGTGGGGAATTAAAGTTGCTTCCATCCAACCTGGAGGCTTCCTAACAAGTAGGTTTCTGAGCCCAAGAACCTGTGATGTTCATCCTGGAAGGAACCCCGAAGGTCCTCTTGGTCTGACAGAGCACACATTGAACCCCTCATTGTTGTCAAAGATGAGCACAGCCAGAGATCAGTTAAAGGGGTGAAAACAGGTTTGATTCAGTAACTGCTGACAGTAGGGGAAAGAGCTAAGCTCCATTCTGATTTGTGCGAAGGTGTTTTAAACATTTTAAAAGGAAAACCAGGGAGAGGGGAAAGCATGGCTCAGTAAGTCAGATTAGTGAAAAAGTACAAGGGTCCATCAGTGTCCATGCAGAGGGGCCAGCTGTGTCTGCCAGCTGGCAATTAAAGAAGTCCAGATTCTGTCTTCCCACAGAGACAGAGAAACAGAGGTCTGATCCTTGATGATTCAGTTCCAAAGGAATGGCTCTCAGATCCTGGAGAGAAATGCTTCTGCATTGCAAGAGCTATATATTTACAATTTAAAGTTCTTTTTTAGTAAGTATTTCAGGAAAGGGAAGTCAGGGACCTCTCAGGGATGTCTTGGATAGAACAAATAGTAAAATTTTCTGGCAAGGTTGAGCCTTCTTAGGCAGGCATTTTAGGGAGGGGCTGGTGTTATCCAAGGGACAGGGCCTTATGCTGCTAGAAACTGTGCTGGAGTTTCGTTAAGTCTCTTAGTGCAGGGGGTTGGGAAGGGGTTGTCATGCATCCAGAGCTCTCCAGCTCTCAGTGTCCACCCAGCAGGGCTTGGGTTGCATGGGCCTCTTCTAAGTGCCATGCTCTCCATGTATGGCTTCACCCCTGCTTCCTTTCACAAAGGAATTGCGTTGGCTTATAAGTCATCAGCAAGCAGAGGCCACACTGGGTTAGAACCCTGGTCCCCTGGTGCCTGCTCTGAGCGGGACCTTTCTGGGACACACACTCCCTCCCTCAATGGTAGAGTTGTATTTGGTCTGTGGGAACGCAGCTCAAAAATGGTCCCTAACTGACTCTCACCAATTTTGATTATTTTCATTGCCCCACCCAAACCTGTTTAACAATGTATAATCCATTAGTTTCATACTAGGTTTCTTTATTTGGCTTCAGAGCTTATTTTCATCTAAAAGTTTGAGCAGATAGTCAGAGTAACATTTATTAGTCTTTTGCTGCCATTGGCCAAGAAGGTTTCCTTCCCCAGCTTCTTTATATTTCAGAAACAATATTTTTCTCCTTCCCTCTGAAGAATATGACCCACCTCCCCTCCACCCCAAGAGGAGAAGGCCCTTCTCTCCACTCCCCTCCCTGCATATCTGAACTCTGGGAAGAGGCAGCCTACCCCAAGGCTCAGTCTTCAGTTCTGGGCCATCAAACATTTAACCGATGATTCAAGTGAAGATGTAAAAAGTATGTCTAATAAAAGACCACAGACTGGGAGGTATTGCTAAATGCACGAAAGAACAAACCCTAAAGGTTTGAATGTTATCCCAAATGCAAAAGATAAAATCTATACAGAAATATTGAAATTTTGGCTTGAAACACTTGATAGCTGAGAACCTCCTAAGGTTGCAGAGGGGGTGCAAGACTCAGAGAAAGGGACAGAGACCCAGAGAAAGGGATATGGGTCAACACGATGACAGGCAGGACCAGGGCGATAGAAATGCAGAGAAGATGAAGTCTTGAGATGGGTTTCCAACTTGGGGACTCCCTGGGTTGGGAGGAGAATTGAGGAGAGGAGATGGAGAAGAGACATGGGTCAGAGGTGAAGCCAAATGTGCTGGTTGGACTGAGAGACTGGGATACAAAGAGAGGGAAGCTGCTTGAGAGCTGGTACAAGAGGGAAATGGTGAATTTGATTTTGAATCTGGCAGGAGGATTGAGTGTTTGGTGACACAGCCCAAAGAGAATTCCAACACACAGATGTAAAATTCCATTTAGACGAGAGAGCAATCCTGCAGTTAGGTTATGATTTTGGAGATTCAGTATAATTGCTATGCATAATAGTTCTGGAGAGCTGTTCTCACCCACTTACCATACATTCTTTACTGATGTTGATCTTAATTTTTAAAATCGAGAAATATATAAACAGAAAAAAGCATTATACGCACAGGGTTCAACAAATTATTATAAATCCTCTTGTACTTAACACCCAGATCAAAAAATAAAACATTACCAACACCCAGAAGCCCCTATATGATCCTCTACCATCACAGCCCTCTCCAACCTCCCAATAGGTAATCACCTCTTACTTTTTGTAATGATCATTTATTTGCTTTTCTTTGTAGAGTCACATCCAGCCCACTTAATAGCATTTGACTTTAACTGCTTTTGCACTTTCAATGGAATCAATATGTATGTATCCTTTTGTGTCTGGCTTCTTTCACTCAATATTCTGATTAGACAATTTATCTGCACTGTGTGTAGCTGTAGTCCACTCATTTCATTGCTGTGCAGTATTCTGTGAATATGCCATGATTTTCTACTGTTGATGGGATGTTTGAGTCCCTTCTAGTTTGAACAAGTATGAACAATGCAGCTATGAACTTTCTGGTACATGTACTTTGGTTTTTGTGTGCTTGAATTTTCCCATGACACATGCTGCAGAGTGAAATTGTTACCAAAAAGGGCTCCTGATCCAGATTCCAAGAGAGGGTTTTTGGATCTTGTGTGAGAAAGAATTTGGGGTGAATCTGTAGAGTAAAGTGAAAGCAAGTTTATTAAGAAAGTAAAGGAATAAAAGAATGCCTACTTCTTAGGCAGAGCAGCAGCATGGACTGCTTGACTGAGTATACTTATAGTTACTTCTTGATTATATTCTAGACAAGGAGTGGATTATTCATGAGTTTTCTGGGAAAGTGGGAGGGATGGCCTGGAACTGTGGGTTCCTCCCCCTTTTAGACCATACAGAGCAACTTCTGGACATTGCCATGGCATTTATAAACTGTCCTGGTGCTGGTGGAAGTGTCTTTTAGCATGCTAATGCATTATAAGTAGCATATAATGAGCAGTGAGGATGACCAGAGGTCACTGTTGTTGCCATCTTGATTTTGGTGGGTTTTGGCTGGCTGCTTTACCACATCCTGTTTTATCAGCAGAGTTACTATGACTTGTATCTTGTGATACCAATCCTGCCAACCTCTTATCTAATCCTGTGATTAAGAATGCTTAACCTCCAGGGAATGCAGCCCAGCAGGTCTCATTCTCATTTTACCCAGCCCCTATTCAAGATGGAGTTACTCTTGTTCAAATGCCTCTGAAAGAATGACTAGATCATAGAGTTTTCCTGTCTTCAGCTTTACTGAATCATACCAACCTGTTTTCTAAAATATTGCTCCAATTTATACCTCTACCCTTTCTATGTATACTCCAATCACCACAACTCTGAGGAGCAGGTTTCATTGACATTATTCTCCAGGTGATGGTGCTGAGTTGGGGTGGATAACATGCCCTTGGGTGGGGATCTGGTATCCCACGTACACCGTGATGGTGGAAAATTTGAGATCAGATCCTGAGATGCAGTGCCTGGGTTCTTCCTTTTATATCAGGCTGCCCCCCAGTTTAAAGCTATTTGATGAGCTCTCTCAAGGCAAGAAGCCCAAGAGCAGAAGGCTGAGAACTCATGTTTGGAGAATGACACTTCATACTTATATTTATTTGAAGGTAGGGGCAAGAAAAGGAATCTTCAGGGACACAGACAAGGAGCTTCTGAAGACATTCTAAGAGACATTCCAGATTTTTCTGGTGCCCTGAAATAAAGATAGCTAAATCATACTGCATGCTAGATTAGCAGATTTTAAGTGCTTTATGTGCATTATCTCCCTTAATCCTCACCTGTGAAGTAGGCATCATAATAGCCCCATCTTGCAGTGAGAAAATGGAGGCTCAGAGAAGTTAAGGAAGTTCCAAAGCCATAGAGCTGATAGGAGGCAGAGATGGGATTTTGATACAGGTCATATCAATAACTTCATTGTGTGCAGCACCAAAGTGGCATGGGAGGGATGGGTAGGGAGAGTCTGTCAAAAGTGGGAGATGATGACGGACTGATGGCAAAAGGCTGATGGCTTTGTCACTCACAGAGACAGCTTTGGGGACTCTGGATAGGTTACCCACAAGAGTGGCCAGAAATTCCATGAGGTGTTTAAAGAAGAATGAGGTGTCAGCCCACGAAGACAGGGACAGGGGAGAGGTAGGAGGAGGAATAGTAGCTCACGAAAACATGTTTTTCAGGACCTAGAAACCTCCAGAGTAATTGTCATGATAATCATTTCTTTAAGCACGGTGTGTGCCTTCCTGAAAAGAAAGGAGCAATTGAAACTCCGTTTGCATTTCCATAAGTATAATTGGATTTCACTGGCCTACATTTCCAAGTGAGCATCCCTCCTTCTCTGCAGTCCTGATATCCAGGAGTCACCGAAGCTAGCAAGGGCTCATCCCCACAGCTATGTGAACAACCAAGCACTTTGCAGGAGACAGCGTGGGAGACCGCAAGCTTTTTGGAAAGTAATCTGGCAGTAGCTATTAAAATTCAAAATTAATGTGCCTTCGACCAGGCTGTACTTTGAGGACTCTTGCCTACAGAAATAAAGCCAAAGTAAAAACGAATAGGTGGTGAAAGTCGATTTACTGCAGCAGTGCCTGAAATGCTGAAACCTATAGGAACAACTGGAAGGTCATTGGATAGGGAAGTGATTGGCTAAAAGCTGTTCAATGGGAAATTCTGTTGCTCTGGTTTAATCCATAGACATTGACAAGAAGGGAGGTCTGTGATTTATTACTAAGCCAAAACAAATTCATGGAAAATATAAACACCATAGTATGATCCTTTTTGTTTTTGTTATTTCCTGGTAAAAAAAATTAAACCAAATTCTTCTATGTGTATGTATGTTTGTATGAACAAGGAAGGAATGTAGAAGGGCACACAAAACTGTTAGTTACCTTAGAGGAGATTAATTTTAAAAATATGCACATCTCCTTATTATTCACTTTATATAATGAGGAGGCAGAGCTGCTACATTTTAAAGTAAATAAATTATTTAATTTTATATGATAAGCAGGTATTGTCTTTATTTTAAAAATATATTTATACTTAATTGCATGTAGTTTGTGTATTAAAATTTATGTGTGAATTATATTAAAATTACACTTCATATATTTTTAAAAACATAAATGAAAATTATATCCATTAAGTAGATTAAATATTTAAAATCCTGTATTTATTTATTTATTTATTGAGATGGAGTCTCACTCTCTCACCCAGGCTGGAGCGCAGTGGTGCGATCTCAGCTCACTGTAACCTCTGCCTCCTGGGTTCAAGCAATTCTCCCTGCTTCAGCCTCCCAGGTAGCTGGGATTCCAGGCACCCACCACCATGCCCAGCTAATTTTTGTATTTTTTAGTAGACACAGGGTTTCACCATGTTGGCTAGGCTGGTCTTGAACTCCTGACCTCAGGTGATCCACCTACCTGGGCCTCCCAAAGTGCTGGGATTGCAGGCATGAGCCACCATGCCCAGCCTAAAATCCTATATTTAATTGGTAGGCATTACTTCTATATCTTAAAAAATTATACGTGTGTATGCTTATATGAGTGTATATATACTATATTATATACAGTATATATTATATTGTAGACATTACATGATATATTATATATGTAATAGTCACCAAAAGATGAGTGTCTGTGGCAGCAGCATTTCTAAAGGCCCAGTTGAAAATAAGCGCAGTGCCCATCACAGTATAGTGGATAAATAATTCATGGCATTTTTATGCAACGGAATACTATGCTGAAAGGAGAATCAACACACAGTGCATGGATGAATGTCACAAATATACTGTTGAATAAAGAAGCTGATGCTAAACAATGAGTGCTATTCATACGATTCCATTTATATAAATGTTCAAAACCAGCCAAGATGAATCTGTCCTATTAATCAGGAAAATGGTTACTGAGAAGTGGGCTGAAAGGAGAGATTTTAAGGCTGGTCCTGTTCTGTTTTGTTTTTTTTTTTCTTTTTTTCCCTTTTTCTTTTCTTAAAATTGGAGTGTAGCTCTGTTGCCCAGGCTAGAGTGCAGTGGTGCAGTCATATAATAGCTCACTGCATCCTCCAACTCGTGGGCTCGAGGGGTCCTCCCACTTCAGTCTCCCGAATAGCTGGGACTAGAGATAAGCACCATTGTGCCCAGCTAAATTTCTGTGTATATGTCTATGTCTATGTCTATGTCTATGTCTATGTCTATGTCTATGTCTATGTCTATGTCTATGTGTGTGTATGTGTGTGTGTGTGTATATATATATACACATATATATGTGTGTGTATATATATATACACATTATATATGTGTACACACACACACACACACACACACACAGACACATATATATATATATTTTAGAGATGGGATCTCGCTATGTTGCCCAGGCTGATCTTGAACTCCTAGGCTCAAGCGATTCCCCTTCCTGGGCCTCCCAAAGTGCTGAGATTACAGGTATGAGCCACGGTGCCCAGACTTGTTTTGTTCTTGATCTGTTTGCTAGTCACATGGGCTATCAGTTTGGAAAAATCCAATTACGTGTGCACTTTTCTGTATGTAGGTTTAGAAATGATAATAAATGCCATTATAAAGCACACATTTTAAAAGGCGTTTGCAGGCCAGGCGTGGTGGCTCACGCCTGAAATCTCAGCACTTTGGGAGGCCGAGGCAGGTGGACCAATTGAGGTCAGGAGTTCAAGACCAGCCTGGCCAACATGGCAAAACCCCGTGTCTACTAAAAATATAAAAATTAGCCGGGCATGTTGGTGATGCCTGTAATCCCAGCTACTCGGGAGGCTGAGGCAAGAGAATCACTTCAACTCTGGAGGCAGAGGTTGCAGTGAGCTGAGATCACACCACTGCACTTAAGCCTGAGAGACAGAGAAAGACTCTGTATCCCAAAAATAAAAAAATAAAAAAATAAATAAATAAACGTCATTTGCAAAGGGCCATCCTTCCCAACAGAGACAAGCGCCTGCTCCCTGACTTCCTTGGCCTTCCCAGGATCTGACTCTTCCCTTTCCTTTCACCCCAGATATCGCAGGCACCAGTGACAAGTGGGAAAAGCTGGAGAAGGACATTCTGGACCACCTCCCCGCTGAGGTACAGGAAGACTACGGCCAGGACTACATCTTAGCACAGCGGAATTTCCTCCTATTGATCAACTCGTTAGCCAGCAAGGACTTCTCTCCGGTGCTGCGGGACATCCAGCATGCTATCTTGGCGAAGAGCCCTTTTGCCTATTACACGCCAGGGAAAGGCGCTTACTTGTGGATCTGCCTTGCTCACTATTTGCCTATTGGCATATATGATTACTTTGCTAAAAGACATTTTGGCCAAGACAAGCCCATGCCCAGAGCTCTAAGAATGCCTAACTACAAGAAAAAGGCCACCTAGGCAATGGAAGCCCTCAAAGAAGTCGGAATGTCATAGTCTTGAAATGAAAGGGAAACTGGGAAACTGGGTTTCTCATTAAAGTTGTTTCCCACTCTGTATTCTCTGTGAAATTCATTGATTGAATAGTACTTTGTAGTGAGAAGGCTGGAGAATAGCAACAGCCTCATGGAGAATGTTAATTGAGTTCCTACTATGCACCAGATACATTACAGGTATTCTTTCATCTAGTTCTCATCAGAGAATTGAGGTGGGTATCTTTGCCCCTACTTAATATAATCAGAGAGATTTCTTGTCACACTCTAGCAAAAGGCAGGGCCAGAATTCAAATCCTGAGTTGGACTCCACTGCCTGCCAAGAGAAGAGGAAGAGAAAGAGAGAGACAAGGAGAAAGAGAGAGGGAAGGAAAGGAGGAGGCAGAAATGGCAAGGGCAACAGTCCAATGGATCTTGCAAGTCTTCCTCACTGTGCATTGATATTCCGTGACTACTGCACCCAAGGTATTGGATTCATGGTAAATCATCAGGGCTTCGTTCTCTTCCTTCCTCTTTTTTTTCTCTACCAGGAGCACTGGAGACAATAGGATAAGGTGTCCTATCTCAAGCAGAACGCTGGAGACCTCTTGGCAGATCTAGGGAATGTGGCTGACTGGTTTAGTGCCCATAGTAACCAGCACTGTTACTATGTTACCCCCATCCGAGCATACTGGGATGGAAAAGCCAGTATCATTACCTGGAAGAGCTTAGTGGAAGGGAGCAATGTCAGATAATTATAGAAGTATGGCCAAGGTCAGTTGGGTATGGCAAAAGGGGAGGAGCTGGTGAGCAGAGCGTACATAAAGGGAATCAGAATATCTTGCTCATTGCAAACCTCTCTGTTCCATTTCCTTTCTAAAACGTGGAGGCTCTTTTCCTATTTTCCTTGGCGATTTCATCAAAGTATATACTATGACAATGCTCTGCAATTTTCTCCCAGAGAAAATAATAAATAACCATATAGCAAGATAAACATTTATAAAATACTAACACGATATATTTTTAATGGCTAGTCAAACTGACAGCCCAGTGGCTCTCCACCATTGCTTCAGAGCAGAATGGAAAGAAAAAAAAATCAGTCTAAGTGTTGATTTCCCTAGTAGGCACTTTCTGGGGATAAGTGTTGTTGAAGCCAACACTTCTATTTGCATGATTCCAGTGTTGTTGAGAGAACAAGCGATTTATTTAGCTTATAGTCCAAAGTTTGGAAGAGCATTGAGGATGGTGTGCTTCCCTAAAAGCCAACAGTCCTCAAAGAGTGATCCCTGGACCTGAAGCATTAGCATCGCCTGAGACTCTATTAGAAACACAGATTCTCAGGAGCCACCCCAATTCTGTATTACATACCTATGGCTGCTGTAACAAATTACCATGTATGTAGTAGTTTAAAGCAGCATAAAGGCATGACCTTTCAGTTCTGGAGGTCAGAATTCTGAAATGAGTCTTGCAATGCTAAAATCAAGTGGTCAGCAGACCTGTGTTCATTCTGGAGACTCCAGGGAAGACTCCATCTGTTGCCTTTTGCAGCATTCAAAGGCCTGCATTCCTTTGCTTATGGCAGCACCACTCCAATCTCCTCTTCCATTGTCACATCTTTTCTGATAGACTCTCCTGCCTCCCGCTCATAAGGCCCTCCTCATTACATTGGGCTTCCCCAGATAGTCCAGTGGAATCTCCCAATGTCAAGATCCTCAATTTAATCACAACTGCGAAGTCCTTTTTGCCACATAAGATAACGGATTCACAGGCTTTGAGGATTCGTACACTATTATCATTGTTAAGGACTATATTAGTCCATTTGTTCACTGCTATAAAGAAATACCTGAGACCGGGTAACTTATAAAGAAAAGAGGTTTCATTGCCTCACAGTTCCACAGGCTGTACAGGAAGCATGGATAGGGAGGCCTCAGGAAACTTACAATTATGGCAGAAGGTGAAGGGGAAGCGGGCACATCTTCACATGGCCAGAGCAGGAGGAAGAGAGAGTGGCGGGGAGGTACTACACACTTTTAAACAACCACACCTCACAATAACTCACTCACTATCACTAAAACAGCACCAAAGGGGACATCCATCCCCATAATCAAATCACCTTCCACTAGCCCCCACCTCCAACATTGGAGATTACAATTTGACATAAAATTTGGGTGGGGACATAGGCCCCAATCATATCGAAGACCATTGTCCTACTGACCACAGCTACTGAATCAGAAACAGGATTGGAGCCAGCAACCTGTGTTGTAAGGAGATCTCCAGGTGAGGCACACCCACATTTGAGAACCACTCCTCCAAGCCATGGAGTGAGCAGGCTGTTGGGTATGTGCTCAGGCTACAGAAGAAGCAGGGAAGACTCTTGTGAGAGACATCAAGAGAGCTGACATGAGAGCGTGGCATCTATTCTCTTGTGCAGCTTCCCAAGAGTTGAAAACTCTGTAAGCCATCAGGAGAAGATGCTGAATAGACACCCCCATGGGTCTGAGAACCCCAGATCAGAGAAGCTCATATTGGGTTCCCTGAAGAAGGGCTTCCACATGATTTTTGGGGTTACCTGGGAGCAAAATAAACCACATGGTGGTCTATTTAACAAGAGAAAGATTGACAACCTCTCTTGCCACCCCCATTGTCAGAGTCCATTTGGGCTGCTGCAACAAAACACCATAGACAGGATAGCTTCTAAACAACAGAGATTTATTTCTCACCGTTCTCAGGGAGTCCAAGATCAAGACGCTGGCAGATTTGGTGTCTGGTAAGGGCCTGCTTCCTGATTCATAGACTTTCATCTTCTCCTTGTGTCCTCAGATGGTGGAACAGGTGAAGGACATCTCTGGGATCTCTTTGATAAGGGCACTAATCTCTTTCATGAAGGCAGTACCTCCCAAAGGGCCCACCTCTTAAGGGGATTAGGTTTTAACATATTAATTTTTTTGGGACACAAACATACAGACCTTAGCCCCCATCATGACTCATTTGGCTTTGGGTGGGAGTGAGGAGATCTGGGAAAAGTCAACTGGAGCTCCTTAGGAGAGTAGGGAACAGAGCTTGGAAGAATCAAGGTGCCAGCATGTGGGTCGGGGAACACCATAGCAGAGGCCGCTGGGTGGGCAGCCTTGAACCTGGGCCAAAGTGAGGATGAGAAATCTCAACTGGAAGATGAGACAAATGCTGTTTCCCCAAATGCCAGGAGAATACACCAGCCCCGACAAATCTAGACCCTGAGGAAAAGAGCAAGGAGAAGAGAAGGCGGAGGGAAGAGAATCTTGAATTTAGCTTCAAATGTATCTGTTTTAAAGCAGAAGAGACAAGGATGCCTGAATGCATTAATAAAGGTTCAAATATACTTCACTTTAGAGCAATACATACAATTTATCAGAAAACAAAAGAGACAAGTGTTACATACAAAATACCTTCATGCCTTGACCATGTCTACACAGTAATTGATATCCCTGATTTACTGTAAGAAACCAGTAAGAGCCAAGGGCAGAGTGAAGCCCTCCGTACATCAACAATGCATTGTATTCCTGGGGGAAAGCATGATGAAACGGTGGTTCAACAACAGGACTCCTGGCTAAAAGAATTTCCCCTTCCCCAGTCCTGCTGTTCTGCTCAAGGGTAGGATGCAAGGTGCCTTTAATACCTGGCTATACAGCATCAAGGACAAAACCCATCTACCCTCTTTTTCTCTTCCCTTTCTCTGTTTTCCCAGTGCTGCCAGCAGGAAAATGGACCATCCTCACAGCAGACCCAGGATAAGTTAGGAAAAGCATCCAGTGAAAATCTGATTTCTTTTATTACACAGGGAGGCGATAAAAGGCCTACAAATAAATTCTATTATAGTATTGGAATAGAACATTAAATTTCATCAGTTTCATTATACTAGTGATAAAGACCACGTTCTGGAATGACATTCTGGATGTCTGGATGGTATAATTCGGAGAAAGAGAAATTCCATGCAAACAGCTCTGATGGGGTGGTTGTAACTCCTGCCCAGTAAAAGTCTCTAGTCCAGCCGACATATAATGCTCCATGCAGGGGTTTAGAACTCCTGAACACACCTGCTCTGGAGGGGCTCAAAATAAAGTGTTTCTCTACTGATTTGTCTTGTAGGCCAATATCTCCTTCTGAGATCTCCAAGATCATTGGTGGACATGGCAGAACTGGATGGGTGTTTCTGAATCCCAGTACAATAGCCAGCTCAGAATTCCACATCAAGAAATAGAAGCAAAAGGAAGAGAGAAATTGGGGAAAGATGTGAAGGCTCAAGATAGGGAGACCTCAATATGTTTGTAGGGTAAAGTTGCTTACTCTCTTACCTGTCCTGCCTTCCTTCCTTTTGGGATTTTGGTGAGACTGTCATTCAAGGGACCCCCACCCCAGCGACCACAGGCTGTAACCCAGGCTGAGCAACCAACCTATATCCTTGGCTCCAGTGATTAGTTCATGGTGGGCATGTGATACAGAAAGGGCCAATCAAAGATTTTTGGTCGGAAGATTACTAATGGGAACTGGGAGAAATGAGCAGCTGCTGTACTGTACTTTCCATGGTAACAAGTGAAGCTTCTAGAGCCCACCAAGGAGAGAGAATCTGTTAGAGAATTAAGCCAGGAGAAAGGAAAATGGAGCAGAACAATGAAGAAAAACCCAGATCTAATGACATAGTTTGAGCCCCTTGATGTCGCCATACCTGCAGACCTACCGTTTGGATTGATTTCCAAATTGTGTGAATGAATACATTTTCTTTGAACTATTTCTAGCTGAACTTCTATTTTTTGCAACAAAGTTAATTTCTGACAAATATACAGTCTTGAAATAGATTTAGTAAAGAATGAGGAATAAAATAACGCTTAACAGAGAAAATGGGCAATGTTTCAATGTCCTAGGGGAGAACGAAAGTGATGAGAGTAAACATGAAAAGAGAAAGTGGTTAGGGTAAGTGATATTACCGTTTAGTGACCCTCTCCCATAGAAAAGCAACTTTTCTGTTAAAATTTATTTTGGGATCTCATCCCCAAAGTCTATGAACACAGTCCCTCTGGAACAAGATGAATTAAAATCCTTACCAAGCCTCAAGGTGGAAATCAAAGATTTTAGCTGACCAGTGGCAATCCTAGATTATTGGACTCATGCTCAGCTAGGATAACAGCATAATGTACATTGTGTCTAGCACAGTAAGGCAGTAAAACTTATCTACCATATTGCAAAATATAGAGATGACTAAAGTGAGATCCCAAACTACCATGGGAATCAGGAAGATCAAGGAAACTCCAGGCATTTGTTGCAAATTATTTGTTCCTCTCAGGTAATTCCATCTGTGTGAAGATGTTCTCGCCACCAGGTAATTGCCCAGAGAATTTTATTATAGAGAGATTTTTGTTTAGCTCCATTTTCTGTTCTTTCTCCGATTTTGATTACAGGTAATGATTCATTGCTGGACACAACATCACCCCTCTCTTTAGCATTGCCCTGTGCTCTGTCTCCTGACTGTCAGAGGTGAACTAATTCCACATAGAGAAGGTTCTAAATAGAAACATGCTGTTCTTGGCCTGGGTAGGGTTTTTTGGTAAGGCTTAAATGTTCAGGCAAGAAATTTTCACTGACGAACAAAAAGCACACACTTCCATGTTGAATATCTAAGATGAGTTGCAAAACAGGCCTGAAAATTATATGAGAGCTAGGCCAGTACACGCCATTGCCATTATGATGCTGGATATTTTGGAGGGGGTGTGGCTGTGCAGTATCCACTTACTTTCCTACTTGGGGGTCATTGCCCAGATGTGAGATCTTGATGGGAAGCAGCTATTTTCTTCCAACCATAGAAGACATAAGGTCTACATCCTGCCTCTGCCAGCATTTTAGCTCCAGGACTTGGACATATGAAGAAACATATGACCCTCTTAGGGAATGGAATGTCAACATGAAGGGTGAGGCTGACAATCTCCCACAAATGGAAGGTGTGTCTCCCATTTCTTGGTCCTTTATAAACATTCGGCTCCCCCTAATCCAACATTTTAAGCTCAGTCCTCCAAGCTTGCCTTGATTATGTGAATAATATATACATTCAAAAATACTCTCCTTTTGGTAAAAGACAGTCAGAATTCACTTTACGTTACTTGCAAGCACCGCATTCTAATTTATACCATCATCATCATTATCATCAATATCATTGCCAAAGTGTTTTCAAAGGCTTATGGCTAACACTCAGGCCCACATCTTCATGGGTCCTCAGGATGAATGGCTCCAAGAAGAACTCACTCTCTAAAAGGCCCTACATGTGAAAATGATGGGATGTGAGTTTCCCCTAGTGCACCATTCCAGGTTCCCATCCCTCCCCTCTCTCTGGCTAGGACTCTGCCTCACCTGCTGGGATGAAGAGGGATGAGGCAATGTGCAAACAGGACTTGTGGGAACCCAAGGTGGCTCTCCTTATTTTCAGGTCAAAGAACTGCTCACCCTTCCCCAAAACCCCAGCATGCCAGATGCATTTTGTTTTTGTTTTTGTGGTTTCAGTCCTGGTTAATATTGCTCCAAATGTCACATTCTTGGTGGCAGATCAACAAGGCAGTATGTCATGGGCATTTTGGAGTCACCTGGTGTTATGGTCTGAATGCATGCCCCCTAAATCCATGTGTCAAAATCCTCACCCTCAATGGGATGATATTCAGAGGTGGGACCTTTGGGGGGTGATTAGGTTGTGAGGATGCAGTCCTTGTGATGAGGTTAGTGCTGTCACAAGAGGAGACAAGGGAGACAAGGGAGAGCTTGCTTTTCTCCCTTCACCATGTGAGGACACGACAAGAAGACGGCCGTCTGCAAACCAAGAAGTAGGTGCTCAACACACACCGGGTCTGCCGGCACCTTGATCTCGGACTTCCAGCCTCCAGAACTGTAAGAAACAAATGTTTGTCATTGAAGCCACCCGGTCTATGGTAATTTATTACAGAAGCACCAACTGAATAAGACACAAAGACTTGGGTTCAAATCTCGGGCTTACTGTTCAACAGCTGGGTGACCTTAAGTAAGCTGCTCAACTTCTCTGCATCTTAAGGTTTCGTTTTTGCTTTTTACTCTAAAAACAGGTGCAGTGGTAACGATAATCTCATAAAGTTGTTTGTGAGGATTAACTGTGATGATAATGCAAAGGGTTCAGCCAGTGCCTGGCATTTAATAAGGGCTCCATGAATGTGGTAGTAATCGTCATACTTTTCTTCTCTTGTATCTAAATGAAGACGAGATCAAGAGGTCACTTTGGTCTGTCCTTTCTAGCTTGAGGCCAGATAGTGAGAAGGTCAACATGGCTCTGAATTTGTACCCAGGACATCAGGAACAGCCTAATCCAAATGGGGCCTTTCACTGTTGGTTGGCTAATGCTTCTCCCTCCCACTAGGTCACAGGAGAATCGTTTATTAGGTTGGTGCAAAAGTAATTGTAGTTTTGGCCATTACATTTTTTTTTTTAAATGGCAAAACCACAATTGCTTTTTCACCAACCTAATATGAACAAACAATGAGGCTTATACCTCCTATTCCTCCTGATAAAAATCCCTACTGCCTGTTTTTTTCTTCTTTTATTTTAAGATAACAATCATTGATGACTTTCTACATGCCAGGGACTGTGTTGAGCAATTTCGCAGTCATCCCCCCTTATCCGTAGGGGGTATGTTCCAAGACCCCCAGTGAATGCCTGAAACAGGGGGTAGTACAGACCTATATATGCTTTTTCAAGTTTGAGGTGCAACAGCAAAACTAGCATAAGTTTCTTTTGCCTTCTTCACCATTTCACAAACAGAAGAGTTGTTCTTACTGTGGCTTTTAGCCACATCGGCGTACAATTTTTTTCTTTCCTTATGAAGTTGAGAACTTTCATTTTTTTTTTACACAAAGGAAGCACTTTACAGCTTCTCTGTGGCATGTCCAAATTGCCAGCCACACTACTCTTGCATGTTGGGGCCATTATTAATAAAATAAGGGTTGTTTGAACACAAGCTCTGCAATACAGCAAGTGTTGATCTGATCACCGAGATACCTCCTAAGTGACTAATGGGTGGGGAGCGCTGGCAGAGTGAAAACACTAGACAGAGGAATGAATCCCCCCTATGCAGGGCAGGGTGGAAGGGAGCAGGATGGAGTGAGATTTTATTATGCTCCTCAGAACAGAGTGCAATTTAAAACTTATACATTGTTTGTTTCTGGAATGTTCCATTTAATATTTTCAGACCATGGTAGACTTCAGATGCCTGAAACCAGTGAAAGTGAAACTGTGAATAACGGGGACAACTGTACTTGGATATACCAATCCAATCCTTATAATGATTCCATGAAGTAGGTGTATTCTCATCCCAATTTTTAGATAACATAACAGACTTACAAAGTTAACTTGTCCAAAGTCACACACCTAGGACATAGTGGAGTTGAGCAAAATTTTTAATCTGAACTTGTTCAACTTCAGTTTTTAAAAAGTAGCAATTACGCAGTGGTTCATTTCTTTTTGAAGCCAGTTTTCTGGGTTCAAGTCACAGTTCTGCCACTGATGAGCTATGAGATCTTGGGGATTTTACTTGATTTTTTCCTAGTGCCTTAGAACTGTCATTTGTAAAGTGGAGAGGATAATTTTTTTTTTTTTTTTTTTTTGAGATGGAGTCTTGCTCTGTAACCCAGGCTGGAGTGCAGTGGCACAATCTCGGCTCACTGCAGTCTTCTCCTTTCAGGTTCAAGCGATTCTCCCACCTCAGCCTCCCGAGTAGCTGGGATTACAGGTGCCTGCCACCACTCCCAGCTAATTTTTGTATTTTTAATAGAGATGGAGTTTCACCATTTTGGCCAGGGTGGTCTCGAAATCCTGACCTTAAGGGATCTGCCTGTCTCGGCCCCCCAAAGTGCTGGGATTACAGGTATAAGCCACCACACCCGGCTGAGAGGATGATGATGAATAGCAGCTGTCTCATGGAGCGGTTACAATATTAAATAAGTTAATCTATATTAAGTACTTAGAGCTTACTTGGCTCTAGAAGGCACACAATAAGTTGTTATTCATATGGCTAATTATAGGGTGCTATAGTAATGATGGAAGAAAAACCAAAACATGAGCAGAAAGCATTAGGAAAGATGTTGTGATGCGGAGAAGGCTTTGGACTATGTAAAGTTTTATTTAAGCTTACTTCTTTGAGCTGGGCTTGAAGCAATACATCATTTCCTTATACAATGGTGGTAAAGTTTCAGCAGGTCACTAAATGATTTTGAAAGGCAACATGATCTTTCTGATCAGTAGATAACTGGGTGGTCCAAGCAGGCACTGATCACACACGTGCATTTCTTTCTACAGGGTTGGCTCCCTAGCATGGAGGGCCTGGGAAGAGGTCCACAGTGCAAGCCTGTGTAGGCCACATCCTCAGGCCCCTCTCCTCCACTGGACCCCAGGCCAGGAAGGGAAAACTCATGACTTTCATGCTACCTCCCTCCTCTTTCCACAAGGTCAAGAAATAATTTTCAGAAAATGTTAAAATCTCATACAAACATACAATGAGCAGACATCAAAGTTTTATTTAACTCATTAATGAGATAACCAGCAGGATGGCAAAGCTGGTCTCAGAGAGGAGACGAGAAGCTGTTATATAAATAGAGTGTCCTTTAAAAAATGATGGTAGAATTAGATTGCTAAATCAGATATAAAACTAAAGAACAGATTACGGTTCTATGGAGCAATGTACTTATCATCTGGGTCTAGGCTCTATCCTGGTCAGAAATTATTTGCATCTCTATGGGATAAAAGTAACAGGCACTCCATCACCCTCAGCAAACTGACAAAGGACCAGATAACGAAACACCACATGTTCTCACTTATGAGTGGGAGCTGAACAATGAGAACACATGGACACAGGGAGGTAATGACACACACTGGGGCCTGCTGGGAGGCAGGGTTGTGGGAGAGAGAGGATTAGGAAAAATAGTTAATCCATGCTGGGCTTAATACCTAGGTGATGGGTTGATAGGTTCAGCAAACCACCATGGCACACTTTTACCTGTGTAACAAACCCACACATCCTGCACATGTACCCTGGAACTTAAATATAAAAATTAAAAAAATTGAAAAGTAATTGGCACTCTTATTAGTTTCTCCAAGTTAACATCTACCTTTACAGAACTGGGCCAATATATAAGTTGCACAGCAAGCAAAGTCACATTTTCTCAGAGAGTCAGGTTGTCCTTACGTGGGCTTTTAGACAATGTTCTGGCATTGTTTACACGATACTAAAAACATTACACATGTATTTTTTGCCTTGGTTCCAAATTTTGGTTAATTTTTTCATAACAATTACCAGGGTAGAGATTGCTAAGTGACCAGGAAACTCTTTTCCACCAAGCCTAGATATGGCCTCCGACTCTTTCAGCATCGTGCCCACCCAGCCACCAGCAGTTGATGACAACTTGTGTGAGAAAGGAAACTGATTTGCCATCCAGCTCTTGATGACAACAGGGTTTAGATGTTCCAGGCAGCTTCTTTCACGGCTGGCCGAGGCTATTTCTGATGACTCGCTCAGAGCTCCAACTTAGCCACCAGGAGAGACCAAGAGAAGCATCAGTTCTCACTGAAGAGCGGTGACAGGTCAAAGGAAGCTCTCTCTTTTCTATCCTAGATGGAAGTTCACTTTCTCTTTCTAAGTCAGGATTTCATGTATAAACTGCATGGTTTCAGAGCCCTTTATCTCACATGTTGATGGGTTATTTTAATTAAGGTGTAGAGGGTTGACATTAAATGGGTGAGGAGCTTGGAGGGTGTATTGGTCATGCTGCTAATAAAAACATGCCCGAGACTGACTAATTTATAAAGTAAAAAGGGTTAATGAACTCACAGTTCCACATGGCTGGGGAGGCCTCACAATCATGGCAGAAGATGAAGGAAGAGCAAAGGGATGTCTTACATGGCGACAGGCAAGAAGAGAGAATGAAATCCAAGCAAAAAGGGAAACCCCTGATAAAACCATCAGATCTTGTGAAACTTATTCACTACCATGAGAACAGTATGAGGGAAACTACCACTATGACTCAATTATGCCCCACTGGGTCTTTCCCACAACACGTGGGAATTATGGGAGCTACAATTCAAGATGAGATTTGGGTGGAGACACAGCCAAACCATGTCAGGAGATGCAAGATTTATAGTTACATTGGGTGCTGCTAGTGACCTTGTAGAGATGTATGGTCTATTTACCCAGTAAATGGGACTGTTATTGAAGAAAAATGGGAAGATTAGGACTCAGGAGGAGAAGAAATCATCCTCCATTCATTCCAAGGCATCCATTGGCACCTACTATGTGCCAAGCTTTACTGAAATCTACTAGGAGGTGTCAGAAAGTCTTTCCTCCTGAGAAGGATCATGAAACCTCCTGGTACTAAGTGTAACAAATTTCCAAAGTCTGTATGCCCCTTCCAATAAAGACATGTTCATCTGCAGGAAGAGAGAAGATATAAGTGGTGTGTAAATGCCTTTTGTGGAGATGTTATTTCTTATAATAATGCATTGTTGAAATTGTCAAATTTTCCTGTTTGAAAATTACCGTCGGCATTTATATGTTTTGAAAAATTGGAGAAAAGATGCCTCATCAGTGTTTCAAATAAGGTAAAAGTACACTAATTCAGTGTCATCATGAATCTTTTCTTTCTATCCTGATTGAAATGATAAAAGGGACAGAACATTCTCCCTCTCAGGACAGCTGTGAAAGGGCGGTTGAAGAAAAGCACAAGAAAAGCACAAGGAGGCAGAGCCAGTAACACCTGGCATCATAATTGCTGTGCGGTAAAAGGAGAGTGCAACATCCTGACCCATCTCTATATCGTTGTGTCCTGTGACTTCTGCTTCATTGTAATTGAGAGTGAGATTCCTGGCTTGGTGAAAGATGGGAGGCAGCCCCACTTTGGTAAATCATAAAGCAGCAGCACTGGGTGAGAAGCTGGAGAAGGTCAGAACAGAGACAACACCACCCCCCTTCCCAGAACTCACTTTGTAGTGAACAGGAATGCACTTTCCTCAAACTTCTGAGGGTCAATGTCCACCACGAAAGTGAAAACAAGCGAGGGTCCCCAAGAGAAACATCCCAAGATTGAAGGTAAAAACATTTTTAAAAAGATATGCCGTGCTAAAACTAATTTTTTAAAAAGTTGGTGTAGCTAGACTCATACCAGCCAAAATAGACGCTAAGGGATGAAGCTTTTCATAACTTCACTATTTCGTACATGATACATCCCACTTACCCCAGCGGGAGCTCCAGTGTTTCTGCCCTGCGACTCCTGGCTGCTCAGCCAAAGGCCAAGCCAAGTCCTAGTCATCCCCTCTACCCACCTGGCCCACACTGTTATAAAAGAAGGGAGTTCTGCTTTAACCCCAAGCATTCATATACATTTTTAAAAAAGAAAAACCTAATTCATGTTCACACCTGTAATCCCAGCACTTTGGGGGGCCAAGGTGGGTGGATCACCTGAGGTCAGGAGTTTGAAGCCAGCCTGACGAACATGGTGAAACCCCGTCTCTACTAAAAATACTAAAATTAGCCAGGTGTGGTGGTAGGCGCCTGTAATCCCAGCTACATGGGAGGCTGAGGCAGGAGAATTGCTTGAACTCAGGAGGTGGAGGTTGCAGTGAGCCGAGATTGAGCCACTGAACTCCAGCCTGGGTGACAGAGCGAGACTCCATCTCAAATAAATAAATAAATAAATAAATGTCAGGATAGTAGTTACTTTGGGTGGAGGGGAATCTTCACTAGATGAGGACTTGAGGGGGCCTCAAGAAGGCTGGCCATGTTCTGTTTTTGTTTTAAGTACAGACGTTGGTTACACAAGCATGCTCGCTTTGTGAAAATTCATTGAGGCTTACACTAT
This sequence comes from Homo sapiens, assembly GCF_000001405.40. Classification (NCBI taxonomy): domain Eukaryota; kingdom Metazoa; phylum Chordata; class Mammalia; order Primates; family Hominidae; genus Homo; species Homo sapiens. Next base: position 82,111,335 of record NC_000016.10, read on the forward strand.
GATTTGTACTCCAATAAAAAGTTTATAAAGGAGGGAATCATTGAGCATAGAATTTCATGGAATTTAAAACTTCCAGGTCTCTGTGCTGACATGATAGCAATAGTATAAGGTCTGTGTCTCCAATGGAGATTTTGACTTAGTTCTCTAATATAAACAAGTGCTGAGTTCAGATAACACCAGCCCCCTCGGGTTTGGCCACCCAGTAAAATGGGTACTCCTAAATTACAAAGACTTCTCAGACACTGGGGTTGGGAATGGGGAGGGGAAGAGAGAAGGGTGGACAGAAAACGAATGTCTCAAACTACAACTGTGTTTCCAACTTTGGAAGACTGCCTTAAGTACTCCTAATACCATTTACAGGGCACTTGCCATGTGCTGCCTGCAAAGCTCTGTGCTCAGTAATTCCATGGGCTGCTCTGGGAAGTAGGCAGTGTCCTCCAAAAAGTTATGGAGCATTTTACATGCTTCTTTATTTTTGTACTAACTCAACCAAATCTAGGGTATATTTTACACTTTACAGCATATGTCATTCAGCACCAGCCACATTTGAAATGTCTCACGGCTACATGCAGCTGATGGTTACTTTATAATCCCTGAGAGTATTCTACAATCCCTGATTATAATGCTATAATCCCTGAGAGTAAAGGACTGCATCTCACACCAAGAGAACCAAGTGTGCTCAGACCCATGCTGACATGCCCTTGACTGGTTGCTGCAAGCATCCACACACAGCTGCTGGATTCCTCACTGTGTGGAAAGCACCTTCTTTCCAGAGTTGCATAGATGAAACGATACTCAAAAGGCTCTGGGCCCTGTAGACAATTGTCATAACCTGTGACTCACCTGTATGAATGGCCATCTACTCAGATTGCCTCATGGCAATGAGAAAGTAGAGACGGAGTCCAGGTGTCACATGCACAGGTACATTTCAAGATGCAAGACTGAAAAAGGTTCTGAAACAGGATGTGGTACTGAAAAATAACTGATAATGATAAAGACCCATGAGCACTTCTGCTGGGCCCTGTCCGACCTGTTTTTCATGTATTAACTCATTCACTCATCAGGATACAAACTAACACAAATTATAAAGTGAATACTCTTATTAGCTCCATTTCTAAAAGTTGACGTATTTATTTTGAAATCAGTGCAGATCGCATGCAGTTATGAAATGTAATACAGAGAGATCCCTTGTGCCCATGACGCAGTTTCCTCTGATGGTAATATCTTGCAAAACTCTAGCACAGTCTCACATCCAGGAAATTGCCACTGATAAAGTCAAGATGCAGAACCTTTCCATCACTACAAGCATCCCTCATGGTGCCCTTTCATAGTCATATCAACCACATTTCTGTGTCCCCAACCCTGGCAACCACTAATCTGTCCTCCAGTTTTCAAATTGTGCCAATTCTGGAATATTATATTAATGGAATCGATTGAGCACGTGAGCTTATGGGACTGGCAGTTCTCACTCAGCATGATTCCTTCGAGATTCATCGAATTTGTTGCATCAGTCCCATTTTATGGAGAGGAAAATTGAGGCACAAAGAGATTGTGTATCTTGCCTTAGATCACATAATTAGCAAGTGGGGAAGTTGAAATTTGAGCCTAAGAGATCTCTGGAGCCGGAACCATGCTCTTAGCAACTCTGTTATTCTGCCTCTTTGCAACGGTTTCTATTTCTTACCATTGGTAACTGTCAAAAACAAAACAAAACAAAACAAACAAACAAAAAACAAACACAAAAACAAAAGCAAAAGAAGTGTTAAAGCTACTAGTTTTGAAGACACTCTGTTAATGTCCCGGGGCTGCTGTAATAAAGCACCACAGACTTGGTGGTTTAAAACAACAGAAATTTATTTTTGAAGGTTAGAAGTGTGAAATCAAGGTGTCTGCAGGGCCATGCCATCTAAAGTCTCTAGGGTGGGATCCTTGCTTGCCACCCAGCTGCAGTGGACGCTGGCCATCCTTGATGTTCCTGGACTTGTGGTAGCATCACTCCAATCTCCACCTCCCTTTCCTTCCTTCCTTCCTTCCTTCCTTCCTTCGTTCCTTCCTTCCTTCCTTCCTTCCTTCCTTCCTTCCTTCCTTCCTTCCTTCCCTCCCTCGCTCCCTCCCTCCCTTCCTCTCTCTCTCTCTTTCTTTCCTTTCTCTCTTTCTTTCTCTCTTTCTTTCTGATGGAGTCTCACTCTGTCTCATAGGCTGGAGTGCAGTGGCGCAATCTCAGCCCACTGCAGCCTCCGCCTCCCGGGTTCAAGTGATTCTCTGCCTCAGACTCCTGAGTAGCTGGGGTTACAGCCATGTGTGATGATGCCTGGCTAATTTTTGTATTTTTAGTAGAGATGGGGTTTTGTCATGTTTGCCAGGATCATCTTGAACTCTTGGCCTCAGGTGATCAGCTGGCCTCAGCCTCCCAAAGACCTGGGATCACAGGTGTGAACCTCTGCACTAGGCCTCCACCTCTGATTTCACTTCATATCCTTCCCTCTGTGTCTGTGTGTCTTCATGTCCATATTTCCCTTTTCTGTGTCCAGTCACTGGATTAACACCCACCCTACTCCTGTATGCCCTCGTTTTAACTTAATTATATTTGCAAAGACCCTATTTCCAAATAAGGTCACACCCACAGGATCTGGGTCCATGTGCATTTGTGTGGGGACACTTCCTCAAACGCCAAACAACTTTGTCTTAAGAGAGCACTTCTGACGAGTACTCAGCAGATCTTCCTAAATAGAGAAAAAAGTCTGGGCTTTGGTGATAGATTTAGGTCCAGATCTGGCTGAGCTATGTATTAACTGTGGGTTGTAGGCAAATAATGTTTGCAAAACCTTTTCATCTACAATAGGTAAAGGATTGAGTGAGAAAATATATTGAAAGCACCCATTCAGAGTGCATAGTACCTAACAGGCACTTAATCAATGTAATTTTCTTCTCCTGCTGACTAGGTTGTCAACTGACACACTATTACTTCCTAACAAACACACAACAAGAAGCCCCGTCTGCTCACAGGTCTGTGGGGTTATGTGGCTAGGTGGCTCTGTTGATCTTGACTGGGCTCACTCGCATATATAGGGTAGACTGGTTGTTGACTGAGGCAGGTTGGCCTCAGCAGGACCAACTGGGATGACTCAGTTCTGCTTCTAATAGCTCTTATTCTCCAGAGGTCCAGCCCGGGCCTTAGGTCATGGTAATGACAGTGGCATGAGGGACAACAAGGGGATGCACACAAGGCCCCGTGGGGTCTGGGCTCAGAGCTGGCACCCTGCTATGATCAACATATCCTATTGTCCAAAGCAAGTCAAGAGACACTCTGCCTCTTCAGTGACAGGAGCTGCAAAGTCACATGGCAAAGGGCATGTATGCAGTGAAAGATATATAACTGGGGCCACTAATGCAATCAGTCTACCATGCCTGCAGATTCTTTAGTGGGTTGACATTCCTACGGCTGAGAGGATGAAATTTCTGAACGGGCACTTTGCCGAGTGAGTGACCACATCGTCCCATAGCTTCCCAAAATTATGACAGTAACCTCCTTGGAGATAGTACCTAGGTTTAGGGAATCAAGACTATTTCTGTAAGCCCTTCCATGTTTCCCAAGACCCAGCTAGTTTGGGAGGTCATCCTACATGTGGCCCCAGGCTAAGTTTACTTGGCCTGAATGAGAATGAAATAAAGGAAAGTGAAGACTTGATGGTATTGTAGAGTTGAAGGTGTGGAGATTAGTTAGTAGTCCAAGCATCTGCCGGTGAGGAGGCCAACATGACCCAATAAGTTGATTTGAAATTTTATTTTATTATATTTTTTATTTGGATAGTTTTTGGGGAACAGGTGGTGTTTGGTTATATGGATAAGTTCTCCAGTGGTGATTTCTGAGATTTCAGCGCACCCATTATTCAACGTGTAATATTTTATTCCTCTCCTCCCTCCCACCTTTTCCCCTGAGTCCCTAAAGTCCGGGGAAAGGTGAGAGGAGGGTGAGGAATAAAATATTACACATTGGGTAATGGGTGTATCATTCTTATGCCTTTGTGTCCTCATAGCTTAGCTCCCACTTATAAGTGAGAACATACAATGTTTGGTTTTCCCTTCCTGAGTTACTTCATTTAGAATAATGGTCTCCAGCTCCATCCAGGTTGCTGCAAATGCCATTATTTTGTTTCTTTTTATGGCTGAGTAGTATTCCATAGTGTGAGTGTATATATATGTATATGTATGTATATATACACATATTATGTGATAAATATACACACAAACTGTATATGTACATATATATACACACACTATATATATACACACAGTATGTGATATGCGTATACACACACTATATATACATATATACACACTATATATATCATATATATGATATATACACACACTATGTAATTTATATATACATACAATGTGATATATATACATATATGTGTATATATACACATATATACATATATGTGTATATATACATACATACAAATATATACGTATATATACAAACATATATATGTATATATATGCATCTAGTTAATTGCTGTGACCATCCCCGCCACCTTCCCAGCATAGTAACTAGCACATAGTAGATTCTGTAAAATTTCAAATCAAATAAGTCATTGTATGAAAAAGACACTTGCACACGCATGTTTATAGCAGCACAATTCACAATTACAAAAATATAGAACCAGCCCAAAGGCCCATCGATCGAGTGGATAAAGAAAATGTGATATATATATATATATATATATATATACACACACACACACACACACACACACACACATATATATGTGTATATATGTATTTACATATATACACATATATATGTGTGTATATATGTATTTACATATATATACACACATATGTGTGTATATGTATTTACATATATATACACACATATGTGTGTATATGTATTTACATATATATATACATATATATATATCACATTTGGCTATATGTTTTTAAACTTGAGAAATACTCTGCACTTTTTTAGTTCTCCATTGTGAGCAGGCATTTTTAGAATTAGAAACAATGTTATCCAGGCCTGTAATACAAGTGCATAATGTGATCAAAGGTTTAGAGAGAAGGCCATGTGACTGTAGTGTAGTGAGGGAGAGGGAGAGCTTGTAGATGGGGAGACAGGCCAGGATCACATAGGGTCGGGATAAGGAGTTTGGAGCGTCTTTTCAATGTAATGGAAACCCATAGAAATATTTTAAGCAGGGAAATGGCATGATCAATTTCCAGATTTATAAAGCACAGTAATTTGGCATTTACTGCTGGCTTTCTCATTCTCTTTAATTATCCAGCTTCTGAGAATTCCTAATTTTACTTTCATATACATATGTCTGTTTCCACAGCCTCCAAGCATTTACATTTCAAGAATGCTTTCCACAATATAAATAACAGTTTCCACTATTAGTCTTCAGACAGTAAGAAATAAAGTCAAAGCACTGGCTTCACCCTGGGTTATAAATTGCATGACTCATAGGAAGCAAAAATGTAATTTGCATTCGATTTGGCCAAGTTTTTGTTAAATTAAAATGTATCAAGTAATTATTCAAGAACTGCATTACAAGAAAAAAAAGAGAGATGGAGCAGAGATACACAGATTAAAAGAGAATTAAAAGAAACATCAACCAGCCACAACGTAGAGAACTTGTTTGGATCATGATTTTTAAAAACTGTAAAAAAAAAAAAAAATAGATAAATAAATTGGACAATTTGAAAATTGAATACTTATTGGATATTTTATGATATTAAGAAATTGTTAATTACTTGAGAAGTGATAATAATACTGTGATTTTTATTTAAGAGTCCTTATCTTTTATACATATATGGTGAAATATCTTCAGATAAAACTGTATGACATCTGTGATTTTATTTAAAATAATATAGAGTGGGATATGTGGGTGGAGGTAGAAATGTAACAAGATGACTATGAGTAGATAATTTTTGAAGCCTAGAAGATGGATATATGGAAATTTATGATACTAGTAGTTTTTCTACTATTGTATAGGGTTAAAATTTTCAAAGATCATTAAAAAAAAAAGCAATTTTAAAGCATTCAGTAAGAAAACATGAATTTACTTAATATGAACTTCCAGATAAAAATGTCTGTAATATTTCTCCTTTCCAAAGATTCTCTTCTTGATTTACATATTAATAATCTATCCCCATTTATCCATCCATTTATTTCATCCATCTGTCCATGCTATTATCGATCTATTAATCTGCCTGTCTATCCATTATTACATTACCAATAACTATTATTCAAATGTCTGGTTCAGAGTTGCTGTCTTGATTTGAGATCCCCCAGAAGTAGACCTTGAGATGAGGATTCATGTGCCAGCAGTTCCTCTGGTGGTGTAGGAGAAATTTGGAAGGGAGTAAAGAGAAGAGAAAGCAGTCTTACAAGCTGTCTTATCAAGCAGGCCAGCACTGAGGGCAACTGCAGCTTAATCACTAGGAAAATCCTATGAAATGGTGTAAACACACATCTCCGAATTTCTCCACCTGATGGGATGTTTTGATATCAGTTGGGTTGGTAATTGCTTGAGGGCTATTCTCAGAAAAAGTTAAGTCTCTGGCCACCTATGAGTTGGTGGAGCAGGTATTCAGAGAGGGTACAACAGGGATGAGAACCTCTTTGCTCCTTCTGATGGCTCTTTCCTCCTTTCTTTCTTTCTTTCTGCTTCTTTCTGTTATTACCTCTCTCCCCCTCCCTTTCTTCTTTTCTTTCTTCCTGTCTTCTTCCCTTTGCATTCATTTCTTTGTTTTTCTGTTTGGTCTTCAGTAAGAAAATAAAGAGTAAACTAGGCAACACTGGATACTTTAAGAGTAATTGAAGATAGATAAATTAGAATTTTACAGTAAAGATAGCACTGTTGAAGTTGTCAGTATAAAAATAAAGTCACATGGCCAGGTGCTGCCACTCACGCCTGTAATCCTAGCACTTTGGGAGGGTGAGGCAGGAGTATTGCTTGAACTCAGGATTTCTAGGCCAGCCTGGTCAATATGGTGAAAACCTATCTCTACTAAAAATACAAAACTTATCTGGGCGTGGTGGTGTGCGCCTGTAATTCTAGCTCCTCTGGAGGCTAAGGTGGGAGGATCACTTGAACCGGTGAAGCGGAGGGTTGCAGTGAGCCAAGACTGGGCCACTGAACTCAAGCCTGAGTGACAGAGCAAGACCCTGTCTCAAAAAATGAAACAAAACAAAATAAATTAATAAACATAAAGTCACTTGTGCTAAAAAACAGAAAACTGACAAATGGAGCCTTAAAAGGCCATGAAGGGAGGTTCTCATGGATAAATGCCTGATAAAAACAATCACAAAACACTTTGCAAAAGCCACAATCTTTCACAAAGGCCATTGCAACCTTACAACAACAAAAACAACAACAACAAAACCAAAACAACAACAACAACAAAAAAACCCAAAACCTGCTGTGAGGACATCTGCCCAGCAACTACCTGTCCAGTCCTGAACTGGCACCACCCTTGTTATTGATCCTTTTAGCCAAGGATTATTATCTCAAAAGAATTATGTAATCCTCTTGGTTTTTCCTTTAAAAATGTCTATCTTCCTTTTCCTCCCTGAATATGCACATATTAGGTTGGTGCAAAAGTAATTGCGGTTTTTGCCACTGCTTTTCATTAGTTTTGCACCAACTTAATAGTTTACTATGGCATATACATTCCCATTGCAATTCCCTGTTTCCAAATAAATATAATTTTATTTTAGAGAGGCTCTCTCTGTTAGTGATTTAGGTTGACATAAATGGTGTTGGAAGGGGAACCTGAAGAAATATCGCTATCAGGAGGAATTGGCAACTCGTGGAGTTAGTGTTCAGTAGTCACTTGAGTCCTTGGAGCTCCACTTCCATGGTTTGCCTTTTATGGCTGGCCTTTCTTGCCCTGGTGAGTCTTCTTTCATACCAAGCCTCCCTCTTTTTGGTAGAGGTGTTTGGCTTCATTTTGGATTTGCTTTGGTGATAAGGCTGCCTTAATAAAGGACCTTAAAACACTCCTGGGATGATAAAAGACTTTTTGTCTTTTCTGGCATAAAGATAAGTGCCCTTCTGGTTTGAGTACTCTGGTTTCTATAGAATTTACATCTGTCTGCAAGGCATGTCTTCTGTGGTAAATTTACTTTTGGTTATTTTTATGTTCCTAAAGAGTGCTTGGGCCTTGAGTGAACATCAGCTGTAGCCAGTAAGTACTTGCTGCAGGCCTGGGGTAGTGCTGGCAATGGGGAGGCACTCCCTCTGCTTAAAGAAAGGGGAGGGCAGAGTGGGAAGCGCTTTGTCTTGAGGCGTGGGTGACAGCTCAGCTACACTAGAATAGAGCACCAGGTAGATTCCTAAGGTTCTTGACTTCAGGCCCTGGCTCTTGTACAGAATTTCTGGATCTACCCAGGACTAGGGGAACAGCTTCTACAATTGATTCGGCAGGAATCAAATCTGAGTTTGTCTACAGCGGATTCTGAGGAGACAAGACCTTCCGTGATGCTGAGTGACAGCATCTCCCAAAGTTAAAAATACCAAATGCATGACAGTGCTCCTGTGATTGGTTAACAGGGTGGTAGTCACTAATCCATTGAAATGTCTTATTTAAGGGGAACATGTGGGCGATCTTAATGTTATGGCTCTGAAATAAGAACCAGGTGCCAGCTATAGTTTCGGAACAGTCACCCCCCAAGTGTTATAGGCCTGGAGCGAGGAGTAGTACTCCTGAGCAGGATGATGATTTCTCGGAGGTTGGTAGATTAAGTGACCAAAATTTGGTAAGGGATATCCATGTTGGTGAGGGATTTCTTGACTGAGTTGTGCTATGTCTGATGAATGAATGTATGTACTAATGTATGTACTATGTAATATTAAGGATTTTTAGTACGGGTCAATATTCATATGGATTAGGTTTTGTTGTACGGTTCAAAATAGTAGATGTGCAATAATTGGCTAAGAGATTGTTAACATGTGCTTATATGTATGTGGACTAGATTTATAATGTACTCTCATATATGAATGTACTATGTACAAATAAGCCATTATAGTACTATATATTATCCATGGGGACTAAGAGTAATGCATGAAGTACATAAAAGCACTAATGTGTTACTGCTAGTTGATTAGGACTGGCATGGTAGTTGAAGTGTGTGCTGAGAAAAGTTCAGGGAACAGTTTAATTAGAATTTCAGCTTTGGGTGTGGACAATGAAATGGGAATGCTTTTTCCCTGAGTGTCCTGGGGAGGGAATTCTCCATTTCTGGTTTACAAGACCAGAGTATTGAATTATACTACAAGGACATTTTCATTTAAGTAGTTTATTTTCAGTTAAGGTAGTGAGTGGTATGAGGGTGAGGATGGTAGAGAAGTACATAACAGATGCTGTGTTTCCGATGGCAATAAAAGGGCATTCGACTGGCTGCCCTCCGATTCATCTGAGGGTAAACAGGTCAGCGACTAACATTCAGAATTGGCATTGACTGAATGGCTGAATACTGTGCTTGGTTGTTTAGACATGTGAAGAATGGGAATAGCTGCTAGAATGAGAATGGAGAATACAAGGGCCAGTACGCCTCCCAGTTTGTTAGGGATGGATCGTAAGATTGCGTATGCAAACACAAAGTATCACTCTGGCTTAATGTGTGGTGGGGTGTTGAGGGGGTTGGCTAAAGTGTAATTATCTGGGTCGTTCAGAAGGTCAGGCAAAAATAGTGCTAGAGTTATTAGAAAGAGGAAGAGAAAAATGAAAACTAGATTATCTTTGGTTGTATAGTAGGGATGGAAAGTGATTTTGTCAGGGTCTGATGAAACCCCTGCAGGATTATTAGATCCTGTTTTATGTAAAAATAAAAGGCGAATAGTTGCTAGAGCTGTAATGATGAAGGGTAAGATGAAATGGAAGGCAAAAATCATGTAAGGGTGGCTTGGTCAACTGAGAATCCGCCTCAGATTCATTGTATAAGGTCAGTTCCAATATATGGGATGGCTGATGGTAGATTTGTAATTACTGCAGCGCCTCAGAATAATATTTGGCCTCATGGGAGAACACAGCCTATAAATGCTGTTGCTATAGTTGTGAATTGGAGGATAATGCCAATATTTCAGGTTCCTAGGAATATAAATGATCCATAGTATAAGCCTCGGCCAATGTGTAAGAAGAGGCAGATGAAAAATATTGAAGTGCCGTTAGCATGAAAATAGCGGACCATTCAGCAGGAGTTTACATCTCGGCTGATATGGGCAACTGAAGAGAAGGCAGTTGAGCTGTCTGATGTATAGTGCGTGGCCAAAAGTAATCCCGTAATGATCTGGAGAATTAGGCAGGTACCAAGAAGTGAGCCAAAGTTTCATCATGTAGAAATGTTAGAGGGTGTGGGAAGATCAATAAATGAGTAATTAATAATTTTTCTTAGCGGGTGTGTTTAGCTGGTATTGGTCATTAGTGTTCTTATAGTTGAAGTACAACGATGAGTTTTCATGTCATTAGTCACGGTTATAGTCCATGTGGGAATAATGGCATATGCATTATTTTTATTGAGTGTACTTTTGGTTACAGGGTTTGTAGGTTTTTCTTCAAAACCTTCTCCTATTTATGGAGGTCTAGGGTTAATTATTAGTGGTGCTGTGGGTTGTGGTATTGTGTTGAATTTTGGCGGAGATTTCGTGGGGTTAATAGTTTTTATTTATTTATTTATTTGGGCAGTATGATGGTTGTTTTTGGTTATACTGCGGCGATGGCTATTGGGGAATACCCTGAAACATGAGAGTCAAATATTGACATTTGAGGGGCCTTATTATTAGGGTTATTAATAGAGTTGGTGTTGGTTCGGTGAATAGTTGAGTATGATGGGGTGGTAATTATGACTGATTTTAATAGCATAGAGAGTTGAATGATTTTTGAGGGTGAGGGAGTGGGGTTATTGTATGAGGATTCTGTGGGTGTGGCTGCCTTGTACAGTTATGGGTGTTGATTGGTGGTAGTTGCTGGTTGATCATTATTTGTTAGTATTTATGTTGCAACTGAAATTACTTGGGGTAATAGATTAATTAAGAGTAGGTTAGAAGGGATGGAATAAAAAAGAGAGAAAGAGTTTAATTAGGACTTTTTGAGTAGATACGGTAATGGAGGCTGAAACTTGGGTTTGTGAAATGGTCTTTGGCGTAGACTTTTCTAGTAAAATTAGGTCTAGAAGAAGTGAGCCCATATTTTGGCTTGTGAATAGGCTTGAGTGGGTGAATTGTACGGTGAATTGTGATTGAATAAAAACCTAGTATATTGGGCCGGGCGTGGTGGCTCCCGCCTGTAATCCCAGCACTTTGGGAGGCTGAGGTGGGCGGATCATGAGGTCAGGAGATCAAGACCATCCTGGCTAACACGGTGAAACACTGTCTCTACTAAAAATACAAAAAAATTAGCCAGTCGTGGTGGCCGGTGCCTGTCATCCCAGCTACTCGGGAGGCTGAGGCAGGAGAATGGCGTGAACCTGGGAGGCGGAGCTTGCAGTGAGCCGAGATCGCACCACTGCATTCCAGCCTCGGCGACAGAGCGAGACTCTGTCTCAAAAAAAACGAACAAACAAACAAACAAAAACCTAGTATACTGGAGAAGTTGAATGTCTTTAGTGGGTACCTTAATTTAAGGTTATTGGTTTTAAGGATTGAGTTCCATTGCTAGTAAGAGGCCTAAGGTGAAACAAATTAAAATGGAAACACAACATGCCAAAACCTATCCGATACAGTGAAAGCAGTACTAAGTGGGAAGGTGATAGGTTCTTTTGATAAGTGGCTACATCAAAAAACTAGAAAAACTTCAAATAAACAACCTTTTAAAGAATTAGAAAAGCAAGAGCAAATTAAACCCAAAATTGGTAGAAGAAAGAAATAATAAAGAACAGAGTAGAAATAAACAAAATTGAAACAGGAAAAAAAACTATGAAAGATCAATGAAATAAAAAGTTGGTTTTTGGAAAAGATAAAATAGACAAAACTTTATCCTGATTACCTAAGGAAAAAGAGAGAAAATCCAAATAAATAAAATGGGAGATGAAAATGGAGATGTTACAACTGATACCACAGAAATTCAAAGCAACATTAAAGGCTACTATGAGCAATTGTATGTCAATAAATTAGAAAATCTAGAAGAAATGGATAAATTCCTCGACACATACAACCTACTGAGATTGAACCATGAAGAACTCCTTAACCTGAACAAACCAATAACAGCTAATGAGATTGAAGATGTAATAAAAAGTCTACCAGCAAAAAAAAAAAAAAAAGCCCAGAAACCAATGGTTTCACTGCAGAATTTTACCAAATATTTAAAGAAGAACTATTACCAATCCTACTCAAATTATTGTGAAAAATAGAGGAGCAGGGAATGCTTAAAAACTCCTTCTGTGAGGTCAGTATTACCGTAATACCAAAACCAGACAAAGACATATCAAAAAAAAAAAAAAAAAAAAAAGAAAGAAACTACAAGCTAATATATCCCTGATGAACATTGATATAAAAATTCTAGACTAACTACTAGCAAACCAAATTCAACCACACATTAAAAAGATCATTTATCATGACCAAGTGGGATTTATCCCACGGAAGCAAGGTTTGTTTAACATATGCAAATCAATCAATATGATACATTATATCAACAGAATGAAGGACAAAAACCATATGACTATTACAATTGATGCGGAAAAACTACTTGATAAAATTCAACATCCTTTTTGATAAAAACCCTCAAAAAAACTGGGTACAGAAGAAACATACCTCAACTCAATAAAAACCATATATCACAGATCCACAGCTGGTATCATACTGAATGGGGAAAAACTGAAAGCCTTTCCTCAGATCTGGAACAAGGCAACGATGCCCACTTTCATCACTGTTGTTCAACATAATACTGGAAATTTCAGCTGGAGCAATCAGACAGGACAAAGAAATAAAGGGGATCCAAATTGGAAAAAAAATTATTCTTGTTTACAGATGATATAATCTTATGTTTGGAAAAACCTAAAGATTCCACACAAAAACTATTGGAAGCAATAAATTCAGTAGAAGTAGAGGATGCAAAATCCACATAAAAAATTAGTAGTATCTCTGTATGCGAAGAACAAATGATCTGAAAAGGAAATCAAGAAAGTAATCTCATTTATAATAGCTACAAATAAAATTAAATACCTAGGAATAAATTTAATCAAAGAAGTGAAACATATCTACAATTAAAATTATAAAACATCAACGAAAGAAATCAAAGAGGATAAAAAAAGTTATTCCATGTTCATGGATTGCAAGAATAAATGTTGTTAAAAAGTCCATAGTACACAGAGCAATCTACAGATTCAATGCAATCTCTATCTAAATACCAATGACATTCTTCATAGAAACCGAAAAAAATCCTAAAATGTATATGGAACCACAAGACTCAGAATAGCCAAAGCTATCCTGAGTAAAAAGAACCAAACTGGAGTAATCATATTATCTCTCTTCAAATTATACTACAGAGCTACAGTAACCAAAACAACATAGTACTGGCATAAAAACAGACACACAGACCGGTGGAACAGGTTAGAGAACCCAGAAATAAATCTGTACATCTACAGTGAGCTCATTTTTGACAAAGATACCAATAACATACATTGGGGAAAAAACAATCTCTTCAATAAACGGTGCCAGGAAAACTGGATATCTATATGCAGAAGAATGAAACTAGACTCCTGTCTCCCACATATACAAAAATCAAATAAAAATGGATTAAATACTTAAAACCATGACCTCAAACTATAAAACTACTACAAGAAAACTTTACAAAAATCTTTCAAGACATTGGACTGGGCAAACATTTCTTGAGCAATACCCCATAAGCACAGGAAATCAAAGAAAAACGGACAAATCACATCAAGTGAAAAAGCTTCTGCACAGCAAAGAATACAATGAACAAGTGAAAAGACAACGAACAGAATGAAAAAAAATTTGCAAACTACGCATTTGACAGGGAATTAATAACCAGAATTTATAAGGAGCTCAAACAACTCAAAAGAAAAAAATCTGATAATTTGATTAAAAATGGGGAGAAGATCTGAATAGAAATTTCTCAAAAGAAGTTATAGAAATGGCAAACAGACATATAAAGAGGCACTCAACCTCACTGATCATTAGAGAAGTGCAAATCAAAACTACATTGAGGTATCATTTCATCCCAGTTAAAATTATTTTTATCCAAAAGACAGGCAATAACAAATGTTGGTGAGGATTTAGAGAAAAGGGAACCATTGTACACTGTTGGTGGGAATGTAAATTAGTACAACCACTATGGAGAACAGTTTGGAGATTCCTCAAAAAAACTAAAAATAGAGCTACTAGGTATATATGCAAAAGAAATGAAATCAGTATATCAAAGAGATATCTGCAATCCAATATCTATTGAAGCACGAGTCAGAATAGCCAAGATTTGGAAGCAACCTAAGTGTCCATCAACACACAAATGGGTAAAGAAAATATGATACATGTACACAATGGAGTACTATTCAGCCATAGAAAAGAATCAGAATAGAAAAGAATCGGATTCTGTCATTTGCAACAACATGGATGGAATTGGAAGGTCATTATGTTAGGTGAAATAAGCCAGGCACAGAAAGGCAAACTTTACATGTTCTCACTTATTTGTGGCTGCTAAACAAAACAATTAAACTCATGGAGATAGAGAGTACGATGATGGTTATCGAGTCTGGTAACTGTAATGTGGTGGGGGGAGGGGGATAGTCAATGCTAGCAAGAATATAGTTTGAATGAATGAGATCTAGTATTTGATGGTACAACAGGATATCTATAGTCAAGAATAATTTATTGTACATTTAAAAATAACTAAAAGAGTATATTCGGATTGTTTGTAACACAAAGAAAGGATAAATATTTGAGGTGTTGGACAGTCTATTTACCCTGATGTGATTACCATGCATTGTATGTCTGTATCAAAATATCTTATGTAGCCTATACATATATATATGCCTATTATGTAACCCCCCTGACACACAAATCAGAAACTCTGAGGAAAAAGAAACTGACTTTACATTTAACATGTAGAACGTTCTAAGTTTTTGTTTGTTTGTTTTTGTTTTTTTGAGACAAGGTCTCACTTTGTCACCCAGGTTGGAGTACAGTGGTGTGATGAACATATATCACTGCAGCCTTGACCTCCCAGGCTCAAGCAATCCTCCCACCTCAGTCTCCCCAGTAGAGAGGACTACAGGTGTGTGCAGCCATACCTGGCTAACTTTTGCATTTTTTGTGGAGATGGGATTTCACCCTATTCCCCGTCTTGTCTCAAACTCCTGAGCTCAAACCATCCGCTTGCCTCAGCCTTCCAAGTTCTTTCTTTTTTTACCCCCCTCCTACTTTGAAACTGTTGACTTTTCTGCTGGTGTTGAGATAAAACTCACTGCTTATGGCACTTCAGCCATGATATTTGTTAAAAAGTCTTAAAGGGATTCCATATTAATGTATTTGAAAATTCTAACAGCTCCATGGCAACCAACAACCTAGATACCCTTTGGAAATGTAAATGTGGGTTTGCCTCACTAACAATTGCTTAGGGTGATGGAACTGTTAATTGAAGGATTGATAGTCTAAGAGAAAAAGAACCGGATAAATGTTCTTAAAAGGCTCTCAGATCAGACTGGTCAAAATCTTGAGCTTGGAGTAATAATACATGGTATTGCTGTTTGATACAAAGTTGCTTTGTGTGCTGTACAGGAGTCAGAAAAAGCAAAACATCCTGTTTAATTGCATCCTCACCTGCACTGACTAGTCAAAAAAAACCAGAGGAGCAAACAAGATAGATTTGTTACTAAAAATTCAAGGCCACAGGGAAATTTTATTTTTTATGGAATTCAGGCAGTCCTACTTAAAATATTAACACAAACATTAATAATTTAACTATAAACTCATTTGAAACTGAGAAGAAGGAATAAAAGGGTAAAAAAGATGTCTTTTTAAGAAGTCAACCTGCTATGCAAGCTGCTTTACTCAAAAATTTGGTCCACAGCCTTCATCAGATTACCTATCAGGGCAATGAAAATTTGGCCATATGAACTTGTCCCATTTTGTCAGAAATATAATTTTGATTCAATTATCTTTTACAAACTAGTGTGTTTATATTACTATTTCATGACTAAAATGATACAATTAAAGAGCTCTAAGATCCTTGTGTGTGTGTATGTGTACCTACATACACTTAGGTGTGTTTATGCATATGTACATTTATTATGTTGTATGTGTGTTTACACGGTAAAATCTGGTGTAGTTGGCCAGGAATCCCTTAAGGAATTCTATTCAGATAGGTTCAAACAAATGAGTGTTCCTAAAAATTTTAAAAATATATAGTAATTAACCCAAATAGCTTTCAGTTCATGTGGCTGAAGCAAATTTTTAACGAATAAGCTGATTTTAAAATTATTGATTAAAAAAATAGAAATGTCTTTAAAATTGTCCACATACATTTTTGCCTGGATTTACTGGTCAGATAGTTTTATATTTGTCCCTGCTAGCTGACTTAAGGTTATAAAACTATAAGCCCCTGGATGGATTTGGTGGCTCATGCCTGTAATCCCAGCACTTTGGGAGGCTGAGGTGGGCAGATCACCTGAGGTCAGGAGTTTGAAACCAGCCTGGCCAACATGGTGAAACGCTGTCTCTACTGCAAATACAAAAATTAGCTGGGTATGGTAGTGTATGCCTGTAATCCCAGGTATTCAGGAGGCTGAGGCAGGAGAATCACTTAAACCCAGGAGGCGGAGGCTGCAGTGAGCCAAGATCATGCCACTGCACTCCAGCCTGGGTGACAGACAGAGACCCCATCTCAAAAAATAAAATAAAATAATAAAAACAAAATAAAATAAAACTATAAGCCCCTCTGAAAGATAGAAGGGTATTTTTTTGTGTAATACATATGGCTAATTTAATATTGTTGGTTGAATAAATCTTCTGAGTTATTGATAAAATACCCATATATTTAATTTTAAGGTGTTTACTTAGGTGAATACCTTATGTTGTCATTAATTTGGGGGGTAGTTTGTTATGCAGCAATACATAACCAAAATACCAACTTTTAAATGTTTGCCAATTTTATGTGTGCAAGGTATGGGATCTCAATATTACTTCATTTGCTTTTATCTGACTGCTAATGAATTTAAGAAGCTTTCCATGAATCCCTGTGAATTCCCCTCACCTCCTATAATTGAATGACAAAGTTTGGAGGGGAAAAATGTTTCTCTGAATTAGCCAGGATAATTCAGAGAAATAATAGGAAATCAGCAACAGGGGATAAACTATAGTGCAGACACTGCTGGAAAGAAATATCAAAGGAAGAAAATAATCCCACAATGTTAGGTTGCCTGCTGGCACTGGTGAACCTTACACAAGATAGTGGCAACATTGTACCTGCTTTCAAGAGAAGACTTGTTCAACAGATTATGGCCTCTATCCCCTTGATTCTAGAAAATGTGGCCTCTGGATTTTTTGAAAGTACAGCTCAAAATGGCCAAATGCACAAGTCTGAGGTTGCTTCTGTCACCACCAGCAAAAGTGGCAGCAGTATCTGAGAGTACCCAGCAGGAATCTAACAGGAAACCACTGGATCTTAAGTCTTGCTGGTGAAAGAAAGTGAGGTTGAAATCTTCTAGCCTCATGATGAGGCAGAGAAAGCTGGGGTATTAAGGCTGGGGATGGCAGAGGGCTTAAAAACACCCTTCTCCAGCCTGGATAACATGGTGAAACCCTGTCTCTACAAAAAATACAAAAAAAGTTAGCTGGGCCTGGTGGTGTTCACCTGTAGTCCCAACTACCTGGAAGGCTGAGGTGAGCCCGCAAAGGTGGAGGCTGCAGTGAGCTGTGATTGTGCCACCAAACTCCAACATGTACATATTACTATTAATTTTGTATTTTCTCTTTTTAAACTTTGCATTTGTTACATGTTAAACTTTTGCGTAAGTACACCTCCTTAAAAAAATACTGCTGGCCCAGCACTTTGAGGTGATTGCAAAAGAGTGTGGAACAGAGAAAATTAAACTTAATAGTGGGCTCCAGATAGACTTAGCCTGAGAACCACTTCCTTCAAACCTTTCTTGTTTCTCAAATGTGGCTAAAGGGTTTTGACACTGAACCCTAACTGCCAATCACTCCCTCCAATGTGGGATCATACCAACAACCCAGGAAAGGTCCATCCCAACACCAAGAGAAAATCAAAATCTAACCACAGGATGATTGATCAGCGATGCTTTTAAAGAAATACCTTGATTAAAAAGGGGGGAATGTTAAAGTTGTCAGAATCATTGGAGTCACTTGTGTTAAGAAAATCCTGCCGAGCATGGTGGCTCACGCTGTATTCCCAGAACTTCGGGAGGCCGAGGCAGGTGGATCATGAGGTGAGGAGTTCGAGACCAGCCTGACCAACATGGTGAAACCCCATCTCTACTAAAAACACAAAAATTAGCCGGGCCTGGTTGTGTGCACCTGTAATCCCAGCTACTCTAGAGGCTGAGGCAGGAGAATTGCTTGAACCCAGGAGGCGGAGGTTGCAGTGAGCCAAGATCATGCCACTACACTCCAGTCTGGGCAAAAGAGCAACACTCTGTCTCAAAAAATAAAAAAAAAAAAAGAAAATCCTGACAGAACTGGGAAAGGTCATGAAGGGAGGGTTTTCATTGACTAAGTGCCTGATAAAACTATCACAAACACTCTGCCAAAACCACGACCTTGCACAAAGGCCATCACAACCTTACACAAAAATACTTCTGTGAGGACATCTGCTCAGCAACTGACTATCCAATCCCAGACTGGTACCATTCTTGTTATTGATCCCTGTGGCCTCCGCCACCACAGCAGATTTCAACCTCACTTCTAATCAACAATGCTTCTGATTTCAGTGCCAAAGATTCTCAGGTGCCAGGGTCACATTAGATAAAAGTAATCTTGTAAATTTGTTAATTTCTAAAAATCTAGGTGTCAATTTCCCTGAATCAAGGGAAAAAAGCCATACTCCACTGATTAACACTGTTCTGGATCCCAGCCACTGATATAGTTTGGATATTTGTCCCCTCCAAATCTCATGTTGACGTGTAATTTCCAGTGTTTGAGATTGGGCCTGGTGGGGGGTGTTTGGGTCATGGAGGTGGATTCTCTCACGAATAGCTTGGTGCTGTCCTTGTGATAATCAGAAGTTATCACTCTGTGTATATATGTGTATATATACACATGCGTGTGTATATATATGTGTATATATATGTGTATATATACACACGTGTATATATGTGTGTATATATACACATGCGTGTGTATATACACACGTGTATATATGTGTATACACACACACGTGTATATATGTGTATACACACACGTGTATATATGTGTGTATACACACACGTGTATATATGTGCGTATACACACACGTGTATATAAATGTGCATATACACACACGTGTGTGTATATGTATATATGTGCATATACACACACGTGTGTATATATGTATATATGTGCATATATACACACGTGTATATATGTGTATATATACACACACGTGTGTATATATGTGTGCGTATATACACATACACACACACATATATGAAATTGTAAATTACCTAGAGCACTCAAAACAATTTTGAAAAGAAAGGACAAAGTTGGATAAATACACTACTGTAGTTCAAGACT
The DNA here is from genome assembly GCF_000001405.40 of Homo sapiens. Taxonomy (NCBI): domain Eukaryota; kingdom Metazoa; phylum Chordata; class Mammalia; order Primates; family Hominidae; genus Homo; species Homo sapiens. The sequence goes on from NC_000016.10 coordinate 82,131,029, forward strand.
TAATATAAAGCTGCAGTCATCAAGATAGGTAAATATTAGTGTAAGAATGGACATATGGATAAATGGAGCAGAACAGAGTGTCCAGAAATAAATCCACAGCAGCGTAATCAGTACCAAGGATAGTCTGTAGGGAAAAGTGTGGTGTTTTAACCAGTAGCACTAGAGCAACTGAATATTTGTATGAAAACAAAACAAAACAAAACCAGGAATCTCAGCCCTTTACTTACACCATAAACATAAATAAACTCTAAATAAAGTATAGACATAAATGTAAAAGTTAAACCTATACACTTTTTAGAAGAAAACTGTCATAACCTTGAGGTGGGCAAAGATAAGAAACAAAATATACATCATATAAAATCCTGACAAATCAGGCTTCATCAAATTAAAACTTTCTGCCTTTGGAGAGATAGCATTGCAATTACGAAAAGGCAAGCTATGATCTAGGGAAAAAATGTTTAGAAATACATGTCTGAAAAGACTTAACTATCAAAATATTTAAATAATACTTTGAAAATTAACAAGAAGGCAGACAATTGGATTTTTTAAGATTGGCAAATATTTGAACAGACACTTTACAATAGAAGATACAGAATAGTCAATGAGTGTAGGATAAGATGTTCATTCAACAGTATTGTTCACCAGGGAAATGCAAATTAAACCACTATGAAGTACAACTGGAATAGCTAATATCAAATATAGCTGACAACACCAATTGCTGATGAGGATGAGGAGCAAGCAGAACTCTCATATATTGAGGATGGGAGTCTAGTAGGGCATACTTGCTTTGGAAAAGTTTGTTTCTTATACAAATAAGTACACATCATAAGATCCAAGAATTGCACTTCTAGATCCTAATCCAAGAAAAATGAAAATATATTTTCACAAGCACTTATATACAGATGTCTATACCATTTTATTTATAATAGAAGGAAACTGGGAACAACCAAATGACCATCAACAGATAAAGGGACAAAATACATTTTGCACAGTGGTGGTATAGAATACTAATCAGCAATAAAAAGAGTAAAATTCCAGAAACATGCAACAACATGGATAAATAGGAAAACATCATGCTGAGTAAAAGAAGACAGGTAGAAAAAACTACATACCGTAAGATTTCATTTATATAAAATTTTAGAATAGGCAAAGCTAACATAATAGAAGCAGATCAGTGGGTGCCTAGTATAGAGGCTCTGGAATTGGCAACAGAGGGGCAAGAGGGAAATCCAGGAATTGTGGAAACATTCTATGTCTTGATTATGGGAATAGCTACACAGGTGAATGCATTTGTGAAAACTCATAAAACCTGGGACTTAAAATGGGTGCATCTTATTGCATGCAAAATAAATACTTCAATGCTGACTAAAAACAACATAATTTGTTTTGCCAGTTGACAGAGCTTTAAGATAAAAGAGACCTATAAGGTAAAGATTTGGTCCCGATATTTTTATTTTATTTATTTATTTTTATTTTTTTTTTGAGACAGAGTTTTGCTCTTGTTGCCCAGGCTGCAGTGCAATGGCGTAATCTCAGCTCACCACAACCTCCGCCTCCCAGGTTCAAGCGATTCTCCTGACTCAGCCTCCGGAGTAGCTGGGATTACAGGCATGTGCCACCATGCCCGGCTAATTTTTGTATTTTTAGTAGAGATGGGGTTTCACCATGTTGGTCAGGCTGGTCTCAAACTCCCAAACTCAGGCGATCCACCTGCCTCGGCCTCCCAAAGTTCTGGGATTACAGGTGTGAGCCACCTCCCCCGGCTTCTGATATTTTCAAAAGGGTTACTGTTAAAATCTTCAACTTGAAGCCCATTTCTTCCTTGGCTCCTTTTCAATGAAGTAAAATCTTTCCATACTTCCTCCTCTTTTCCTTTTCTTTCTCTTCTTTTTCTTTTTAAGAATAAAAATACTCTTCATCAAGGAAACGGAAAATGAGTTAGTTTGTATTTGAATTTTTATTCTAAGAATTAATTTAATATGAATTAGAATTTTTGGAATAAGACTACTAATTCTGGCACTTTATGTATTAAAACCAATGAGTTTCCAATATGCATAATTCATATTCGAGAGAGAGCTCTTACTAGTTTCATAATTATTACTTCCTCCCACATTTGAAATTATTGGTATATATGTAGTGGCTTTCTCGTTTTTTTTTTTTTTTTGTAATCTGTTTATCTGGGAAGCGAAGTAAGCACAGGCATTTCTTTCTTTCTTTTTTTTTTTTTTTTTTGAGACAGAGTCTCGCTCTGTCGCCCAGGCTGGAGTGCAGTGGCACAATCTCGGCTCACTGCAAGCTCCGCCTCCCGGGTTCACGCCATTCTGCTGCTTCAGCCTCCCCGGTAGCTGGGACTACAGGCACCCACGACGCCCGGCTAATTTTTTGTATGTTTAGTAGAGACAGGGTTTCACCGTGTTAGCCAGGATGGTCTCGATCTCCCGAGCTTGTGATCCACCCGCCTCGGCCTCCCAAAGTGCTGGGATTACAGGCATGAGCCACCGCGCCAGGCCCCAGCACGGGCATTTCTTAGTTTAGCTCTACTGCTCCAAGGTATAAATACTGGAAATATCCAATTTCAGATTTAAAAATGATTAGCTGCTAATCCATGAGTGCTGGAGGATGTTTTTTGTTTGTTTGTTATGTTCTGTTTTGTTTTGTTTTTTGTTTTGACAGAGGGTCTCACTCTTGTCCAGGTTGGAGTGCAGTGGCTCAATCACGGCTCACTGCAGCCTGACCTTCCCAGGCTCACCTCAGCCTCCTGGGTAGCTGGGACTACAGGCGTGCACCACCATGCCTAGCTAACTTTTTGGTGGAGATGGGGTTTCACCATGTTGCCCAGGCTGGAGAAAGGTGTTTTAAGCCCTCTGCCGTCCCCAGCCTTAATACCCCAGCTTTCGCTCCCTCATCATGAGGCTAGATTTCAACCTCACTTCCTTTCACCAAGGAAACTTAAGATCCTGTGGTTTCCTGTTAGATTTCTGTAGGAGGCTCTCAGGTACTGCTGCCACTTTTGCTGGTGGTGACAGAAGCAACCTCAGACTTGTGCGTTTGGCCATTTTGAGCTGTACTTTCAAACAATCCAGAGACCAATTTTCCTAGAATCAAGGAGATAGAGGCCATAATCCGTTGAACAAGTGTTCTCTTGAAAGCAGGTACAACGTTACCACTATCTTGTATAAGGTGCACCAATGCCAGAGGGCAACCTAACATTCTGGAATTATTTTTTTCCCTTGAAATTTCTCTCCAGCAGTAACTGCACTATAGTTTATCCCCTGTTGTTGATTTATTGTTATTTCTCTGAATTATCTTAGCTAATTCAGAGAAACTTTTTTCCCCTCCAAACTTTGTCATTCAATTCTGGCGGTGGGGGAGTTCACAGGGATTCATGTAAAGCTTCTCAATCTTATTAGTGTCAGATAAATGCAAATGAAGTAACATTGAGATGCTACACCTTGTACACATAAGATTGGCAAACGTTTAAAAGTTGGTGTTTTAGTTATGTATTGCTGCATAACAAACTATCCCTCAAATTAATGACAATGCCCTTAAGATTCATGAAATCTCTTTTACATAGCAAGGAGGGTCTAGGAGGCACATTCTGAAATCTTTCTGACATCTCAAAAAATGGTTTAACAGCTGCATCTTCATTTGAGGATTTACCTCGATATTTATCCTTAGATCAAATTTTGCTGACAACATGCTGGATTTGATCTTTGAATTTTCTGCCTTTGAGAACTTTCTGATTGCTAGTATAGAAAGACCACCATGGGGCCTCAATGTTTCTTGAAATTCTGCTAAAAAATGGAACAATTCCTTTCTATCTTGTATTTTACCATAGGAAGCCAGAGAAAGCAATCTGTCATGTTTAACATTCTGCCTGGAAATTTCCCTAGCTAGATCTTATCAGATCAAATGAACTGTAGAGTTAATTTCTGGGAAGAAACCACCTCAACTGCCTCGCGCCTTCTGCGTGTTAGAAGGGAATCGAGTCTGGTGCCAGGATTCAACGAGAAGGGAGCGGTACATCCCAAACCATGAATTTCATAACGCTGGTCTCCGGGGAAAATACTGACATTCTACTCCATTACTCTTGAGCCTTGAGCAACTGAAGAGGTTGAGTTTGTGAATACATGCTGTCAGACAGGATTACCTTGGGAAACAGTGAAACATGCAAAACCTCTGAGGAGTCCAATATTTGTTAAATGAATTTACAGAAGAGACTCACTGGAAACATTTAACATTTATATGAGGTTGGGTAAATAGAATGATATTTTCATTCAATTCACTATTATCTGTTAAACACATACTTTTTTTTTTTTTTTTTCGATGGAATCTTGCTCTGGCTAATTTTCGTATTTTTAGTAGAGACAGGGTTTCACCATGTTGGCCAGTCTGATCTCAAACTCCTGATCTCAAGTGATCTGCCTGCCTTGGCCTCCCAAAGTGTTGGGATTACAGGCGCCACGCCCAGCCAACACCTCTTTTTTACGAAGTACTGCATGAGTAACTTGGGGTTGCAACCAAAGGGTGTCCTTGCTTTCAAATAGGATATTTCATAGAATATGACTTAAATAAATACATGATGACATAGAGTTATATTCCAAGTGAGCTCCCACTAAATTATTGCTTTTCAAATTCTTTTTGGTTACCATTGGTTCACATGTACTATCTTTCTTAATATAGGATCACTAATATTGAGGAGATCCTATTTATAAAAACAATCACTTGTGTCTAAGATTGATTGTTAATGTCAATATAATGCATATCATCTGTAAAAAGGAAATTTGTAAGAAGGAAATATTAAAAAATACCTGCCAGAACAACAGGATTCTGAAAGATTCTGTTTGGAAAAAACAAACAAACGAACAAAAAAACGTTTTATGGGGCTAGGTTTTATACCTCTTTCCCAGTTATTTTCTTTTGCTTTCTTCACCACGTTGTGGCAGGCCAGGTTTCACTAACTCAGGCTTCCATAACAACGGTTTCAGCACTGACCGAGTGGTTCCATCAAATATTAACAGCTGAGAGAGTCAGTGCCCTTCTGCAAAGGCTGGAATGTCACAAAAGCCCATCAAGAGCTTTGCCTCGGCCTTTCCTGGGCCTTAAATCATGACAGGATAATGAAGGAATTCTTAACGGGACCCGTTTAGGAGTAAATAAGTTTTATTGGGGGGTCCAAAGAAACTCCCCAGGCCTCCACAAACAAGCCTTATTGGGTACTAAAGAAACTCCCCAAACCTCCATGATTTAGCAGGAGACAAGACAAAGGTATTGACCCCAGCACCTGGACCCATTTAGGTTAAGTAAATTTACTCAGGTTCCAGAGGAAGAGCTTCAAGACTCAGACCTTAGTTATAGATGAAAAGAAGTTAATCACTTATGTCTTTAGATGAATGCACAAATGCACACTTACATGTAGACATATAGCTTAGAAGGTATACAAGCTCTGGAAAACTTTGTAGTTTTGAGTTGGTCTGGGGATAATTTCAAGGCCTTCTCCCTGTAACTGGTTACAGAAATAAAAACTTGATTCTCTCCCAGTTCATCTGCATCTCGTTATTGGGCTGCGAGAATAAGTAGCCCGACCCTTGGCTTGGTCAGGAACAGCATGACATAAGAGACAGAGCACTGGCTTTGTAATCAGTTGATCTGGGTTCAAATCCTGATTCTATCACTTAAAAGCTGTGTGACATTGGGTGTACCAAATGTCTCTGTGCCTCTGTTTCTTCATGGGTAAAATCATGGTAATACTTTACATCCCCCCCCCATAATTCGGTGCCTGGCCCAGTGTCAAGACTCAGTATTTATTATTGAGTTGTTATTATCGTTACGGTGAATGACGTCGCAAATGTTCCTGGCATTTACAGACAGGTCTCCACTGCACGGTTGTCACAATGGTTACTCTTTTGGGGAGCTCCCATCGGAGCAGCTGCTTCCACCTTGCTTTATTTTCCTGCAGATAATGTCCTGTTCCCGTCATTATCTGCTAACTTCTTGACTGAATGCCTGATAGGAGCTCAGATAGCCAAGTGTGGCTTTGTGCCACACCCTCCTAACATAGCTCGTTTTCTGTTCCTATGGACTACAGAATGCGCTCTAGGGTTTGAACTGCAGACCTGTTCCTGCGTCATTCTCTATGTTTGACTTGTGGCCATCCTAGTGAGGTTAAATGAAGCTCTGAGGTGAAAGCAGGAAGGATTCGGTTCAGGGAGAGCGTTTGTTTGATACAGGTGTTATACATGATGAACTATCCATCAGGGACAGGGATCAGAGCAGAGGTCAGAGAAGAGTGGTGGAGGTGAGAACCTGCCATGATCGGGAGAGGAGGGAGGGATGTCACAGTAACATGCAGTCTGCTAATATTTGGCAGATTGTCATCTTCATGACCTCAATGGTCTTGTTAGTTCCTGCCGCAATTTTGCAGTTATGTAGGGTCACCCCTGCTCTCCCCATCCAGACAATGCTGATGAAAGAGATATTAGCAAGAGATACCATCCAGATCAAATATATCTTACAGAGATCAGTGCAACTTTGCATGAATGAGTCCAACTTTGCACGAAGTAAGAGTCCAGGACTCTTACTTCCTGAGTATCCTGAAACCCAGTGCATCTTTTCCCTGGGGAAAATGAAAACACAAAGCCATCCAAAAAAAACAAGCAAAATATATTGGAAGGAAACTCTGGTATATAACATTGAGCTGCTGGTTTGAAAAGCAGTGACCTCTCTGTGCAAATGATTTTTTTTTCCAAACAGAGCTGAACAAGGTAAGATTCTGGGTTAATGGCTTCCATAACGATTAAAATTAAAATGTAAACCATCTGTAGTAGGGCTTACAGCCCTGCAGGAACTTACAGAACCATCAAATAATTTTAATAAACTGCTTATGCAAGCCTATTTCTATGGGAGGTCAGACTCCAGTCTCTCTTTAAGAGGCTGCCAAGACACCCTGGACTCAGATGATAAGGCATCTGCGTGTTCTCTGAGGCCAAGACTGCGAAAATGTGTCTCAGCAGGCAAGGGGGGAAAACTGATACCTTTATAAAAGACATATTAAAAAGTGAGAGGTCTCTAGGGATTTTCTTGAAACTACCATTAAAGCTACATCATCTCTCTTTCCCCAGAAAGCCCACTTGGATTAAGCTCATCAACCAATGGGAATGTCAGTGATTGGATGGTTGTATGTCGGCGTGAAACAATGGTTATCTGTTAAACTGAATTTTATATCCGTGTGGTGTTCAGTTTTTTCCCTCAGGATCTGGGATAGTGAAAGTTCCCTTGATCTGTGGGCTTTGTCTTTGTGGTGCTAACTGCTGAAGTACTTGCCTCCAGAATAGGCACCTCTGCTGACGGCTAGAGCCACAAACATTCCTGATCCCACTGGTGGCGTTTTCCTATTAAGTTGGGTGCACATTTCCATACAGACACGATCAAACATTGCATGTTATGATTAGAAATAAAGCTGAGGACTGAGAAACTGAATATACAATGACCAGACCATATATAAAAACAGAATGTTGACCCGTCACCTGCAGCAACCTGCCCAAGAAACCAACCCCTATTTACAGTAAGCAACCCAGGAATCCAGCCTGCTATATAAACCACACTTGCAGGAAGCCAGATTGCTATCTTGGAAGGTAAATAATTTCTGTAACGATCGGCCCCAGATGGCCAGGACTTAATAACTGAAGCTTCCCTAATTTTGCCCTTGCTTTCAACTTAGGACCAACTAAAGAAAGTCAAACATGTACCTCTTACCTATCACACAGGGTGCCCTGCACGTAGTTAGCTTACCTCCAGCTTCTTCACGCCAACAGTCCAATCAGCACACCTGAGCCTTCTCTTCCGTGGGTCTTAAAGCTTTTGCATTCCTCTGCCTGCCTTTGAGTCTCTGCGCAAACGCTAGTGATGGTGGCCGACTCCTTTGCTATAGCAAGCTCAGAATCGATAGCCTTTGCTTTTCTCCTTTGGTCTTTGTTCAGTACTATAGTTTAAATAGACTTTGTGAGCCAGTTGGTTTCTAAATCATTCTAACTGCCATTCACTCACTTACTGAAGAAATATTTACTAAAAGCTTCAATATAGGCCATATTTCTTGCTAGACACAGGAGCAAATGAAATAAGATAGGGGCCCTCCCCTAGAGGACAGTAACTTGGCAACTAAAGGGATGAACGGGATGACTTGGCAACCAAGTCAAAGGGCATTAAAATACAGAGGCGGACTCAAACGAAGATGGCCGAATAGGAACAGCTCCGGTCTACAGCTCCCAGCGTGAGCAAAGCAGAAGACGGGTGATTTCTGCATTTCCATCTGAGGTACCAGGTTCATGTCACTAGGGAGTGCCAGGCAGTGGGCGCAGGTCAATGGGTGCGCGCACGGTGCGCGAGCCGAAGCAGGGCGAGGCATTGCCTCACTTGGGAAGCGCAAGGGGTCAGGGAGTTCCCTTTCTGAGTCAAAGAAAGGGGTGACGGACGCACCTGGAAAATCGGGTCACTCCCACCCGAATATTAACCTTTTCGGACCGGCTTAAAAAACGGCGCACCACGAGATTATATCACACACCTGGCTCGGAGGGTCCTACGCCCACGGAGTCTCGCTGATTGCTAGCACAGCAGTCTGAGATCAAACTGCAAGGCGGCAGCGAGGCTGGGGGAGGGGCGCCCGCCATTGCCCAGGCTTGCTTAGGTAAACAAAGCAGCCCGGAAGCTCGAACTGGGTGGAGCCCACCACAGCTCAAGGAGGCCTGCCTGCCTCTGTAGGCTCCACCTCTGGGGGCAGGGCACAGACAAACAAAAAGACAGCAGTAACCTCTGCAGACTTAAATGTCCCTGTCTGACAGCTTTGAAGAGAGCAGTGGTTCTCCCAGCACGCAGCTGGAGATCTGAGAACGGGCAGACTGCCTCCTCAAGTGGGTCCCTGACCCCTGACCCCCGAGCAGCCTAACTGGGAGGCACCCCCCAGCAGGGGCACACTGACACCTCACACGGCAGGGTATTCCAACAGACCTGCAGCTGAGGGTCCTGTCTGTTAGAAGGAAAACTAACAAACAGAAAGGACATCCACACCAAAAACCCATCTGTACATCACCATCATCAAAGACCAAAAGTAGATAAAACCACAAAGATGGGGAAAAAACAGAACAGAAAAACTGGAAACTCTAAAACGCAGAGCGCCTCTCCTCCTCCAAAGGAACGCAGTTCCTCACCAGCAACGGAACAAAGCTGGATGGAGAATGACTTTGACGAGCTGAGAGAAGAAGGCTTCAGACGATCAAATTACTCTGAGCTACGGGAGGACATTCAAACCAAAGGCAAAGAGGTTGAAAACTTTGAAAAAAATTTAGAAGAATGTATAACTAGAATAACCAATACAGAGAAGTGCTTAAAGGAGCTGATGGAGCTGAAAACCAAGGCTCGAGAACTACGTGACGAATGCAGAAGCCTCAGGAGCTGATGCGATCAACTGGAAGAAAGGGTATCAGTGATGGAAGATGAAATGAATGAAATGAAGCGAGAAGGGAAGTTTAGAGAAAAAAGAATAAAAAGAAATGAGCAAAGCCTCCAAGAAATATGGGACTATGTGAAAAGACCAAATCTACATCTGATTGGTGTACCTGAAAGTGATGGGGAGAATGGAACCAAGTTGGAAAACACTCTGCAGGATATTATCCAGGAGAACTTCCCCAATCTAGCAAGGCAGGCCAACGTTCAGTTTCAGGAAATACAGAGAACGCCACAAAGATACTCCTCGAGAAGAGCAACTCCAAGACACATAATTGTCAGATTCACCAAAGTTGAAATGAAGGAAAAAAATGTTAAGGGCAGCCAGAGAGAAAGGTCGGATTACCCTCAAAGGGAATCCCATCAAACTAACAGCGGATCTCTCGGGAGAAACCCTACAAGCCAGAAGAGAGTGGGGGCCAATATTCAGCATTCTTAAAGAAAAGAATTTTCAACCCAGAATTTCATATCCAGCCAAACTAAGCTTCATAAATGAGGGAGAAATAAAATACTTTACAGACAAGCAAATGCTGAGAGATTTTGTCACCACCAGGCCTGCCCTACAAGAGCTCCTGAAGGAAGCGCTAAACATGGAAAGGAACAACCGCTGCAAAATCAAGCCAAAATGTAAAGACCATCGAGACTAGGAAGAAACTGCATCAACTAACGAGCAAAATCACCAGCTAACATCATAATGACAGGATCAAATTCACACATAACAATATTAACTTTAAATGTAAATGGACTAAATGCTCCAATTAAAAGACACAGACTGGCAAATTGGATAAAGAGTCAAGACCCATCAGTGTGCTGTATTCAGGAAACCCATCTCAAGTGCAGAGACACACATAGGCTCAAAATAAAAGGATGGAGGAAGATCTACCAAGCAAATGGAAAACAAAAAAAGGCAGGGGTTGCCATCCTAGTCTCTGATAAAACAGACTTTAAACCAACAAAGATCAAAAGAGACAAAGAAGGCCATTACATAATGGTAAAGGGATCAATTCAACAAGAAGAGCTAATTATCCTAAATATATATGCACCCAATACAGGAGCACCCAGATTCATAAAGCAAGTCCTGAGTGACCTACAAAGAGACTTAGACTCCCACACATTAATAATGGGAGACTTTAACACCCCACTGTCAACATTAGACAGATCAACGAGACAGAAAGTCAACAAGGATACCCAGGAATTGAACTCAGCTCTGCACCAAGCAGACCTAATAGACATCTACAGAACTCTCCACCCCAAATCAACAGAATATACATTTTTTTCAGCACCACACCACACCTATTCCAAAATTGACCACATACTTGGAAGTAAAGCTCTCCTCAGCAAATGTAAAAGAACAGAGATTATAACAAACTATCTCTCAGACCACAGTGCAATCAAACTAGAACTCAGGATTAAGAATCTCACTCAAAACCGCTCAACTACATGGAAACTGAACATCCTGCTTCTGAATGACTACTGGATACCTAACAAAATGAAGGCAGAAATAAAGATGTTCTTTGAAACCAATGAGAACAAAGACACAACATACCAGAATCTCTGGGACGCATTCAAAGCAGTGTGTAGAGGGAAATTTATAGCACTAAATGCCCACAAGAGAAAGCAGGAAAGATCCAAAATTGACACCCTAACATCACAATTAAAAGAACTAGAAAAGCAAGAGCAAACACATTCAAAAGCTAGCAGAAGGCAAGAAATAACTAAAATCAGAGCAGAACTGAAGGAAATAGAGACACAAAAAACCCTTCAAAAAATTAATGAATCCAGGAGCTGGTTTTTTGAAAGGATCAACAAAATTGATAGACCACTAGCAAGACTAATAAAGAAAAAAAGATAGAAGAATCAAATAGACACAATAAAAAATGATAAAGGGGATATCACCACCGATCCCACAGAAATACAAACTACCATCAGAGAATGCTACAAACACCTCTACGCAAATAAACTAGAAAATCTAGAAGAAATGGATAAATTCCTCGACACATACACTCTCCCAAGACTAAACCAGGAAGAAGTTGAATCTCTGAATAGACCAATAACAGGATCTGAAATTGTGGCAATAATCAATAGCTTACCAACCAAAAAGAGTCCAGGACCAGACGGATTCACAGCCGAATTCTACCAGAGGTACAAGGAGGAACTGGTACCATTCCTTCTGAAACTATTCCAATCAATAGAAAAAGAGGGAATCCTCCCTAACTCATTTTATGAGGCCAGCATCATCCTGATACCAAAGCCGGGCAGAGACACAACCAAAAAAGAGAATTTTAGACCAATATCCTTGATGAACATTGATGCAAAAATCCTCAATAAAATACTGGCAAAACGAATCCAGCAGCACATCAAAAAGCTTATTCACCATGATCAAGTGGGCTTCATCCCTGGGATGCAAGGCTGGTTCAATATACGCAAATCAATAAATGTAATCCAGCATATAAACAGAGCCAAAGACAAAAACCACATGATTATCTCAATAGATGCAGAAAAAGCCTTTGACAAAATTCAACAACCCTTCATGCTAAAAATTCTCAGTAAATTAAGTATTGATGGGACGTATTTCAAAATAATGAGAGCTATGACAAACCCACAGCCAATATCATACTGAATGGGCAAAAACTGGAAGCATTCCCTTTGAAAACGGGCACAAGACAGGGATGCCCTCTCTCAGCACTCCTATTCAACATAGTGTTGGAGGTTCTGGCCAGGGCAATTAGGCAGGAGAAGGAAATAAAGGGTATTCAATTAGGAAAAGAGGAAGTCAAATTGTCCCTGTTTGCAGATGACATGATTGTATATCTAGAAAACCCCATTGTCTCAGCCCAAAATCTCCTTAAGCTCATAAGCAACTTCAGCAAAGTCTCAAGATACAAAATCAATGTAGAAAAATCACAAGCATTCTTATACACCAACAACAGACAAACAGAGAGCCAAATCGTGAGTGAACTCCCATTCACAATTGCTTCAAAGACAATAAAATACCTAGGAATCCAACTTACAAGGGATGCGAAGGACCTCTTCAAGGAAAACTACAAACCACTGCTCAAGGAAATAAAAGAGGATACAAATGGAAGAACATTCCATGCTCATGGGTAGGAAGAATCAATATCGTGAAAATGGCCATACTGCCCAAGGTAATTTACAGATTCAATGCCATCCCCATCAAGCTACCAATGACTTTCTTCACAGAATTGGAAAAAACTACTTTCAAGTTCATATGGAACCAAAAAAGAGCCTGCATCACCAAGGCAATCCTAAGCCAAAAGAACAAAGCTGGAGGCATCACGCTACCTGACTTCAAACTATACTACAAGGCTACAGTAACCAAAACAGCATGGTACTGGTACCAAAACAGAGATATAGGTCAATGGAACAGAACAGAGCCCTCGAAAATAACGCCGCATATCTACAACTATCTGATCTTGGAGAAACCTGAGAAAAACAAGCAATGGGGAAAGGATTCCCTATTTAATAAATGGTGCTGGGAAAACTGGCTAGCCATATGTAGAAAGCTGAAACTGGATCCCTTCCTTACACCTTATACAAAAATCAATTCAAGATGGATTAAAGATTTAAACGTTAGACCTAAAACCATAAAAACCCTAGAAGAAAACCTAGGCATTACCATTCAGGACATAGGCATGGGCAAGGACTTCATGTCCAAAACACCAAAAGCAATGGCAACAAAAGCCAAAATTGACAAATGGGATCTAATTAAACTAAAGAGCTTCTGCACAGCAAAAGAAACTACCATCAGAGTGAATAGGCAACCTACAGAATGGGAGAAAATTTTCACAACCTACTCATCTGACAAAGGGCTAATATCCAGAATCTACAATGAACTCAAACAAATTTACAAGAAAAAAACAAACAACCCCATCAAAAAGTGGGTGAAGGACATGAACAGACACTTCTCAAAAGAAGACATTTATGCAGCCAAAAAACACATGAAAAAATGCTCGTCATCAGTGGCCATCAGAGAAATGCAAATCAAAACCACAATGAGATACCATCTCACACCAGTTAGAATGGCAATCATTAAAAAGTCAGGAAACAACAGGTGCTGGAGAGGATGTGGAGAAATAGGAACACTTTTACACTGTTGGTGGGACTGTAAACTAGTTCAACCATTGTGGAAGTCAGTGTGGCGATTCCTCAGGGATCTAGAACTAGAAATACCATTTGACCCAGCCATCCCATTACTGGGTATATACCCAAAGGACTATAAATCATGTTGCTATAAAGACACATGCACACGTATGTTTATTGCGGCATTATTCACAATAGCAAAGACTTGGAACCAACCCAAATGTCCAACAATGATAGATTGGATTAAGAAAATGTGGCACATATACACCATGGAATACTATGCAGCCATAAAAAATGATGAGTTCATGTCCTTTGTAGGGACATGGATGAAATTGGAAATCATCATTCTCAGTAAACTATTGCAAGAACAAAAAACCAAACACCACATATTCTCACTCATAGGTGGGAATTGAACAATGAGATCACATGGACACAGGAAGGGGAACATCACACTCTGGGGACTGTGGTGGGGTGGGGGGAGGGGGGAGGGATAGCATTGGGAGATATACCTAATGCTAGATGACGATTTAGTGGGTGCAGCGCACTAGCATGGCATATGTATACATATGTAACTAACCTGCACAATGTGCACATGTACCCTAAAACTTAAAGTATAATAAAAAAATAAAAAAATTAAAAAAAATAAAGTTGACTCAAACTTAAAAAAAAAAAAAATACAGAGGCAGTGTTTTTTAAAAAGTGCATACTAATTCCTGGATTCATGAGATAACTTCCAGGAAGTTGTAGATAGATAAACATTTCAACTTTAATCATTATACGCTTGAATGCAGATTAGAAAAATTAGCATTTTAAGCTTAGCAAACCCATGATTTCAGATATTATTGCTTTAGGATGTCGGTAACAGTTAAAATCTAGTCAGGAGATTAAAAGCCACCCTTATTTTAACAGAGGAAATTAAATATTAAGAATTGTTAATTGGGTATTAAAGAACTAAACGAGGCAAAAGGAAAACACTGAGGTATCATGCAGGAAGCTGCGACTCCTAGGGAAGAGAGGGAAATTGTTCAATTTTTGAAACTTGGGAGGGGCCCCAAAGAGCCAAAACTCAGACCTCTGACATTAAGTTGTTATTCTGCTAATATCAGTGTCTCTGGGTTGGGTGGGGGAACCCTGTGGCCAAGGCGCTGGACAGATGTCGGAATGAATACAGGGTGGTTGGTGCTGGTGATGTCTCTGAGGAGTTGCTATGAGGCTGTTGCAGCAAGTGTTGGGAAGACTAAACTCATATTAACAACTCTTCCTGGAATACCAGCCTCTGCTGGGGTGCAGGTGTTTTGAGGGTGACAAAGAAATAGGAAAAGAAGAGGAAGCAGAGAGAAGGGACACATCCTGTCTTCTTCCTCTAGCCTCGCCATCTCCAGCTGGGCCTCCACTGGCTGATCCTAATTAAGTCAGCTGCATAGGAGACATGGGGTTTGCTCAGTCCCAGCCCGGCACTAAAAGCTGAATACAGAGGGTGAGTTTGATTCTGTGAAGCAACAGCTTTGAATCTGCCACAACCTGCCCTTTCGGCCATTTAGCATCCACAGACTTCTAACCTAAACTTCCTGCAACAAGGAAAACAACTGTTTCTACCGAATACACTGCAAACATCCTTTGTACAAGATACCCTCAGCCTTTCTCCAAAATGAGGAGACACAAAGTCCCAGCAGACATTCTATCAGTTAATTACACCTAAAATTAATCACAAACCCACCTAATATTCTTACCCTACGACTAAATAGCGAAATTAACGCCCTAAGAAAACAAAATAAGGAGGTAAGAGAAGAAATTAGTACACACACATACACACACACACACACACACACACACACGCAGAAGAAAACAGTCATCCCTGGGTATCCAAGGACTGGTTCCAGGACCTCCTGCAGATACCAAAATCCACAGATGCTCAAACCCCTTACCTTAGACAGCATGTTTGCATATAACTTACGTGCATCCTCCTGTATCCCTTAGACTACCTCTAGATGATTTATGATGCCTAATACAATGTCAATGCTATGTAGTTGTCATACTGTATTGTACTTTATATTATTTTTTATTGTATTTTTATTTTTTGAGTACTTTCTGTGGTTAGTCAAGTCGATATCTGGAACTCACTGATATGGAGTGCCAACCCTCCATGTAACAGTTGCAGTAACTTGTTTCTGTAACTGGCTAGTCATAAGGCTGAAATAATAAATTTCCTTCTTTCCTTACACATCCCATGGTTCCTCTTCCCTCAGCCAGTAGCTCAGCTTCTCAGGATTTATACGGGGTGGGGTGTACCAAAACATCATTCCCTAAAGGACCTCAATCATTCCCCTCTTTGAGACTGTTATAGCTGTCCCTTAGAAGTTAGTGGCATACATGGGAAGTGCTAAAAATGCCCTAGAGAATCCTTGGGTTCCAGATGCCTTTCTCACCATCCACTGTGTAGGAACGACATAAATGCCCCTTTGTTGCCAGGATCACTTGCACCAGCCAAAACAGTAACCTCCAGCCCGTTGGTTCAGTGCTGAAATGACTGGATAGTCTCAATTCCTGTCTCAATGGAGCCATTGTTGTGTCCCCTAGCGGGAGCACTCCTCCCTTGGGAACTCAAGAGAAGCAGGAAACAAATCACCCATGAGTGGGACCACTCCATCTACCTCTGCTTGATTCCAGACCGTGCATTCTGACCAAGAACAGTCCCATGGAGTGGTCACTCAATCAAAGCACACGTTACATTTGTCAGATGGAGTTGTATTCCACCTAGGGCCATAAATGTGTCTTCAGCAGACCATTCCATCGTCCTATTATGCCCGCTATTCCTGGGTGATGGGGGATATGCTAAGACCAGTGCACTCAAGAGGCATAAGCCCCCATTACCCCACTTCTTTTATGGTGAAATGAGTTTGTCAATCAGAAGTCGACTGTGCAGACAGGTACATAAGACACGTAGTAAGTCCGGTAGTAAGTCCGTGGATTGTGGTGCTGGTAAGGCACTGGGAAGAACTCGTTACTTCCCAGAGTTGGGAGGTGCATCATTCTCATACTCACAGTGAAAAAAAAAAAAAAGGCCAGATTAACTTCAAAGTCCTATCTTTTCTCATAACTCACCAGAGAACTGAGGTCACAGAGCAATAAAACCTTCCTTACAGAGATTTGAGGAGAGAGGAGACATGTACCTCATTCACTTCCTGGGAGCGAAATTAAATCAGTAGTTCTCAGAAGTCCTAGGTACTTATCTGCAGACAGAAAGACAGACACACATACACACACTTAATTCTATGTGCTTCTTTCTGTACTTAGCATTTAGAATAGAGTTCAGACTAGGAGATGGTACCATTGGTCAGTGGTAAATTCTGTTGGGTTATACCGTAAGAAACTAAAGGTTATTTTTGACCTGTAAAAGGCAATTTCTTATGGTTCAACCTAATACATCACTATATTCTGATCAATGGCTGTTTTTTAAAGTTATTATTTGGAAAAAAGTTATATTACTGAATTAGACTAAAATTGTTATTTGAAAGTACAAGAAAATATAAAAAGTATGTGAAAGTAGATTTTTATTACAGAGCAAATTTTTCTATCAATTCAATGCTTTAAATAAAACAACATAATACCATAAACTGACAATGACCTGGGAGCATGTAAATACTTAAGGCTGGAGAGGCATTTTTATTCTTGATAAATTTATATAATAAATTCTTATGACATTTGATTCCAAATTGTATGTACGAATTGGCTTGACATAATAAATATAAACATAAGGGCAATTTAAACATTGGCAGTAGTTTATGTAAGTCAATTCAAGGTCAGTGACTGGAGAACTATATTAAGAGAAACCTGAGGTAAAAAAAATCTTTAGGAAGCAGCCCTGTAACAATGTACATTTGTAGATCAGGGGCTAAAAATCCACTCTGAATGAATACCAAGAAGCAAAGGATGTACAACATCCATCACACATCTGTTTCAAAAACAGCATGTTTCTAAAATGATAATCTCTTTACAAGTAAACGTTACAGTATTAATAACTATAGAGACACCATTGGGATGAGCTCCAGATGCCCTGCTGACTTCCACCAAGCACCCCTGGGCCATCGCTTAAGGCATCCATCTTAATCCTGGGGCTTTAAGAACATCTTCTTTGCTTTAATTGGTGTTATGTCTCCATTTTCATCTTCTTCATAATTGGCATGGTCTCTCTTTCTGGCAAACTTTTTCCCAATTGTCCCCACCAAGGTCTCATATCTGTCAAGAGGACAGGCAGCACACGTTTAATTTCAAATAAAAAGGTAGGGATCAAGCCTTGTCAAGAATATCAGACCAAATATGCAATAAAAAAGATTACGAAAAAGAAAACTATCATTAAAAGAAACCATCTGATTTAACAATTTATGAACTTCTCTAAGAGTGATTAAATTCCTTGCCATTTTGGTGTTTGCATTACCCTAAATAAATAGAGATGTACATTTTAAAATACACATTTCCAGCAGCTCTGGAAATGGGCCCTCAACTGGCAGCCTGAGACAGGTCTGTGGCCCCCGTAGGCCATTAAGAGAAGGCCGATCACAGTCATCGTCCTACTGGGGGACTCCCTTGAAAGCTGCCGTGCACTGTGGGGTAAGAGGAGCATTCCTGGGAGAGCCAATGAATGCTAGGTCCAGATTAGAAGGCTGCTGCGCAGCACGGTTACCTTCTAGCCATCTCTTCATCTGACACATCAAGCTCTACTGTTTCATCTTCAACTTCTTCTGCTTTGTGCTTAGCATTCATCTGAAGCATCAATTTCTGAAAAATACACCAGTGCTGACCTTCAGGCTAGAAAACGCTTGTGAAAGGAACTGATGTCAAACTTACCTGAAGGCAGAGAAACTGAAGTCAAATAATCTAGAGAACTAGTCAAAATTGATAAGGGACTCTCTGTAATACTTGATACCACAATGGTGTAAGAGAAGTAAGCTCTGAGTCAAAAAAATAGTAAGGCAAAGCCCCACTGAATTATACTTAGGGTGAATTTAAAGTGTATTTAAGATCATAAATCTTAGTATTAGTTACTCATATTTAAAGCAGGCATACTGCTGACACATTCCGGTGAGTGGGGGAAGAAATAATAAACTTTCAGATTTTCCCTGAACTTCCCCCACCCATCTTTAAGCCATATGGAAGAAACACTAGTCGTCAGTAATAATTTTAAATGCATCTCTTGGTGGTGGTGGTGGTGAGTGGAGGAGGTGGGAGAAGTGGAAGGCTGGCCCTGTTTAATGGAGGGAATCTGCACCTCAGCCTTACCCTCCTAAACTTTAGAGTGGATAATGCATCCCATGTAACATCCATGCACCACAGGGTCTCTCCTCCAACTCTTTCACATAAACCTTTTTGTGATAATTATCCTCTGACCTTTTTTTTTTTAAATGTGTAATCTCTTCTTTTTAGCAAGAGGAGAAGGAATAAAAGATGAGAAATCAGTCTTAACTAGTTTTTCTAAGGCTTAAAAGAGTGATAATAGTTTAAAACCTTTTCCTAGGGGGAGTGTATTCAGTGTTTCAGAATCCAGTAATTAGGGCCATTTTCTAACACCCGTCCCTGCCCCCCATCAATTTCTGCGGGCAGTGGCACCTCTCCTTTCCCATTGCAGCAGACATACTTTGGAATGCTCGCCTATCCAAACCCTACTCTTTGAATACCACATCTTCATAATCCCTGCCTTTTTCTTCCCTCTTCACCCCACTGCCCAGCCCCTCTCCTTCTCAATCTGAAGCTTAATTAAAGAAAGTCAAAGCGAGACCAGCATATATTAAAAACAAACACTTCTAACATAACACCTTAATTATCACACATGCCTCCTCCCACTCCGCCAAAAAAGAAAAGGAAAACTAACCTAGAATCTTTCAATAAACTCTGGCAATTGGCTTAGTTAACTGTGGCTCCTAGAGAAGTGGTTCTTAACTGGGGATGATTTTCCCCACCAGGGAACCTGTGAAAATGTCTGGAAACATTTTTGGTTGTCACAGCTGGGTAGGAGGGTGGGGTGTGTGTGTGCTACTGATATTTAGTTGGTAGAGAACAGAGGACAGGGATGTGGTTCGTCATTCTCTTAGGAAAGCCACCACCACAAAGAATTATCTGGCCCCAAATGTTAACACTGCCAAGGGCAAGAAACACTGGCTTCAAGTAATATTTACCAAACTAAAGATTTATATCTCATGTGTCCATTTGGTTCATCAAGTACTTGATAGGATGGCTTTTAACATATGAGCCAGAGTTCTAATGAATATTTGTTAAATAAAGGTCTGCTTCTCTATCCTGGAGCAGGAAAATTCAAATGAATAGCTCAGTTATAAGGCAAATATTCATTTTTCAAACAAACTGTCGAAAGGATTCATTTAAAAATCTACTTACAAGCTTGGATTACAACAGTCCATTAAAAAGTCAAATGACATAATTCTAAAGTAACATTTTTCCGTTAGAAAAAATACATGTATAGGTGCCAGAAAATAACTTTTCATAATAGCATGATATGAATAAAATCTTGACGTTCCTGTAAAAGACACAACTTGAAATTTTAATATTTATGGTGGCTCTGTCAAGGGCTGTATACTGCTATATGAAATTATCTACTCACCTCTACCATAAAACTAGACTGCAATGCCTCCAATTTCTTTAAATAGCTATGGCGATATTTCAAGACTTGTTATTTTCTATATAATGAGTAGAAATGGTACCTGGTGGAGAAACACCTAAGCCCAATTATTAGCAGAAAAAAATTCAATTGGAAAAATTTTTAATTTGAAGCAATTATATTTAATACCTCAACCTCAGGATTAAATCCTCTGAATGACATTCTTCCATAGAGAAGATCTTCACATAGTAAGAAACTCTGCTCTTCTATTATGAAACTCCTAAATGGGAAAATAAAAATAGCATTTCTCCATATATAAAGCACAGCAAACAAAAGCCAACACTTTGAATAAAAAAAATAATCAACCTATGGTTCTCAGTAGAATGAAGTAAAAATACAGTAAGATTTCTAACTTAGGGTTAAAAATAAAATCTGATTAATTTGGTCAGCAAAGGCATTAGGAGACAAGAGCAGCAAGCTAGAGGCACAGCCTCTCTTAAACACCACATTTAATTTGCATAAATATCTACATAATATAAAGATCTAAAGTATTGACAATAAACTTGAATTTGCCAAAGTTGAAGCAAAGTTTCTTTTGTGTTTACATCCCCTCACCATATTTTTTTCCAATTCTTTTTCAGAAAGGAAATAATATGTATGTAAAAATACACATACAGTATACAGTGACACACTACTCCAAATCATTTTAATAAAGTTTCTGGCATATTTTGTCTTTCGTTCTCAGGGATTTCAAAAATTCCATTCTCTAATTATCAAAGCAGCACATTTTAAGGAACGTAATTTGGAAAGCAGAATAAAGTATGAGTTTATAAACTGCCTGTAAGCTCCTTACCAAGAGGATAAAAAGGACTGTTAGTATATTTGAATATTTCCTTCCAGTCTTTTTTGTACTTGCATTTACGTTGATTCTTGAACACAGGTCTGAGCTGTGTGGTGCACTTATACACAGATTTTTTTCAAAAAATTTCAATAGTTTTTGGGGAACAGGTGGTTTTTTGGTTACATGGATAAGTTCTTTAGTGGTGACTTCTGAGATTTTGGCCCCCACCAAATTCTTATTACAAATCCAGGAGAAGTAGTGGGAAATCAGAGGCTTGAGCAGCTTTAACAGTGTTATCAGTCAGAGCTCTTAGCTATAAACACCAAAGGCTGACCCTGGATGACTTCAGCAGAGAAGGAATTTACTGTAAGAACACTGTAGGCTCTTCATTTCCAAGGGGGACTGGTTCCAGGACCCCTTGTAGATATCAAAATCTGTGACACAAAGAGCCAGCTGTACTGGGCATCTCAGAATCACCGGGAAGGCTGAAGGGGCAGAATTGGAAGACGGGCAGAAATAACGGTCGCTAGGTGGTTGCACCAGAACCAAAATCATGCTAGAGAATGACCCTAGGAAAACCACTGTTGCTGCTGACGGGGCTGAGCACGACACCACTGATGGCATTGGGGCAGGTTGCGTTCCCTGGACCAGGATGTTTCTGTCTGCAGCAGAATTTCTCTGCTGAGTCACCACCACATGACCGTAAATCCAAGGTGACATATCTATCTCCAGCCTGGCCATAAACCCTAAAGCATGGCAGGAAAGCAAACATGTGGCTTTTAAGGCTTGTTTGCCGGAGTAGGCTCTGATTCTCATAAAGATTCCCTTATGCAACAAACACTTATTAAACCAAACTGTGTGTATTAAATCAAACTGCGGAAACAGCCACCAGTAAAAGAGCCTCAGCTGGGCACAGTGGCGGATGCCTGTAGTCCCAGTTACTCAGGTGGCTGAGGCAGGAGAACTGCTCGCATCCCAGAAGTGGAAGTTGCAATGAGTCAAGATTGTGCCACTGCACTCCAGCCTGGGTGACAGTGTCAAACACTCACCTCCAAAAAAAAAGAAAAAAAAGGAGCCTCTGCTCTCCTGGAGGTTACAGTCTATAGAAAGAGGGGCCAAATAATGAATGAAACATGAAACATTTATATCACACAATGGATGAAAATAAAGCAGGTTATTCCATCCCTAGCTGTAGGGGAGTAATTGGTATGGAACTAGCTTTCCTGCACCATAATTATATAAAACAGGACAAAATATAAAATGACCATTTTCAGATAATGAACAAATCCAAGCATATGACTGTGATGCCTGAGAGAAGAAAATCAAATGAAGTAGACCCCATGAATGCGGAGCTTTCTGCCTGGAGGCAATTTCCAGATTGTGGAGCAGGGAGTGGGGGACTCACACAAAACCCTGTCTTGCTGAGCTTAAGAGACAAACTGTTTCATTGGGGCTTTAGTTGAAAAAAATAAAGGCACAAACTGAAGTTTGGGGTTATGGTGGTGGCTGGAATATCTGGGTGAGGATACCACTGAAAGGGAGCTACACTATGGAATTCAGGACCTGCATACTGGGTTCCCTTGAATCTTTGGCTGACCATGAAGCTGCACATGTGCAGGATGAGTCTTTAGACTTAGGGAAAAAGTAACTGCTGGAGAGATGATTTCTGGGAGAACACCTGCTGCATTAGCTTCCTGTGGCTGCTGTAACAAATTTAAGCTGACAAAATTGGTGGCTTAGAGCAACAGAATTTATGCTCCTACAGTTCTGTACAAAATCCAGATGTTAGTAGGCCTGGGATCCCTCCAGAAGCTTCCACGGTTACAAGGCCTTCTGTGTGTCAAATCTTCCTCACCTCTCCTCCTTATAAGGAAAAGTGATTACATTTAGGGCCCACCCAGATAATCCAGGATAATCTCTCATCTAAAGATCTGTAATTTACTCATATACCAGCAAGGTAAATTTTGCCACATAAGGTAACACTCACAGGTTTCAGAGATGAAAACCTAGATATTATCTGGGAGACCATTTTCCAGCCTACCATACCTGGGGAAAAAAAATTTACCCTGCAATTGCATGTTGAAGAAATAACAGAGCTTGCACAGAGCAAGGAAATGTTTGAGTTCTGCCTAGCCAGAGAGGAGAGAACAAGCTAAACACTCTGTGATATTTAGTAGAAAGGCCACACCTTAGGAGTAGAGACAATTTAGCTACAAAACACACCCTAACAAAATCAAGCTGATTGGCATGTAAGTCAACTGCCTAATGAAACAAAATTCAACACTCTATTAAGAAAAATAACAAAATCCAGGTAGTCAGCAATGTAATACATACAAATGTACAGCACACAATAAAAAATTCCTAGACATGCAAGGAAGCAAGAAAATGTAATCCCCTCATAGAAAGAAAGAAAACAACTGAAAATGAAATTAGTAGAAATGGACTTTAGAATAGTTACTGTAAATTTATTCAAGGATTTAAACGAAAACATGCATGCAATGAAGAAAGAAACAGAAAGCCTGAATTAAGAAATAGAGACTGCAAAAAAACACCAATAGAACTTATATAATTAAGGGAAAAAACAATTTAAAAAAATAAATTATATAACTGAAAAAAAAACTGCAGTGAAAAACTGGATCAGTCCTATATCTATCAAATAAATGGAATTCATTACTAAAAATCTTTTCACAGAGAAAGCTTCAGATCCAGATGGCTTCACTGGTGAATTTCACCAAGCATTTAAGGAAGAAATAATTTCAATTTTACACAAACCAAGAACTAAGAAGAGGAGGTAGGAACACTTTCCAACTCATTTTATGGCCAAAACCAAAGACATTACAATAACTCTACAGTCTAATATCTTTTTTAAATATAGATGTGAAAATCATCAATAAAATGTCAGCAAATTGAATTTAAAAATTTTAAATGTTACATATGAAGACCAAGTAGAGTGTATGTCAGAAATACAAGGCTGTTCTGATATTCAAAAGTCAATAGTTTTCAACACATTAACAAAATAAAAATCATGATCTTCTCATAAGAAATTATTTGACAAAATTCAACATCATTTATGATGAAAACCCTCAGCAAACTACGAAAATAAAGGAGTATCTCTGACCACTGATCAGGGGCATTGACGAAAACAGCACTTCATGTGTAATAGAGAGAAAGTAAATGCTTTCCCAACTGTGATCAGAAACAATTCAAGGACTACTCTTGTCGTTTCTATTCAATACTGTATTGGGTCCTTAGCCATGAAATAAATCAACAAGAGGAGATAAAATGTATAACTGTCTTTTTTTGCAGATGACATAATTATGCATGTAAACAATCTTAAGGAATCCACAAAAAAACTACTTGTCAGTGAGTCAATTTAGCATTACAGAATACGAAGTCAACGTACAACCTTCAATTTCTACACACCCCTCCACCCCATACATACACACAACAAATAAGTTTGAAAAAACTCTATTTATGATATATAAAACTATGACAGACTTAGAGATAAACAATGCAATAAGCAAAGAAAATTTTTTCAATAAATGTTAATAGGTGCAGTGGCTCATGCCTGTAATCCCAGCACTTTGGGAGGCCAAGGTGGGCAGATCACTTGAGGTCAGGAGTTCAAGATCAGCCTGGCCAACACGGAGAAACAGTGTCTCTACTAAAAATACAAAAATTAGCCGGGTGTGGTGGGGCAGCACCTGTAATCTCAGCTACTCAGGAGGCTGGGGCAGGAGAATCGCCTGAACCCGGGAGGTGGAGGTTGCGGTGAGCCAAGATTGCGCCACTGCACTCCAGCCTGGGTGACAGAGTGACACTCTGTCTCAAAAAAAAAAAAAAAGTTAATAGGATCACAGGTTATCTATGAAAGACATGTCCTTTGATTTCTACCTCATGCTGTACACAAAAAGTTAGAGGCAAACCATGGATAAAAATGTCAGCACTATAACTACAAAATTTCTAGAAGAAAACAGAAAATATCTTACCATCTTGGCATAGCCAATGATTCATTAGACGAGAGTCATAAGGAATTAACCATAAAAGAAAAAATTGATAAAATAGAAACTCATCAAAAGACAACATTAACAGGCTAGAAGAAAATATTCACTATATATATATGTGGCAAAGAACTTGTATTCAGAACATAAATAACTCCTACATGCACAGATGTATGTAAGTTTTGTCTCAAAAAAACCCTAGAAACACTGAGCTTGAGTTAATGATGTGCATGCTGCAATATTTCAGAAAGAAATATACTGATGTCTGCAACTTACTGCATCAAAAATACAATAAACTGATGGCTGGATGGGGGATGAACAAATATGTGATATAAAATATTTAAAAAAACAAAACAAAAACAAAACTTTCTCAATTTTTAAAATGGCCAAAATATTTGAAAAGGCACTTCACAAAGGTAGATATGGAAATGGCCAAAAAGGAAGAAGTTCTTCAACATTATGTCATCAGGAAAATGCAAATTAAAAACCATAATAAGATGCCACTAAAATAGTTAAAAGTAAAAAGATACATAACTCCAAATGTTGGACTCTCACACTTCCTTAGTGAAAGTGTAAAATCATAGAACAAACTAGTCTGAAAATTTCTGTTAAAGTACAATTCCACAGTTACAAAAGAAATGAAAACATAACAAAACAAAACTTGAGTATGAATGTCATACCAGCTTTATCCATAAGCGTAAAAAAACAGGCTGGGTGTGGTGCCTCATACCTGTAATCCCAGCACTTTGGGTATCCGAGGCCAGCGATCACCTGAGATCAGGAGTTCAAGACCAGCCTGGCCAACATGGTCTCTATTAAAAATAAAATTAGCCGGGCATGGTGGTGCACGCCTGTAATCCCAGCTACTCCGGAGGCTGAGGCAGGAGAACCGCTTGAACCTGGGAAGCAGGCTGCAGTGAGCCGCGGTTGCGCCAGTGCACTGTAGCTTGGGCAACAGAGCGAGACTCCATTTCAAAAAAAATAAATAAATAAAAATAAAAAAATAAAAAACTGGAAACAACCCAATCATGAGTTCTTTAACATTATTAGTCATCAGGAAAATGCTAATTAAAAACCACAATGAGATGCCACTAGAATAAAATTAAAAAGATATCTAACTCCAAATGTTGAACTCTCATACTTCCTTAGTGAAAGTGTTATAACACTTCTCTATTAATGTCCATTAATAGAAGAATGAATAGATATACCGTGGTGTATCTGTAAAATGAAATACCACTTAGCAACAGAAACAAATTACTGATGTTCCAAAACAAG
Organism: Homo sapiens; assembly: GCF_000001405.40. Classification (NCBI taxonomy): domain Eukaryota; kingdom Metazoa; phylum Chordata; class Mammalia; order Primates; family Hominidae; genus Homo; species Homo sapiens. The sequence continues at coordinate 82,157,352 of NC_000016.10, forward strand.
GATGAATATCCAAAACATTTTGCTGACACAGTTAAGCACATATTGCACAATTCCTTTTTTATGAAGTTCAAGAACAGACAAAATTAATCTACGGTTTAAGAAATCAGAACAGTGCTTGCATCAGAGCAGGAGTGAGACTGACTAGAAAGAGGGATGAAGATCTTTACGTGATGATGGAAATGTTTCCTTGATAGGAGTATGGTTTACAAAGATGCATGCACTATCAAAACACATACAGCTGTAGACTTAAGTACATTCCACTGAATGCAACCACCACCCACACACCCACACGTGCACACAGTTTAAGGGGAGATACTGAGGGCAGACTAGAGGAGAGGCGTCTTTTAAAAGAGTGGTCTGGATAGGCCTCTTGTCAGGGGTGACATCTGAGCAAGGACCAGGAGGCAGTGAGGAAGCAAGATATGAGGATGCCCAGGTGAAGAACACCTGAAGTCCCCATAAGTGGGGGCCCTGAGAAGGGAATCTAACCTGCCTGAGAAACATAAAGCCCCTGCAGTTGGAATGGAGACAATGCAGAGTAGTAGCAGGAGGTCAGAGTTACTTGCATGATAACATTAAGATGTCATCTTTTACTGTGTTGACATTTGCAGACTGTGCAAAAGCAACTCTGGGTAAAACGAATCTTAGCATGAGTGAAAGCAGCAGTGATACCAGACTACCCTGGTAGTTACATTCTTCACTGCCAGGCCCTCACAGTTCAAAGAAAAATGCCAGTTTCACATTAGAATGTTCTTGATGACACAGCACAAATTTATTTCTGTTAATCTTAGCCCTCAATTACTTTAAAAAATATTCGGTATACGAAATTGAAACTCTATATATAAGATACTTCTTAGCCGGGCGCAGTGGCTCACACCTGTAATCCCAGCAGTTTGGGAGGCCGAAGCAGGAGGATCACGAGGTCAGGAAATTGAGATCATCCTGGCTAATACGATGAAACCCTGTCTCTACTAAAAAAATACAAAAAAAAAAAAAAATTGGCTGGGCATAGCGGCGGGTGCCTGTAGTTCCAGCTACATTGGAGGCTGAGGCAGCAGAATGGTGTGAACCCGGGAGGTGGAGTTTGCAGTGAGCGGAGATCTCGCCACTGCACTCCAGCCTGGGTGACAGAGCGAGACTCCGTCTCAAAAAAAAAAAAAAAAAAAAAAAAAGATACTTCATCATAGTCAAATAATCTAACTGCACTTGTGTGACTGAACCGAGAGATGAATTAGACACTTTTTTTCAATGTCACACCGTAACTATGGTTTTGCGGGTTTGGGTTCTTTGGCAGACATTTTCTTGAAAATAAATAAAGTGAACCTGACACTTCAAGGGGAATAACTGACACTATTTACTGCCAATAACAAAATTCAAGCTTTCAAGCAAAAGTTAGAATTCCGAATAGCTTTTATCTGTCATCTTGGGCTTGATAGCTTCCCAACACTTAAAAGACTTTTCTGTTGAAACCCACGGTGATACTAATGAATGTGATTTTTGATATTGTATAACAAGATGAGTTAACACTGGGAAAATCTATACAACTCATTTTCCAAATGACAGATGCAGGATGTTAAGAAATCATATACAGGTAAAAGATCTATTTGGAATACAAGACAGACCAAGACATGAAAAATTCACTGGTGTTTTCAGATTCCACGTTGCAATTTACTCTGAAGAAACTACTACTGACTGAGTTTTGGAGTTGTACCAAAGAATTATCTGAAAAGGCCATTGAGATACTCCTCTCTTTTCAACTGTATCACCTGTGTGAGGGGGATTTTCTTTATATACTTCAACCAATACAACATGCTTTAACAGGCTGACTGCAGGCGTTCAGAGTCTAGCTGTCTTCTATTATGCCACAATGTTAAAGAGATTTGCAAAAACAGAAAACAGTGCCACTCTTCTCGTTAAATTTTTTGTCTTGAAAAAGTTATTTGTCATTAAAAATGTGTTAGGTAATGAATTTGTTATTTAAATAATTTTTAAAATTTCTTACATAGTAAATATTAACAAATATAAATCACACAAAACACTCTTTAGGTGTTCTAAATAAATTTTTTTTTTTGAGATGGAGTCTCATTCTGTTGCCCAGGCTGGAGTGCAGTAGCGCAATCTCGGCTCAATGCAACCTCCGCCTCCTGGATTCCAGTGATTCTCCTGCCTCAGCCTCCTGAGAAGCTGGGACTACAGGCACACGCCATCATGCCTGGCTAATTTTTTTTGTATTTTTAGTAGAGACGGGGTTTCACCATGTTAACCATGATGGTCTCGATCTCCTGACGTCGTGATCCGCCTGCCTCGGCCTCCCAAAGTGCTGGGATTACAGGTGTGAGCCACCGTGCCCGGCCTAGGAGTTCTAAATAATTTTTATAAATGCAAATAGCTTCTGAGTTCCAAAACTCTGAGAACCACTGTGATTTTGGTTCCTCTCTCACTGGCCCTCTAGTCTGGCTAGAAACTCACTTACTTCAGAACCGCCTCTCCCTGAGGGAATCTAAATTTGGGCACAGAACTTGCTGTTCAGCTTTTTCTATGAACTTGGGATTCCCTCTCAATTGCCCAATCTTATTCCTTATAGAGGGAGCAGCTGATGAGACCTCCTCAATTCCAAAGTAAATCATCTCTCTCAGGAAAGCACCATACATCAAAGCTTTCACTTAAGGCAAAGGAGGGACCCAGAGAAAGACAACCTCCAGAGGTCAGGACTGGATTCAGAGCAGGACTACTGGCCCCTCAGAGGTTTTTCCCACGGGTTTGCATTGACACCGTATCTTTAATATAAAAAGGAGCACAGGTGTTTTGTATCTACATGCATGGTTTTAAGAATTAGAAAAATTAATTACAGAGTTGGCAAGCAAGTGAAATATTTCAAAACTTACCTCTTTTTGTATTTTAATTATCCAATTTTCATTAATGAGGATAATTTTCAGGCTAAAACACACCCACAAAATTATTTCATAAATTTCGCAGATGAGAAACTACTGCTCAGAAAAAGCTGGACTTGCCTAAAGCCACAAATACCATGGCAAAACTCCAGTTAGAAAACCCTTCTCAGTGGGTCTCACATTCCTGCACATTTTTTGAGTGAGGCACTAACTGCCCGGTTGCTCTGGACTATCTTTGCAAGGATATCTGCATAGCGAGCAGCCTTGAAAAACAGTCTTCCTCTAAAGCGAAGGGCAGATTTGCTTACTGTCCAGCATAATACAGATGCCTCTCTTGGGGCCGAAGGCAAGTCTGCTTGTGGTCCGTTATCCAAGGTTCCAGTTTTCTAAGCTCAGGAGATCTCAGCTATGATGCAAATCCACTGGGTGCACAGCATCCACCTGGGCCACTTCACGCCATCCCTCATAGGAGTTGGGGACAAAAGAGAAATGACGCAAACTTGATGCTTGTGCTGCTTGCTGTACAGTAAGTCCTTTGTTTCTGATGGTGTTCAGGAGACACTACTCCCAAAATATGGCATCTTGGCATACTGAAAATTTTACACTGGAGGAATCTGAAAAATGACGTGCAGGTAGGATTTTCTGACTGTCCCCTGAAGCAGGTCATAAAAGCATCTCACATAAGAGGTGCCCTCCCTACACTCAGAGGAAAGCAACATCCTTATCTCAGAAGAAGGGACAGAGAGAGGAATCTGAACAAAAGACTTGCTAAGTTTCTCCTGGCTTATTACTCTTCGTTCATACCCCTTGCTCCCATCATATTTCTTCACAACTTTCCACTCTTCATCAAAGCTAACATAAAAACACTCAGGTTCAACCAGTTCTTCGGTATTCATTTTCTTATGAAGGCTCCTGTGTCACCTAAAACTTTTGTGAAATAAAAGTGTATACCTTTCTCTTTGTTAATCTGTCTTTTGTTACAGGGACCCCAACTAATGAACTTCAAATGGGTGGAAGGAAAGGCTATTGTCCCTCCCCTACATCTCAGACCCAGAAGGTTCCTATCTTCCACCAGCATCAGTGAAAGTGTGGCAGGCTAACTTGTTAGTTTCAGGTCCCTATAGCTTCTGACTCCAAACAGACCACAAAACACAAGTATAAGATGTACAATAGCCAAAAATACTTCTTAAACAACTTGCTACGGCAAAGGAGGAATTAAACTGCCTATACTTGCACACTCTTTCTGGACCATATCCTTGGGGAAAAAAACAATAAGGCAATAGATAGCAAAATCTTTCATCTGGTAAATTTCACTCCTAGGAATTCACACTATATCGGGTTCCCTGGAAACAGACTCTGAGACAGACATATATGCAGAAAACTTAGCAGGCAGTGTTGTTCAGCAGATGCCCTTCTAGGAAAACAGAGAAAGAAGGATTGGGCAGAGGGAGAAGATAATGGGCAATGTGGCTACACTAAGGCCTCAGCCACATATGAGAGCTCTGGAGTCAGGAATGCCCTTCAGTTGTTCCAAGTTGAGGCACAGCAGCTAGATCATCATTCCCCTACATGGTCTAGCCACTGGCTAAAAGTGTCCCCTGTGAGGCAGTGTTAACACTGAATAGCCCTAATTATCTTCACTGAATTACAGACTGATACGGCTGACATTAAAAATGGGAAAGTCGAGACTTTCAGAGCACAGACACATGCAATCTCCAAATTCACAGAATAGTTAAGACAACACTAGCAAAAAAGGATACACAAACATAAGTGAGTAGAAAGGAATGGGTGTACTTCATATATTCAGATATAAGGAAATACACACAATGGTGACAATCACTGTGCTTTATGCCTGGTGTTATGGTGACTGTTTTACATATATTACCTCATCTACTTCTCGGAATGTACTGGACAGGTACTATCATCATACCCAATACACAAATGACACAAAACAGGTTAAGTAACTCACCCAAGGTGACAAGTAAACAACTGGCGGAGCTGGGCATCAAACCCAGGTCTGCCTGACTTCAGAGCCCATGTGCTTAATCAACCAATCCATTCCATGATCTCCCTATTTAGAGTGTTAAAAACAACAACTCAATACAACACGTATACCAAGGACATGTCATCCATTCACCCCTCCAGACCTACTTCCCGTCTTCACCTGTTTCTCTGGCCTGGGAGGCTGACTTGAACGTAATGCACGGAAGGGCTCCTTTGCTGCCAGGTACCTGGCTCCCTTGCTAGGATGACCTTGGGCTGGCCGTACCCGTGAATGGAGGTAGCAGCTCCTGTAAGGTGCTCTCTCTACACAACTTATCTGCAGATTCGGTAGCAGCTATTCCCCACCCACCCGTTGACTCTGCAAGCTCAGGTGGTAATCACTCCCACTACACATGCTAGGAGGTGCTGCACTGCCCCGAGGGGCCCCCCTATGCCCCACCCACACCTTGATAGTCTCTCCTCAGTCTGAGAGTGTCATCTTCTCCTGCCAACATCCTGAGCTGATATACACACCTATACATAAACAGGATGCTGAGTAATGGCAAAAAGGCATTATTTACCTTCCCAGAAAGAAATGTAAAGGTCATTTTCTGGGAATAATATGCTGTATTAGGGGAAAAATACTGGAAACAAGATAGAAACAGTCCTGCTCTTTAATAAACAACTGGAAGGAACACTTTGGCAAGTTTACTTAAGGCATAAAAGTAAATTATAGCTCCAGCAGCAAAGGTCCCTTCCTCCCTGTGACCCTGCCCCTGGCACTATCTTCTCCCTCCTCACCAACATCTTGCTTCCTCTGAGAAGCAGAGAAAAAAAGTACCTTCTCCCGATCCCTCCTGGTGGGACATACTTTCTATCTTTAGAGAAGGGTATCTAACCTTCAAACAATGTCCAGAGGTCAGCCAAATGAACAGGGGAATATAACATTCCAAATCAAAGCCCAAACATCAGGTACAGAATGGAAACACATAAATGTGCCTCAAGACAGTAAGCAGCATCTTCAGTCATTTGACCAAAGTTTAAGTAAAACTACCATACAACAGAGCTTACTAAGGTGAGGAAAGTATCAGGGAAAAATGAAAAATAGCTTCCAGAAGGATTCAGCTAAATTAATGGATGAAATAAATCCAACACTCCTTCATTCAAAATTGTTGATCAGGCACCAGCCAAGCTTAGGGGTGGGCCAGAAACTGTCTACCCCAGCCTTCAGCACTGACTAGCTGGGTGAAGCTGGGCAAGTTACCCTCCCTTAAGCTCAGTTCCTCAACTACAAAGTGACAGAATCATAGGAGGCAGTTCCTAAGTTTGCTACGAAGATTCAATAACTACAGATGTAAAGTGTTTAGCCCAGTTCCTGGTACACACTATAGATTCAGTAAATGTTAGCTAAAATGGATGGTATTACAAGTAGTAACAATTTAAAAGAAGAAACAAAAACTTCTGACCTGCCTTAAAATGCTCAACCTAATGAACTCTGTAACCGAAACAAAACTGGAGAGACCTGAAGTACACCCCTAATCTTTAGAACTTAAGGTGATAGAGAGAACATTACAGCTTCCCCAAAGGTCTGCTGTTACTATCAGAGATATGTGGGCTAGGTTCCTTCATTCAATGTAAAAAAGGACAAAATAGTGGCTGGGAGGGGGAGTAGTAAAAATGTATAAATCCATGTACAACTTCTATAGGTTTAATATTTTTTAGTTGTGCTACTAAATCAATAAACTGAACAGAAACAATTTCATGGGCTTTATGTCACCGGAATGATGAGTTAAATTTACCAGGAGTTTCCTTCTGAATGCCACAAGCATCATCAGTATCAATTTTAATAAACCTACTCTTTCTCTTTAAGCTCTGGCAAATCCAAGTACCAGTGCTCTTCACTAATGATTTTCTTTTCTTCTTCTTCTAGTTGTTTCTTGGTTTCTGAGTCCAGTCCCCTTTGCATAAACTGTGAAAACAAACAAAATCAATGTCAGAAACTTTTCCCATTTTAGAACTGAGGAAACCCCAAATAATTTTCTTCTTCTACTTGTTCTCCTTCATTTATCTATGGAACCCATCTCAAGATTGAGGGTTGGGGCAAGTGATCAAACGGTTTAGCTCTACCCTTCCAACTTTACACTAGACGATGAGGGCTTGTGTCAGGGCATGAGAAAATGCACAATGTATATTTCCTTCGGAAAACTTAAGGGCTAAGACACCACATTCGAAGGTCTTGTGCTCACCCACAGAGCCCACTGGCTTTGGCACCTGCTGATCTGGGGTTGAAATGCCCTTCTTATCCTCTTCCACCTGGCCAACTCCTCGCCCGTCTGACATAGGTAAAGCTACTAGACTTCTATGAGTGCCAGTAAAATCAGTGCCTCTGTCCTAAATGCTTCCATGGCTCCCTCCAATAGACTCACCACATCTGAACTTTCTGAGCATCTATCTTTTCTGGAGACCTTAAGGACTGGGTGTCTGGGTCATCTCCTTCATCTGTCCCAATATGATGACTGAAGCACAGTAAGAGCCCGATAAATGTAGGCAGAAGCAAAGGTACATCTATAAGTCTGCTCTTCGTTTTTATTTTTCCTCTGAAATGCTGCTAAACTCTTGAGCTGCTCTTATCAAATCTGCAGAAAGTTGACTCAAAATATGGCAGTAAATAACAGTCCTGCTGCCAGTCTCTCACTAGCATGAATACCTGTATTTCTTCAGGGAACAAGTGAACAAACTTAAGAGGCTAACCACAGCAACAAGATAAAATATCAACACTGGAGAAAATAAAATCAGAAAATACCCAGAAGCCTCCTAGCAGTTAGGTTTCAGCTTCCACTGGTTTCTATGTATCCCCCATTTCTTTCCCTTATTCAGGTCCGATATTTCTTTTTTATTTTTTTTTTTATTTTTTTTTTTTGAGACAGAGTCTCACTCTGTCGCCCAGGCTGGAGTGTAGTGGCACGATCTCAGCTCACTGCAACCTCTGCCTCCTAGGTTCAAGAGGTTCTCCTGCCTCAGCTTCTCGAGTAGCTGAGATTACGCGCCTGCCACCACACCCAGCTAATTTTTCTGTTTTTAGTAGAGACGGGGGTTCACCACTTTGGCCAGGCTGGTCTCAAACTCCTGACTTTGTGATCCACCCGCCTCGGCCTCCCAAAGTGCTGGGATTACAGGTGTGAGCCGCTGCGCCCGGCCCAGGTCCCATATTTCTCCTCCTTCTATTCCACCTTTTCCAAACATAAGCCTTTTTAGGCATAAGCACTTTAACAATGACTACTAAGTTAAATGAAAAAACCTTAACGTTCACGAATAAAATAGTCATGCACTGCAAAATGATGTTTGGTCGACGATGGAACCCATATATGACAGTGGTCCCATAAGATTACAATGCTGCATTTTTATTGTACCTTTTCTATATCTAGATATGTTTAGATACACAGACACCACTGTGTTACAACTGCCTACAGTATTCAGTACAGTAGCATGCTGTATAGGTTTGCAGCCTACGAACAACAGGCTGTACCATATAGCCTAAGTGTGTGGTAGGCTATACCATCCAGGTTTGCGTAGATGAACCCTATGATGCTCTCACAATGATGAAATCACCTAACAATGCATGTTTCAGAACGTATCCCTGTTGTTAAATCATGTGTTAAGTAACACATGATGGTGATAACATCAAGTGCTGAAGAGAATGTGAAGAAACTGATCACTCAAACATAGCTGGTGGGAAAGTAAATGGTACAGCCACTGTGGAAAACAGCATGGCAGTTTCTTAGCAAACTAAACATACACTTACCATATGACCCAGCAACCGTCCACGCAAAATGAGTGCGTGTAAAATGGTGAAATCTGCGTCAGCTCACTGTCAATGTCCTGGCTCTTTATCATATCCTAGTGTTGTAAAATGTTGCCGCTAGGGGAGGTGGCATGAAGGACGCACGGGATATCCCTGTACACTTTTTGCAACTTCCTGTGAATCTATCACTATTTTAAGTAAAAAGTAAAAGAAAACAAGTTTGCAGACTAGTGTTTTGCAGTCGTCATCCATTTTACCTGTGTGTACATCCTCATCCCAGGAAAGAACTGCAGTTTCTGGAATGTGCACGCTATACTTCCCAGTCCTTTTGCCTTTGCGACTTAACACGTTTCCATTTTCTGCCTGGCAAAATATTTACTCTTTTAAGCCTACAGTGTGTGTCCTTTGGTAAGACTTCCTGGTTGGCATTTGGCTTGGCTCTTCCTAGGTCTGCTCCTATAAAGAAGCACATTCTCAAGACAGCCTCATCAACACTGGAATATTGTTCACCATCGTGCTGCTTTGGTGTCTCCCAGGACTACGATTCTGAATAGACCATGACTCTTGTTCATCTTGTATCATTGGTACTTAGGCGGCACCCCTGGTACACAAAAGAGCTCACTCAGTGAAAGTTCTCTGAATGGAAATGAACCTAGACCTATCTTATTTTTCCAGATTCTCTTTCTGGGATGGTTTTCTTTAAATGCAGATGCCTCATTTCATCACTAATATTCCTCGTGGTAAAACTCATCAATACTGCCCAACTGCCCTTTTTTCTCCCATTTAGTCATGTACCTATTCTTTTGGTATACAACAGCCATATACATATGTTCTGTACACATAGAAAGGACAGAACTCCCTGTGAATATGAATCAAGCACCTCCAGACTTAGGTACAAGTTCGATTCTCCTACTCTAGAGCATTTCAGAACACATTCCAAAACTAGTGAGGACTCAGAGCAGGCATCAGCATAATACAGTCCTCAGGCTAGATGTCTGTTGTCGTCGATAAAGTTTTACTGGTACACAACCATGGTCATTCGGTCTTGAACAACACTGGCAGAGCTGAGTAGTTGTAACAGAGACTGTCTGGCTCATAAGACCAAAATATTTATCATATGGTCCTTTACAGAAAGTTTGCCAAGCCCTGTTCTGAGAGTCTAACAGTGCCAAAATCACAAATAAGCACCCTCTACAACCATTCCATACTGGAAGACCTTCCATCCACATCCTTCTTTTTCTTCTTCCCATTAGGATCACCCTGCAATGGCTGACCAAGTCAGAGGCATTGAAGTGAGTCAGGATTAAATCCTCAACCCTCTTATACTTGCCTAAAAAGTGGTCCCCAACCTTTTTGGCACCAGGGATGGGCTTCCTGGAAGACAATTTTTCCACGGGTGGTGGAGAGGGGAAGGGTAGATGGTTTAGGGATGATTCAAGTGCATTACATTTATTGTGCACTTTGTTTCTATTATTATATTATAATATGTCATGAAATAATTATACAACTCACCACAATGAAGAATCAGTGGAAGACCTGAGCTTGTTTTCCTGAAACTAGACAGTCCCATCTGGGTGTGATGGGAGACAATGACAGATCATCAGGCATTAGATTCTCGTAAGTAGAGCGCAAGGTAGATCCCTCATATGCACAGTTCACAGTAGGGTTTCTGATCCTAGGAGAATCTAGGATTCTGCCACTGATCTGACAGGAGGCGGAGCTCAGGTGGTAATGCAAGCTATGGGGAACAGCTGTAAATACAGATGAAGTTTCGCTCGCTTGCCTGCCCGCTGCTCACTTCCTGCTGTGCAGCCTGTTCCTTACAGGTCATGGACTGGTGCTGGTCCATGGCCTGGCGGTTGGGGACCCATGCTATATAGGACTTAGCTCTGGTTAAGGCACCCTAAGTGCAGCTACTCCATGCCTTCTCACAGTATACTCTGTTCTATCAGTATAGACAGTGTCTCCTGCTATCTTGCCAGTAAGTTTTTTCTTATCAATGACCAAAGCTGCTAAACCAAATAGAGAATGTGGGTGATCTTTTTCCTTCTCCTTTGCTTCCAACGTCCAGTTGAGTCTCCCCATTTGGTGGGGGTGGACATTTAAGTTAATTTCTTTCTTCTTAGTTGCAACTCGGATATTTAGTTTGAGCCTGAGTCACCCAGTACATCATCTGGCTTATTCCAAGAGCTAAAACAACTGCTAAAATCTTTCCAATATCTGCTTGGCCAATTCACTCCACTTCTCTGAAGTTAATGTTATTACCAACCATAAAATCAAACTCTGTTCAGTAAAGATTCAAATTTTGCTAATATGCATGAAAGTGCTTGACAAACTCTAAGTTATGCTGCAATTTGTCCTCCACCCTCATTCACCCATTCATCCCTAACTCCATCCTAGCTCAACTCCATTCAAATCTTGCCCATATAATGTTTACTCTCTCTCTTTTTTTTTTTTTTTTGAGACAGGGTCTCCCTGTGTCACCAAGGCTGGAGTGCAGTGGCGCCATCTCAGCTCACTGCAGCCTTGATCTCCCAAGCTCAAGTGATCCTCCCACCTCAGCCTCCCAAGTAGCTGGGACTAAAGGTGCGTGCCACTAGGCCTGGCTAATATTTTGTATTTTTTGTAGAGATGGGGTTTCACCATGTTGCCCAGGATGGTCTCAAACACCTGGGCTTAAGCGATTTGTCTACCTCAGCCTCTCAAAGTGCTGGGACTACAGGCATGAGCCACTGCGAATGGCCTATCTTTCAAAACATTATGAATGCTTCCTTCCCTCTTTTGGAAATTCCACCTCTTTAAACATGACATGTAACAGTTTGCTACTCTCTAGAAGTAGTGCTTAGTGACAGGCATCACAGAGTACAGAGTAGTAATAAAGAGCCAGGGTTCTGGAGCCAGACTGCCTGAATTCCCGTCCTGTCTACACTACTTATTAGCTGTGTAACTTTGGGTAAATTACTTATTTCTGTTTCAGTTGCCTTAGCTGTAAGAAGAGAGTTACTGCCTGTAGTCACCTCAAAGTGTCATTATGTGAATTGCATAGGTTAATATACGCAAACCACTTCAATCATTGTCTAGTACTATAAATATTTGCCATTTTCTTGATACTGTTCCCCGTTTCAATAGCTTTCCATTGCTCACAAAATAAAGGAAAATATCTTTAATCTGGCCTCAAATTCCCTGCACGTTGTGACCATTGCCTACTCTGCAACCCCATTTCTTAGTACTTGCCTTCCAGACATACTGAATTGTCTCTAATTCTTGGAAATTTCCATGGTTTTCTTTTTCTTTCTTGCCTCTCAGACTTCTGAACTCAGTTTCTCCTAGTTTAGGACGCTGTGCCTTCCACCCTCCCAGTAACCTAGAGACTACCCTGCGAGACTCACCCTCTTCTCCCTGGAAGAAGAGGGAGTTCTGCCAGCAGACTGTCTTTGGACTTGGACTGAGTACTTCTCTGGGTCTCCAGCCTACTGGCCCACCCTGCAGATTTTAGACTTGCATCTCCACAGTCGTGTGATCCAGTTTTAAAAATACCCCCTCTCTCCATACACATATATACACATATACATCTTGTTGATTCTGTTTCTCTGAAGAACTCTACTAAAAGAAGTATTATCAAAATTAAAAAGGAGCTTGAACTCATGTAGCCTAATGCTCTTCTTTTTAAAGATGAGGAAAAGAGATATTCAGAGAAAGAAGTGAATTTACCTAAATTACCCAGCTAAGGAGTTACACTTCCCATATATCATATTTATTGCATATATAAGTAAGCAACAACTTCTCGAGAAGCTCGGTGAGTCCCCAAGGTCCCCAGCGCTTCTACCCTCACTGCACTGGGTAAGCTGTACCCTGACTGCTTCTGTGTACTCAAGCTCCCATCCGCCCGCGGGCCTCCTGAGAGAGTCGGCCTAATTCGTAAGCTGGTTCCCAGTAAACAGTGCAGAGCAGGCGCTAAGTGAATGAATGAGCACGAGAGCTGGAAGCCCTCTGAGGCCTCTCTGGTGTCCCTTGTCCGCCCGCCGCCTCGGCCCCGGCCAGGTTGGAAGGACCGGGTGCCCCTACCGCCCGGAGTGGCGCTCTCAGCGTCCCCGCACCTTCATGCGCAGTAGATTCTTGGACAACCTTGTCTTTCGCTCGGCCGCCATGGTAGCTTCCGCCCAGCGCCGCACTCCGGCCGCGAGCCTCACCGCACATGCGCGGAGCCGCGTGCGCAGCTGCGTCCCTCGCGTAGTGCGCGCCGCCCCGCCCCGCCCCTCCCCTGTGTCTTGCGCGCGGGCGCGGCCACTCAGCGGGCGCTCTGCTGACTGAGAGGCTCGGGTAAGCTCGCGGGGTGGCGGGCGCGGGGATGAGCGCGGCAGACCGCAAAAAAGCCGAAGTCAGAGGACGACCCAGAACTTGGCTTCCCCGAGCCGCGGGTCGCCTTCCCGGGACGTCGGCCTGGCCCCCTCGGAGGCCCATCCTCCCTCGGGGACTCCCTTCCTCAGGGACCCCCTCCACACTCAGTAGTCCTCGCCAGCCTCAGAGAGGTTTCCGCCACGCCTGCCACCCGCCTGGGCCGTGTTACCCACGTGTTTTGTCTTCATAACGTGGGTGGCGGGCTCCCTTTGTTCTGGGTCGCTTTGCAGGGTCCAGGTCGTTTTCTCTTCACCAGGACCCCACGAGTTGCTGCTTTCCTCACAGCAGCCCGGAGTCCCGGGGGAGCGCGGCGGGGGCCGCCCCAGGCAGGCTGGCTTCATTCCCAGGCTGCTGCCGATGCGTGTCTGGCCGAGTGATCTCTGCTAAACAGAAGAATCTCAAGAAATGGCAAGGGATGGAGGCAGGGATGGGTGCCAAAGACACATGAATGAGAACAAAGCCTGGTTTTGATCCAAAGAATTGAAAAGACCATAGCGAGGGGCAACATAGGGAGACCCCACCTCTACAAAAAAAAAAAAAAAAAAAAAAAAAAAAAAAATATATATATATATATATATATATATACACAAAAAATATACAAAATATACATACAAAAAATATATACAAAATATACAAAAAATGTACAAAAGATACAACAAAAATAGCTGGGTGTGGTGGCACGGATCTGTGGTCTCCACTACTTGGGAGGCTGAGGCTGGAGAATCACTGGAACCCGGGACGTCGAGGCTGCAGTGAGCTGACATCCCGCCACTGGACTCCAGTCTGGGCTACAGAGTGAGGCTTTGTCTCAAAAACAAAACAACAAAACAAAAAAGAATTTAAAAAACCACTGAAAATAGGGTAGCGTTCCTACCCTGGTGTTTAATGCTCTGGGTACCACCTAAACACGTTTTCGAAAACCATTCCCAGGTCCGACGCTTTGGAACACCCTCAAGCTAATAGCATCTCGGCTGATACCATGAGTTCTACGTCAGATTGTTGACCTGGTCACCTTAGGGCTAATTAGTTCACTTAATCCCCATAAGAACCGGAAAGAAGGTATTGTCATCGTGTTGTTAAGGATTCTGAGACACAGAGTGGGTAACGCACTTGGTGTTCACACAGCTAATCCATGTTAGAGCTGAAATTCAAACACCGATTTGGATGTTAAAAGCCCTTTAGGTTTTCCCAGGGGTAAATAAAATCATTGTAATGTACCAAGTGGCTACAGAATCTCATTCACTTGTGACTGTGTGTGAGATGCCGGGGGTATAATAGCGTGTAAAAACACATATCCCCACCTTTCCTGAAGCTGATATTCTGGACGTAAGTAAGTGGCGACTGCTATGAAAGAGAGAAAACAGTGATGTGACAGAGTAACGCTTAGGGTTACTTTAGACCAGGTGGTTTGGAACGGCCCTTGTCAGATGATGGTGCTAAGGCTTGAAAGTTGAGAAAAACGTGTTTTATGAAGAGTTGGAGGTAGAGTGTGCTCAGAAGACAGCATCAACTGTAAAGGTCCTCAGATATGAACAAGACAAAGTCCGTGTTAAAAGTTTTACAAGTGGAAACAGTAGAGGTTAATCATAAGCCACATTGCATCCCCCAAAATTCATATGTTGAAGTTCCAACTCCCAGTGCCTCAGAATGTGAATGTATTTGGAGACAGTCCTTTTTAAAGAGGTGATTAAAACAAGACCCTTAGGGTGAGCCCTAATCCAGTCTGACTGATGTCGTCATAAGAAGAGGAAATTTGGACACAGACACCAAGGTTGTGTTTGCATAAAGGAAAGACTATCTGAAAGCCAAAAAAATAAAAAAAATTTAAAAAATCTCTCAGGAGAAACCAAACCTGCCAACACCTTGATCTTAGACCTCTAGCCTCCAGCACTGTGAGAAAATCACAACCAGTCTGTATAGGGCACCCAGTGTGTAGTGTTTTCTTATAGTAACCGTAGCAGACTAATATACCATACAATTAGCTGTAGATGACAGTTGTGATGAGAGCCCGGTAAGGAAAGTTTGAGGGTCATGAAAGGGTACAACGAGGGTACCTAAACCATTCTGGCCTGGAAATGAGGACTCTCCTAAACGTAGAGAGGAGTTAATCAGGGAAAAGGCCCACCAATCATTCACATTGTTATGCTGCTTTTACCACCATAGGACTCTTCATCTTGCAAAATGAAAACTCTTGTTCCCATTAAACACTAATTCCTCAGGTCCTCACGACTACTTTCTGTCTCTATAAGTTTGGTTTTTCTGTGGGATTCTCAAAGAACTGCTGTGAGAGTAGAGGTGAAGGGAGAAGTGACTCAGTCTGCCTTCTGCACTTGGGAAACTAAGGGGCGACTGAACTAGGATGAACACATGTCTTGTCAGCTTCAGAAGAGGAAAACAGCATTCCCGGCGAAATAAGAGCATATATCTATCATGTAAGGATGCTGGAAGCGCCACACCTTCTCTATGGACCCCTGTTGTACCAGTCTGTGTTCTGATTTGTTTTTCTGAAACATTGACATTATTATGTTATTCTTTCACTCTAAAATTTACAATATCTGTTATTGTCTGAGAGATAAAGCTCACCTTCTTCAACCTGCCACTCAAAATTCTATTTTTCTATTTGATGGTGAAAATCCTTATAATTAAAATGAATCCCCCAAGTCTTTTCCCACCCCTCAACATGTTATAAATGAGAAGTGATTTAAGAGTAATAGTGTAATTTTAACTTTGAAAACTACCTGACAAGATAATTCCTTGATCTTTCTATGCACCTGAATTGCAGAGCACAGAGGATAGATCTCACAATCAATAATGTGTTAACCTGTTGTAGTTACCCAGCCAAAGAAACATCATTTTGAGGGAAGAAATGTTTCAAATAGGTCTTCACACAGTTTTGAGTCCTGTCATAATGGAATTTGTTGGAAGTATGAAAGCCTCCAATTCCTGCCAACTACTATATCCATCAAGAAAAGGTTCCCTGTGACTCTTCACTCCCATAGCAGATCTAAGGCTGTGGTGCCTAGTGCATAGATGCTTGTCATATGTGACTAGTGAGCACTTGAAATGGGGCTAGTGCAACTGAGGAACTGAATATTTTAGTTAATTTAAATTAAATTTTATTATATTATTATTATTATTATTATTTTGAGACAGAGTCTTGCTCTATCACCCAGGCTGGAGTGTCGTGGTGCAATCTTGGCTCACTGCAACCTCGCCTCCTGGGTTCAAGCAATTCTCATGCTTCAGCCTCCTGAGTAGCTGGGATAACAGGTGCCCACCACCACACCCAGCTAATTTTTGAATTTTTGGCAGAGATGGAGTTTCACCATGTTGACCAGGCTGGTCTCGAACTCCTGGCCTCAAGCAATCTGCCTGCCTTGGGCTCCCAACATGCTGGGATTATAGGCTTGAGCCACCATGCCCAGCAATTTAAATGTTAAAAGTAACAGTGTGAGTTATTTTTCTGTATATGAGGCTATATTGTTTTGGAAGGAACATATATCACTTTAACTTTTCAAAATTTAGCATCTGCATTGAGATGTGCTGTAAGTGTAAAAGACATACCACACTTCAAAAGACTTACTCTAAAAAAAATCTCAATATTTTTTCATATTATATATTAATAATAAAGATATATTTGTTTAAATAAAATATAGCCTTAAAACTAATTTCATCTGTTTCTGTTTACTTTTTAAAATGTGGCTGCTAGAAAATATAAAATTACATGTGTGGCTTGCATTTTTTTCTTTTCTTTTTTTTTTTTAAATACTGCAATGGCTATGCATACCTTCCTAGTGCAGAAACTGGAGGAGAATCTGGGGTGAGCACAGGAAGGAACTCTTTTATGCAATGAGACAATGAAGGTGGTATATTAAGTATTAGTTTTTGTTCATTTGTCTGTTTGTAGGTACCAGATATTGAAAAGACTTGTTAAACAAAATGGTGATTTAGAAGGATACTGGGTAGTTCATAGGTGTTGAGAAGGCTTGATAACAAGGCTAAGTTAAAAGAACAGAAACCAGGGCATTCCAAGGAACTTAATGACACAGCAAGAATGGTGAGCACCAATTGATTTCTCTGCTCTTTGGACACTTTACTCAAGTTTTCAAAATCAAGGAGAGAGTTTTGTTATGTCTCAGCTAAGGGAGGGCAGGACCTGATTTACAATTTCAAGAAGACTATACACAATGGGGGAGGGTAATTCTTTAAAGAGAAATTGGGTGCTGTTCCTCAGAGATAGTCACTATACTAGCCACAACAGCAATGCCAAGGACATATCCACTTAAAGCAGGATGAGAGTTCTGTTGAGACAGCTGGAAGGACAGACAAATGGTTGAGTGTGAGTTCCGAACTCATGTCCAACATCAAATCCATCTCGCAAAATGTGCTCCCTCTTTCTGCTTCCCTGATTTATTCATCAAGTATTTTTTTTTTTTGGCTACCTGTTACATGCAAATTGTTACTCCAGGTTAACCAGCCTAACAATGTAGTAGTATAAGGCATTCCTTCTGCTCTTACCTTCGGTTACTTATTACCTTTTCGTGGATGTCTTGGTTAAATCAGAACATTAGTACTGGAAATGGCCTTATATGACATCTAGGTAATTCCTAAACATCAGTAAGTTGTTATGAGAAAGATCATGAAAAATTAAAACACATCAAAACCAAAAACATTGCTGATTCTCTGGATGATTCTGATGATCAGCCAGTATTTGGAAACTATATAGAGTTAGCTGGACCTTTTAATTATGTATACCAAATTATGTCAGCTCAGTCAGAATTGAGGTTTGTTAGCATTCCACCTAGCTTTTTTTTTTTTACTGTGCCTCCATCCATCCCTTCTTTTCTGTTGCTGCAAGCCTATCCCAGAATTTATGCCTAAATCTTACTATGTTATGACTGTCTGATTGCCATAGGCTCCTATTTTTTGTTCTGCCTTCTTCATTTTTTATTCTTTTATTTACCAAAAATTTTAAGGCATCTCTTATGTTTCTGGTGCTTTGTTAGGTACTAGGGAAACCACCCCCGCCATGGGTATGCCCAAGACAACGATATGGATCCTAAGTACTGTCATAGAGATGGAAGATGTGGAAGGCAGCATAATCTGGATTTAAAGCGCTCTGAGATCCATCCTTGGGAAAGTGACAGCTAAGCCGAAACCTCAAGATGAGTTACACGTTTGTGAGACAAAAAAATGGAAAGGGGCATGGAGGAGTGAAGTCCAATAGAAAAGGGTTAAAGTGATGCTTGTTGTATAGGTGACAAGTCTGGGGAGGCAAGTTACGGCCAGATCTTAAAGGCCATGTATTAAATTGGTAGGATTTTATCTGAAAGTTTCTGCAAGGCTATTGAACTGTTTTAAGCAGTAGAGTGACACCGTTTAAACATTGCACAATAGAATTGTGTGATTCTTAAGATCACTGGCTAAAGTGGAGAAGGGAAATGGAGGAAGGAAGAACAAAGCAGAAGACAAGGAGAAAGCCTGACCCTCAAGCCATTTTAAAGATTATTTTAGATTACACTTCGTAATTTCCTGTAGATTAATCTTCCATTTTATCTAGTTCATCCTATCACCTTTGAGATAAAATCCAAACCCAGGTCGAGACTTGATGGGTAAGACTTTCTACACCTGCCTTCTAGCCTTATCTTCTAGCTTTTCATCTGTCTTATATGTCTCAACGTACTCTCCTCTAGCCAAGTTGATCTACTTACTGTCCCTCCAAACATTCCATATTTATCCTTCATATAAATTTCATACTGCCTTCTCTTCTGGAATGATGCCTGGAATAATGTTTTTGGTGTTCTTTCAACTTTTCAAATCCTACTCCTCAAGGCCCAATTCAAATTTCACCTTCTTCTTACATCAACTGAAAATGATGATAGGGCTGTGTTATAGTTTCAGTGTTTAATTACACACTACGTTTCATTGTTAACTAAAACGATTTCAGGTGCAGGAGGACAATTCTGGGTTTTATACTCACCTTAAATGTTTCACAGCTTTAAACACAGTTCTTAAGATACTAAAAAAACACTTATTGAATGAATAAGTGAAAAACCGCCTGCTCTGTAAAATGGGTGAGACAGCATTTAAAAAATTATATACATCCTTTAATAACTTACAGGCCCCACAATACCCAACAAATTCCATCCAGCTGAGTTGACAGGTTTTTTAAAAAATTTTTAATTTTACCAAAGAAAATTAAAGAAATGAAAAGTCAAGGATGAGGTAAAAAAACAGCTTATTTTCCTGTACTAATTCTATTTAAAATGTTATTTTCAGTTAAAAGGTATGATATCTTTGGCCTGTGAGGAAATTTCTAAAGAAGCCAGTTGCTATGGGGATTATGAAGAGAAACAATTTAAAAAACATAATCAATTCATGCAAATGAAGCCAAAAGGTCTAAACCTGGAAGACATTTGGGAGGGATGGAGGAGGTTCTCAGAAAGAGGAAGCACATGGAAATGAAGTGTTAGGGGAATATGTTATAACTGGAAACCTGGCCATAGCTGACATAGGGTTGTTACTTTCCCAAGGAAAGGGAGTAATTGTCGTATTTACTAATGAGAAGGAACAAAAGAAAGGTCTTAAATCAGAGGACTGGAGAGGCCAAACAGTCTTCTCTTTACCTACAACGGATCCTTACTCCTAGAAAAGGAGAGAGCAGGTTATAGAAGCCGTTGCCAGCTGAAAAGAAGGCTGCTGGGCCTGTGGACTGAGTCAAGGGCTCTTGCTCTCACCTTCCTATATCCCTCTACTACTCTAAGAATATGCCTCCCACCATTAAAAAACAGAAAGCCAATATTTTTCTTATAAGGACAGTTACATGTCTTTAAGTTTTGTTATTTTATTTATTATTTATAGTAAGTTTTTTTTTAAATTCTTCTTTTATTAGTTGTGCTGGGAAGGCTTGTTTGTTCTGTGGCTACTGGAGAGCTCCACATAAGCCGAATTCAAGCCATGCAGGTGCTCACAGCTTTTGGAGAAGGATACCATCACATATACCTGGACACAAATCATCCCGGCACATTCCGGTGGTACCCAGGCACTGCTGACCCTAACAATGAGACATTTTCTCTGTTTCACACAGCAGCAGGGGCTGAAAAAAACTCTGCAAATCCAATTTACTGTTTTAAAGAAAACTAAATTTATGAAAATGATCTCTAGGGGAAGTTGTACGGTGGAGTGGAAAGAACATAATCTTTAGAAATAGAAAGACTTGAATTTGAATCTTGGTTCTAGGATTTCTAGCCATGAAAGCCTGTAGTAAGTTTTGCAGACTTAAAAATGCATTTTGTCTTTCGGAGAATTTTTTTCCTGTTACAACTTTAAAATAGAAACAAAAAACTGTTCTCCTGGATTACGACTTGTATGCTGAGAATATGCCTGAAAAATCAAAGGCAGGTGCATTAAACCTTGCATACTCACCAGATGGCGTAGGTTGATGGAAAGTGAATTCTTAATCCTGATGCTGATGTTGAAGACTCCTTTATCCCACTGGTGTTCTTACCATAGTTAGAAATTGCTGGCCTAAAGAGCATGGACAAACCAGGGCAGGGGTTTTCGTGACAAAAGTGAATAATTAGGAATCAAAGTTCTCTTTTTAAAGCCCTGTAAGTTATTAAGGAATTCTTACGTTTGTAGATATTTTGTTAGCAATGATGTGATAAAGTGGAAAAGAATCCAATTAGATATTAGATTCATTTGATTAAAAAAGATTAGTTTCCAAACTATGATATATATGTGTGTGTGTGTATATATGTATAAAGAAATGTACAAATTAGAAAAATGAAAGTCTCACCTACTTCATTTCCCCAACTCCCATTCCTTAGGGGCAACTTCCATTAAATCTTCTGGCTTCAAAAATTTGCACTAAAAGAATGCTCTTTAAGTGAACTTTTTTTTCTGTTGAATTGTTTTAAGAAAAGTATCTGTTTCTTATAGTAAGAAGGCACTGCAAAGTGCTATAATTGTTTTTCCTTCTTAAATATACCTACAAACAATTGTTTTGTTATATTAATATTTCTCTGCTGAGTAACATTTGGCCAAGACTTAACTACCACCATTGGATGGCAGCCTAAATTGCCACCCCTGAGGAAGTGAATTCATCCTTGACAATAGGTTCCATAAAATCCATCTTACAAGTGACAGGTTTGCACAGATGTTTTTAAATGAAGTGTTGAATAAATGGTTCCTCTTGTTTCTAGCAAGCATGAGAGTGAGAGAGCGAGTGAGCAAAAGAAATGACTAGTGACCAGTTGAGAAAGTCCTGTCTTCCATTGAGCCATTTCACTCCTGCCCATCTACTCTCAACTGCTCAAGAGCCGCTGAACCCTCTGAACACTGTGAGGATCAGATGAGACAACGTGTGTGAAAACACCTTACAAATACAAAGCTGTGAAGATGTAAAGGATGGTTATTACAGAATGGAGGTAGATTGCTTCTATAGTCTCTTTTATTGGCATGGTGGATTTTTAATGGAGTAGCCTGTATGAATTAACTACCACAAACTAAGATCTGTACTATTGGACATTTTTATTTTCTTTAAATCCACTTAAAGTTAAATCTAACATCTAATTATACTTATGGGCTGGCAGAAATTAAATTTAAATATTTATTAGTGATGTCCTGCCCCAAGCATAGTCCAAGGGTTCAGGGTCTTAAATGATGCCAAATCATAGGTGAAGATCTCCTTGTCATTGATCATGAATTATGTCCTTATCTCACTGATAATGCAGAGATATCCATTTTCCATTCATCTTAATCTTTTTAGATTCTGCTTCTCCCTTGCTTCCAGTCCACGTTCGGTGTCACAAATCTTCGAGAGGACTGGAAGTCTAGCATCCAACATTACTGCGTGCACAATACAGACACTGTTTGCCTTGTAAGATTCTTTGTCTCACTGGATCTTCTGAACTCTGACCTCTACCCATTATTGAAAAAACTTATTCTTCCCTTTTGCTGCCCTAGAAAGTACTGTCTCTCCTGTCTGCCTCTGGGCATCAGGGACATACCTCTTCAGTGTAGACTTTTACAAAAGCCAAGAGGAGCTATAGGATTCAGGCAGTTCCCCTCTATGTCCTATAAACCTCCTCTCCTGCCCCAGAGATAAGACGTACAAAGTGCCTGGCCACCTTCCTGGAAGTGTTGAGGTGTGCATAGAGTAAAACATGAAACTCAAAACATTATTCTGCTCCAGTGGCATAACAAATAACTTCTCTTGGCTTCAGCATGGCAAAATTTTGGTGAACACACTCCAGGTTGTATGTGTCCTCCTAGCTGGATGAACAGAACACTCCATGTGATCTTCTTGATTTCTTGACTGTACCTAGACTAAACAACTGTTTTTGTTTTTTCATCTAGCTGCAATAATTCCAGTGTAAGAGGAAAAGGAAAATACTTCATTAACTCTAAAAAAATAATTATAATAGTTTATAATTTGCATTTGTTGATAAATAGCTCCCTTAACATTGGTGAAATACAATAACCAGCTTCTATGGTTTCGCTATTGCATTTGAATTTTTATAGCATCATTCAAACTATAAGAAAGCTGAGTTGCATTTGGTTTGTGCTGCTTAGGGGATGTGTGTTAGGAATGATTAGTCTTGTAGATTAAATTATTATCTAACCAGTCAGGAGGAATTAATTGCTGTGGTTTAAAGATATGGCTATTTGGCATTTAGTAGATCAGTTTTAAGGAGGGAAACTGTTAAATCTTTTTGCTATGGAAAATTTCAAAAATATTCAAAAGTACAAAGAAGAGAATACTTTAATCCCTACATGGTCATCAGCCAGCTTAATTATCAATTTATGGCCAATCTTGTTTTATTTATGTTTCCAAGTTTTCCTCTTTCCATCCCTCTTTCAGTTTGAAGCTAATCCTAGGCATTGTGTAATTTATCTGTAAATATTCCAGTAGATATCTCTAAAAGGTAAGGACTTAAAACAAAACATAATCCCAATGCCATCATCACACTTAAAAGCTAAGCAACAATGAAAGAACACTTTTTAATGATCCTTCTGTTTTCATCATTTATCTTATCATTTATCTCCTTATCATTTAAAATTTAATATTAGATTATGTCAACAGCAGAAATCTATACCTACTAACATATTATGAAAGATATGCAGGATACGTTAAGTGAAAGAGGAAGTAGCAATAAATTCTATAACATGGTTTATTTCTATTTTAAAAATTATAAAAATGAGGCTGGGCACGGTGGCTCACGCCTGTAATCCCAGCACTTTGGGAGGCCGAGGCGGGTGGATCATGAGGTCAGGAGATCGAGACCATCCTGGCTAACACAGTGAAACCCTGTCTCTACTAAAAATACAGAAAATTAGCTGGGCGTGGTGGCGGGCGCCTGTAGTCCCAGCTACTCTGGTGGCTGAGGCAGGAGAATGATGTGAATCTGGGAGGCAGAACTTGCAGTGAGTGGAGATCGGGCCACTGCACTCCAGCCTGGGCGACAGAGTGAGACTCTGTCTCAAAAAAAAAAAATTATAAAAATGATATCTATATTTGTTTAAATTTGTAAAAGGTTGGAAGCATATATCGCAAATCAAGAACTGTGGTATTTAAAGTAATGATTACAATTGATATTGTGAGTAGGGAAGAGACTCTCACTTTAAAACCTGCATTAACAAAATCTTTTTCTAAATATATATATATATATTTTTTTTTTTTTTTTGAGATATATTACTTGTTTTTTTTGAGACAGAATCTCACTCTGTTGCCCAGGCTAGAGTGCAGTGATGCAATCTCGGCTCACTGCTATAAAAACTCAAATGCAATAGTGAAACCATAGAAGCTATGGAAGTATTTCACTCACTGCAACCTCTGCCTCCTGGGTTCAAGCAATTCTTGTGCTTCAGCCTGTGAGTAGCTGGGATTATAGGCCTGCACCATCACACCTGACTAATTTTTTGTATTTTTAGTAGAGATGGGGTTTCGCCACTTTGGCCAGGCTGGTCTCGAACTCCTGGCCTCCAGTGATCCGCCGAGCTCATCCTCCGGGATTACAGGCATGGGCCACTGCCTGGCTGAAAATGTATATTACTTTCCGAATTAAATTTTCAAAGGAGAATTCATGAAAGGAAGAACTTGCATATATTTTGTTAAAATGTGAAATGAGAGACATTCTCAGGGCAGGGTGTGCTATCCAAATATTGTCCCTCAGTTGGATGATCTTACTCTTGGGTTAATAGGAGTAGCAGCTGGCATGTATAGCTTGCTGGCCATGTGCCAGGCACTGGGATAAGTGCTTTCAAGCTGGTGATTTATTTGTCACCACAACCCTTTGAAGTAGGTATTGTTATTATTCCCATTTCACAGATTAAGAAACATGATCTACTGAAATCCCAGTGCTTGGCTTGGAAGGCTAAGATAGGAGGATTGCTTGAGGCCAGGAATTCAAGACCAGCCCGGTTAACACAGTGAGAACTCATCACTACAATAAAAAAATAAAAAATAATAATAAAAAAATAGCAGGTGTGGTGGTGCATGCCAGTAGTCCCAGCTGCTTGGAGGTTGAAATGGGAGGATTATTTGAGCCCAGGAATTTGAGGCTGCAGTGAGCTATGATTGAGTCACTGCACTACATCCTGGGGTGACAGAATAAGACCCTGTATCTAAAACGAAAAAAGAAAAGAAAAGGAAATAAAAGAAACATGATCTAGAGCAGAGAAATTACTTGCCAGAGGTTTGGAAGAGTCTGACCCAGGCTTGGTCCTGAGCTGGTGGGACTCCCTGGCCATTGCTCCACTCACTTCATTGATCATTCTGCTTCCCTGGGTTCTGAAGTCTCAATATTACCAAATGAATTTTGTTATTTCAATTCATACTTGTTTGCCTCTTTTGTTGCTGAATTGCCATATTATCCTTATTTTATTATGAACTCAATGGCTCAGACAAGACAGAGTAGTAATTCCTCCCATTTTATCCCTTGTCCATAGTATCTGATTGGCCTGAAAGATGAAAGGGAGAAACAACACAAAAGGAACTTCATGCCTTTTGTGATTTAGGAAACATTTACATGACAAGCAGGTGGTTCTTGTCATCAATGGCTTTTTGTATTGTGCCTCAGCTGCCTAAAGTTTTTTGTCAGTGGAAAATGTCATAAAGTTCCTTTTAATTTATCTATTCCATAAACCTAGGACAAAGACATAGCAAGTATATGGGAATAGAAGTGCACAGCACTTTTATTTGGAATACATTTCACATTATAGTTGTAAACAAGCTGTTACTATCTTTTTAAGCAAGTTGTTATGGATTAGCCCTTGCATACTGTAGCAAATTTATTTTTCACAACTTGACCTTAGCGTCCACAATGCTTTGGAACCTTTTGGTCATCTTTTGTTCAGGAATAACAAATTAACTTTATTATGTAATATAAGAAGAATGGGATTGCAAAACAAAATCCACAAAACGATATGTCCACGTACACACAAACACATATTATGAGACATGAGTTATTTGCATAGTCACACTATTATTTCCCTTATCTATTGGAGATAATTGAGATATTACTGTACACCCAAAAGGGAACTGTCTATACCCCAAAGAAAATTGATCGTTAACAGAAAGTTGGCTGAGTTTTATATTCCAGTGATTGTTTCAGAATAAAATGTTTCTATCTTTTGCACTTCTGTGCCATAGCCATTCCACCAGGGGCCATAGGGACTGGGTTGAGAAAACACCTCTGACCAGGACACTTTCCAGAACTTAGACCACTCAATGACGCTCTTGACACATAGTGAGAAAGTACATCAAGGATGAACTTCACAGACTGCAGGAAGATATTGCACAATTCTGCTTGTATCCTTAACATAAGATTAGATACTTTAGTCATTTAGATTACAAATTTCACTCTTCAGATAAGCTGAATGGTAGGCCCTTCTAGTGAGTAGTTAGTTCACAGTGTTTGGAGAAAAAAATTTAATATTAATTCTTCTGCAAATGTATAGATCTCTATGCCTCAGTTTGGGTATAGCCAAAGAGGATATTTTGAGAAATCCTATGAATACTCATAATTATGTTTGGTGAGATTTTTCAAAATACCTTAATTCTGACTCTTTAGGAGGCTCAGAGAGATGAAAGAATTTTTGCTCTGAGTGGAAAGAATTGTCCACTGTTTATTGTCATGAAACATTATGGTGTGCTTTAAAAAATATTTGGTTAATTCAGGAGCCATAGTGTAGGAAATTCAGTTCTGTAGCCTATCTTCTAGGTGGGTCTCCCGCCAGTGTCTGGGATACCTTATGAATTTAGGTCTCATAAACTAACATTTTCCCTCCAAGGGGATGTATTTTTTCTGTGACTTATATGTCATGGTTGGCTTTTTCGTTCTTCCTTCTGATGAATTACCTTGCAGTTGTTGTTACTTAGAAAGTCCAGAGGTGGGTGTTCAGTTGTGTCATAAATGTAATCTTTTTTTTTTTTTTTTTTTTTTGAGACGGAGTTTCAGTCTTGATGCCCAAGCTGGAGTGCAATGGCATGATCTCGGCTCACCACAACCTCCGCCTCCCAGGTTCAAGCGATTCTCCTGCCTCAGCCTCCCTAGTAGCTGGGATTACAGGTATGTGTCACCACGCCTGGCTAATTTTGTATTTTTAGTAGAGACGAGGTTTCTCCATGTTGGTCATGCTGGTCTCGCACTCCCGACCTCAGGTGATCCGCCCGCCTCAGCCTCCCAAAGTGCTGGGATTACAGGCGTGAGCCACCGTGCCTGGCTCATAAATGTAATCTTAATATAAACCATATGGCAGAGGAGATTGTCTGTAAGGTCATGGCTTTCATGACATTTTTAGTGTTAGGGCTGGAAATGTTCTCCAATATCTCAAATTCTTAATTCATTAGAAAACTGTAACCACCCCCACCTCCCACCAATTTAAGCAGCTAGTGCCAATTCCAGAACTAGAGAGGTGGTATTGCACCACAATTACGTGCTTTGGCTCTGAAGTCATGTGGTCTGGGTTTGAATCTTGCCTCTGCCACTTACTAACTGTGTAAGCCTGCGCAAGTGACCCTGTGCCCCAGTTTTGTGCTTCAGTCTGAAAATGGGATAATCATAGTACCTCGTTTACAGAGTTATTGGGAGAATTAAAGAAACGAATACGGGTTAAACACTTAGCAAAGTGCCTGGTACATAGTGAGTACTCTATAAATGCTATCAGAATTAGAATTCTGTTTCCTGCCTCTCAGTTGATTGCTTTATTGTTACGCCACATTGTCTTTCCCGACTTCCCTTAAACGGAGTAAAATATTTCAATAGTATTATTTCTCATTGGAATTGATTAAATATTTTAGAAAAGAGCACACAGTTAACAAGTATCGTTGTAGCCATTTTTTCTATATGGGAGATGGTGATATGTTAAATGAAAATTTAGAATGAAATGAAAAATGTAACAATGTATATCTGAATATATTCAGGTAATGTTATACAATACATTACTTTTTAATACAGCCATGTTCCCTAATTTGCATAACAATTGACCACTTTAGTAGCCCATTAGATAAATTGAGCCCAATTAACCAATTTAAGCTTATTACAAATGCACGTCTGTAATGTGAAACTGTTACTGGAAACTCATTGGAACTCAACTTTCCAGTAAAAGGAACCCTTGATTTTTCAATAAAAGAGGAAATATCTATTTTGGGTCCATGTACATGATATGGATTTAGCAATGATTTGTGCTTCAATTATAATCACTTACTGCCTTTTAAAGAGAGATTCATGTCTTTCCAGCTCTCTATGAAGATATATTGCTATAACAACAATGACTAATCTTAGATACATGATACTGTCCACCTGTTAAACTGTGTCAACTCTATGAATTGAGCCATAGCATAGTGAGTTAAGCTCTGATCTATTTCTATTAGGTATATGTGGTTGATACTTCAGGCTGTCTACCCCATTGTCATTCTCACCAGCCTTATTTGTTACTGGTAGAATTCTAAATTTTCTCAAATATTGTGTAGTAATGTATTTTAGGGGAAGTTAGGGTTTCCATCAGCCTTGAGAGGAGGTGAATATTGAATAGTCTAAATCAGACATTCTAATTCTAATTATTACCCTTCCGATGATTGATTTAGACATGGCTTTGTGATATAATTTTGTCCAAAAAGTATTGAGGGGCAGTCTTTGGCTTAGGCGTATGGTGCTTCTGTGTAAAATTTACACTTAGAAGCAAATGATTCGGCCTCTGACGATTGTCATCCTTATATGATGCCTGGAATTGCAGAAGCCATCTTAAGGATCTTGAAGAAAACCAGTCTCAGAGGGAAAGTCAACATGCTTAGGTTGGAAGAGTAGTAAGTTGTAAAGAAGGTTTCTTTTGACATCAGTGAATTACCAAGTGAACTCACCATGGAGCCACTCTAGCTCTGGACTTCCTGCTTTGTGATATCATAAAAGTCATTATTTAAGCTAATTCTAGTTTGTCTTCTTTTATTTCCAACAGAAAACACACTAACCAAAACCATGTAAAATCACTTCATTATAATTCTGGGTTTTCTTTGTTCTTTGATCATAGTTGTCAGAATTAGCTGGTGATGCTGATAGGATCAGGCATAACATCGCCCTTGTCTCTTGTGTTTTCACTTGACAGTTCCCACTATTTCAATATTTGTAAATATTTAAACTTATGTTAACCGGTGACATTTCTTTATTCTTGAGTTAGCATTTTAGGTACAATCTTATAAATATTAAATAATAAAATTAATCTCGTAGGATTCCTTTTGTGTTGCAGTTTCCTTTGCCCCTACTAAGCTCCTTGGATACAATCATTTTTTAGCACAGCTCACTTAAGGGTATCAACTTGAATGAGGGTTACCTCAGTGAGCACAAGGAATGAGGTAAACCTTTTGTTACATTAACACAACCATCTCCTTTGAGCTGACGTACTGTTTTTCTAACATGAATGCTTAATTTAGATTTCTTAAAATTAAGTTTTCTCTTTTTTTAAAGGTGATGAGTACAGAATCATGGAATAGCAGCTGTGGATTAAGAAGAGTGAACAGGGCTGGGTGCGGTGGCTCACGCCTGTAATCCCAGCAGTTTAGGAGGCCAAGGCGGGCAGATCACCAGGTCAGGAGATCAAGACTATCCTGGCTAACACGGTGAAATCCTGTGTCTACTAAAAATACAAAAAATTAGCCAGGTGTGGTGGCAGGCGCCTGTAGTCCCAGCTAATCGGGAGGCTGAGGCAGGAGAATGGTGTGAACCCGGGGGGCAGAGCTTGCAGTGAGCCGAGATCGCACCACTGCACTCCAGCCTGGGTGACAGAGCGAGACTCTGTCTCCAAAAAAAAAAAGAAGAAGAAGAAGAAGAGTGAACATACGTGAATTGAGATTGGTGTTGTGTTAAATGAAACAAAGAAATAATTTGACATATATATAATATATTTTTTCAGCTGGATGAATGATTACTATACATAGATGTTAATTGATTCATGTAAATCACCAGGGTTACAGTTTATGGGAGCCTTTTAAAAATAAGTGCAATTACATAATGACCAAGTCTGTAGGGAGGTCTTACCGCCTTTAGAAAATCATCCTTCCTTTCATTCCTGAATAAGTCACTGCATTTTGGCTACTATTATTTTACCTGTCCGTACCATGTATAGTTACTGATATGGTTTGGGTCTGTGTCCCTGCCCAAATCTCATGTCAAATTATAATTCCCAGAGTTGGAAGTGGAGCCTGGTGGGAGGTGATTGGATCGTTGGGGCAGATTTCCCCTTTGGTGCTGTTCTCATGATAGTGAGAGAGTTATCATGAGATTTGATCATTTAAAAGAGTGTAGCACCTCCCTCCTGTCTCTCTTCCTTCTGCTCCAACCATATAAGATGTATTTGCTTTCCCTTCATCTTTGTCATGATTGTAAGTTTCCTGAGGCCTCCCCAGCCATGCTTCTGGTATAGCCTGCTTAACTGTGAGCCAATGAAACTTCTTTTCTTTGTGAATTATTTAGTTTCAGGTGTTTCTTTATAGTGATTTGAGAAAAGACTAATACAGTTACTGACAGAATAGTATCCCCATTCACTATGTGAGTAACTCTTCTTTAAATGTTGTGGTTTCATCTAGAGATTTATCTTCTGACCCACCAAGGACCAAACCATGAATGTAGGGAATGGGGTTTCATTTAAAGGCGGCACTGTGAAGTCAGGTATTTCTGTCAGTCTTTCTGTCAGCACTTTAGGCAAAGCAAATTGGAAGTGAACTGAACAGATGGGACCTGTTAAGAGAGACCCTTAGGAAGGTCTCCAGGTGGGGCCGCAATCCTTAACATTGCCATATAGCAAATTCTTCTTCTCTTGGTAATAAATAGACTAACAGACCATGATTATTTTTCTTAATCAAAGAACCAAACTCCTAAGCCTTTTTTTAATAGACAGCCTGCTTTATATCTACACTGATGAAGAAAATAAGAAATATCTAATAAAGCTTAAGATGTATATCTGCTTATGCTTAAAGCCTGTTTATTTAGAATACCTCTGCCTGCTAGCACTTTTTAGTAGGTATGTCTGGAGAGAGATTGGTGAGAAACTCACTCCTTCCTGTCCAATATAAGGCAGAACAAAGGTGTGACTGGGTGTCAATGTCACTGTGGGTTTTCAATTTCTGCTGATAGAAATGTAAAACTTTCTCAGGAGTCTTGGTTTTACATGCTGGGAAACCCCCTTCCAACTCAGTCCTCATAGAAACTTACCGGTAGGGGTGAAACTTTTTTCCAAACTCCATTTCACTCCCTAACTGAGCAATACCAGGTTTACATGATTAGAAATTCCCATCTTTAGGCAAAAATACTGGAAGCAGTAGAATAATACTGAGATATTGTTTTGCATTGCATTTGACAGGAAATAAGAAACATGTGAGGTCCTTTTATGAGTCTCTATCTTTTGACATTCTGAAATTTCTTCCTTATCATGATATTAAGAATTAAAGAACACTTTCTGCTGAAGATGAGAGATAGATTCCTAATTTTGTAATATCGTAGAACTAGCACTAATGCCAGCAGTCTCAGATTAGTCTTAAATCACTAACTCTTTTGGGGGAATAAGGATGGGGATATTCTTATTGTATAAGAATCTTGGGGGTCAGGGGGTTTATGTAGCTATTGTGCTGGACTGTATAAGCTTGACTGCTTTTACGCATCTTGCACAAAGTGAAATAATAAAATAATTTTGAAAATTTTTGTCTATCTCATTTATGTTAAGGACTGCCAAGGAAAGTGGGGTGTGTGTGTGTGTGTGTGTGTGTGTGTGTGTGTCTGAGGGCATTGGGGGTGGGGTAGAGAGAGAGACAGAGAAATTCCACAGAGTGGAGCTGTGCTGAAATGGCCAGCCCCTGTATCCTCTTGGAGAAGCTCCTTCAAGTGCTGAAAATTCTGCATTTCATTTTAATAAAGGAGGTGAAATTCCCAATGTAGTGGCACACACAACCCCATTTAATTATATAATAGATCATGTTATTTTTCACACTTGAGTATTTTTACATGTTTTGCAAGCATTTTTCCAAATCCAGTTTCTACTACAGATTGTAACCCCTTTTGAGGAGGCAGATTTGTATTCTAATTCTTTTTGTATTCTTGCACAGAACGCATATTGCAAACTGCAGGGATTCAGTAAATCCTGATAACTAGCCAGTTTTAACTTGTAGATGAGACAGTTCTTTAAAGGTTACGAAAAACTTCAGCAAGTAGCAGCAGGAGCAGTCGTAAACTTTTTTCTTAAGGAATACATTTAGGGAAGGATGTGAAAATATTTCAGTTGTCTTGGTAGCATTATTCCTATGATTTCCACTTCTTAAAGAAGGTAACAATAGATGTAATTTAAGCGCTTTAGCTGCTGTCGTCATCTAATCTATTAAGCACATAATTGTCCAGTATACCCTTTCTTTTTTTACATCCCTTGTGGATCATACCTGCTTCTTGTTTGGTTGTTTAGCATATTTTCATTGTTAGTTCAAATGCCAGTTTTCCTGCCCAGTCAAGTAAGGTGTAAAGCACAGAGGGAGCTGCATCTTTCAGGTGTCAAGACTTCTCTTTCTCTTTGGCTCTTTTGCTCCATTCTTTTTGGCCTCCATTTCTAGAGTGCACACCTGCCCTACAATTAGCATTTAATGGCAGCTGTGAGGCTCATAGTCTCAGACATTTGCAAGGACTCAAGACTGCAGCTGAAAGAAGCAGCAAGCATGCCAAAATTGATAGATTTCTCTTGCCTTAATGAAGATTACAGATGGAAATACTTTTTTGCGTGTGTGTGAACATGCTGGGATTTGAGGACTAATGCTATTAATCAATGTGTACTAAAACAGAAACAGTTGCAAATATGTAGTATAGAGTATCAATGGAATAGAAAACAAACCTTTAACTAAGCCTGATTTTTTTTTAAAGTTGGAAAATGTTGCCAGCCTGTTTTGATGTAATTGAAAATGTTTAGAAGCTTTCCTGAAGAGTTGATTAATATATCAAAATCAGAAAAGGCAATTTTGAGTCTAATTTTGTTTGTTTACATTGTAATACAGGATTCTTGGCTTTGAAATTCTGCGGGGTGAAAAATGACTGTCAGTGTGAAACAAAGTAGTCTATTGAAAAGAACATTGTGTCTAAGTCTAATAGGGAACAGCTGATACCAGCCCAATGCATGATATCCAGAATTACAATATCTTAATCAGTCTGAATAGTTCCTTACTGGTGAAGTAGAGTCCAGATTTGGCCAAGGGGGAGTCTTTGGCCCCTCACCTCTTAGTACAAGAACCCAAAATAGGGAGTTGGTGGGGAGTCACTCTGGTCCAGGGTGGAGGAACAAGGATAGTTTGGCCTCTTGATGAGCTGCAGACTAGAACATCTGCTGTGTGCACAAAGGTGGAAGCAAAGTCATGAAGGAAGGGCTAGCATGGCTCCTGTGGTAGGGCCTGGAAATCTTGATGATGCTCCAAGAAGCTTTTCCAATGACTTCTTGACTTTCTTAATGTGAATGAGCTAGATTATAATTATATTTGTAATTATATTTTGGCACTCAGCCTTTGGAGGAAGAAGTATTAGTTCCAGAAAACTTGCTGTGCAAGAAAAAAAAAAAAAAGGAAATTTTACCCAGAGTTTCTGCCTTCTTGGTTGAAACATGAGTATTCAAAGAGAAGTAAATGCCTGCTGTAGTGTGATTTCACTTCTTCCTCTTTCCTGGAAAGTTCCAATTTCATATATTTTCCCCATTATTTCATCACTGATAACTCCTAGAAACGACGATATTTTGGTGGTTGTACCTGCTAGACTGTCTTTCAAATCTGGAAGCAACACAAAAAGTCTTTTATAGGATCATAGGTCTTGGTTTGGGGTTCAGAAACTAAGGTCACCACATGTAGGAGATAGAACTGAAAAAACAAACCCCTAAAATCAACCTAATCTTCTACCCCTTTGGGTAGATACTAGAGTTTCCAGCCCAGATTGTGACACAGCCTCTGCTTGAATATCTCCCCTAATAGATTGGAAACTCACTTATACCGGGGAAGGCATCTAATTATTAGTAAGCTTTGTATTTTTAATCAAACCTCTTTCCTATAGTCTCACTCATCAGGAACAACAGAGAATGTTTTCTTATTTTTTTTGACAGTTCTTCAGATATGAAGATAGATATCTTCATATCTCTGAGTCTTCTCTCTCCCAGGCCAAGGTTTACCAAGCCCTTTAATCATGTCATTCATAATGAGATTTTCACCATTCCAGGGGTCTTAACACTATTTTAACTTTCATTTTCCTGGTCTAGCTTTTGTAGAATAAAACTGGAACCCTCTTCCCTTAAAAAAATTCATGATAATGCAGTTTAAGATTGTTTTAGTTCATTTTACAGCCACATATTACTATTGGTTTAGACTAATCTTGTGGTCAATTGATGCCTCTTGGTCTATTTCAAATAAATGACTATCGTCACCCCCTTCTCCCCCCTTCCCCCCAATCCGTGCATATGATGCTTAGAATTGGTATATGGAACTTCATCTTCATACCTAATATATATATATTTTTGAATTCTGGCCTGCCATTCAAATCTCAGACTCTCATAAAATCTTGATTTTTTTTCATCTGATGTACTAGTTTTTCCAGTCAGCTGCAAATTAAGGTAGGTTTCTCATGTTTTTATAAGTGTTATCATCATCTTGTAAAAAAAAGGACACAATTTTTAGTGAGACAGATCTCGAATTTTAATCCCAGCTTCATCACGTAACTGCTGTCTGATGTTAGCCACTTATTTAAACTCCCTGAACCCAGTTTTGCTCATCTCAAAGTGAAGATGATAATTTCTACCTCTTAGTTTTGTTGTGAGCATCTCCAATAGTGTTAGAGCAGAATACAGTGCCTATCACATGGTAGGTAATGGTGATGATAGTAATAACAATAATAAAGATAAATGTTTTCTTGACTGGGAATCAGAATCAATTTTCTTGTTATCTTTCTTCTTTTCTGTCAGAGTTAATATTTTGGATAAGGCCAAGGACAGAACACTGTAGCCACTAGAGACCATTCTCCAGGTTGACATTCACAAATTGACAAATGTTATTGAGCAAAAAATATTTATTGAGCACATCTATGTTTTAGTACTCTTCTAGTGACTAGGAACTCAGTGGTAAAAAAGACAGCAAAGTCCCTGGCCTCATGGAGTTCACATTCAAAAGGCCAGGGCTACTGAATAACACAGGGACATAATTCACACAGAATTTGTTGGTTCTGCAAGAGCAGGAGAGAGACAAATTATGTGTATATGTACATATATACATAATATATATAATATTGTATATAATACAATGTCAGATAGTGAGAAGAGCTAGAATATATAATATGATGTCAGATAATGACATGAACCATACAGAAAAAGAAAACAAGGTATTCAGTGTATTTAGAGGGCAAATGCTATCTTATATCATACGGTTAAAGATCTCTTTAAGGAGGTGAAACTGAGGTAGACTCCTAATGGAGGGGGGCCATGAGCTGCGCAACTCTCTGAAGGAAAAGTGTTCTAATCAGAAGGACATTGATTCATAAATGTAAGCTTTTTTGGTATGAATGGTCAACCAGGTATTTGTTCTCTTAAAAGCACTGTCTTATCCATCAGATCTCCAAGAATAGTAAGAGGCTTTGTAAATATGCTTACCCTAACTAGTCTAAACCACAGATGGATCTGAGCTTGTCTGGGGATTCTGGGGAGGCACAGGGTTTGTATTCCCTTGCCCATGTGACGGCCTTTCTCTCTCTGGTGTTTCTCCTTGAGCAAGTGTGCAACTTCATGGAACATAAAGTAAAGGAGGGGACCCATCACCCAGCCAGATCGAATGAATCAACCCTTGTGGCCCTTGGGGTGATGGGAGCCCCATCAAGGTTGCTCTCCCACCACTTACTGTACACATGACATCCTCACTGTCACCAGTCCTTAAAGCTACACACACAGGAAGGCATGTAGAATCTGTTACTTTTCTTTAGTGAATACATCCTGGTTCCTCGTGATCACCACTTCCTTTTTAAGGGCTGACACACCATCTAGTCATACCCTGTTTCAAAATCAAGCGTGCAGATCTGTAGGTCACAGAATACACTTTCCTCCACCTCATTTTGAAAAATTAGAATACTAATTTCCTAGCTCTACACGTCTCTAGTACATGTCTCTAATACCTTGCCCCAGCACCTTTTCAACTCTCTACGACCCTGTAAAGATTACTGACAGTGACTCTTAGATTTCATCTGCAAAGGCTCTTCATACTCCAGGACGTAATTTGTTTAGGCCTGGAGACAAAAACTCATTTAAAACAACAAGATGGTCTCCTGCTATCACCTTACCTATCTCATACTTCAGTTCCTTCTAAACTACATTTATTCAACTCTCCTGGGTTTAAAGATCATTGTCCCTGATAAAGAAGGTGGAAATACAACAGGAGTGGAGATATATGACTTTCTCTTTGTTATTTGTTAATGTTATATCTTCTGCCCCAAGCAGTGAGTCTGTGATTTTTAGGTTTATCTTTTTACTTTGATTGTAGCTGATAAGAGGGATGTGTGTTTGTGTGTGTGTGCATGCGTATGTTTCTGAGTTTGCGGATGAAGGCTTAAGCATATTTCACTTCAACTTACTGAGGGATGAATTCTCCCATCTTGTTGATTCAGTTCAATACATATTTTCCCTTGCTTCAGTTTGTGGCTTTACATGAAGGCTCTATAACCACACCATCCATGGTCAAATCCTGGCGGTTCACTTCCTATAGCATGGGCAAGTTAGTTCACTTCCATGAACCTGAGTTGGCCTTATCTATAAAATGGAGGTAATAATACTTAAGGACTTGAGGCCAGGCACGATTGCTCACACCTGTAATCCCAGCACTCTGGGAGGCTGAGGCAGGTGGATCACCTGAGGTCAGTAGCTCAAGGCCAGCCTGGCCAACATGGCGAAATGCGGTCTGTAGTAAAAATACAAAAATTAGCCAAGTTTGGTGCCGTGCGCCTGTAGTCCCAGCTAGTCAGGAGGCTGAGACATAAGAATCATTTGAACCCGGGAGGCAGAGGTTGCAGTGAGCCGAGATCGTGCCACTGCACTCTAGCCCGGATGACAAAAGGAGACTCTGACTCCAAAAAAAAAAAAAAAAAAAAAAAATTTAAAAGTAAATGATTGAATGTACATAAAGGGCTTAGAAGAGTGTCTGGCACATAGTAAGTGCTAATCACCACCACCATCATCATTTTTTAATGTATTCCTATCATCTTTCATATGTATATTTCAGAGGTCTTCCTGGTCAGCCACAGTTTGTCTTATGGTTAGGACACACTTAATCCAATTGTTTGTATATTCTATCTCTGTGTATTTAGGCCCAAACAGTGAGCATTGATGTAAATGATGATGTGAGGCTCTCAAAGAGCATAAATCATCAAAGAAATATGAAATTGCATTTAATGTACTCATGGCGGGAGCAAAGTGAATGGATGCATTTTACAAAGGCTCTCAGCCAAGTCTGGTTTGAAACAGAACAGAGACTTTACAATATTCTTGCTCTAACTAATAGAAGCCATAAATAGATCTGAGCTTGTCTGGGGGGCTCTGGAAGGCATAGATGAAAGAATTGTCTTCTTAATCAGAGAACCCAAATAAGCAACATACCCATTTTCAAGCGTTCTGGCTTAGTTCGAGTGCTTAAGGAAAAACTTACCTTTGTCCCACATAAGGCCAAACAAATCTATAAAACCTCATGGGAATCCTAAAATTTTGTTTCATATCTGTATTACAAGGTAAATTTGAATCACTTAGGGAATCCTCAGCTTATCGACCTTTGGACCATATGATAGCTGTTGGTGGGACATTTGATAGAATTTAATTGGTTGCTGTATGGAGTGCCTGTGTACTTACGTTTTCGTAGTGAATTGCCTTTGGTGTAACAGCCATCGTCACATTCCTGGCCTTCTTTGTTTGTTTGTTTGTTTTTGGTGTTGTTTGTTTGTTTGAGACTGAGTTTTCCTCTGTCGCCCAGGCTGGAGTGCAGTGGCACAATCTCAGCTCACTGCAACCTCTGCCTCCTGGGTTCAAGCCATTCTCCTGCCTCAGCTTCTCGAGTAGCTGGGACTACAGGCACACACCAGCTGCGAATACAGGCACACACCAGCTGGGAATACAGGCATGCGCCACCATGCCTGGCTAATTTTGTATTTTTAGTAGAGATCGGGTTTCACCATGTTGGCCAGGCTTGTCTTGAACTCCTGACCTCAGGTGATCTGCCCACCTTGGCTTCCCAAAGTGTTGGGATTACAGACATGAGCCATGGTGCCCGACCCTCCTGGCCTTTGATTGAAGAAGGAAGTAAATCTGCTTAACTGTCTTTCTTGGACCTCTCCTATTTCCAGGACACTGACATATGTCAGAAACTTACAGAAGCAGCCACAGCCTGTGTAGGGAGGGCCCTAGAGTACTGGAGGGATGCCTTGGACTGGTGGGTAAATGTGACTAATTAAGGAGTATTAGCAAGTCCATTTGTTCTCAATTCTCCAGCGAAATTCTCTTAGTCTTATCAGTTATAATAATAAAGCTGATATTTTGATCTCTATGTGTCTGTCTTCTGTGTCTTGTTTCTCGATAGGTTCTTAACTTGAGAAGGGAAGAGAGAGCTATTATTTATTGATCTGCTCGTACCTCAAATGGTGCAAACAAGAAGAGTGAAGGTAAGCGATAGTCATTAGCTCCTTTCTTTACATGTAACCAAGATGTGAACCAAGACAGTCTGGACCAGTTGAACAATTTATCCCTATGAGTCAATCAAAATCAAACATCACTGAGGCCATGCTCTGGAGAGGAAAATATGGATTTTTAGTGTCATAGATATTAACCATCAATCAGCTATTGGTTATTTGGAAATTGTTGGTGTCTTTGTCCAGACTTTGCTGCCTATTTTGCAATGTAAGTAGTTCATGCTTGTTCTAGTTTTACCATTCACTCCAATTTATGGGTTGTGTATAATAACATTCTGCTGATCCTTGGTTTCCAACATGCTCAGGTTAACCATAATGATTCCAACTTCTGTTTCATGTCACTTCTTCGTGTGTTTACCCAAAACACACAGAGTTCTATTGGAAAGAAAGTAAAGCAAAGTGTAAAATCATGAGAGGAGTTCATTGCACCATGCTGGACTAATGTTTGGCCAAATTTATGTCTTGGGGGTTGATTTGGAAACAATGCTTTCAATTCCCTTTTACCATATACGTCAGAAGAATTTCCTGTTAGATAATATGATGTTTTGACTTGGTTTCAATATGTTCTAGTACAAATACCCAGGGACAAATTCTTCAGCTGAATACATCTGAGAGATGAATTGTTTAATTGATCTGACAGTCTTTAGGCAACCTGTGAAAAAAGGATCTGATTGACTTCCCTCTGGGAAAACCTGCCCTTTTTCCACCTTTCATCATAGTTAAGCAAACAGACAGACAAACAAACAAAACATAAATCTAGGAAGCTGTGATGAAAAAGGAGCTGCTGGCAGCATGCAGGCAGAGGCAAAAGCTAAACAGAGCTGATTGGAAAATGACTTTCTTTCTGTGGATAGAGTGTGAGGCTTTTTTATTACTTGGAAGATGGAGGAATCTCATTGGCTTGGGGAAAAGAGAAAGTTTGAGCAGGATCAAGAGCAGAGGTCATATAGATGGAAAGAAACGAAGGTAGGAAATGTCTAAAGTTTTGTCTGTGCAACAACCATCCAGTAGCTAGAGACATCCTTTGTCTCCTCTTAAGGAGTATAAACCAGGCTTAAATCCTTTTTAAGCCAGAGAGAACTAGAGTAGACTGGAGGGTGGAAAGATAAACGATGGCCTGGATGTACAGGAGATGGCATATCGATGCAAATGACCCAAAAAATAGGGCCAGATTTAATAACTAGTTAATGAGCATAATTCAAACTAATTGACCAGAAGAGAAGACCCTGGATGCACTAGGCAGGACCTTCCAAGGGTAGAAGGAAATGAGCAGAGGAGACATTAGTTCTCAAGATGAAGAACCAGAGAGAACTCTGGTGGTGAGCCACAGAGTTAATGCCAGGAAAGCCTGAAGATAGTATTCTTTGGGATGCAGATTAGGGATTGTTTTTTCCAGGGGCCAGATATCAGAGTTGAATCTAAATCAAAAATGAATGAAACATGTATTGATCAATTGCTTTGTGCCCATCACTGTGCTGGGTATTGAAGATAGAGTGGGGGCGGGGGGCAAGACAACCTAACTCCCGCCCTCCTGGGGCTTACAATTCAGAAGGAGGTGGAGCAAATTAAAAAGTTGTAGGCCAGGTGCAGTGGCTCATGCTTGTAATGTTAGTGCCTTAGGAGGCTGAGGAAGGAGGATCACTCGAGGCCAGGAATTTGAGACCAGCCTGGGCAACAGAGCAAGACATTGTCTGTACAAAAAATAAATACATAACATAAAAAATTAGCTGGGTATGATAGCGAGGGCCTGTAGTCCCAGCAACCTGGGAGGCTGAGGCCAGAAGATTGCTTAAGCCCAGGGATTTGAGGCTGCAGTGAGCTATGATTACATCACTGAACTCCAGCCTGGGCAACAGAGTGAGAGACCATCTCTAAGATTAATAGTAATAATAATAATAGTAATAATAATAATAATAATAGTAATAATAATAATAAATAAAAAGTTGCAAGTGCTAAGTGGTACAGGGTATCATGGCAACACATAGGCCATACCTGACCCAGTAGCTGGGAGTGAGGTTAGGGGAATATTTCTGGAGGAAATTACGTCGAAGCTGAGAGCTGAAGGACAAGTTGGAGTTAGGCAATCAAGGAACAAGGAAGAACATTCCAGGCCAAGTGAGCAGGATGTGGGAAAGCCTGGGGGATAGGTGAGAAAGAGCTTCAGAGTTAAGGATTCAGAAATCTGAAAGTAGGTTAACACTACACTCCAGGCACTTTTTGCAGGTAGTGAGTTTGCATGAGTTTGAGTCTGTAGAAAAAAGTTCAAGTCTTGACAAAGTCACCAGGTGAACATTTCTTGATGTTTGTTCCTTGGGATGCAAGGGGTGGGGCAATACAATGGCATTGAGGGGGTCCCCAGGACTTTGGTGGAGAACCCAGCAAGCCTGTCGGCAGGGAGGTCAGCGGGACGGTGGAGCAGGTTTTGTGTGATTCTCTGGATGCTTGGGCCGTGGCCAGTAGACAACATGCTGCCAAGTTCAGAAGAAAAGAATCATACTGCATAGGAAAGTGAATCTTGCACATGGCCAGAAAAAGGAAAGACAATTTAGTTTTATATGTTACACTTTAATAATAGTCGTTTGGAACTTCATAATGAAATTTGTGAAAAAAGTTCATTTCCAGAAGAATAATCTCTAACTGGTATGCAATGCCGCAGTAGGATTTGTCCAGGTTTTAATTTTAGTTTGAATAAATAATGTAAGATACTAGCCTGGGTGAGATAAAAGAAAATCTCTCTGCTTTCATCTCTCCATGATGGAAATAATAACTACTTTATTTCAAAACAAGTTTCCAATTAGTTTCTGTGAAATATTATTATCCCCCTTTCCCAGATACTGTAGCTCATTTTGAAACTTAATTTTGATAATATATAAACATTTCTGAAACTTACCCTACAGGAATGACAGTTATATTTGAAGGGAAGGACGCTGCTGGGCTGTAACTGTATTATTTGGGATGGTTCTAAATAATAGTAAAAATAATAAAAGGGAATCAGTCAAAGTGCAATCTCATTTCATGGCTATTTATGACCTAGCAAGGACTTATCTTCACCAAGAGCACAGATGAAGCAAGGCCACTTTCTCCAAAGTTATTCAGTGGAATTTTTTCCTTTCAGCACTAGTTATGGGCTTTACTTAAGAATGTATATCATCTTCTTCCTATTTACAGAGATGGTATTGTTTAAATATTTAATGAATTAAGCGTAATAGAACACCTACTGTGTGCCAGACGCGGCCTGGGGCTTGTGTGCTGGGATTGGCACGGTCAATTAGGTAGATGTGACCTCTGCCTTTGGGGGACTTATAATCTAGAGGAGAGGGGCAGGAGTTAAAAATTTTCTCTGTCTCTGTCTCTCTTTCTCCCCTCCTCTCCCCACACACACAGTGATAGAAATAAGAGGTCTATGGTGGCTTGAGAACACATAATAGGAAGAGTCAGACTGATCAGACTGATTACACTGGACAGGGAAAGGCTTTGATATGATTCGGTTGAGGTAAGGTATAGATTAGTTATGATACAAGCTAAGCTCTGTCACAAAGATGCTACATTGTCATGGCTTCAATAAGATGTAAATTTCTTTCTCTTTTATATGACAGAGGTGAGCAGTTCAGGGTTGGTAGGCAGCTCTGCCATCTTCAACATCTGGCTTCCAATCCTACCTCTGTGGATATCATTTTGAGCCAGAAGGAGGGGAGAAAGAAATGGCTTTCAAGAGGTGACTTGGCAGCTGTACACATCATTGTTTCTTGGCCAGAATTTAGTCACATGACCACACCTAGCTACAAAGTAGGCCAGAAGATGTTGTTAGTGGTGATAGCTAGGTGCGTGGGAGTTCTATTTAAAAGGAAGATAAGAATGGATGCTGGTGGGCAGAGGGGACAGTCTTTGGCACAGAAATGAAGGATGAGTAAGAGTTAATTAGGCTGAAGTGAAGGGAGACAGAGGGGTAGCACATGGAAAGGCTGCATCACTGGAGGAAGTGTGGTGACCTTCGCTGAAAGTAGGTCACGGGCCTGGGTCATAGAGGTGGGCAGATTCAAGGTGAGCTGGGCATGAGCCAGATTACGCTTAGCTTATGGCTCAGGGCAAAACGTTGGTCTTCATTCTAGAGCCAGTGAAGCCATTAGGGTTGAAAATGGAAGGAAGGGGACCCAAGAAAATTCTCTCTTTGAAGAGATCACCTATTACAGTGTGGAGAATGGATCAGAGGGCACAGTAGTCATACACCACATCAGGCACCATGCTAGGTGCTGGGAAATGGCAGCTGAGCAGGATAGACCCAATTTCTGACCTCCCAGAGTTTACATTCTGTGGGAGGGAGGGAGAAAGCTAAGGAAGATCTAGGAGTCACAAGGGATAACTTTCCTACGACAGAGCCAGGCAGGGACTGTCAGTGACATTTTGACTGTAAGTTGGGAGAGGCCCTGGTTCTGCTTTAACTGCAGCTTCTCTCTCCATAAAATGGAGGAAGCCTCCAACAATGGGTTCATTCAAAGGGGAGGTATTTTCTACCAGCTTCTTCTTTTTTTTTTTTCTTTTTTTGAGACAGAATCTCACTCCGTCGTCCAGGCTGGAGTACAGTGGCATAATCTCCGCTCACTGCAACTTCTGCCTTCCAGGTTCAAGCGATTCTTCTGCCCCAGCCTCTGGAGTAGTTGGGATTACAGGCGTGCTCCACCACACCTGGCTCATTTTTGTATATTTTTGGAGAGACGAGGTTTCACCATGTTGGCCAGGCTGTTCTCAAACTCCTGGCATCAAGTGATTCTATCACCTTGGCCTCCGAAAGTGCTGGGACTGCAGGCGTGAACCACTGCACCTGGCCCAGCTTATTTTTCTTAATTGAAGTAAAATTCACATAACATAAAATTAACCATTAACCACTTTAAAGTGTACAATTCAGTGGCATTAAGTGCATTCATATATTGTATAACCACCATCTCTATCTAGTTCCGAGACATTTCGTCACCCAGAAAGGAAAGCTCGTACCCATTATGCTCCATCATACTCCTACTCCCTGTCACTCAAACCCCTGGAAACTCATTAGCCTGCTTTCTATGTCCATGAACTTACATATTCTGGAGCTTTCATTTAAATGGAATTATGCAATATGTAACCCTTAGTGACTTGCTTCTTTCACGCAGCATGAGGTTTTTGTGGTTCATCTATGTTATAGCATGTATCGGTATTTTATCCTTTTTTATGGCTGAACAATATTCCATTGTATAGATAGACCATATTTTGTTTATCCATTCATTCATTGATGGACATTTGTACTGTTTCTGCCTTTTGGCTGTTGTG
The DNA here is from genome assembly GCF_000001405.40 of Homo sapiens. NCBI lineage: Eukaryota > Metazoa > Chordata > Mammalia > Primates > Hominidae > Homo > Homo sapiens. Next base: position 82,200,938 of record NC_000016.10, read on the forward strand.
AATAGTGCTGTTGTAAACCTTTGAGTCCACTTGCTTATTTTTTTCCCAAAGTAGGTTTTTTCATCCTATGTGTAAAAAACCAACAGGAGAGGAAACAAAAGATGAATTGAATTCTTCTATCCTCAGTTGTGTACCGTCACCCCCATCACCCTGACCCAAGTGCATCTACGGGCTCCAGGGTCCTGCCCTACTCCACTCAGGCTGTCACAGTTCTCTCCTGTTGCCTGCCCCACTTCTATTTTCCATGCCAGCTCTTCTGTTCTCCCAGTGGGATTTCCGTGGTCTCTGAAGGAAACTCCACACCTCTGCTTTTGCTTCCTGTCCTCTCACTCCTCTACCCATCACCCACACCTGGAAACCCCACCCCCATTCCTGGTTTTCCAGACTCCGTCATTCTTCATGATTGCCTTTCTTCAAAGTCAGCACAGTGTCATCATTCGAGGAAGGTGGGAACAGCATGAGGAAGTGAGGAGAAGGCTGTTGATGTGTGAGGAGGTCAGCTGGTTCATTCTTTCCTGTTCATCCATTCACTCATTGTTTTATTCATTTTTCCAACGAAGATTTATTGAGCACTCACTCTAGATAAGAAACTAGTGCTAAAGCTTCAGACATGGATGCATGGCCTGGCTCTTGGAGTTCACAAGTGAGTCAGATGTCTAAACAAAAAAGCCACAAGACAATACAGACTTTTAATAGGGATACAAACAAGGTATTGTTGGAGCTTGGACAAAGCAGGTGGGCAAGGGGTATTTGAGAAATTACAAGGGCACTTTGTGGGAGAGGTTTTTCTATGCAAGTTTTCCCCTAGATCCTACCGAAATAAAGCCATACCTTTACCTTGTATTTTAAGCCAGGACATGACCATTATCTGTGAATCATTCCAGATGGATAAACTGAGGCACAGAATACTCAGGCTCAAACCTTTAGTAATAAAGTGGTGATTTGACTGAAAAGTTGATTCCCTGATGTGTTCTTCATTTCCCAGCCCCCATAAGCTCACTTTTCTGTAATTGCAGGGTGCAATTCTCTGTTTTTCTTCCCTCAGTGCAAAAAGGCAGACTGGTGATGCTATTTTTCACATGAAGAAAACAAGGCAGGGGGAGTTTACTCAAGGCCACTTATCACTTTTATGGAGGAGCCAGAATCACAGCTCCTACCCTTTGAGTTTCCAGCTCGTTGCCTAGCTACCAAACCTCCCTACCTCTTCCACCAAGCAGCAGCTGAGCAGGCACTTAATAATAATAATTGATGGTGTTGGCTAACAGGGAAAGTTCAGAGTGGTTCTGGGGAGTTTGTTTTCACATACCAATAAATTTTATTCTTCTATGGTCAATAACCTATATTAATTTGCTTTAGATAGCACCCCTGTCTTACTTCACAGTGAAGCTTTCTTAGCTACATTGATGATTTCTCTTATTTTCTTTATCTCAACTATTCTTTCTTGGGGACTACAGTTGCTGTTTACAGTTATTACACATTTTAAAAAGGGGAAATTGATATAGTGTCTGTTCTAGGGCTTCCAAGACAAGAGCCTCATTATAACAATTTTAAGAAATAGAATGAAATTCAGTGAAAGTTAAATACAGTTCTCCAGAAAGTAACACTTCTGCTTCTTAAAGTATTAGATTCATTTATTGATTGATTAATTAAGTTAAAAATATTTGCACAACTAGATGTTCCAGACACTAACAGGAGTAAAAAGATAAATCTGTTTATCCTTTCAACTATGATATACCATGTTAATGCTGGGGATGCTGTGGTTTTCCTCATGTTGCGCACAGTCCAGCAGCAGTTGGATGACCTCACATGATCACACAAGTGGGCAATTGCAGCCTTCATATGCGTCTCACAGAAGAAGCACACAGAGCTGTGAGTGCCCCTGATTGGTGGATTTGACACAGTCAGGGAAGTCTTCCCAGAGGAAATGTTGCTCAAGTTGAGTTCTGATGAATGAGCAGGGGGAACCAGAAGAAGAGGGAAGGAAAAAGTATTCCAGGCAGAGGAAACACCTTCAAAGACCTGGTGGTAGGTGAGAACATGTGGAGTCCAGGAGCTATAAGACTAGCATGGTTTGAATGAAGTTAGAGGTCGAGGGGAAGCTGGAGAGATAGGTAGAGGCCAGATCATGCACAGCATCAGGTACCTGTGCTACGCCGCATCACTCCCACTCTAATTCCAGCCAAGGCTACGGTGAACAGTGCCACACCAGCTCCCATCAGCTTTATGCTGACCTTGTCCTGGAGCTTCTCTGGTTCCAGGCCTAGGCCTTTGCAGACCTGGCAGCCATATGTGAGCAACCCACACATACCAGGGTGTTAGTGTCCATGGAGCAACTCTCAACCATTGGTGGATGAAAGGCAGTGGGTGAATGCTTCTACCTTTTGTCTCTGGTGGACAGTTCTGAGACACATTCCCCATGGTACCTAAGAAATTCCTCACAGAATTGGTCATAGTTGCTCACACTGGTAATCAACTTATTCTTTCTTTCATTTCCTCCTTCTCTGTTCTACCCAGTTTCCATGATGCATGAACTCCTGCTCCCTGGTGTCATGTCCCAAATAAAACTATGTGCAGGCACACTTTTGTGACCTGCTGTTTTGGGGTAAGCCAGATAGAGATACAATGTTAAAGAGTTTTGTCTTTGTCTTAAGAGCAATGGAAAATAATTGCATGTTTGGACAGGTGAAGTTCCTTCCTTCCTTCCTTCCTTCCTTCCTTCCTTCCTTCCTTCCTTCCTTCCTTCCTTCCTCCCTTCCTCCCTTCCTCCCTCCCTCCCTTCCTTCATTCCTTCCTTCCTTCTGTCTTTCTTTCTTTTTCTTTTTTTTTTTGAAGATTTCTTTTTTTTTAAATTACACTTTAAGTGCTAGGATACATGTGCACAATGTGCAAGTTTGTTACCTATGTATATATGTGCCATGTTGGTGTGCTACACCCATTAACTCGTCATTTACATTAGGTATATCTCCTAATGCTTTCCCTCCCCCATCCCCCCACCCCACAACAGGCCCTGGTGTGTGATGTTCCCCTTCCTGTGTCCAAGTGTTCTTGTTGTTCAGTTCTCACCTATGAGTGAGAACATGCGGTGTTTGGTTTTTTGTTCTTGCGATAGTTTGCTGAGAATAATGGTTTCCAGCTTCATCCATGTCCCTACAAAGGACATGAACTCATCCTTTTTTATGGCTGCATAGTATTCTGTGGTGTATATGTGCCACATTTCTTAATCCAGTCTATCACTGATGGACATTTGGATTGGTTCCAAGTCTTTGCTGTTGTGTATAGTGCCGCAATAAAAATACATGTGCATGTGCCTTTATAGCAGCATGATTTATAATCCTTTGTGTATATACCCAGCAATGGGATGGCTGGATCAAATGGTATTTCTAGTTCTAGAACCCTGAGGAATTGCCACACTGTCTTCCACAATGGATGAACTAGTTTACAGTCCCACCAACAGTGTAAAAGTGTTCCTATTTCCCCACATCCTCTCCAGCACCTGTTGTTTCCTGACTGTTTAATGATTGCCATTCTAACTGGTGTGAGATGGTATCTCATTGTGGTTTTGATTTGCATTTCTCTGATGGCCAGTGTTGATGAACATTTTTTCATGTGTCTTCTTTTGGCTGCATAAATGTCTTCTTTTGAGAAGTGTCTGTTCATATCCTTTGCCCACTTTTTGATGGGGTTATTTGTTTTCTTCTTGTAAATTTGTTTGAGTTCTTTGTAGATTCTAGATATTAGCCCTTTGTCAGATGAGTAGATTGCAAACATTTTCTCCCAATCTGTAGGTCACCTGTTCACTCTGATGGTAGTTTCTTTTGCTGTGCAGAAGCTCTTTAGTTTAATTAGATTCCATTTGTCAATTTTGGCTTTTGTTGCCATTGCTTTTGGTGTTTTAGACATGAAGTCCTTGCCCATGCCTATGTCTTGAATGGTAATGCCTAGGTTTTCTTCTAGGGTTTTTATGGTTTTAGGTCTAACATGTAAGTCTTTAATCCGTCTTGAATTAATTTTTGTATAAGGTGTAAGGAAGGGATCCAGTTTCAGCTTTCTACATATGGCTAGCCAGTTTTCCCAGCACCATTTATCAAATAGGGAATCCTTTCCCCATTTCTTGTTTTTCTCAGGTTTGTCAAAGATCAGATGGTTGTAGATGTGTGGTATTATTTCTGAGGGCTCTGTTCTGTTCCATTGATCTATATCTCTGTTTTGGTACCAGTACCATGTTGTTTTGGTTACTGTAGCCTTGTAGTATAGTTTGAAGTCAGGTAGCGTGATGCCTCCAGCTTTGTTCTTTTGGCTTAGGATTGTCTTGGCAATGCAGGCTCTTTTTTAGTTCCATATGAACTTCAAAGTAGTTTTTTCCAATTCTGTGAAGAAAGTCATTGGTAGCTTGATGGGGATGGCATTGAATCTGTAAATTACCTTGGGCAGTATGGCCATTTTCACGATATTGATTCTTCCTATCCATGAGCATGGAATGTTCTTCCATTTGTTTGTGTCCTCTTTTATTTCCTTGAGCAGTGGTTTGTAGTTCTCCTTGAAGAGGTCCTTCACATCCCTTGTCAGTTGGATTCCTAGGTATTTTATTGTCTTTGAAGCAATTGTGAATGGGAGTTCACTCATGATTTGGCTCTCTGTCTGTTATTGATGTATAAGAATGCTTGTGATTTTTGCACATTGATTTTGTATCCTGAGACTTTGCTGAAGTTGCTTATCAGCTTAAGGAGATTTTGGGCTGAGACAATGGGGTTCTCTAAATATACAATCATGTCATGTGCAAACAGGGACAATTTGACTTCCTCTTTTCCTAATTGAATACCCTTTATTTCTTTCTCCTGCCTGATTGCTCTGGCCAGAACTTCCAACACTATGTTGAATAGGAGTGGTGAGAGAGGGCATCCCTGTCTTGTGCCAGTTTTCAAAGGGAATGCTTCCAGTTTTTGCCCATTCAGTATGGTATTGGCTGTGGGTTTCTCATAAATAGCTCTTATTATTTTGAAATACGTCCCATCAATACCTAATTTATTGAGAGTTTTTAGCATGAAGGGCCATTGAATTTTGTCAAAGGTCTTTCCTGTATCTATTGAGATGACCATGTGGTTTTTGTCGTTGGTTCTGTTTATATGCTGGATTATGTTTATTGATTTGTGTATGTTGAACCAGCCTTGCATCCCATGGATGAAGCCCACTTGATCATGGTTAAGTGGCTTTTTGATGTGCTGCTGGATTCAGTTTGCCAGTATTTTATTGAGGATTTTTGCATTGATGTTCATCAGGGATATTGGTCTAAAATTCTCTTTTTTTGTTGTGTCTCTGTTAGGCTTTGGTATCAAGATAATGGTGGCCTCATAAAATGAGTTAGGGAGGATTCCCTCTTTTTCTATTGATTGGAATAGTTTCAGAAGGAACTGTACCAGCTCCTCCGTGTACCTCTGGCAGAATTAGGCTGTGAATCCATCTGGTCCTGGAGTTTTTTGGTTGGTAGGCTATTAATTATTGCCTCAATTTCAGAGCCTGTTATTGGTCTTTTCAGGGATTCAACTTCTTCCTGTTTTAGTCTTGGGAGGTGTCCAGGAATTTATCCATTTCTTCTAGATTTTCTAGTTTATTTGCGTAGAGATGTTTACAGTATTCTCTGATGGTAGTTTGTATTTCCGTGGGATCAGAGATGATTTCCCCTTTATCATTTTTTATTGCGTCTATTTGATTCTTCTCTCTTTTCTTCTTTATTAGTCTTGCTAATGGCCTATCAATTTTGTTGATCCTTTCAAAAAACCAGCTCCTGGATTCATTGATTTTTTGAAGGGTTTTTTGTGTCTCTATCTCCTTCCGTTCTTCTCTGATCTTAGTTATTTCTTGCCTTCTGCTGGTTCTTGAATGTGTTTGCTCTTGCTTCTCTAGTTCTTTTAATTGTGATGTTAGGGTGTCAATTTTAGATCTTTCCTGCTTTCTCTTGTGGGCATTTAATGCTATAAATTTCCCTCTACATACTGCTTTAAATGTGTCCCAGAGATTCTGGTATGTTGTGTCTTCATTCTCATTAGTTTCAAAGAACATCTTTATTTCTGCCTTCATTTTGTTATGTACCCAGTAGTCATTCAGGAGCAGGTTGTTCAGTTTCCATGTAGCTGAGCAGTTCGGAGTGAGTTTCTCAATCCTGAGTTCTAGTTTGATTGCACTGTGGTCTGAGAGAAAATTGGTTATAATTTCTGTTGTTTTACATTTGCTGAGGAGTGCTTTACTTCCAACTATGTGGTCAGTTTTGGAATAAGTGTGATGTGGTGCTGAGAAGAATGTATATTCTGTTGATATGGGGTGGAGAGTTCTGTAGATGTCTATTAGGTCTGCTTGGTGCAGAGCTGAGTTCAATACCTTGGTATCCTTGTTAACTTTCTGTCTCGTTGATCTGTCTAATGTTGACAGTGGGGTGTTAAAGTCTCCGATTATTATTGTGTGGGAGTCTACGTCTTTTTGTAGATCTCTAAGGACTTGCTTTATGAATCTTGGTGCTCCTGTATTGGGTGCATATATATTTAGGATAGTTAGCTCTTCTTCTTGAATTGATCTCTTTACCATTATGTAATGGCCTTGTCTCTTTTGATCTTTGTTGATTTAAAGTCTGTTTTATCAGAGACTAGAATTGCAACCCCTGCCTTTTTTCGTTTTCCATTTGCTTGGTAGATCTTCCTCCATCCCTTTATTTGGAGCCTATATGTGTCTCTGCATATGAAATGGGTCTCCTGAATACAGCACACTGATGAATCTTGACTCTTTAACCAATTTGCTAGTCTGTGTCTCTTAATGGGAGCATTTAGCCCATTTACATGTAAGGTTAATATTGTTATGTGTGAATTTCATCCTGTCATTATGATGTTAGCTGGTTATTTTGCTCGTTACTTGATCAGTTTCTTCCTAGCTTTGATGGTCTTTACAATTTGTCATGTTTTTGCAGTGGCTGGTACTGGTTGTTCCTTTCCGTGTTTAGCGCTTCCTTCAGGAGCTCTTGTAGGGCAGGCCTCGTGGTGACAAAATCTGTCAGCATTTGCTTGTCTGTAAAGGATTTTATTTCTCCTTCACTTATGAAGCTTAGTTTGGCTGGATATGAAATTCTGGGTTGAAAATTCTTTGCTTTAAGAATGTTGAATATTGGCCCCCACTCTCTTCTGGCTTGTAGAGTTTCTGCTGAGAGATCAGCTGTTAGTCTGATGGGTTTCCCTTTGTGGGTAACCCGACCTTTCTCTCTGGCTGCGCTTAACAGTTTTTCCTTCATTTCAACTTTGGTGAATCTGACAATTATGTGTCTTGGAGTTGCTCTTCTCGAGGAGAATCTTTTTGGTGTTCTCTGTATTTCCTGAATTTGAACGTTGGCCTGCCTTGCTAGATTGGGGAAGTTCTCCTGGATAATATCCTGCAGAGTGTTTCCCAACTTGGTTCCATTCTCCCCGTCACTTTCAGGTACACCAATCAGACATAGATTTGGTCTTTTCACATAGTCCCATATTTCTTGGAGGCTTTGCTCGTTTCTTTTTACCCTTTTTTCTCTAAACTTCTCTTCTTGCTTCATTTCATTCATTTGATCTTCAATCACTGATACCGTTTCTTCCAGTTGATCGAATTGGCTACTGAAGCTTGTGCATTTGTCACGTAGTTCTCATGCCATGGTTTTCAGTGCCATCAGGTCATTTAAGACTTTTCTACACTGTTTATTCTAGTTAGCCATTCGTCTAATCTTTTTTCAAGGTTTTTAGCTTCTTTGCATTGGGTTCGAACTTCCTCCTTTAGCTTGGAGATGTTTGATTGTCTGAAGCCTTCTTCTCTCAACTCGTCAAAGTTATTCTCCGTCCAGCTTTGTTCCGTTGCTGGTGAGGAGCTGCGTTCCTTTGGAGGGGGGAGGTGCTGTGATTTTTAGAATTTTCAGCTTTTCTGCTCTGTTTTTTTCCCCATCTTTGTGGTTTTATCTACCTTTGGTCTTTGATGATGGTGACGTACAGATGGGGTTTTGGTGTGGATGTCCTTTCTGTTTGTTAGTTTTCCTTCTAACAGTCAGGACCCTCAGCTGCAGGTCTGTTGGAATTTGCTGGAGGTCCACCCCAGACCCTGTTTGCCTGGGTATTAGCAGCAGAAGCTGCAGAACAGCGAATATTGCTGAACAGCACATGTTGCTGCCTGATCGTTCCCCTGGAAGCTTTGTCTCAGAGGGGTACCCAGCCATGTGAGGTGTCAGTCTGCCCCTACTGGGGGGTGCCTCCCAGTTAGGCTACTCGGGGGTCAGGGACCCACTTGAGGAGGCAGTCTATCTGTTCTCAGATCTCAAACTCGATGCTGGGAGAACCACTACTCTCTTCAAAGCTGTCAGACAGGGACATTTTAGTCTGCAGAGGTTTCTGCTGCCTTTTGTTTGGCTATGCGCTGTCCCCAGAGATGGAGTCTACAGAGGCAGGCAGGCCTCCTTGAGCTGTGGTGGGCTCTACCCAGTTCAAGCTTCCTGGCTGCTTGGTTTACCTACTCAAGCCTCAGCAATGGTGGGTGCCCCTCCCCCAGCCTTGCTGCCGCCTTGCAGTTTCATCTCAGACGGCTGTGCTAGCAATGAGCGAGGCTCCATGGGCGTGGGGCCCTCTGAGCCAGGCGAGGGATATAATCTCCTGGTGTGCCATTTGCTAAGACCGTTGGAAAAGTGTAGTATTAGGGTGGGAATTACCTGATTTCCCAGGTGCCATCTGTCACCGCTTCCCTTGGCTAGGAAAGGGAATTCCCTGACTCCTTGCGCTTCCTGGGTGAGGCGATGCCTCACCCTGCTTTGGCTCACACTTGGTGGGCTGCACTCACTGGCTGATGAGCCCCAGTGAGATGAAGCCAGTACCTCAGTTGGAAATGCAGAAATCACCCGTCTTCTGTGTCGCTCACTCTGGGAGCTATAGACTGGAGCTGTTCCTATTTGGTCATCTTGGAACCCTGTTCCTTCCTTCCTTCCTTCCCTTCTTTCCTTCTTTCCTTCTTTCCTTTCTTTCTCTTTCTTTCTTTCTTTCTTTCTTTCTTTCTCTCTCTCTCTCTCCTTCCTTCCTTCCTCTCTCTTTCCTTCTTTCTTTCTTTTTTCCCTTCATTCCCTTCCTTCCTTTCCTTCCCTCCCTTCCCTCTCTCTTCCCCTTCCCCTTCCCCCTTCCCTCTTCCTTCCTTCCTTCCTTTCTTTCTTTCTTTCTTTCTTTCTTTCTTTCTTTCTTTCTTTCTTTCCCTCTCTCTCTCTGTCTCTCTCTCTCTTTCTTTCTTTCTTCCCTTCTTCCTTCCTTCCTTCACAGAGTCTCACTCTGTCACCCAGGCTGGAGTGCAGTAGCATGATCTCAGCTCACTGAAACCTCCATCTCCTGAGTTCAAGCCATTCTCATGCTTTAGCCTCCAGAGTAGCTGAGACTACAGGAGTGTGCCTCCATGCCCAGCTAGTGTTTCTTTTTCTTCATATTTTTAGTAGAGAGAGGGTTTCACTATGTTGGCCAGGCTGGTCTCAAACTTCTCACCTCAGGTCATCTGCCCACCTTGGCCTCCCAAAGTGCTGGGATTACAAGCATGAGTCACCATGACTGGCCTGAAGTTAATACTTCAGCACTTCAAAGAGATCATTTTGGTTGTAGTGTGGAGAATTAATTGGAGGAAGACAAGAGTAGGTGAAGGTAGAGTAATTAGTAGGCATTAGTAGTCCCGGCAAATATTAAGATAGTTGGGATGGAGTGGGGACAATAAAAGTGGAAAGAAATAGACAGATCTGAGAATATTTAGGGCCTCTAATCGACAGGACCTGGTGACTGATTGGATATGGAAGGCAAGGGAGAAGGAGGAATTTGAAATGACTCCTAAGTGTCTGATTTCCTTAGCTGGATGGATGATGATATAGTTTACTGAATTGGAGACTCTGGAAGATCAGGTGTAGAGCAGAGGGTATCAGTTAAAGTTCTTTATGATCCAAGTGATAGAAAATCTAACACAAATTAGCTTATACAGAAAGGGATTTAGTTGACTAAACTGGAAAAAATGTTATATTGGCATTAGGCATGGCATGTGGTCAAAGAATATGACAGGAATCAATCTCTTTGCTCTGTTTCCCTTGGGTACCTTTGTCCACTTATGGAAACAAGATGACCATATACTCTACTCACTCCACCAAGTACAGAGAAAGGGCAAGGTCTTCTCTTTCTAGCAGCCCCAGCTAAGGCATCACTGTGAATTGCTTGGTTTGATTGGATTATATACTCACAGCCCAAGAGTCACCCTGGCCAGAGTAGTGGGTGAGAGTGGAGGAACCTCACAGAGACCAGGTTGGCCAAGAGTTGGAGGAATAAAGTCCTTAAAGGAAATTAGGATACTGCTGCTGTAAGAAACAGAAAAATTGATGCTGGGAAGGTGTATTAGTCTTTTCTCACACTGCTATGAAGAAATACCCAAGACTGGGTAATTTATAAAGAAAAGAGGTTTCATTGGCCCATGGTTCTGCAGGCTGTACAGTAAGCAAACACCTTCTGCTTCTGGGGAGGCCTCAGTAAACTTACAATCATGGTGGAAGGTGAAGGGGAAGTAGGGAAGTCTTACACAGCCAGAGCAGGAGAAAGAGGTGGGGGGGAAGTGCCACCCACTTTTAAACAACTAGGTCTTGTGATAACTCATTTACTAACATGAAAACGGCACCAATACAGAAATCTGTCCCCATGATCCAATCACCTTCCACCTGGCCCCACCTCCAACATTGGGGATTACAATTCGACATGAGATTTGGGCAGGGACACAGATCTAAACCCTATCAGAAGGTACCCACAAGTTCCCATGACTAGTTCCTTAGTTGTGTTTTGAACATGATGTATTTGAGGTGCCTTTAAGATATTCAAAATATGATGGACACTTGGGTTTAATCTCACTGGTGAGTTCTGGGCTGGAAATACACTTTGAGTGTAATTTGCATAAAGGTAGTATTTGAAACCGATGGAATGAATGAAATCAACTAGGGAGACGAATATACAGTGAGAAGATCAAAGAACCAAGGAAAAAGTGTGGAGGAATTCCAATATTGAATTGAAATTGAATTCTCCTTTACTTGAATTTTCAGGTAGCCAGAGAGGTAGGAAGAAATCCAGGAGGACTCATTTAACAAACACAGTAGCTGCATTCTTGGAATTTATTGACTAATAACCACACTTGAAATAAAAAAACTGATAGTAATATAGACAGTTATAACACCATAAGTTAAGGTTGTGTTAGAGGTATGAACTCCCAGAGCATCCCACAGGAGCAGAGAGAAGAGGCTGACTAATTGTTCCTGGGGGAGAGAAAAGCATTATATGGGAAGTCTTGAAAGATGATTGAAATTTTGCCAGTTGGAGAAGAAAAAGCTGCAGATCCAAGTTGAACTTATATAGGAGACTCATGAAGGATTTGAGTCAGATCTATGAGAACTTCAGGAAATAGGCCAGGATGAATGTTGACTAAGGGGGAAAAGTTGGAGTTATCACATAGGTCACCTTTGTGGGTGGCTGTTTATCTTAGGGCTTGTCTATGTCACTCCATCATTTCAAAAGCCATCTTGAGGCCACGCACGGTGGCTCGCACCTGTAATCCCAGCATTTTGGGAGGCCAAGGCGGATGGATCACCTTAGGTCAGGAGTTCAAGACCAGCCTGGGTAACATGGCAAAACCCCGTCGCTACTAAAAGTACATAAATTAGCCGGGCATGGTGGCGGGCATCTGTAATTCCAGCTACCCGGAGGCTGAGGCGGGAGAATCACTTGTACCTGGGAGGTGGAGGTTACAGTGAGCTGAGATCATGCCAGACTCTGTCTCAAAACAAAACAAAACAAAAACAAACAAACAAACAAAAAGACATCTTGAAGCTGACGTTGTATCCTGGATTTGTGTTTATCCTGGATTGGCTGGTTGGTTGAAATATTGATGGGCATTTTTGGCATTAGAAAGAGTAAATTTAAAAGGTTTCTATATGGTGAATATTGACTAGTTATTTTCTGTTACTGCCAAAGTGAAAACAAGAAGAAATATGATTGCATTTCAACAAAGATATTTTAAGATAAACATTAAGATGAGTTTTCTTTTCAGCGACATTTATTTTACTTGTCTGCATCAGCCTTCGAATTTATAGGCTTAGCCAGACAATGATAACAGCAGTCAAAGATAGAAAGGTTATACATTAAACAAGCAGACAAACAAAAACATAAATAAATAAAGTCAATAAGCTTATTGGGAATGGGTGAGCTGAAGAAGTCACAATTGAGGCAATTACCATAACATTTCCAACTAGTTAGTATCAAGTTTCTGGAATTTATGACTTAGGGACCTGATTAGCCAGAGGGCTTGGGTAGAGGCACACGTTCCAGGCATTCCTGGCAAAGGGTAGCTGTGATAGGCAGAATAATGTTTCCCAAAGTTGTCCACATCCTAATCCTGGGAAGCTGTGAGTGCGTTGGGCTATATGACAAAGAAGGATTAGGTTGCAGATGGAATTAAGGTTGCCTGTCAGCTGACCTTAGAGGGGGATTTTCCTTGTGGGGCTAATTTAATCATAAGTGTTTTTTAAAGTAGAAGAGGGAGGCAGAAGAGAAAGTCAGAGTCAGAGAAATATTTGAAGATGCTACGCTGCTGGCTTCAAAGATGGAGGAGGGGGCCATGAGCCAAAGAATGCAGGCAGCCTCTAGAAGGTGGAAAAGGCAAGGAAGCAGGCTCTCCCCTAGTGCCCCCAGAAAGGGAGGCTCATCTCTGCCGACACCTGGATTTTAGCTCAGTAAGACTTTTGGACTTACCTTCAGAGTCACAAGACAATACACTTATGTTGTTTTAAGCCACTAAGTTTGTGGTAACACGGTACAGCAGCAACAGGAAACTAAACAGTGGCCAAGATGGTCTAACAAATGATAGACTCATGCAGTAGGTTAGTTTATGGTATAGACAGAAGCTAGGTGGTAATAGGGGAGGCCAGGGACTCAAGATGTTATCATTACCTCTATTTTGTTAATTAAAAACGAAACGTTTTATTTTGGAGTAAATTTAGACTTTTAGAAAAGTTGCAAAAATAGTACAAAGAATTCATATGTACCCTTTGCATAGGTGGAAATAGGGAAGTTTTTTATTAACACATATAATGTAATAATAATCTGTGAGGCTCTTATTTCCTTTTTTTAGTTTATTACATTGACTGGGATGCATCCAGTATGATACATCCAGTATGATGCTGAACAGGACTGATAAGAGAGGACATCCTTTTCTTGAGCTTAATGGGACAGCATTCAGTCTTTCATGACTACATATGATATTTCTTCTTTTTTTTTAATGTTCACATTGTGAATTGTATTGAATGACTTTCAAATGTTGAATCAGTATCCCTGGGATAAATCCCACTTGATTGTGATTGATATGTTTGGCTGTGTCTCTACCCAAATCTCATCTTGAATTGTAGTTCCCATAATCCCTATGTGTCATTTGGAGGGACCCGGTGGGAGGTAATTAAATCATGGGGGTTGTTACCCCCATACCGCTGTTCTTGTGATAGTGAGTGAGTTCTCACGAGATCTGATGGTTTTTTGAGGGGCTTTCCCCCCTCCTTCACTCTGCACTTCTTGCTGCCACCATGTGAAGAAGGACATGATTGCTTCCACTTCTGCTATGATTTTAAGTTTCCTGAGGCCTTCTCAACCATGCAGAACCATGAGTCAATTAAACTTCTTTCCTTTATAAATTACCCAGGCTTGAGTATATCTTCATTAGCAGCCTGAGAAGGGACTAATACCGTGATATATGATCCTTTTTATATAGTGCTAGATTTGATTTGCTAGTATTATGTTGACTATTCTAGCTGACCGCTTTTCCCCAGTGTCCATCCAGTTCCATCTACCCCAGGTAAGCTAGTAGTCACATCTCCGCTCTCCTTGAAGATATCTGTCTGACCTTGTATTTTGGACCAACTGATTGCCTTGAGACCTCAGTTCTCCAATGTGTTTGAAAAAAGTAATGAATTTGCAATTGTCTTGTCTTGTTGTTTTGTTGCTGTTCTACGGGAGAGGGCAAAGCTCTGTCCAAGTATTTATATCCGTAAGTGGAAACTAGAGGCTCTGCAATTGTTTTTTCCACCATTGTTTGTCTGAGATAAGATCCAAATTAGATTTATACAACCTAACGGTTGATATGTCCCTTAAGTCTCTTTTGATCTATAGTTTCTCCCTGTTTTTCTCTCTTTTTGTCCCTCACCTTCTTTTCTCTGTATTGTTGTTGGAGATACCAGCATTTTCTATCTTAAAGTTTGCCACAGTCTGAATTTTACTGACTGTGTCCCTGTGGTATGGTTTAATATGGTTCTCTGTCCCCTGTGTTTCCTGTAAATTGGTAGTTAGATCTTGAGACTTTATCAGAATCAGGTTCATTTTTTGATAATTTGTGATATAGATATTTCTTTAAGTGTGTGTGATGTTATCAGCCATCGATGTTCAATGCCTAGCTCTATTAATTCATTAGGATGTGTTCATTCGCTGTCTTTGATGGATGAAGAAAATGAGGCTCAGAGAGGTTGAATTCCTTTCCTAAAATTCCTTTCTTTTTTTTTTTGGAGATAGAATCTCGCTTTGTTGCCCAGGCTGGAGTGCACTGGCACGATCTCGGCTCCCTGCAACCTCTGCCTCCCGGGTTCAAGTGATTCTCCTCCCTCAGCCTTCTGAGTATCTGAGATTACAGGCATGCACCACCACACCCAGCTTTTTTTTTTTTTTTTGGTATTTTTAGTGGAGACGAGGTGTCATTTTTTTGGCCAGGCTGGCCTCGAATTCCTGGCCGCAAGTGATCTGCCCATCTCGGCCTCCCAAAGTGCTGGGATTGAAGGTGTGAGCCACCGTACCCAGCCTGAATTACTTTCCTAAGACAATACGGACAGTAAGGTTGTACCCAGGCCTGGAATCTGTGTCTTATAAACGCAAGCTCTATATCCATTTATAAGCCTATTGACTTTCCAGACTTAGCATTATTAAGTCACAGCAAGATCAATGTTTCATCCCGAAGGACATGGGACACTCTCATCTCTTTTAGGAAGAGATGAATCTCTATGAATTCAGTTTTGCTTGGAGTGATTATACCATACCATACCATACCATACCATACCATACCATACCATACCATACCATACCAAGTGATTATTCAAAATATTTTCCCCTCAAGTTCTGCATTACATTTGTTCTTATGGATACAATTAAAGAATTATCCATTGCTAATTGCAGTGCCTGGAGTGGTATCCAAACTCAACTCAGAATCCTGAGCACATTTGGGTTTCTGCTTGCCTCTTCAGTTCAACAGAAGAAAAAACAACAAAACAAACAGATGTAGAATAAATACTACAAAGCAATTTGTTTTTTTTATATTGCATTCAAGACTTGCTACTAAAATTTCTCTTCTGAGAGAAGAAGAGACAGGGAGAGAGAGAGAGTGAGAGAGAGAGAATGTTGCAACTGTTTTTTATCTACTACCTAAATTTTTCATGAATTTGTATCTAAGATGACATAGTATCTCTCTTGGGGGCAAGAAATTTCATAAATCATTGGTTAGAGTTAGTGTAAACAATTCAGGAGAAATGCATTTTCAACTCTAAAAAAAATAAATTTGTTATGTTCAAATAGGCCAAGGACAGACATCTCTCTTGACCTGACCTTTTATTTTTCAACACAAGTGGATGTACTTAGGTTGCCTTCCTGTATCATCTGACCTAAGAGTGTGACATTCCTGAGCTTATTTTCCAAAAGAGGTCAAGAACTTCCCACCCTGTGAATATTTTCTTGGAAGCTTGGAGTTTATGAAATCAGTAATATAAAGATTATTATTGAAACACCTTCTAATCTATTTCAAACACAACTTATACAGTGAGGGAGGATGAATATGGCTTTACCTTTTAACCACAAAGCTCTGGGATTCCCAAGCAGAGAAAAGGCCCGGCTTCTCTACTTCCTCCTAGGAAGATTCAGGAACTCTTAGGTGAGATTGGAACTTTTTGACCTGAATGGAACTTTTTGGTTCTGCTGGACACTAGGAGAAAATCAGGCAGAAATCTAAAAATCCTATCAAACTTTGGAAACAGTCTCAAAGGGCCAGGACGAGGACCAGGGTTGACAGACATAGATTAGGAATTATATTTGGAGTATTAAGGTAGTGTGGAGTCTCAGCAATTATCTGGTCCAACACATTTTGAATGCTGACTTATACAAAGTTGCAAAATTGTCAATGGCCAAGCAGAGATTGGAGTCTGTTCTGCTAAGCTGTTCCTTGAACTTCTCTCCCCCTGGCATCTGAATTCAGAAGAACTGGGCATGGTTTCTGGCTCTAAAGTTCACTGTATTGGTGACCTTGGGTAAATCACACTGACTGTCACTGGACCTCATTTCCCCCATCTGAAGAATGCAGATGATTGCGATTCAGGTTGTAGTGGATTAAATGGGGGTAATGTGTGTGGAAGCCTTCATAAACTAGAAAGCACATGGAAAAGTTATTAGAGCTATGCAATTGGACTGACTCTGGTTAGATCCACTGACATTCCCCAGGAAATTTGACACTAGATCAAGACTTCCTCTCTTCCCAAAAACCTTGGGTGTGAATCCAAAGCCCATTAATATCTTGGGAATAAGGAGCAGCAGGTTGGTCAGTTCAGTAAGATCATCCTAACAGGCTCATGTATAGTCTGGAAGGAGCCTGACTCTTGGGAGTCACCAGTAGGACTGTGTGGGTGTCTTTCAGTATTCTCTTTCTACTTCTGCTGCAGCTGCAAAAACATACAGTTCATAAATTTCTCTAATGCCTATAGGAGCCCTCACTAGGGATCTTTGGAAAGAGTAATCTTCACATTTAAAAGTATTTTCTCATTATGGATAATGGGATGATGAGGTGAAAAATGATCTTAGCTACTTATGATTCTAAAAAGCCTTCAGATGGAATAACCTATGGAGAATTAGACATAATGGCAGCAAAGAAATAACTCACTTACTACAAGGTCCACTTACTTATTTAATCACTGTTACTGTCATACAAATATGTATTCCGTACAAAGTGATGAAAAGTTAGTAGTGGCATAAAATGCAGTTGTGGAAGGACAACTTAGCAAATGCAGACATAAACACACATATATATTTACATGTGTATATCATTTTTGTTTTGGAATAAGTTTTGATTTACATTTAAGTTGCAAAGATAGTGCAGAGAGTTCCTGTGTACCCTTCTCCCAGGTTGTCCTAATGTTAACATGTTACATAACCAAAAGACAAAGTTATCTGATGACCTAAAGAAAAAAAAATTAAGAACATTGAAGACCAATTAACAAAGTTTGTGCTGAAATTAAGGTCATTCTAAGTGGAGAGATTGGGATAAATATTTTCAACATATGTAACAGAAAACGTATTAATACCCAATAATGAAACTTCTATGAATTAGTTGCTGTAAATGGCAAACACCTAAATAAAAATGTGCAGAAAAAGAAAGATTGGGTAATTTGCAAAGGAATGAAAAAGGAATGTCCAAAATATTTAAGGAAATAAGGTCATCTGAAGTTGTAATTAGTAACATAAAAAATAAGATTATCATTCCTTAGAATGTCAAAAATCAAAAAGCTTGATAATACCAGATCTTCACAACAATGCAGTGAAATACACATTCTCATATGTTGTTGGTGGAAGCATGAGTTGTTCAAGCCTGTTGGGAAGGCACTTCGTTAATATAAATCAGATTTTAAGGTTCACATAGTTTTTGACTTAACAATCCATTTCTAGGAGATTTTTTAACCAAAAACCCTCAAGCACATGTTTTATAAAAATCTATGTACAAGGAAGTTCGTGTTAGCATTAGTTATAAAAGTAAAAAACTGGAGGCAACATGCACGTCAATAACTGAGGGTGTAGTGAATACATTATCGTATACATTTTCTGTGCAAAGCTACATAGTCATTATAAAGAATGAGGTATAGCTGTGTGTTCAGATGTGGGATGATCTCTGAGATGTGTCACTATGAAGTGGAGAAAGCAAGTCACAGAACTGATAGGAGAGCCGGCTTCCTTTTGTGTTTAAAAAAAAGAAAGTGTGTGTTCATATATGTAAAGATCCATGTATAAATCCATGCAGCAATGGAGAGTACCCGCCAAAGAACAGGGAAAGGGCCCACTCATGTTTTAAATTGTGTATTTTTGGATGTTTGAATCTTTTACAATCTGAATATTATCTATATGCTATTTATACAATTCAAATTTAAATAAGAAAAAGAATAAGAATTTTCTCTGTTATTGTCCTTTTACTCTTAAGAATATAAAACAATACTTATGTATTTGCAATGAAAACTGGGGATTTAGAGAGAGTGAAGTCGCCCGAGTATGTCTCCTGACAAAAGGCATCTCTCGATACTGGCTCACATGTCCAGATAGGTCAAGCTACCTTTTGGAAGCCCAGTTCTCTTCAGCAATTTCTTCCATTTTGGTGGGTACTTTCTAACGCGCTTCCCAACCCTGGGCCATAGCTAAGGGCCCTTCTGTTTCCCCGCACAGGCTGGCTGTTGGCAGCCTTTGCTCAAAGGCAGACTGACGTCCTAATCAGAGTGCTTTGCCGGTAGCACTGGCATTTCAGAAACACTGACAACCGCGGCGGAAGCAGCAGATAAACAGCATATCACCCGCTAGAGTGGGCCTTGCTGTTTCTCAGATTAAATGGAAACATATGCCCAATTGTGAATTTTAAACAGCGTTATCAGACTGTTTGACAGCTCATCCAGTAATATAATAAGGTTCCACTGAGAAGGTGGAAGCTGTAATTCAAATTTCAGAATTTCCTTTTATATATCGGTAGATGAGAGGGTTGTGGGTATGGTTTCCATGTACCTGGGGCTGGTGTGTGTATGCACGCATTCAGATGCTTACATATGTGCGTATGTGACCGTCCTAATTTAAAATATTTTATGCTGTTTTCTTTGTCAACCACCAACATATTCCCCAACGATAAAATTCTTATGTCTAAGCCACATTTCCAAGGGGTCAGAGGGTGGGTGGGTATACAGGAGGGGGGATGGAAAACAAATTCTGGCTGGGGTTATGCTGTTTAACGATTTATAATTTCTATTCTAACTGTGTACCATCCATTCGCACAATAAGTATATTTTCTTTGTTAAGAAAAACTCAGAAAGAAGTACAGCAGATTACCAAATATAGAAAGCAACTTAAGTATTCATCTTTCATAAAACTTGTTTTGGTAAATGGTTTCATTCTGAGAATCTTTTATATTTTAATTTTAAAACAATTGAAAATAATTGATGTGTTTATGGCCTTCGTTTGTATTCTTGAAAGGAATATCTCGGATCATCAAAATGTTGCCAACTTCTACATCATGTGCCAGATGTGTGGGGCTGAGACAACTGTAAAGAAGTAGTGTGTGGTGTGTGAGGTGTATGAATGTGGTTTGTGTGTGTGATGTGTGTGTGTGGTGTGTGTGATGTGGTGTGTGGGGTGTGTGGCGTGGTGTGTGTGCTGTGTGTATGGTGTGGTGTGTGTGCTGTGTGATTCGTGGTGTGTGTGCTGTGGTTCATAGTGTTTGTGTGTGGGTATGTGATTGTGTGTGGTGTGTGAATGTGTGGTGTGTGTGTACGATGTGTGTTGTGTGGTGTGTGTGTGCTGTGGTGTGTGGTGTGTGTGTGGTGTGGTGTGTGTGGTGTGTGTATGATGTGTGTGTGTGCTGTGCATGGTGTGTGTGTGGTGTGTGGCATATGCGTATGATGTGTGTGGTGTGAGTGTATGATGTGTATGTGGTGTGTGGGGTGTGTGTGGCGTGTGCATGGTGTGTGTGGTGTGTGAGTGTGCGGTGTGGCATGTGTGGTTTGTGTATGTGGTGTGGGGTGTGTGTGGTGTGTGTGTGATGTGTGTGTGTATGATGTGTGTGTGTGTGTTGTATGGTGTGTGTATGATGTGTGTGTGGTATGGTGTGTGTGCAGTGTGTGTGGTATGTGTGTGTGGTGTGTGTGGTGTGTGGTGTGTATATGATGTATGTGTGTGTGTATGGTGTGAGTGTGTGACATAAGCATGGCAAAGGGCAGGATTACACCGAAAGCCAAAGCAAGAACCTTCTTTTTTTCCATCTTTCCTTTCTTTTCTTTTCTTTCCTTTTCCCCTTTCTTTTCTCTTCTGATTACTTCAGTCTTCTCTTCCTCATTTTCCCTTTTATTCTATACTTCCCTTTAAAAATGTTTCATAACTTTAAAAAAATTGACATATCATAGTTCGTACTTGGGGGGTACACGTGATGTTTTGATACCTATATACAATGTGTAGTGATCAAATCATGGCAATTGGGTTACCTATCACCTCAAACATTTTTCTTTCCCCTGTGTTGGGAACGTTACAATTCTTTCTCTTCTAGCTACTTTTAAATCTACAATAAATTATTGTTAACTATAATTTCCCTACTGAACTATCAAATACTAAAACTTATTCTTCCATGTAACTGTATTTTTGTACCCATTAACCAACTTCTCTTTCCCCCTTTTCCTCCTTCCCTCCCCAGCCTCTGGTAAGCACTATTCTACTCTCTACCGCCATGAGATCTATTTTTTTTTAGCTACCACATAGGCATGAGAACATGTGATATTTGTTTTTGTGTGCCTGGCTTATTTCACTTAACATAATGACCTCCAGTTCCATCCATGTTTCTGCAAATGACAGGGCTTCACTCTTTTTATTGCTGAATAATATTCCATTGTGTATACAAACTACATATTCTTTATCCATTGATGCACACTTAGGTAGAGTCCGTATCTTGACTGTTGTGAATAGTGCTCTAATAAACATGGGAGTGCAGTATATCTTCAATATAATGATTTCCTTTCTTTTGGATATATACCCAGCGGCGGTATTTTTGGATCATATGGCAGTTCTATTTTTAGTTTTTTGAGGATCTCCATAATATTTTTCGTATGGCTGTACTACTTTGCATTTCTACAACAGTATACAAGAATTCCCCTTTCTCTGCATTCTTTCCAGGATTTGTTTTATTTTATTTTATTTATTTTATTTTTGAGATGGAGTCTCGTTCTGTCACCCAGGCTGGAGTGCAATGGCATGGTCTTGGCTCACTGCAACCTCCACCTCCTGGGTTCAAGCGATTCTCATGCCTCAGCCTCCTGAGTAGCTGGGATTACAGGTGTGTGCCATCATGCCCAGCTAATTTTTGTATTTTTACTAGAGATAGGGTTTCGCCATATTGGGCAGGCTGGTGTGGAACTCCTGACCTCAAGTGATCAGCCTGCCTCAGCCTCCCCAAGTGCTGGGATTACAGGTGTGAGCCACTGTGCCCTCCGGGATTTATTATTTTGTATCTTCTTGATAATAATCAATCTAACTGGAGTGAGATGATATCTCATTGTGGTTTTGATTTGCATTTCCCTGAAGATTAGTGATGTTGAGTTTTTTTTTTTTTTTGCTTAACTTTCGGCCATTTGTATATTTTCTTTTGAGAACTGGCTGTTCAGGTTTTTTGCCCATTAAAAAAAACTAGGAATGGGGTCAACTGGGGTGTTGCCCAGGCCAGCTTCAAACTCCTGGGCTCAATCCTCTTGCCTCAGCCACCTGAGTAGTTGGGACTATAGGCATGTGCCTCTGTGCCTGTGTCCGTTTTAAGATCAGATTATTTGCTGTTGTTTGTTTTATTGCTCTTGAGTTGTTTGAGTTCCTTATATATTCTGGTTGTTAATTCCTTATCGGATGGTGCTATAGTTCGGATATCTGACCTTCCAAACCTTCTATTGAAATTTGATCCCCAACAATGGAGGTGGGGCCTAATGGGAGGTGTTTGGGTCATGGGGGCAGATCCCTCATGAATGACTTGGTGCCATCCTTGTGGTAATGAGCGAGTTATCCCTCTATTAGTTCCAAAGAGCTGATTGTTTAGAGTCTGGTGGTACCTTTCACCCCTCTCTCTTCCCTGCTGTCACACCGTGTGGTCTGTGTACACACCTGCTCTCCTTCACCTTCCACCATGAGTGGAAGCAGCCTGAAGCCCTCACCAGAAGCAGAAGCTGGTGCCAGGATTCTTGTACAGCCTGCAGAACAGTGAGCTAAATAAACCTCTTTTCTTTATAAGTCACCTAGTCTCAGGTATTCCTTTAAAGCAACACAAACTGAGACAGATGGATAGTTTGCAAATATTTTCTCCCATGCTGTAGGTGGTCTTTTCACTTCATTAATTGTTCTCTTTGCTGTGCAGAAGTTTTTGGCTTGATACAATCACATTTGTCTGTTTTCGCTTTTGTTACTGATGCTTTTGAAGTCTAACCCCCAAAAATCTTTCCCCAGATCAAAGTTTTTTTTTTTTTTTTTCTAGTAGTTTCATAGTATCAGGTCTTACCTCTAAGTCCTTAATCCATTTGGAGTTGACTTTTGTATAGGGTGAAAGATGGGGATTTATCTCACTTTTTCACATCCACTATACTTATCTTCCCTCCTATCTTTTTTGTATACATGGTTATAGGATTTTCACCAGTGTTTTATTATGTTTTTAGAAAACATGTTTTGCAGAAGAGAAACTCTTATGAATTTTCTGTTGTGCTTCAAATCGTAATCATTCAAGGAATATATCCCAAATAGCTCTGATAGGAAACACTATTGAACAATTAGTAAGATATGTTCATAAGAATCATTATGAGGAATAAAAACAACTAAGGTTCTTAAAAAGAAAAAAATACTTCCAACTGTAAAAATATCATTTTTTATTAGAATGATCTTCATTTACTTCAACACAAATAAATTTAAAGCAGCATTAGAAAATGTAGCATTTAATAAAGTCTTTATACATCCTGTTCTCAACTGACATTTTTTCCTTAAGAAATACCTGAATTTGGTTGTGACATTAAATTCGCAAAGTTTGGCTCTGTATTTTTAGTGCCTTATTTGTGATTTTGTTGTTTTAAAATAAAAGCTATTCAGTGTGAATAAATTTGAATTGGCAAGCAGAATGGCCTACTACCAAACATTCAGTAACCAGATTCAATAACCACATGCCAAGCCAGAACATTGGAAAAATCCTCAAGTTAATTAAAACAAAGGCTTTAATATTTCTTAGCATTTGCAGCTGTTCTATCCAGAGAGGGCAGGCGCCTGCTGGGTTGTGTTAGCCTGGGATTAGTAGTTCAGGAAAAAGCAAAAGCAAAGTGAGCTCGTTTATTAAGTTTTCTGATGTTCAGTTTCTTCTGTGAAATGGGTATAATAGTAATAGTACTTACCTTGTAGGTATTCATATTATTATAAAATAAGAAATTGGGTATATGAAAAATTGAGTATGGTATATATTAGTTATTATTCAGTGCTCAGAGGGACAGAGGTCATTGTTCTCAAAGGTTTTGCTCTAAGTTTCATTTTTGCTTTTCATTTATGGTTTGACTGCAGCAGACATCTGTATCCATTGTCTTGATGAGGTCTTAATACCTTCATTGAAAATTTTATGAGAGGATAATAATAAGCTCATTTAAAAGTTTAAATGTCCATGGTCATTATATTAAAGTTCTCCAGAGAAATAAAACCAGTAGAATATGTAAAGAGAGATATGAGAAGTGATTTATTATGAGGACTGGCTCACTTGGTGAGGCAAGAGAAGACCCTTGATATGCCATTTGTAGCTGGTGGGGTAATTCAGTTTAAGTCCAAAGGCCTGAGAACCTGGAGGGTGGGGAGGTGGGTGGTTGGTGCGGACATAAGTCCTGGAGTCTGAAGGCCCAAGAACCAGGAGCTCCATTGTCAAATGCCAGGAGAAGATGGATATCCCAGCTCAAGAAGAGAGAAAGAGAGAGAATTCACCCTTCCTCCATCACTTTGTTCATTCGTGCCCTCAATGGATTGGATAGTGAAGATTGATCTTCTTTGTTGAGTTTACTGATTCAAATGCTAATCTCTCCTAGACTCACCTGGGAATAATATTTTACTAACTATCTGGGCATGCATTAGCTCAGTCATGTTGACACATAAAATTAACCATCATAGTCATTATCTTCAAAAAGTCCCTGGGACTGTGAGTTTCTTAAGGAAAGTCCATATATTATTATTCATGTCACTGCCTGGTTCTTGGTTGATGATAAGGCAATGCTTGTAGCATGACCCAATCTACGACCCTGTTTATAGGAGGCGATGGTGATCCAGTCCATTATTAAGCAATTAGCATTTGGGAATCAAGCACATGCAGTTCAAGAGAATACCCTAAATGATCCTTTATTCTCAAGTTGAACTGAGTCCATAGGTAGAATAAGATTTTGGAGTAGCCCCCTTTTGTCTTCAGCTTCAGACCTGTTTATTCTTCTTGGCCTCTGCAGCAGCTTCTCAACCATCCAGCTCCATTTGGCTCCACTCTAGAATGAGTGGTGGTTGTGGTAGGTTTTGATCCTGACAACTGGATCTTTTATACTGCCAACATTGATCCCATGGCAGTTTCTGTTTGTTATGATGCTAATAGTCTTCATCTCTTTTTCTTCTACATTGAATTTTATCACTAAATTCTCCTTCTGGCACCAAGCTTTGTATGTGCCATACCCTAGAAAGATGATAAGGTGGATGGGGCCAGGGTGAAGAAAAAGAAAGTTCATCTCATCACAAATAAATGAACCTACAGAACAGAGGATATTCAATTAAGATCTACATTTTTGTTTCCCCTACACAAACCACCACAGCTTTTTCAGTAGAAAAAATATTTTTAGTGGAAGCTGAAGTTACCAACATCATTGAGGTTGGAAGAAGAATCTTTTCTGGCAGCTGAAAGTAAACGAAAAGAGTCGTAGCCACTGACAGTGAGTTGTGTGTGAAAGCAGCAACCCCAGGCTCACTGGCAAGGAATAAAGATGCCAGAGAGCACTGCCTGATTGAAGAAACCGAGGGGAGAGACCAGTCTGAGATGCTGCGGATGGCCAGTAGCTGGACTGCTTGATAAATGGGGTCCTGGCTATACCACTTCATAGCTGTAATCTATGCAAGTCACTTGATCTTTCTTAATCTGAGGTTATCACCATAAAATGGAGGAACAAATACTTGAAATCTGCTCTACTTCATAGGATTGCTGTTATTGTAAAAAAAATGACAAAAATAAGTAGTCAGTCAAATGCTTCTGTTAGATGAGCAAATGGGTCCCATACAGGAAAGGAATTATGGACCAAAAGCCAGAATTAATGGCCATTTGTAGTTTCCTGCACCAGAATAGATTTTTTTTTCTATGTTGAAAACTGAAACAATGTGTTTTAAAATAACATTCATTGTAAGGCCTTTCAATTCAGAATTGAGCCAGTGTTTTGTAATATATAGGTACACAGCAAAACTGGATCTTCAAAGCCTTCAAATAGGCTTTATTGAATTGATACTGTGTTTGATTCTGGTCTCAGCCCTTGGCTTGTGTTGAGACCTCCTTTGAGACCCTCACTGTCATCTGTGTCAGTATTTTTAAGGATCCCTTACAAGTGTAGCCGGGTGGAAGCCCGTCTGCTTTCTTCAATGTGGTCGCTGGTCACGAGTGTTCAGGAAGGATGGAGGTGACACAGGTGAGCCACAGAGAGCTGGCGTCTCCCCAGCCACTGCTGCCGCCTTTGCCTGTCAGCATTCTGACAGGGACGGTTTGTCATTTTACCAGCTGACTCCTCGACTTTGACATTTAACTACAGCATCTTACACAAGACTCCAGACACCTTGAATCTGGCTTAATTAGCAAGGCTATGCCTCATCCTTCCTCCCCAGGTGCTTCTCCCAGTGGCCAACTTTAGAGCGAATTTAGCAGTAGATTTGTAGGTTGCAAGCCTGGACTTTGATTCTGGCCCCTTGTTATGCAGGGAGGGTTTCTGCCTCAGCATTAAAAAGATGAAAACAAATGTCTCACAGGGAAGAGGAGATTCAGAGTCTGGTGGGGTCAGAGAGCCAGATGTGGGCAGGAGACCCACCAGGAGGAACTAGCTAGGAAGGGGAGGAGGTAGAGGTAGCAATGGCTATGACAGTGTTTAGGTAGCAGGAGAAGCAGATAAACACAGTTATCTGTGGACTCATACATGTGGATATTCCAGAATCTGCAAATGGAGGGGTGATTGAGGCACTGCACAGTGAACTGGTTTCTTCAGTAATTTCAGGAAAACATGTGACTTGTTAAGGCTCCTTAGAGGCAAGCTCAATGGATCGATAGGTGAAGTATAATCTTACTAGCACTACAGGGACCTGGTTGTTACTGAGATGTATTCATAGTGATTAGTTAAACCTTATGATGATGTATTTAATTGTGATGTATGAGAAATGTTACTCTGCAGAGTATGAAAGAACGACTGTATGAATGTATCGAATTGTTTACTTTTCCGCTTTCAGTGTTGTGTGTAAGAGGATGTTGCCCCCAATTTAAAGAGAATGCCACTGAGTTTGTGTTGTTAAAAAGAAGGGGCTATTTTCTAAATATGGTGTTGGATAGAATCTCTATCCTCAAGTAGAAGGACAACTAATGAAGTTCACAACCTAAAACATACCGTCAATAACAGATGTCAACTCTGTGTGTGGCTTACATTTTTGTAAGTTAAATTGTGTCTAATGAATAGTCTCTCACGGCTGTTACATATATGCACAGGATGGAAAGCAAAGTTCTTGCAAAATTAGATTAAACCAAATGCAGATGATCCAAAATCTACAATGAAAAGGATTAGCTACTAATTACTCCATTCTTCATTCAACAAATATTAAAGAGCACCTACTATGTATCATGCACTAGAGATACAGGGTGAACAGAACATACAAACTCCCTGCTTTCATAGAACAGACACTCCAGTGGAGTGCGGATGACACTACAGAAAAGAGTGATGAGGAAAATATCATCAGGTAGTGAGACAGTGCCGATGATTCTCAAAGAGTGATCCCAGATTAACAGTGTCAGCATCACCTGGGAACTTGTTAGAAATGCAAATTCTCAGCTTCTGCCCTAGACTTGCTGAATCAGAAACTCTAGGGGTGGACGCAGGAATCTGGGTTGTAACAGTTCTCTGGGTGATTCTGACGAATGTTCAAGGCAAACAACCAGGCGCTATGCATGGAAGTCAAATTGCAGAACGTAGGTGAGACTGCTCAAGCATTTCATTTGTATTGGGTATGTAGAGAAGGCCTCTGTGCAGAGCTGATCTGAAAATAAAGATTTGAATGTCAAGGAAACCCATCCATGGTTGTGGAGAGAGGGAACAGAGAGGACAGAGATCTTAAGTTGGGAATGAGCATGATTTTTTTTTTTTTTTTTTTAAGACAGGGTCTTGCTCTGTGGCCCAGGCTGGAGTGCGCCATCTTGGCTCACTGCAAACTCTGCCTCCTGGGTTCAAGCAATTCTCCTACCTTAGCCTCCCAAATAGCTGGGACTACAGGTGTGCACCACCATACCTGGTTAATTATTGTATTTTTTGGTAGAGATGGGGTTTCACTGTGTCAGCCAGGCTGGTCTTGAACTTCCGGCCTCAAATGATCCATTTGCCTCAGGCTCCCAAAGTTTTGGGATTGCAGGAGTGAGCCATCATGCCTGCCCTGAGTATGGCATATTTGAGGGACGGAAAGAAGGTTGGTATGGCTGGAACATTGTTGTCAGGATGGAAAGTGTCTCCGGTTCCAGTCGGAGGTGCAGGCAGGGATCAGGTGGTGGTGAATAGTGCTTCCCCAATTTAATGGGCACACACACCATCTGGAGATTTTGTTAAAATGCAGATTACGTATGATTCAGTAGGTCTGGGGTGGGGACTGAGATTTTGCATTTCAACAACCTCCTTGGTAATGATGTTGTTTCTGCTCCACAGACCATACTGTCAGCAGTAAAAGTCCCGGGCTTTGGAATTATAAAATGCAACCCGGTACTAAAGCTCTGTGACGGCGTGTGTGTGTGGGTTTGGGTTTGTTTTTTACCCTGGCTAATTGAACTGTGGCTTACACTGGGACCTTGTTCATGACAGGCAGTTGATTGGATTAGATGGTGCTTGAGACAGTTGAGAGGTGTTTGCAATTAATGTAAAAGGCGAGCCATGTCGTTTAGTGTCAACTGGCAGAACGTGGCCAGGTGTGGCTTGTCTGGTCCTCAGGAGGGTGAAGGGAGAGGCTTTGTGATTTCTTTTTTTTTTTTTTTGAGACGGAGTCTTGCTCTGTCTCCCAGGCTGGAGTGCAGTGGTGCCATCTCGGCGCACTGCAAGCTCTGCCTCCCGAGTTCACGCCATTCTCCTGCCTCATCCTCCTGAGTAGCTGGAACTGCAGGCGCCTGCCACCACGCCCAGCTAATTTTTTGTATTTTTAGTAGAGATGGGGGTTTCACCGTGTTATTCAGGATGGTCTCAATCTCCTGACCTCGTGATCTGCCCGCCTTGGCCTCCCAAAATGCTGGGATTACAGGTATGAGCCACCGCGGCCGGCCAGGTTTGTGATTTCAAAACACAACTGTTTCCAGACTCCTTCTCTCAGGTCCTGTGCCCTTGGTATTTCTGAGCTGACCAGCAGAACCTTCTCTTTGTCACTGACTTTTGTTCAAGGTTTGTCTCCCTGCTCAGATCCTGCCTCATAGGCTATCTAGTATTTAAGTCTCTTTAAAATTCTGGCTACCCATTAGTGACCCATTCTGTGTTGATGTTTAGGTTTGCTCTCTATTCTTCCTCTTCCTCATGAATACCAAGACATTGAGATCAGTTGTAGCCCATTCCCTGCTGGGAATCCAATTCCCAGGGCTATGGACTTTCAGATGAGGCCCTGTTCCACAAAACACAATTCACCCAGTTATATTGGACTCACTTTTGTTTCTTAGCGTCCTTATACACTTCTGCCAGGTTTGATGTCCTACCTGAGCACACCGTGACATCTGACAATGAATGATGTGTCTCTGATTTTTAGTGTCACTGGGTTTGTCCTCTCCACCCTAAAGTTCCGTAAGTGTATGTGTGAGTTTGGGTTTGTTTTTTACCCTGGCTAATTGAACTTTGGCTTACACTGGGATCTTGTTCATGAGGGGCAGTTGATTAGATTAGATTGGATTGGATTAGCCTCTCCCTTGTCCCTCCTGAGGCCCAGACAAGCCACACCTGGCCAGATTTTGCCTGTCGACACTAAAGTACATGGCTCCCCTTTTAAATTAATTGCAAACACCTCTCAACTATCTCAATTACCACCTAATCCAATCAGCTGCCTCTCTTGGTGGTACTTGGCCTTTCCCACCCATAATTCTGGGAAAACCCTCTCTCTGGGAGTTAATCATCCTGCAGGGAGTTTCTGCTCCTAAGCTCTCTGCTGCCCTCTGCTGGGAGGCAGAGACCTTTTCCCTTGCTGCACCATGGAGCTCTAGTTCTTTGAGTAGCAAGCACCTGCCAAGATACTCCACCCTTCCCACATTCATTCTTTCCTTTCCCGTTCAGCAAATACTTATTGAGGATATCCTGTATACCAAGAACTACAGGCCCTGGGATACAAGGTGAATAAACTTGGCTCCTATCTCTTAGGACCTCACTAAGGCGAAAGACAGAAGGGTTAATAACAATTAGAATATGGCTTGAGAAAGGCCAGACGAGAGAAAGCAGAAGATAAAGGGAGACTAGGAGAAAAGAAACGTTAGCAATGCTCACAGGAGAGAGGAAGCCTTCACTAGGGTTTTGGCAGCTGAGCTGAGTTTTAAGGGATGGGCAGGAGTAGGCAAATTGCTGGAGTCTTGGATTTATAGACTAGGAGGGATGGAAAGGATACTGGAAATTACATTTTGGTTGACTTAATAATGAACCATCCATTGTCCTAGAGGACAATGTCATAGATCATTCAAATTTATATCTTTTCCTTGAGGGTTAACACTGGGGTTTTCTTATAGTCCTGCTGCCTTGTATTTAAGCATACAAATATCTAAGAAGAAAAATAAGCATCAGGATTTTTCTGTTTAAAATCAGACCAAAAAAAAAAAAAAAAGATATAGGGTCCCATGATCTCTGTATTTTTTGGAACTTGAGAGATTGTATGTCCTACCTCTCCTAAAAGCTAAGGAATTGGATATTTTTCACTCTTGTATTATTTGGAATTTACCTGCTATGAACCAAATAATAAGAGTAAATATATTATCCCCAGAAAGATGTTTTGTTACTGTTGCTGGTGAAAAAAATGAGCTCACTAACATTTTACCACCCCCCACCCCAATTATGCTGTTCTTTCACCGGAGCAGTGCTCATGAAGATAACTGACAGTTTCAATAGTTATTTGTAAAAAGTTGGCATCCAGGCTGGGCATCCTGCCTGCAGAATGGCATAGGCTGAGGATGAATGGTAAGTTAATGAGCTTATCTACCTCTCAACCCCCAGCATGAGGTACCGTAAACAGCATCTGGCTTAGTAATAGAGACGGAGAAACACCACAATACAGGAAGATGAAGTTATTACATTCCTACCTGGATAAAAATGAAAATGGAGAATTCTCAGCTGATCGATCAAAGGAGCATATGTCTCACCATACAGTGTGATCTCCTTGCGGCTATGACCCTTGTCCCTTTTTATGTACCTGGCTCCTCTCATACAACCTGGCCCTTAGTAGCTGCTTCCAAAAAGTTAGTTTAATTAAGTTGAAGTTTATTGCCCTTTAAATGGAAGCATGCTCTTTATATCTTCCTGGTTGGTAGAGTTCCTGGAAAAAAATTTGCTTAGCTGCATATTTCATGGCACATGTGTAGACTTGTCACAGGAATATTGGAGAGGACCTTCCTGGAGTTTAGTTCCCTTTCTGAAGTCTTCAGGCTCTCCACGGCTCTTAACAGTCTTTCTAATTTGATTCAGAAAAAATCAATAATAAACCACTAACAACCTTTGCCATTCCTTCCCTAGGATTTTTCTCTTTCCTGAAATAGTTCATTGGTAACTGAGAGGTGACACCAAACATGAGGCAGATAGAAAGCGATATCATGACACACCATAGATAAAAGTCCACTTTTCCCTGAGGCGTGAACACCCACTGAAAGAAATATGGGGGAAATCAGAGAGAAGATTCCTATGGAAGCTCTATGCTCTGTCTAGTAGAGTAAAGTAAGTAGGTCTGGGGGATCAAGCTTTCCACTGAAAGAACCTCTTAGCCTTTTATAATCATAGAATGTGGGACTGGAGTCTTGAGGTATTGGTATTATCTTTTCAAATGATGTGTTTTTATGAGTGATGTATTTGTGTTTGGCTATAAGAAAACAAATCTACTGACTTATGAAGGCTGACAGAGAACAGGGCTTTATTTTTCTTATACGAAGGACACAGGCAATGTTTGTTCAGTGGCTCAAAAATGTCAGGAACACATTGTTGCTCCCATTATTTCTCTGCTTATTGCTTTTACCTCCAGGCCACCCTCCCTTCCATTAAGGCCTGAACCCAGCCATTCTCTGTTGCTTATGGCTTTGTGGTTGCAAGAAGGCTGCTATAGCTTTAGTCCTCATGGCCAAGTTCAAGGCAGAAAGTCAGGGGCAATGGTTTAGGCCACATCGTCGCTTTCATAGGAAAGCGAAATTTTGCTGGTAGTTTCCCAGATGGCTTCCTCTTACATCTCTTTAGCCAGAACTGGCTTCATAGGGCCACCCCTAGACATTAGGGGAGTAGATAAAGTAGATACTGGATCCACTACTGTCATGGACAACAATGAGGGGCTGTGAGTAACAAAGAGGTGGAGGATGGGCATTGGCAGGCACTGAATGGTATCTACCACAGGTGAGGAAGCATACCACTACTCAACACTGGTGGACAGAATATTTTTAAAAACACCTCAGTGTTTATATGATGCAAACAAGTAAGTGCTAGATTATTATGCCAATTATTACCCCAATGCCCTGATAGAATGTAAAACAGAGGTGGGTTATCTGGTTTTGACCACTCTTGACACCTGCAATTGGCTCCAGTGGTCAGGTAGGGTCATCCCCAATGAGATCTATCTGCGTTTTTACATATACAATTCTAACAGCTAATTGTATTGAACTGTGTAGTCAACTAGTAGTATATTTGTCTTGAAACTTTCCAGAATCCCCCAGATTCATCAACAATGAGCAACAAACTAGCATCACGATGCAGGTATTGGCTCATTGACCACCTGAATGACTAATTCCCCACACACTAGCTCACAGTGGAGGTGATTCAAATTAGTGCCTTAGCAAAATTACAAATTGCTACATGTCATGCTCCTCCAGGATCTCTCACAAATTGTCAAAATCATGCATGTTAAATTTGCAAATGAAAAAATGCCTACTGTGTATTCTTTGAAATGCTTTCATGTCATCAGCAAAATTGGTGTACAATGACAATTTTTTGTATTTATTTATGAAAGTATTGAAATGGCTGCAATATTTGTAGTATTTTGTTTAAAAGAGGTAATAAGAGGCCTCCTCCACCCCTTGTCCTCAGATATTGTTCCACTTCAAAGACTGAATTTCCTTCGTCTTACAGGCTTGAATCTATCCTGTAGAGTGGTTGTGAACCAGAGTCCTGTTTAAAATAAATCATCATAAGGTAGCTGGATTCAGGCCTTAATAATAGAAATGGTGCCCTGGAAATGAAAGAGGAGCAGAGTAAGATGATTGACCTAGTTCTGAAGAAAGGGAGGTGGTCAACCTCAGGGGATGGGCTGGGAATTGGGCCTATAAGTCTCCCTTCCACTTTCTGTCTTCTCTACCCCATTGTCCCTTCCATATTTTCCTCTTAAAAAAAAAAACACTATGGGCTACATTCCAGAAATGGGAGTATGCTAAGGTGCCTAGGCATGTACATCTGTATCCATACCTATTCCCATAAGTACACCTATACCTATACCCACACCTATCTATTTGTACTGATTGGTATTAGGCCAACAAAATTGCCAATACATTTGTACTTACAAAATATCAAGGTTTATATAAATATGACAGACTAAAAACCAGTATTGCAGTCACAGATTTTATTGTCTACTGGGTAATATACAACTCTGTAAGAGTGGAAGGCCGTGCATTAGTTGAGCCATCCCCCTGATTTTGTACCTAATGTTCTTTCAAAAACTTGTGCAAAAGTCAGCTATGAAACTTCAATGAGATTACATGTGGGTTCTGTTACTAGAGAGCTGAAAAACATTCTAACGTCCCTAATTACACCTTAGCTTTTAGGCATCATTCTCGATGATTTATACATTCCATACAAGGTCTTTCATTTTATTATTTCCTTTCAAAATAGAGCACAAGTTTGACCAGCTTGAAGTCAATGAGCATCTGATTGAGGCTAATGACTTACCACTTTCCACAGGCCTAATGATTTCTATCTTTGTCTCTATTGTATTGAGTTAATGAGACCTATGCTTATGCCAGGAATCAACATTCATTTTTCTTTCTCCACTCATTTTTGTAAACTAATAAGAACAAATGCAATAAAATAGTTGTATAATTGCACAAACATTGCTTTACCTTCAAATATGGAGATACTACTAAAATGGAAATATTAATTGGCTAACAATGCTACTGTGAAACAGCCAAACATCTACAAATATGAAAAAGCTGATGAAATGTTTGTAAGCTGAATGCATGGAAATTAAACAGTCCATATGTAGTTTTATAGTTGGCTCTCGATTGTATACTATGTGTACAAAAACTAGGGTCAGGATCTAGAACTTCTAATTCCGAATGTGCTCATTAATTTACTTGGCAAATATTTATTGAATTTGTTCAATAAAATTGAACTAATACCAGATAGGCCTGGAGCATCTTCTGTGCCAGAATATAAAAGAGTTCTCAAAAAAGCCCCACAAAAATTAGCATATACTCTTATATGTGATATACTGTACTAGGTGGTAGCACTCTGTTTCATCTGATCCTGAACTAAAACCCTTAGTGACAATCCTCTGATTCTGACTTGTGTTTCGTCTTTTTTGACGCTTCTGATGAGCTCTTTGGCTTTGTGTCTGGTGGTTTTTGCATCGGTGCTGCTTTTGGAAGAGGCTTTCTGGTTGTGACATCTGCCTACTTGAATTCCTTTGTCTAGGGGTAGGAGCCAGGCCATTTTAGAGTCCAAGCATTTCTGCTAATGTGGCTGCATTACTCTGCAAAGTGGGCAAGGAGAATTAAGAGAATCTGTATTGAGTGACAATGTCAAATGGATACAGACCCTACAGCCAAGCATCAAAATTTAGCACTCTTAAGTGATAACCAAATGGTGAGGGAAATGTTTTTTTTCTCCCTCTACTCGTGTGTGTGTGTGTGTGTGTGTGTGTGTGTGTGTGTGTAGCTGATGGTCTGGTAGGAAAAAAAAGCCACTCTGTCATTTGTGAAGTGGCATGGAAAATAAGTTTTCTCTATAGGGAGAGCTTGGGTGTTTGGAAGTCAGCACTGAGGTAGAGTTTGGTGCACAGGATGTTTATCAGATATCAGCACCTGTTGAATGGAGGAGAAAGAAGCCTGGTTGGGTAGAGGGAAAAGTTGAACTGTAATGTAGGTCTGGCAAAGCTTTGGCTGACTCCAGGGAGAGCTCTGAGCATATGTTCTTCATCGCAGTTGACCCTGATGTACTAAAACGGTCGGGCCTTTACAACACCCCTCTATCAATCACTGAATGTGCGTTGCCCCAGGAAGAATGTGCCCTTGGGAAAGGTAGCTCTGTGGCTGAGGCAGATCCTGAAAGAAATGATAACTGGGGTAACGAGTCTTTCCTTGATGGGAGATCTGGTGGGGACACATGTCGATATGACAAAAGTTCTTAGTAAACTGAGAATAGAGGAGAACTTCTTCAGCTTGATAAAGAACATCTAAAAAAACCTACCACTAACATTATATTTAATAATGAGAACTGGGTGTTTTCTCTAAGTTTGGGAACAAAGCAAGGATTTTTTTTCTCACCACCCCTAATCAACATTGTACTGGAAGTCTTTTGTAGTGCAATAAGACAAGAAAAGGAAACAAAAAGTATACAGATTGAGAAGGAAGAAATGCACCTATCTCTGTTCTGTATATTGTCTATTTAGAAAATCACAAAGAATCTACTAATCAATAATTATGGCAAGATCACAAAATATAAGGTAATATATAGATGTCAATTGCTTTCCTATACCAGGAACGGATGATTAGAATTTGGAATAAAAAGATAACAGATATTAATAGTGCCCCCAAAATGAAATACTTAGGTATATATCTAACAAATATGTATAGAATCTCTATGTGGAAAACTATAAAACTCTGACATAAGAAATAAAAGATCAAACTGAATAGATAGTCCGTGTTCATGGATTGAAAGACTCAATATTATTAAGATGTCAATTCTTCCCTACTTGATGTACAGATTCAATGTAATTCCTATCAAAATTCCAGAAAGCTGTATTTTAGATATTGACACACTGATCTAAAATTTATGTGGAAAGGCAAATGACCCCCAAAAACCAACACAATGTTGAAAGAGAAGAACAATGTCTTACTGCAAGACTTGCTACAAAGCTATAGTAATCCAGACGGTGTGATATTGGTGGAGGAACAGACAAACAGGTCAATGGGACAGAGTAGAGAGTCTAGAAGTAGACCCACACAAATATAGCCTAATGATTTTTGACAAAGGAATAAAGGCAGTTTAAGAGAAAAAGGATAGTCTTTTTAAGAAATGGTGCTGAAACTATTGGATGTCCATATGCAAATCAAAACCAAACCAAAACAGAAAAACCCAACCTAGACACAGACCTTACACCTTTCACAAAAATTGACTCAAAATGAATCATAGACCTAAATATAAACCACACACTTGTAAAGCTTCTAGAAGATAATACAGGAGAAAATCTACGTGACCTTTTATTTACCAATGGGTTTTTAGATACAATACCAAAAACATGATTTATGAAAGAAAAATTGACAAGTTGGACCTTATTAAATGAACAAAGTCTGAAAAAGTGGACTTTTAAGAGCCACTGTTAAGAGAATGAAAAGAAAAACCACAGATTGGGAGAAAATATGTATAAAGCTTATGTCTGAAAAAGGGCTTGTATCCAAAATATACAGAGAATCCTTAGAACTCAGCAATAAGAGAACAAAAAACTCAATTTAAAAAGGGACAAAAGATCTGAATGATCACCTCACCAAAGAAGATATACAGATGGTAAATAAGCATATGAAAGAATGCAAACCATCATTTGCCATTAGGGAACTGAAAATTAAAATAATGAGATATCACTACACCTCCTAGAATGACTAAAACTAAACAAAGAAAACCACCCGATAGTACCAATTGCTGGCAAGGATGTGGAGCGACAAGAATGCTCGTTCATTTGTGGTGGGAACGTAAATGGTACTGTAGCTTTGGAAGACAATTTGGCAGTTTCTCGTAAAGCTAAACACAGTGTTACCACACAATCTAGCAGTACACTCCTAGTTATTTCTCCAGCTGATCTGAAAACTTATGTTTACACAAAAGCCTGCCTAGAAATGTTTGTAGCAGCTTTATTTATAACCACCAATAACTGGAAGCAACCAAGATGCGCTTCAATAGATGAGTGGGTAAACTGTAGTCCACTCATTCTATGGCATATTATGCAGAGAGATGAAACTTAAATGCATATTGCTAGTTGGAGAAAGCTAGCCTTAAAAGGCTACATATTGTTTGATTTCAATGATATGACATTTTGGAAAAGGCAAAACTATAAAGACGACACAAAAATAAATGATTGCGAGGGGCTTGGGTGAGGGGAAGGGAGGGTTGAATAGGTGAAGCGTAGAGTTTTCTTTTTAGGGCAGTGATATTATTCTGTATAATACTATAATTGTGACAAATAAGATTATGTATCTATCAAAATCCATTGACCTTTAACACACAAACAGTGAACCTTAATGTACACAAGTTTAAAAAAGCATTTAGGAAGTCATGGAAATTTAGGATGGAACATAGACTGTGACACAACAGTCTAACTGTATCACAGTATGTGAAACAATTTCACTGAAAGGAGTTGGGGAACAGGTACTGACCTAAGTAACTTTGGAAATGAGTGGAATTTGTAAAACTAGAGGCAAAAGAATTATTGTATTTTAGTTGATAAATTTGTATCTCATGGGAGTGTGGGTTAGCAATTCAGATGCTTTTACACATCTGTATTGGAATTGAACTGATGTCAGCTTAATAGATATGGATAGTTACATGAAGAAATATTTGTAGGTATGTGTATGTACTTGAGTTGGTATACACACATATATTTCCTTGCTTGTTCAGCTGAGTGGGCCTAGTGTCAACAATGTCCCAGTAGCAACCAGTGCACCTGGTACCCAGATTATGGGTACCAGGAAGCTAGGTCTTCCTGGATTTAAAGACTTGGAGCAGGAAATACACCAGATAAGCCTGGAGCATCTTATGTGCCAGAAAGTTCTAAAAAAAAAAAAAAGAAAACCCACATTTAGTTCTTTAAGGAATTTCCATAATGGGTGTAGTAGTTTACATTCTCACCAGCATTGTAAAAGTGTTCCCTTTCACCACATCCACACCAATATCTACTATTTTTTGATTTTAAAATTATGGCCGTTCTTGCAGGAGTAAAGTGGTATTGCACTGTGGTTTTGATTTGCATTTCCATGATAATTAGTGATGTTGGGCTTTTTTTATATGTTTATTGGCCATTTGTGTATCTTGCTTTGAGAATTTTCTATTCATGTCCTTAGCCCACTTTTTGATAGGATTATTTATAATTTTCTTGCTGATTTGTTTGAGTTCCTTGTAGATTCTGGATATTAGTCCTTTCTCAGATGCATAGTTTGAGAATATTTTCTCCCAGTCTGTGGGTTATCTGTTTACTCTGCTTTTTATTTCTTTTACCATGCAGACGTTTTGGGTGGGAGTGCGTGATGGATAAAAGACTGCACACTGGGTACAGCATACACTGCTCGGGTGATGGGTACACCAAAATCTCGGAAATATCTTCTTTAGTGAGGTAATCGTTCAGATCTCTTGCCCATTTATAAATTGGGTTTTTTATTCTCTTATTGCTGAGTTCTAAGAATCCCCTGTATATTTCGGGTACAATCCCTTTTTCAGAAAATTGGAAATAATCACTAAATAACTTATCCATGTAACCAGACACCACTTGTTCCCCAAAAACCGACTGAAATAAATAAAAATCCCACAAAAACAATCCCCACCCCAAAACTCTCCCCCTCAAAACAAAGCAAAACAAAACAAAAAACTCCACAACAATTGGGTGTGTCAAAGAGACATAGAAGACAACTGCAAGAGCTCCCAATGGCCAACTGGGGACAATGTGCTCTATAAAATAGAGTAGTATTGGATTATAGCCCAAGGTATGAAATCAATATCCATGCATTCATACTGATGTAAATAAATGATTAAATAAACAAATAGATGGGGGGGATACACAAATATCCTATGCAGAAGAAATGCAAGTAATTTATGTAGATACTCTTTGCTCCAAGGGGTTGGAGCATGGCTCCCATTTCTTTAGTGTGGGCTGTGCATTGTGACTTCTTCAAAAGAGTGAAGTCTGGAAAGGAGAGGAAGGGGAGTGTAACTTTGCATTGACAAACCTGGCAAACACGTCCTCAGTTGGAAGATTAAGGTCAAAATTAACAGTGACAAATTATGTTGATAGCATGCACCTTTGATATGATGTGATGAGAATGTCACTTTACCTCTGTGGTCTTCTTCTCTGCAACCTTGGTTTAATCATGAGAAAAAGATCAGACAAATTCCAATTGTTTCACATTGTACAAAATACTTGACCGCAACTTAAAAACTGTCTAAGTCTTAAAAAACAAGGAAATTCTGTGAAACTGTCATAGCAAAGAAGAGCATGGAGAGACATGTTTGGGTGGGATCCTGAAATACTGAAAGAACATTGGATGAAAACTAAGGTAATCTGAATAAAGTGTGGGCTTTGGTTAATAATAATGCTTGAATATTGATTCGTTAATTATGTCAAATGTACAATGCTAATGGAAAATGTTTATAATAGGGGATACCTGGTGTGAGGTTTAGGGGAACTTTCTATACTGTCTTTGCAATTTTTTCTGTAAATCTTAAGCCACTCTGAAATATAAAGCTTATAATTAATTAAAAAATGCACGCCAGACATTGTTCTAGGCACTAGTATGGGTAAGACATGCCCCTGTCCTCAAAGAGCTCAAGTTAGTGAGTCCACAAGGTATGTGAAAATACAGTCTAGTATTCACGTCAGAGACATGGGCAAAGGGTTTTGGAAACCTAAAGTTTAAAATGAATTGTCTTTAAACCTAAAGTTTAAAATGACTTCTAACCCACATTTTGTGAAAAAGTTAATGTTCTTCCTAAAATGTGAAAAGCTGATTGGGGGTGGTGGTGATCTTATTTCTAGGACCAGGTTTCTCTTGCTGATGAGCTCATTCCCATCTCATCTCCCACCGTGTATTATTTGCTCACATTCATGCATACCAGACAGGGTACTCATCCTGTTTCCTTCTTTTTTGCCCATGGACGTGTATTGTCAGACTTTATTGAAGATGGAAGATATAAAAGATGTTTATGAGTCTTAAATACAAAAATCTTTAAAGTATAGATTTGAGGCTCTGTTCTTTAAATTTCCTTGACCATTCCACCACAAAGAACCTCTCACCAGCACTCCAGTCTGCAGGCTCCTGCTTCCTGCCAAGAGTCTGGTCCCATCTCACATCCCTTGCCAACCTCCAATATTCTGGATGACTTCTTTTGCAGCTAAGTTTACTGTTCTGTTTATTTCTTTTCTCCCTTACAAGGCAGGTTTGGGATCTCACCTTCTTCACTCAAAGCAATCTAGCAAAGTTGTTTCTTAATAAAGATGAGTTCTTCTAAAAAAAAAATACCCAAACAAATAAAATAAATACATAGGTGCCAACTGTTAAAATAGTAGTTTCTTCGTTCGGCTACACTAGATCAGTAAACAAATGATGTGTTTCATTTGGGAGAGTTGTTAAGAAGAAGGAAGTGCCTGTTTTTTTTTCTTCTCTCTTGGTAGTTCTCAGACCACTTTACTTTCATTTGGTCTGTTGCAACACCCCAAGATGGCAGCCTCGTACTTCAGTTCTGTGTGATGTTTTGGATCAGCTCTTTCTATTTGACTCATTTTAATCAAAGTTTTGTCCACTTCTCATCATCCAATTTGACCAGGGGGATAGGGGCAAGTTCTCCATGGGCATGGCCAGCAATGCCTCAGAATATTAGTTGTCCCTGTTGTTGGGTTATTACTTACTTTATTATTCAGGACAGATTCCCTCAGCTAGATATAGCCATACCCTACAGCGGTTATGTAAGAGTCTGTAGTTTTATACATTCTTCTTTCTTTTCACTTGTCTTTTACCTTGAAATGATTAAGAGGGGGGTGTATTTCTTCAAGGGTCTATCCCAGTTAGAAAGAACTTCAAGGAGAATATTATTCGTGACTCCTTTTGTTGTGAGCTACAAAAACATAGTGTCAACTACTTTAAGCAAAAGAGGAAATGGACAGTGGAATAGCTTCCAAGATCAAGGGAAGAACTACAGGATACAGAACCTTGGCAGTGAGATGTATATATGTCTTCCCATTTCTCATCTCTCTTCTTTTTTCTTTGTTTGGCTTCTCTCTGCAGGCAGGTCCTTGCTTTCAGGCCCGGATTCCCATCCTCCTAGCTCAGTGACCCCTCGCAGAAGGAAAGTGCCTGCTTTCATGTGATGTCTGTGCATTAGTTCCAGGGAAGAGCTCTGGGCAGCCCATCTTGAGTAACATGCTCTCTTCTCGGACTAGCCACCAGGGGCATTGTGGATTATGATTGGCCTGATCTGGGACCCTTGCCATCACCAAGGGGAGTGGCTTAGGGGGCTATGACTGACAGCCTCAGAATGACAAGTGGTGGATGTAGGGCAGGCAAATCAGCCGATGTCCATTACTGAAAGGATGCTGTATTTTCCTGCTGGGATAACAAGTATAAATATTAGGTTGGTGCAAAAGTAATTGCGGTTCTTGACATTACTTTCAGTGGCAAGAGAGACACTGGGAGTAGAGAGTGAGGTTGGTGAACCTTGCAAGTTGAAGCTTTCTCTCCTCAGAATCACTTAGCCTGTGCCTTTTTCTCAGAAAGAAGAGAAAACAACCCCCTAGGCATGAAGGATTATGTGATTTGGGCAGCATGAGATCTAGATAAACTGTGGGAACAACTTCAAGGACCACTGGAGACTCTCACTGGGATACGGGGCCTCAGCTGGACCTGAAATCTCCATGGGGATGAGTGTGGTATCTTTCGTGCACTTGG
The DNA here is from genome assembly GCF_000001405.40 of Homo sapiens. NCBI lineage: Eukaryota > Metazoa > Chordata > Mammalia > Primates > Hominidae > Homo > Homo sapiens. The sequence continues at coordinate 82,242,152 of NC_000016.10, forward strand.
GCTTTTTTCTGCGAAAGCCCCCTCTGCAGTAGGTTTCTTATTCTGAGCTGGCCTGGAATCTCGCAGCTGGCTACGATTTGTGGTACTCACACCCTGGGCTTCCTCAAGTCTGGGCAAAGAGTATGAAAAGGTTATTATTTCTCTCCTGCCTGAGGGGTTGGAGGCCTCACCTCCTGGGGCCGTTCCTAGCTCTGAATAAGAAAGTGTCTAAAGTAGTAGCGTATAAGCGTCTTTTTTTCGTATTAATGGTTGCAGTGGATTATAAAGGGGAACCCAGCAGGCGTGGAAGGGCTTGCATCCATTTCAAAAGCTCCAGTACATTCAGAGGCCAAAGAAAGTCCTTTGAGAGTGCCCTGTAAAGAGTGTTGCCAGTAGTTTTTGTAACCGTAAGCCCTGGCAGGGATTCTGGACCAAACTGATGTCATTTCATTTTCCATTCCGATCACAGTCTAGTAGAGTCAAGTGGAAGTCCAGCTGGGGTCTCGTTTTTAGCTTTAAGAGAAAGCCATACAGGACTCATTCAAAAAACTTTTGTGAAGGTCTTTCCATTGGCAGGACCTGGGGCCAGGATTGGGGAGCTGCATGCCCCTATCCTCAGGGAGCTCACAGTTTAAACCATAGAAGTTCGTAAGTCGTACATAACTATAGCATAAAACTGCATAGGAACAGAACTCTGAGAGAGGTAGAAGACAATGACTCAGTTTGGAGGGGAGATACTTTTTTTTTTTTTAACCAGGCAAGGTCATGGGGTATGAAGTAGAGAAGGGGGATGGATCACAATTTTATCACTGGCGTGTATCCATGACCTCCTTGGAGTCCAAAGAGAAACACCAGAAAGAAACATCAAGAAATTGTCTCTTTTGCCAAATCTAAGAATATATTAGCGATGTCATGATATTTCCTGAACAAAGAGATATCTCAGAATTGCAATAAGGGAGGGTGTTTTAAAAGAGCTATGTACAAATTAAAAAAACATTTTTTCTTGTTATAGTATTTCCCAATACTTTCCGAATTTAGACTTCCCTCTCCCTTTTCTACCATAAGCCCCATCCATGTAAGAGATGGGAAGAGTGGTAGAAGGGGTAAATCTGCCAATAATAATATATGTTCTAATTAGGAGAGAATAATAGGCGGTCTTGTCCTGTGATCTTACCTTCTTGTGACATTGAAATCCCACTCATGAGCATTGAAAATATTCCTGATAGAGCCAGGCTAGAGTTGCCAGATAAAATACAGGACAGCAGCTAGATTTTAATTTCAGATGAACAAAGAATAACTTTTTATAGTAGTGTAAATATATCCTGGGAACCCTAACCCAGACTCTTTTGGCATATTGGCACTAGATGCATGGCTTCATTGGATCAAATGATTATCCATGTCACATGTCTGGCCAAAAAAGTCTCACCAGTCCTGTTCCTATCCTCGCTCCCCAGAATATAATAGAAGGGGGATCTTTGTTATGCTTAGGGCAGAGCAGGGGAAAAGACACTGGCTGAGGACATATACCAACAAGAGGTTAATCTTGGGTGTGTTAAAAGTCTGATTGCCTTTTGAAACTCCATTCTAGGGCCAGACCTTAGTGAGGGCTTCTTACCCTGCTCCCCTCCACCACCCTTAGGAATCAAGGGATCTCCTTCTATCTCAGACCTATGCCACTGGGGAGAGTGGGATGATTGACAACTCATGCTTGAGGCAGAGAACATGGAAAATGGAATCCAGGAGAGGGTAAGTAAAGAGGTTGAAAGGATGAGAGTTAAAATGAGACAGGGCACAAGTCAATGAGTCTCCTCAGCTGGTCATGAATGGCTGGTCCTATGGGGGCTGTCCTGAAAGTCTACAATTAGGGCTCCACACATATTGAAGGAGCTGAGGCCATGTTGAAAAAAGCAGTGCTTCTTAATTTTTAATATCCACAGAAATTACCTGGGGATCTTGTTAAAGTGGAGATTCTGATTCAGCAATTCTGGGGTGGGCTCTAAGGTTCTGCATTTCTGACGAGTGTCTAAGTGATGCTGATGCTGCTGGAATGTGGCCCACATTTTGAGCAGTGTTAAAGAGAAATTGCACCAAATACTTGTGAAAAATGTCAAGGAAGACTTTATTCAAGACTATTGCAATTGGGGAGAGAGATTGAACTCAACTTCAAATATAAAAGGGACAGCTGGGGACTTAAAGCCAACAGGCAGGGTGAGGGAGAGGATAGAAAAGTATTAAGAAGATCTTGGTTAGGTATTCAGGGTTAGGGAAGAGGAACTGGATTAGATGTCAAGGGTGGGAGAATTGTTGCTAAATGGCTTAGCAGGATTCTTGGTAAAACTGGGTCCAAAGGCCAAGGGCAAGGCTCAGTCAAGAAGAGGGTTCTGTGAGGGGCCTGGCTAAAGTTTGGTCAAGGAGGCAGTACTTGTTAGTAGCAAGGGACCAGAGTAGAGAAGTTTCTAACAAACTTCTCTACTCTGGTGGATGGTCTCCCCCATGATGTTCTCATGATAACGGGTGAGTTCTCATGAGATCTTATGGTTTTATGAGTGTTTGGAAGTTCCTCCTTTGTTCTTCTCTCTCCTTGCTTCCCCTTTATCTTCCACCATGATTGTAATTTTCCTGAGGCCTCCCCAGCCATTCAGAATTGTGAGTCAATTAAACCTCCTTCGTTTATAGATTACCTGGTCTCAGGCAGTTCTTTATAGCAGTGTGAGAACTGACTAATACAACATGTTGATAATAACTTTTGTTAAAAGATAAACTTAAAGGTCAGGCATGGTGGCTTATGTTTGTAATCTTAACCACTTTAAGAGGCTGAGGCAGGTAGATTGCTTGATGCCAGGAGCTTGAGACCAGCCTGGGCAACATGGTAAAAATCTGTCTCTACAAAAAAATTAGCCAGGCATAGTAGCACATGCCTATAGTCCCAGCTACCTGGGCTGAGGTGGGAGTATCACTTGGAGTGATGAAGGCTGCAGTGAGCTGTGATTGTGCCACTGCACTCCAGCCTGGGCAACAGAGTGAGACAGAGTGAGATTCTGTCTCAAAAAAAAAAAAAGATAAATTTTAAAATCAATAGTGATTCATGAGTCAGGCAGCTCCAGACTGCAACTGGTTTGGGGATTCACTGGAGGGGCACAAGGGTAAGGCTTTGATAGGAAACAAAAACAAACAAAAAGATTTGTTAAAGTGGAGCAGTAGCTCTATTTGGATCATTCCAGAGGAAAGTCCCAGTTAGGAGATAGCAGTTTTTGATTGGCCTAAAATATGACCATTTATACTGAGTTGGGTTTTGGTTTGCTTATGTAGAAACCCAATGCACTGGAGCTGCCTCAGTCTTATGGCTTCTCAATTAATCATTTTAACATTGTAGAGGCCAACCAGGAGAAGGCTGTCAGCAACATAATCTAGTTGAAAAGAAGTCTGGATTACCATCAGGTTACCCTGTTTAATGGAAATGGCAGTTAGAAATGTTAGACGCCTGTTAACAGACCATAATCCTGGAGAACCAAGGGGGAAGAAATGCTGGTCATGGTGGTTGTAACTCTGGATCCCTGACCTCAAGTATATAGCATTGTTATACCCTAACTCCAATGGAATGATCTCTTAAGCTTCCTTCATTGTATTTATGGTCTTTATTTTAAAAAATATATACTTAAAAAATATATATATATATATACTTTTTCTGACCGGTCGTGGTGGCTCACACCTGTAATCCCAGCACTTTGAGAGGCCAAGGCAGAAAGATCGCTTGAGGTCAGGAGTTTGAGACTAGCCCGGCCTGCATGGCGAAATCCCATCTCTACTAAAAATACAAAAATTAGCCGGGTGTGGTGGCAGGCTCCTGTAATTCCAGCTACTCGGGAGGCTGAAGCATGAGATTTGCTTGAAGCCAGGGGGTGAAGGTTGCAGTGAGCCCAGGCTGGGTGAGGGAGTGAGACTCTGCCTCAAATATATATATGTATGTGTGTACATGTACATATATATGTATCTTTTTATTATATATAAATATATATATCTTTATAACATATATTATATATACATATGTATATTTTCTGAATGTAAAAATAATATAGCATATTACAGAAAACTGGAAAATGTGGAAAATACTAAAAAACACAAATCGTTGTAAGAGAAGACCACTGATAACATGTATCCTATATATATGTAATGAATATGCATGCCTGTGTGTGAATGTGTGTCTCGTTACATACTCTTATAATTTCCTTCTTACTTAACAATAAACTGTTAAATTGTGAACATTCCCCTGAGGATCGTGCATTGTTGATGTGTTACAGATACTGAGACAAGATTCAATATCTCAATCCTTCCAAGGAAAGAAGCTGAATGCATGCAGTGATTTGCCCATTCAACAGCAGGAAGGTCTCAAGCCAAGGTTATCTCATCTCAGGAGCTCAGCCACAGCATTTCTTTTAGGCCCCGCAGGGCAGAGATCCTTCTATTTTAACCACATTGATAACCCTCTCCATTATTTTCCTCCACACTCCATCCCTGGTGGAAAAGCAGCCCCTGGAATCTCTCTTCTGATTTCCCAGGGAATCCCTACTGGCTCTTTGGGGTAGACAGAAGGGAATGAGTTCAAAGACTTCAGCAGAGAATGTAGAATGGAGGAGGATTGTCCCCACATGATCTGGGCTCATTCTTCCATTCCAGGCCACCTTCTGTAGCCTGAAAGTCCCCTGTGACTCTTTCTTTTTCTGCATTTGCCAAACATTTATTTTGTCCCTTTATTTAAAACTTCAGTGTTGCTTTGTTGCTTTTTAAATTAGAAGACAATGATTTTCTTCTTTGCGAGGCAGAGAGAGAAGATGTGGAAAGAAAAGCTCCCAGGATTTAGAGCATGGATATTAGGATACTTCTTCATCACGTCTTTCTTGAAGATGTGGGTATGAGCCATGGTAAAATTAAGAGTGGTCCCTTCCAGATGACCTCTCCAGTGACCTTGGGCACTTAAGGCACTCTCCTTGGCTCTAGCGTTTTTATTTGAGAAACGGGTAGAAATCATTTCTGTCTGCTCACATCAGAGAAATAGGTGGGAAATGCTGAATGGAATATAAAGTGCTAATCACAGGTTGGTGGTTGTTATTATTGATGTTGTTTTTACTTCTGCTGCCATGAGCAGTGTTATAGGGAGAAAACATATGTTTTTAACAAGTTTTTTATTTTTCAAATAAGACAAAGAAATGGTAAAAATATAGTATAAAGGTTATACAGTGAAAACTGTCTCCTTCCCACTATCAGTCCCTTCTCAGAACAGTAGATACCTTCAATCAGTTTTTCTGTTTTCTTCCAAAAATGTTCTCTGCATATACAAGCATATGCATATATGTGTATGTTGTATTTTTTTTAGGTAGTAACCCATCCTGCATGTTTCTATTTGTTGTTCGCTTGTTATTATTCCATATTAGCACATTCCATTGCATATCATTATTGCATATTCACTGCAATTTATTTAAACTTTCTTCTCATGGTAGACATTGAGTCTGTTTCCAGGGACTGGCTATTTCAAATTCTGTGGCAATGATCACCCTGTGCACTCGTGTATCTGTGCAAATTGATCTGTATCATAAAGTCTTAGAAGTGGGATGGCTAAGTCCAAGTGTATAAACACTTTATATTTTAGTAGAAATTGCCAAATTTTCCTCTGGAGAAATGTGCACAATTTACATTTGCACGAATACATTGTTTCTATACACCCTCACCAATATTGCATGTTGATCTCTACTAATTTGAATTTGTAATGCTAATCTTATTATTATTGTTTAATTTTGTGTTTCTGCAAGACTGAGAGAGCTTGACTATCTCTCTTTTCATATACTTAAAAGCCATATATTTGTGCACTGCTTGCATATGCTCTTTTTCCATTCAAAAGAGCACATATTAAGAGATCGGGCTCAAATCGGCCGGCTCAGCAGGGCCACTCTTCCCAGGCTTATCTGGGGCTCCTTCCCAGCTCCCCGGCTGCTTGTCTCTCTGGTCTCTTGTGTCTATGCTGCTCTGGCAGTCACAGAAGCCCCAGGCCATGTATCTGCACTAGTGCACCCATCCATTTACCCTGATAAGTGAAAGCTGACTGCACAATTCTGTGTTATTTATGGCTTTTCTTCCAGCTACAAAAAGTATTTTATTCCTCTTCACCCTGGGAGCTGATGTGAGGCAAGTGTCTTCTAAATTTTATAGTATAGCAAATGGAGATGTGAAGACATGTAATTGGCCATCTGAGCACCTAGTGAGACAACTGCTGAGTCTAAGTGTATAAGATGTTTGACTGTGGTGATCACATCAGCCACAAGCCGGCTCACTGGGGTGCAGAAGCAGCAAGATGTGGGTGGAACACTGTACTTTGGAGCTTGAAGATATGTGGGTTCTGTTTCTAGCTGGAACATGGATCTGTTGAGAAAGATTGGGCAGGTATGCTCTGTCTCTGGGGCTCAGTTTCATCATCTGAAGGCCTTCAGATCACAGTGAAGATCTGACAGCTGTGGAAAGAGAGGGGAAGGGAGGAGGTTTTGTTAAAAAGAGCCTCAGCCTGTAGAGTAAATCTGAGAAGGTCTCACTGTACTGATGTGTAGCTCCAAAGTAGAGATCACCCATTAGAGCAGTGTATGCCAGACAGAAACTGTCTGGCCCTAGTACCCCTTTGTGTCCAGTCATTGGCCGGGAGCTGCCCAGGGAGACCTTGGCCTTGGCTTGACCACTGGGGAACACCCCTAATGCTCTGCAGCTAGAGGTGCCAGCTGCCTGCACTGCTCTTGGCAAACTCACTTGAGATCTGGGCAGTGTACCTTGGGGCCTGGCACAAGAAATTTGTTTGTATAGTTTAAGGGAATTTTTCTGGGTCCCTCCAAAAGCATTGCAGATCTGAAGACATAATTACTACAGGGTCAAACAATATTATATTACCCCTCTCCTCCCAATATTTTCTCATCTATTAAATTATTAGAATACTTGCTGGAGGTAATCAGCTCTTTCTTACTGTGGAATATTAAACATATATTTCCTCTATTGTACATAAAATCTGTAAAAATTGATACTTATCTGAACATAGGGGTGAGTCCAAGTATGAAAACAATGAGAAAAATATTGTTAGGTGTTTATGGGAAGGGGGGTGCAATAAGCACAGATTTCACAAGAGAAAATAGGCACATGGACTTTTCAGCACAGCCCATGTTCGTCTAGGTCCTCTGAGAAGCAGATAAGACTGGATTAAATAGGCAAGAATTTCATTAGAGGAAAAGTCTGTGAGAGAAAAATGTAGACGGAGTCAGGAAACACCATGAGAGCTGCCAGATTGCCATACGCGTGTGCCCTTGAAGTGAAAGAGAAGAGGAAGGCAGGCTGGGTAGAGTCTAAGGATGGGGTAGTCTACTAAAGGTTCATGCAAGGCCATAGGGAAGTTCATGAGTCACACTCCTCATCAGAAGAGTTCTGCATCTCCCAGCAATGGACCTGCCTTAGAATCCCTGCTGCACCCAGTAAGCAGCAGGGAGCAAAGCACGGAAGTATGGCCTTGGCACAAATATATCCATGGATTTGAGCTCACAGCATCTGGAGCTGTTGGTCAATTGTGATTCCTTTAGGTAGAGGGCTAGGAGGGGCATTCTCATGGCTGCCACATACCTTGTGACATCTGACAACATTCTCCATGACTTTGTCCGATTATGAGTGGTCATGTCACTTTGCTGTAAGTAGCTGCATTTGAGACAGTTGTGTAATATTGTCCTTGTGGAAGAAGTTTTTTGGGATTTGCAAGTTCTTAGGATCTCAATAATATATATTTTTGAGATAGGCTTAAAGTGCCTATTAAAAAACCTTGTCACTTCTCCAGCTCTGTTGCTTTATTGGAATAATAAAATGTCACAAGTCACCATACATTGCAACTATCTCGGTCTTCCTTAAATTATCCTAGGACCCCAAAGGTCCACATAGAGACACTTTTGGTGCCCCATATCTCATGCCTATGTCTGATTTAGCCATGGTTGTGGGGGACACTTCTGTGAAAGCTCAGATTCATTTGGTAGCATCCTACCAGTAGCACAGAAGTGTGGAGTTCCTTTCTGCTTTCTGCCCTCGGAGTCTATCTGAGCTGCCAGGGTCTGCTTGGCTCATGAAAAGGCTTCCTGGAAATGTCAGGGAGTGAATGCCCTTGAGGTCAATCCTTAACCAACAGAGGATGGGAGTTTGTGGAAGAAGGCTCCAGCCCTTTGTCTTTCAGATGGGTAGTTTTGGGAGGCATTCTGTACTCATCTCTGGAGTTCCAGTTCAGAAATTGAGCCCCTTTGGCCAACAGCTCTAACCCTAGGTGTGCATCCTGACTTGGTCTTCCAGTCCTCCCTGTCTTACTTTCCCTGGTTCCTCACTTCTTTTGTTTAATAATCTGTGATCACCTCCAAGTGAAGCACATGCACCCAAGTCCTTGTCTCAAGTTCTGATTTCACTGGAGCCCAAACAGGCCTTATAGGCCACAAAACCCTGCAGAGTGTGTCCTAATAACTTAGATAGCACTTTGGGACCTTTCCATGGATCATGAATGAAGAGAGGGGAACTTTTCTCCTTTCTGCTCATGCTTTCTCCACACTTCTGTGAAATGATATGGTGCCTTGCTGGGAGGGGCCTGAAATTGCCAATCTTAAAGTCATTGGTACAAAGAGATAAAAGGTGAGTTGAGCGAAACCCCATGATTCTCAGGTGACTACCCTATAAAAAGTGGCCTAGATATTGTTACTTCCCTGCATCTAAACTGATATCCTCTTCATTTTTCTTCAGCAAGGCCCAGCCTGGGACCATTTCCTCCTAAATAGATTCCACATAAAATTCACAGCCTGAACTATGGAGCTCTCGCAGGCATCAAGGTTGCGGTGCTCTCAGTAATCCCTGGCTACCCTCAGATCCTTGCTTCTTGACTATTTCCTTAGGCTTGTGATCATTCTTGATTCTGACTTTTATTTATGTCTCCTTGGTGCTGTGTTTGAAAAGTCTACAAGAGACTTGATCACTAAAGCTCACTTTAAAAAAAATTTACAAAATTGTGGTAAGATACACGTAGCATAAAATTAAGCATTTTAACTATTTTTAAGTGTACAGTTTAGGAGTATTAAGTGCATTTACATTCTTGTGCTACCATCCATCTGTGGAATTCTTTTCATCTTGCGAAACTGAAACGCTATGCCCGGTGAACATGAACTCCCCATCCCCCTTATCCCCAGGCCCTGGAAACTACCCTTCTACTTTCTGTCTTTATGAATTTGACTATTCTAGGTGCCTCATATAAGTAGAATCACAGTGTTTGTCTTTTTTGTGTGTGTGACTGGCTTATTTCAGTTGGCTTAATGTCCTCAAGGTTTAGCAGTGTTGTGGTATGTATCAGAAGTCTCTTCCTCTTTATGGCTGAATAATATCCCATTGTATGGATATACCACATTTTGTTTATCCATGCATCTGCTGGTGGATATTTGGTTTGCTTTCACCTTTTGGCTATTGCAGATAATGCTACCAAGCGCATGGATATGTAAGACTCACTTTTGATGAAGTTTTCTCCAGGAAGTCTTCCCTTGTACACATTCTATCTTTGTAAGATGATGAGCAGTGGTGTTACAGTGTCTCATTCATCTTTATATCCCATTGACCAGAGGACTGCATATTGGACACTTAAATCAGTGGCTGTTGAATTCTTTGATTCCACACGTATTGTTTTCCCCAGAGCTGAAGGGATACTGAATTCCCAAAGCAGTTTACCTATAGCATTCCAATGGACTTTATGTAGTAGACAGCTGTAATATTCTCTGTCCAACCCTAAACTCCTTGAGTTGGGAGATGTTCTGTAAATCTTTGCTGTGAAAAGGAATGTTTTTCCCTGTCCATGCTTCTTGGCCATATGGTAGTAACTCCAGCTTGCTCCCCAGCTCTCACCCTTCTCTGACATCTCTACATGTTCTGAGCATCTGGTGAATTGACAAGTCCTCCTAGACTTAGTGTCTCTTGCTGGAGTCTCAACCAATTTCTGCCCAAAGTCCTGGCTTGACCTTGGAAATTCTGACTCAGACCTGCAATTAGGCCCTGGTAGCTAATCATCCTCATCTACTGACAATAAGAAACAGGTTTGTGAAGGAATTAACTGAGATGGGGTATATAAAATACCTAGTAGAGAGGCTGGCTCATGCAAGTGCATAGTAAATGGTTATTTTTTATTAAGTATAATATTGTTTATTACATACAATTATATATTGTATACACAAATGTATATTTGTGTATACACATATAATCTTTTTATTCCTTATTCTCTTGTTACCTCAAAAAATCATTTAAGGTGTATGACCCTGAAAATTACATATTAAAAGAATTATTGAAGTAAGAACAAAACATTAGAGTAGTGCTTTAGAGATAGGAAGATTGTAGTGTCCTAGAATTAGGATATGATTAGGACATAATTCTAGAACATTACAATCCTAATTCTAGGATGTTACAATCTAGGCTAAGGATAGTTGTGGTGCTTAAGCATTAAATTTAGCTCTGAGCCAAAGAAAAAAAAAGAAACAAAAAAAACCCCTTTTCTATTATCTCTCATATTTCAAGGAACAGAAGGAAGAAGACAGCCGCCTTCACGTCTGAGTAATGAGTCATAGTGGGGGCCCTGATCACTTCTCTTGAAATTTGCTGATGAGAATGAAGTGACAGCCAGGGTGAAAGGGATGGCAGAGGGATGCTTGCTTCTCTGTTTTATCCTTGTTGGAAAGAAGTTAAGTTAGAATGAGAAAAATAATATCTTTTTTTGGGACTGTTCTCTTTGCAGTGGTCATGGGCTTAGAAGACCAATGACACTTCCCAGATGAAAGAGTTATGAGGCTGATAAAAATGATGTGTGCATGAGCAGATGGTACCGTACTGGTGAGACCTCAGAACTGTTGCGTGTTTCTTGGCCTAATTGGCTGGATCACTCTTCTTGGTTACTAATATTAATACTTCGTCCAGGCATCTTCCCAGTATGATTTCCTTTGAAGTGTTGCTTAGGTTTGAAGTTGTGTCTGGTATGATCAGATTAAGTAGTTTGTCTTATTGAGGATGTCAGAATACCTCCCTTAGACGTACCCAATCAATATTACTAGAAGCACTCCATGGGGCCCTTCTTCACTATGTCACCAACCCAGGGATTGGGAGAATGACACCATCAACTCCCAGATTACCATGTGATGTCAGTCTTACATATTCTGCTTCCATTGTGATCAATGCCTGAGATTTCACTGTCAGAACGTGACACCCTTAGCATAATTCAGGAGTCTGCAAACATTTTCTATCGAGGCTCGATAATAAGTATTTTAGGCTTTGCAGGTCACACAATCTCTTTTGAAATTACTCAACTCTGCTTTGTGGGACAGAAGCAGCTGTAGACATGTCAATGAATGGGCATGACTACGTCCCAGTACAACTTTATGTATGGACACTGAAATTTGAATTTTATATAATTTTCACGTGTCACAAAATATTATTTTTTCTTTGACGTTTTCCAACCTTTAAAAAATATAAAAAAGCAGTCTTAGTTTGTGGGTCATACAAAAACAGGTGGTGGGCGAGATATGGCTCATAAGCCATGGCTTGCCTACTCCTTGCTTAGTTGAAATATGAATCTCTCTAAGTAGAATCAGGCTTTAAACTATTATCTGTCATTGGAATCTTCTTGTGAAAGAAAGGACTGTATGGTTGAGAGATAGCAAGAGTAAGGAGACATTTTTAAGTGTGAGGAATCTTTGAGGCCACTGGAGCCCTGAGTTCCAAAAATCCCAGGAGAGAATTGAAGTTAAGGTATAACAGAAAGAATGTTGGTCTTGGAGTGAAAGACCTTTATTTAAATCCCAACTCAGTCACTTCCTTGCTGTATTTCTGGGGCTACTTATTTGATCTCTCTGAGTTTGTTTCCTCACCTGAGGGTGACATTCTTACAAGACAGCAGTGGGGATTGGAAAAAATCAACTGTCTAGTCAAGGCTTAACCTGTTGTTGCTGCCCCCCATAACTTAGGGTTGATTATCATCTTGACTTAATTTTGCTTAAAACACTAAAGGAGTGTACTCCATGGATGGGGTAGGAAGCTCTAAAAACTCCTAGGGCACCTTTAAGGAGCAAGGGAGTCCATCTGTGATTAGTGAGCACAGCCAGAAGAGCAGGGAAAGGGCAGGGAGGGGGATGAAAACTGAGGTAGGGCCTGTCCCAGGAAGGTCAGGGGAGCAGAGCTATAGGACTGGGAGCTTGGAAGGAGCAAAGCAGGAGCTAGGTCAGCCATAGGAGAGGCAGAAGCAGGTTCAGGGCAGTTCAGGAGGCAAGAGGCTTCAAATGGATTTGGGGGGCTTAGAAGCAGGATTCCAGGATCACCAGCATTCCCACCTGAAAGCCCGATTAGCAGCAGGCAGTGTGCAAAACCCATCATTTTCTCATCTTCCCAAGGCTCCAGCCAGGGCCTCCCTGCCCAGTTTCATTCAGTGGTAGGAGCTCACTAATGCCTCCCTGTCACTCAGAAGATCAGATGTTACTAGCACTTTGTACATCAATACAACTTTGATGTTAAATGAATGACGGGCTGCATCATGCAATGGTGTTCTGGTTGGAATCCTTCGGAGACTTCTTTGGAGTCTCTACAAGGAGCAGAGACTCTTACACTGTACTTACATTGGTCAAGGTAAGTGAGCTCTACTGTAAAGATGCAGGATAGTGTTGTCCAATGGAGCTTTTTACAACGATGGAAAGTTCTTCACCTGCATTGTTTAATATGGTAGTTTAGCCTCACATGACTGTTGAACACTTGAAATGTGGTTAGTGTGACTCTGAATTTTTAATTTTAATTAATTTAAATTTATATTTAAATAGTTAATGGTTACTTTATTGAACAGTACAGATGTAGATTTCGAAGAACATTTTGAACAAATGTTCTTTGTCTAGTATCCACCACCAACTGGCAACTTCCTTCTGTGTGTCTTATTTTCAATTCCTGAAACAGAGGGAAAAAATCTGAAGGGTCTAGTTCACCTTTGCACAGCCTCTAGATCGACCACCTTTGGGTCAGGTTCTTCAGTCTGCTTGTGGCTTGGGATGGGGTAAGACCTTGTGTTATGAATACAGCCCCATAGGGAGCTGGACTGTGGGTGAGCAGACCCTCTTACAAAAGGATGGGGGGAGTCTGTGGCCAGGGCAAGCAGTGATTGGCATTGCTGGTAAAGACAGAGCTCTTGTGAGTCTTCAGAGGGCAAAGGAGTTTATAAGGAGGTAGATTGCATCTCATTCATTCATTTAACCATAATTTTATTCAACAACCACTATAGGCCAAACAGAGTGCTAGACCCTGGGGATACCGTGACATGTGAGGCAGATGTGATCCCTTAATTACCAAGCTCATGGATTAGCAATAGGAGCAGAAAATCAAATGAGTGATAATAAATACAGTGTGTTGAATGCTATGATGGTAGAGTGGGAAATGTTTAGGGAATGTAAAGCAAGAGATCCTAAGTCAGTTTGTAGAGGTCAGGGAAGACTTCTGGAAGGAATGAGACAAAGTGTTTGGCAGGTAATAAGTAGGGAAGGAAAAAGTAGGCGAAGTCCCAAAAAGGAGAAAATACACATTTGTAAAAACTAAAACGAGTTCAGTGAGGCCAAATTCTCTGTTATGAGAATGTGGTTCCTGATCCTGTAGGTGAACGTTGCCATCTATTGTAGCCTCTTGAAGATTCTCCATGCGTTTTAGCTAAGTAGAGGCTCTGACAAGTCCTCAGTTAAAAAGAAATGTTAATCTAGTTTTATCAAGCATTTATGAAGTTTGTATAAACATGCAACTCTTTTCTGTCAACCCAACCTCCTCTTAGCAACAGGCAGAACTAGTATTCCATGGAACACTAGTTGGGAAACTATGATCTAGACATTTCAGTTGTGTCCAGTAGAAAGAGACTGTATTTAAGACAGTTCTTGCTGCCCAGTCAAATTTGTTCCGGGCCTGAAAATAAATATGGAGCTTTCTGCCCGAATGCTTCTTGGCACACTAGGAACCAGATTAATCAACTTGTGCAGTTGGCAAAGTGCTTGATTTCCACTTGCAGCATTTCCCTTGAGGGTCTACTCACAGTCTGAATGAACTTCACTTTTCCTGATGCTATTTGTCCAACGCCCAGAGACACAGGAACTCACTTTCCCTTTCCAATTGTCCAAATGTATTAGTCCGATCTCACGTTGCTAATAAAGACATACTTAAGACTTGGTAATTTATAAAGGAAAGAGGTTTAATTGATGCACAGTTCAGCATGGCTGGGGAGGCCTCAGGAAACTTACAATCATGGGAGAAGGGGAAACAAACATGTCCTTCTTCACATTGTGGCAGCAACGAGAAATGCAGACTGAAGGAGGGGGGAAAGCCCCTTATAAAACCATCAGATCTCGTGAGGACTCACTATCACAAGAACAGCAGTATGGGGGTAACCACTCCCATGATTCAATTACCTCCTACTGGGTCCCTCCCATGACATGTGGGGATTATGGGAATTGCAATTCAAGGTAAGATTTGGGTGAGGACACAGTCAAACCATATCACCAAGTGTCTGGAAATTCCCTTTGCACTAAGTCTTTCAAGGCCCTCTCTGCAGAAGCACTTTTCCTTCGGGGAGCTGTGAGGACATTGGCTGTCCTTGCCATTCTCTTGATCCACATATTATGCTTCTCATGTTTTCATATTGGTGCATCTTGTCTACCCAGCTGAGCACTGGACTTTGGAGTTACTCCGCTTCCAGGTAGTGATTGTGGACAAGCAATTTCACTTCTCTGTACTTCAATTTTCTCATCTATAAACTAGAAATTATATTACTGCACAGGGTCCTTGAGACTTTAGTGATTTAGATGATATTATCTCATTTTAAATGTTCTAAATGTTCCAGATCATTGAGAACAGTACTGTCATCTAATGAGCATTATTACCTTTTCAAGAAAAGACGGAGTCTGTAGTTGTCCTGGATTTGATACAAACCTTCTCCCTACAATTGCTTTGTGTTGTTGATATTGGCTTTGAATCTTTCATAGGACAGTATGTTTCTCTAGGATATATTCATTCCTGATCTTTTTGAGGTTGTAATCCCTTCTTCCATTGTTTCTTTTCATATTCCTCCTTTTTTTATTGATAACAGGGTTTTTTTTTTACATATAAGTCACCCAATATACAATTCACCCATTTAAATTGCACAATTCAACGACTTTCAGTATATTCTCAGGGTTATGCATTTATCACTACAATCAATTTCAGAACGTTTTTGTCACCACATAAAGAAGCCTTATACCCATTAGCAGTCACTTCATGTTATGGACTGCATGTTAATATCCCCCCCAAATTTATATGTTGAAACCCTTACCCTCAATGGGATGGTATTAGGAGGTGGGGCCTTTGGGTGCTAATTCGGCTTGGATGAGGTCATGAGGGTGGAGCCCCCAGGATGGGATTATTGTTCTTATAAGAAAAGAAGAGGCTGGGAGCAGTGGCTCACACCTGTAATCCCAGCACTTTGGGAAGCCGAGGTGGGCAGATGTCGAGGTCCGGAGATTGAGACCATCCTGGCTACCACAGTGAAACCCCGTCTCTACTAAAAATACAAAAAATTAGCCGGGTGTGGTGGCGCACGCCTGTAGAACCGGCTACTCAGGAGGCCGAGGCAGGAGAATCGCTTGAACCCAGGAGGCGGAGGTTGTAGTGAGCCAAGATCGAGATTGCATCACTGCATTCCAGCCTGGGAGACACAGCGATATTCCGTCTCCAAAAAAAAAAAAAAAAAAAAAAGAAAAAAAGAAAAGAAAAGAAAAGAAGGACTACAGCCTGCTCTTTCTCTGCATGCATGCACCAAGGAAAGCCATATGAGGACATAACCAAGCAGAGGCCCTCACCAAGAGACCAGGCATGCTGGCGCCTTGATCTCTGGCTTCCAGCTTTCGAAACTGTGATAAATGAATGTTTGCCATTTCAACCACTCGGTCTATGGTGTTTCTGTGATAGCAGTCTGAGCTGACTGAGAAACTCCATTGCCTCTCAACGTCTCTACCCTCATTTCCCCTAACCCCTGGCAACTGTTAGTCAGTCTCTTTGAATTTGCCTAGACTGGACATTTCATCCAAATGGAATCACACAGTACGTGGGCATTGCGACTGGCTTCCTTCACCCACATGGTGTTTTTGATTGTCGTCTGTGCTGTTCCTGTGTGTCAGTGCTCCATTCCTTTTTGTGGCTAGAGAGTAGTCCATTGTATGGATGGACCGCATTTTGTTTATCCATTCATCAGTGGATGGACATTTGCATTGCAGATGGACCTTTTGGCTGTAACAAATATTGCTGCTATGAATATTTTAATACCTGCTTCTAATTTCTTTGGTTATATACCTAGGAGTGGAATTGCTGGATCCTGTGGTAACTTTCTGTTCAACATTTTGAGGAACTGCAGGATGGTTTGCCACAGCAGCTATCCTATTTTGCATTTCCAGCAGCAGTGCCGCATTGCTTGACTTATCATTACCTCTACTTGCCAGCTCACTTGTAAATAGGTAATAGACCTTCTGGCTTATTATTGATATATATTTATTTTAAAAACAAAGGAAAGGGAAACTTTTGAAAAAAATTTTTAGTGGCACGTGTGGAAGTAATTGTGCTTTATCAAAAACCAAGACCAAAACCAAAACAGATTTGGTGGCGAGGCAGCAAATGTTAGCAGTTATTATTATTAGACTAACCTAGATTATAAACCCCTTTGCAGCCAAGGACTAAACCTTATTTACCTAGGTTTTATTCAGGGAGCTTGTCAAGAGGCTTGGGGTGAATACACATTTATCATTCTTCCATTTGTTCACTTAACACTTTATGCAGGGTTATGGTGTATGCCTGTTTTTAGTAATGTGCAATTAAAAAAGAGAAAGACAAGTTTAATGCCACAGCAAGTCTACCATTCTACTCAGTGAAGTTGGACTCACAGGCAATAGATGCACTTAAGCCTGAAACAGTGAATGGAGGCTTAAAACCAATGGAAATTACTTATGAATAATTTTAAGGGCTTGTCACCCTTTGACAAAAGAGGGAGATACATGATTCATCTGGCCGGCTAAGTGGGTGGTGATGGCATTGTTGGCAAAGAAATGCAGGAATTAACTGAGGATCAAGAGAAGCTTTGAGCAAGGGGGCAAGAGGGGGGAACTTATAGGCTTGTCCTCAGAAGACATTTGTGGTCGATTTGGGGATTTTAAAGATCAAGTTAGACTCTTGGTCATTTTTGCTCTTTACCTGCTGACAGCCTTGCGAACCATTCAAGGAAGTGCTGGAACATGGCAGAAAGCACAGAAGATAAAATCTTTGCCTTCTGGGCACAGGGTCTGGTGTGGAAGGCAACAAAATCAAATAGCAATCACAAAACCATACAAAAAAGACAGAGATAGGAGTGTGTGCAGAGTTGGGGTAGCACAGAACAGGGAGCTTCTGAAGGTAAGGTCGAGTGTATTAGTCTCCCAGAACTGTAGTAACAAATTCCCACACACTTGCTGGCTTAAAACAACAGAAATTTATTCTCTCACAGTTCTGGAGGCCAGAAGTCTGAAGTCAAGGTGTCAGTAGGGCCATGCTTCCTCCAAAGGCTCTGGGGGAAGACCCTTCCTTTTCTCTTCCAGCTTCTGGTGGTTCCTGGCATCATTCCTTGACTTGTGGCTGCATCACTTTAGTCTCATGGCTCCTTTCCTCCTTCTCCCTGTGCCGCTCCTCTGTGTGTCTCTTACAAGGGCACTTGCCATTGAATTTAGGGCCCACTCAGATTAGGATGATCATATCTCAAGATCTTTAACTTAACTACATTTGCAAGCCTGCCTGCCTGCCTGCCTGCCTGCCTGCCTTCCTTCCTTCCTCCCTGACTGCCTTCCTTCCTTCCTTCTTTCCTTCCTTCCTTCCTTCCTACCTTCCTACCTTCCTTCCTTCTTTCCTTCCTTCCTTCTTTCCTTCCTTCCTTCTTTCCTTCCTTCCTTCCTGCCTGCCTGCCTGCCTGCCTTCTTTCCTTCCTTCCCTCCTTCCTTCCTTCCTTCCTTCCTTCCTTCCTTCCTTCCTTCCTTCCTTCCTTCCTTCCTTCCTTCGTTCCTTGACAGGGTCTCACACTGTCACCCAGGCTGGAGTGCAGTGGCGTGATCTCAGCTCACTGCAACATCTGCCACCGAGGCTCAAGCAATCCTCTTACCTCAGCCTCCGGAGTAGCTGAGACCACAGACATGTGCCACCATGCCTGGCTAACTTTTCTGTATTTTTGTGGAGCTGGGGTTTCACCATTGATGTGGTTTGGTTGTGTTCCCACCCAAATCTCATCTTGAATTGTACCTCCCATAATTACAACATGTTGTGGGAGGGACTGGTGGGAGATAATTTAATCATGACGGTGGTTTCCTCCATACTGTTCTCTTGGTAGTGAATAAGCCTCATGAGAAGCCGTGGTTTTACATGGGGAAACCCCTTTTGCTTGGCTCTCACTTCTCTCTTGTCTGCCACCATGTGAGATGTGCCTTTTGCCTTCTGCCATGATTGTAAGTCCTCTCCAGCCACATGGAACTGTAAATCCATTAAACCTCTTTTTCTTTATAAATGACCTAGTCTCAGGTATGTCTTTATCAGCAGCATGAAAATGGACTAATACAACCATGTTTCCCAGGCTGGTCTTGAACTCCTGGGCTCAAGTGATCCACCCACCTCGGCCTCCCAAAGTGGGTGGATTATAGGTATGATCTATCACACCAGGCCCTACAGGCCCTTTTTATTTTCACATTAACAGGTTCTGGGGTTTAGGATGTAGACGTATCTTTTTAGAGACCACCATTTAACCCCATTACATTAGGGAAGTCTCCTTGGATGCAATAAACAGTTTGTCTAAATCCTGAAGCAATTAGCTAGGTGAAAGGGTAGAGGAAATTATTCCAAAAGGAGGGAGGAGCATGTGCAAAGGTCCTGTTGAAAGAGACTCTGCAGCCATTCATGCATACCATGAGACTTCTGGAGTACAGGGGGAGTGTGTGTAGCATATCGTGGAGTGAGGAAAGGGAGATGTTTTGGGCTAGGGAGGTATGCAAGGCCCATATTCCAGACAGCCTGGGATGACATGATAAAGAGATTGGAGAAACTACTAAAGAATTTTAAACAGGGAGGCAATATGAGCCAATTGGCATTTAGAAAGATCACTTTGGACAATTTGTGGAGGATGGGGTGCAGCAAGTCCAGTGGTGGCGAAGCTAGTTAGCAAAACTTTTGCTCAGTAAATGTGCATTGGCTTGAATCCTCCCTCTCCTTATTTCACAGATTCTATTTTCTTACATTAGCGTGTGATTTTTGCTGGGCTGTTGGATGCTATTTAACATGCTAAGCCAATCTACTTACTTGTAATGCTCATCACTAATAGGAAACAAGATGCTGGCCTCACAAGGTAAACTGGCCTCACTCAGTTGACAAAGTCCCTTGCACTGATGATCAAAGATTGTAAATGGATTAAACAGGTTGACGGTGTCAGTTCCAATTTTTTGAGCTACCAAATCATCTTGTCAACAATTAGCATCTACAAAATATGAAGACGGATACATCACTGTTTCAGAAAAGACTGAGGAATTCTGGGTGTTGCTCTGGATATGACACAGATTTCTCCCTTACCACTGCTTTGTAGTGGCTGCTGAAATTAAGGCTTGAATGCTTTAAGAATACCTATTGAACCTCCTCTAGGTGTCAAGGATATCCAGGATTTAGCAGAGAACCAAACAGCCTGTGCCTTCGAAGAGCTCACAGTCTAGAAAGGGGTGGTGGTACTTCTGTGCTAGAGAAGAGAGGGGGGTTCTGTATATTTCCTAAATGCCCCACCAGAGGGGCTAAAGGGGGAAGGTTGCAGAGTCCTCTGTTTTGGCTTCATGCTGCAGTGCCTGACTCTGCCTTGAAGGTGTCTTGTTCAGTGGTGGGATCACTCTGCTTGTTGGTGACAACCTGGGTATAGAGATGCCTTCTGAGTACATTCCTTAGATGTCCTCCCTGTGCTCCCACTCCCCTGTCCACTCTTTGGGGGTTAGCATCATCACTGTCCATGCCCTCCAATGGGATTAGCTCCCTTCCTGACCCCAGGGATCTCTTACAGCATGGAAGTGCATTTCTCCAGGTCCATTTATTCATCTGTTCATCCTGCAAACATGTACTGGCCGCTGACTGCTTATAATGTCCGGTGCCAGCGCTTGGGATTAATATAGACACAAATTAGACATGAGTCTTGCCTTTAAGATGCTTAACATTCATGTCACCCACTTAAAGCAAGGGTGGACTGTGGGAGGGCTAGTGATAAGCAGGGTGAGATTTCACTGGCAAGAGGCACTGATGCCATTGGAAGGGGCTGGGTTTGTGGGTGTGAGAGTGGTGGGAAATGTAGGGCAGGAAGAGAAAATGGTGAAGCTGCCCTTTGAAGGGTTTGACTAGGTGAGGATGGGTCAGATTCACCCTGACACACCTGGCCAGGGCTGATCCTAGTCTGGAATTAGATGTCTGGGTTCAGAACCCATGCTATCTGTGAGACCATGTGCAAAGGTCCTCACCAGCTAGGCCCCATTACCTCATCTGTGAAATGAGATACACATAGTTCTTCCTTCCTGGTGATTCCCTGGAGATTTGGCCAGCTTCGTATGATGCTTTGGGCACAACCCCCAGCATGGCATCAACTCTTGATCAGTACCAGCTAGCTGCCATTGCTGTTAGCCAATCCGGGGAGAGAAGGGACTTTTCTGACACTGCGAGCTTGGAACAGGCGTCTAGTACCATATATTTAGGAGACTGGAAGGGAAAACTTGACCATTTCTTTGAGTTGTAAACTTGCCTGGTAGCAAGGAGGAGAAAAAGGTGAGCAAGTCCCATGTCTAAAACCCTATTAAAGGCTCTTTATTTTTTCCTGGCTCTAGGGCTGCGTTTTCTACCTGTTGTTATGAAAACATGGCCTAAAATATCTCTAGCCAAGCAGTCCAGAGCCCATGGGAACTGTCAAAACTGGGATTGGAGCATAAATATGAAATGACACGAAGCTTCATGTTCTGTTATTAAACTTCACAGCTAGAATTTTTGAAAGCAAATTATCTTGTAGAAATATTCTTGTTACGTTAAACTGGAAATGAAAATAACTTATTTATTTGCTTAGATCAAATTGTTGCATGCAAAGTTAGGCTGTGTTGTTTTTCCACTGCCAAATGCTTTGACGCATTCCTTTAACCAAACAGTTTAAATGTGAATATTAGTTAAGATGCATCAACCACAGTGGGTTGTCAGCCTCCTAAGGATTGTATCCTTTCAAATGGGTCAATGAATAGAGATTTAAAATAGAAGTCAGATACTTTAATGTTTTTCGCATTCAACCAAGAGAACAATTTGCTTGCAGATAGTAGGGGTATGTTATATGTGATTGATAAATGAGCTTATTTACGGCAATTTGGGCATCCCCTGTATGTGCCGTAGTTTTCAGAAGCACGAGCAGGTGTTATCAGGGCTTGGGATGCACCTTCATGGCCACCAGATGTCACTGTTGAGTCACAGAAGCACAGCCATAGGGGCTGAGAATCTTTGGTGGGGAGGACGTTTAGGAAAACTTTACCTTGCCAAACAGCTCATTCTTTATTTTAAATATCTGCCAAGCCCAGGATCCCAGGGCAAGCTTAGCTGAAGTCAGGAGAGTGCTTTAGAGTATGGAACAAAATTAGGGAAATAGGAAAAAAATGCAGTATTTGCTCTTTCTGTCTTTTGGAGATTCTCCTTGTCGCTCAATCACACTTGTACGCCTGCTCTCTCCCCATTCCCAGCCCAGAGCTAAGCAGTAAATGCACTGAATTGGTTAGACCCTTGCAAAATCGCAGAACACCAGAGCTGGCAGGGCTCACAGGCGTCAGCTAGCACAATGTCTCAACTCAAGTGCAGGGGCGCCAATAGGAGGAGGAGTTGTTCAAAGTCTCTGTTAGCTTTAGGCTGAGGATCTCTCATAAGGATATTAAATAAAGGTATAGCACAGCGGTTCTTAAAAGTGTGGTCCCTGGACCAGCAGAACTAGTATCACACGGGAACTTGTTAGAAATGCACATTCTTGGCCTGCACCCCAGATCTACTGAATCAGAAAGGCTGGGTTGGGGTTTAGCAATCTGTCCTTTAACAAGCCCTCCAGAGGATTCTGATTTGACAGAGGGAAAAGCTCTACTGATAATACGGGTAGGAGAGCTTCAGTTCCTACTTCCGGGTGCCATCAGCATCTCTCCAGGCTCTGGGCTCTGAAGATTATGGTTAATTCACAGCTTCTCATTGGAGCTTGACCTCATCTACACATTCCCTGGGAAAAGTGTCTCCCTTCTAGACATGACTATATTGGGTTGAGGTATCAAGATACTTCTCTTCTATGCTCCCCATTTTTTCCCGGCTCCACCTTCCAGCCATGGAATACAGTTGACTTAGGATGCTCCCTGGTAGCTCCCTTTTGGGCAGGAGCAGCTGGAGCCCTAGTCAACCCTTTCCCCTCCTCTGCTCCCTTATCCCCCTTATACTTCTTCCCCTGTGTCTCGCACTTTTCTATTTCAGGAGGGAGAGCTTAGTGCTATTGAGAATCTACCACGTGCCATGTGTTTCCACATGTTCTTGGAGCTCTCACAACAAACCATGGAAAAGAGAGTTTGACCGTCGCCACTTTTTTTTTTTTTTTTTTTTTTTTTTTCCAGGCCGGGAAACGGCCAAGGTCGCACTGGCAAGGACTTGTGTGCACAGGGAAATTTCAATGGTCCTCCTTCAAGTTAATGGGGCTTTACTTTCCTCCCAGGCTCTCTCTGCATTTTTAATGAGACTGCAAGTCCCAAGAGGGAAGCCAAGTAAGCATTTCAGATTCCTCTGCCTGGATCTGAGGGCAGAGACTTCTAGGGGGTTGGGAGGTAGAAGAAGGGAATCCCTGTGATTCCCCACAAGGTGCGTTCCCAAGAAAGAGTGCCTCTTCTGTGCTTGGAAAATGGTTAGATCCTGAGCGTGGTCTCCCACAGAAAGAAGTATTCCTTAGCTTTCGACATCACTTATGTTGTCATTTTCCAGCTACTTTTAGGACTGCCCATTTCCTATATTATGTGTTCTTCTAAGGTTTAACCTCAAGTTAGTGTAATCAAAGATTTTTTTCTGCTACATCAGGTTAGATTGGCTTTGCAAATTCTGGCATCCTCCTGTTTCCTCTTGTTTGAATATATGTTAAAAAAAAAACCATAAAAACAACAAAACAAAATAACAAAAAAAAACTATTTATCTTATTTTGGTACTCTAGTTTTTAGGAAAGGCCTGATCCTAATCATGTTTGGATGCACACTAGGAAAATACTACTTAACCTTTTTCTTGCCTTTTTAATGTCTGCTGTTCCTTTTCTTGTAGCAAGTGATACAGAGGAATTGCAGTGAAGTTACCATGAAGATAAAGGTAAACCCACACAAATGACCTCCAGCATCTTCTGTCTTTAGCTTTTCCTTCCTAGCCGACACATCTTTTGAGTTTTAGAACATTTACGTTGTTTTATACTCCATCTCATTTTGAGGCTTTCCTCTTTCTTTCCAGGCTAGTTCTTTGTGATATAAGACTTAATTCTGCTTTTTTGTTTCTGATTGAGAATTTCATTTCCTTTTATGCTTAGGCGTTTGCTCAGCCTAACTTACCAGTGTGGTTTATTCTGCTGAGAAAAACTGAGAACTCATGAGAATGCTGTTCTTCTTTCCTTTTCTTTCTCAGTATTCAAGCGTGGGCTTGGGAGTCAGGCATTCCTGGGTTCAGATCTTGGCTTTTCTTCTTACTAGGTTGTGTAAACTTAGATGAGTAACTTCATCTCTGTCAGTCTCAGACAAACTGAGCCAGGCTCAGACATGCAGATTCAGATCACTGGGCCACCAGGTCCTAGTGATGCCCCAGAGAGGCTGCTGGGCTTTGTTGTGGGTGACCTAAAGAGGTGCAAACCCAAAAGTATCTGAGACAGGTCTCAATCCACTTAGAATGTTTATTTTGCCAAGATTAAGGACACACCCATGACACGGCCTCAGGAGGTCCTGCTGACATGTGGCCAAGGTGGTCAGGACACAGCTTGGTTTTATACATTTTATGGAGACGTGAGACATCAATCAAGTACATTTAAGATATACATTGGTTCGATCTAGAAGGGTGGGACACCTTGAAGTGGAGGTGGAGGAGAGGGTTCCAGGTTATAGGTAGATTTTAAAATTTCCAGATTGACAATTGGTTGGAAGAGTTATTATCAATAGAAAAGGAATATCTGGGTTACATAAGAGGTTGTGGAGAGCAAAGTTTTCTCATGTACATGAAGCCTCCAGGTAGCAGGCTTCAGAGAGAACAGATTGTAAATGTTTCTTATCAGACTTAAGGTCTATGTTGATGTTAAATAATGGTCGGTTTTTCCTGAATTCCAAAAGGGAGGAGGGCATCATGAGGCCTGCCCCATCCCCACTACCCCCACTTGCCGTCATTGCCTGGACCAGTTTTTCAGGTTAACTTTGGAGCACCCTGGCCTAGAGGAGGGTGTCAATTCAGATGGTTGAGGGGGGCTTAGAATTTTATTTTTGGTTTACAGAGGGTGGGCTCGGCCCTTCTCCAGGAAGCTGGCATCTGAGAGGTTGAGGGCCATGGCCCTAGGGTGCATTTGAAGGGATGGTAACCATGTGCAGAAACACTGCCTCTTTAGTGTCAGATTCTTCCTGGACCTAGCCATTTTCTTCCTTTCTAGTTCTCCATCATGGATCCCATTAAGTCCCCATCCTCCCCAGCCCCCTCTCTATCTATTTCTCCCCCCAGCAGTTGCTTAAATGTGGTACCCTGATGGGCAGGAAAGCAATTGATTAGACTTGAGGTGACTTGAGTTGTGTTCAGCAAAAATCCTCACTCTTTTGACTGACTTCAAGTGGCGTCATGACAAAATCAACCTGAAAAGACATAATTAATACCCTATACCCTTTTATTCCAAGTTCCTTTCGGTTGGAAAGTACTGCCAGCTAAAATCATTGTGGTGAGTCTTGCCTTTCTTCTCACCAGCCTGTACATTTGAATGGAGTTAGGGACTGTAGCGTGTTTATCTCTCTATTATTCCCCATTCTGAGTATAGTGATAGATGCTCAGTAAATATTGATTGATTGGCTGATTAATGGAAAGACTTGGGCTCTAGACTCAGCTTATATGATCTTGGACAAGTCACTTAACTTCCTCTGAGTCCATTTTTCCATTTGTAAGAGGTTGATAATTAATTACACCTGAGTCTTAGGTCACACTCTCCAGGAGTAGCTATTACATGTGGCTTCAGGTTTGAGTGGCTTATTAAGGAAGTGGTGGAATGGGGGTAGTAAGGAAAGGGGAGGAAGCAGAGCAAGGGTGTGATCTCAGGAAAAGTCCTGCAGGGGCCAGCTCCAGCCTTCCAGCGTGATCCCACAGGGGAACTCTGGAGGCAGCTCTAGAGTTGTTTTCTTCTCCTTCTCCTTCTCCTTCTCCTTCTTCTCCTTCTCCTTCTTCTCCTTCTCCTTCTTCTCCTTCTCCTTCTCCCTCTCCCTCTCCCTCCTCTTCGTCTTCTTCTTCCTCTTCCTCCTCTTCCTCTTCTTCTTCCTCTTCCTCTTCTTCCTCTTCCTCTTATTCTTCCTCTTCCTCCTCTTCCTCTTCTTCTTCCTCTTCCTCTTCTTCTTACTCTTCTTCTTCCTCTTCCTCCTCTTCCTCTTCTTCTTCCTCTTCCTCCTCTTCTTCTTCTTCTTCTTCCTCTTCCTCCTCTTCCTCTTCTTCCTCCTCTTCCTCCTCTTCTTTTTTGTTTAGAGATAGCATCTTGCTCTGTTGCTCAGGCTGGAGTGCAGTGACATGATCACAGTTCACTGCAACCTCAAACTCCTGGGCTCAAAGGATTCTCCTGCCTCAGCCTCCTGAGTAGTTAGGACTACAGGTGTGTGCCATCACACTGGCTAATTTTTTAAAAAATTTTTTATGGAGATGGAGTCTTGTTATGTTGCCAAGGCTAGTTTTCAACTCCTGTCCTCAAGTGATTCTCTGGCCCCTGCCTACCAAAATGCTGGGATTACAGGCATGAGCCACCAATGTCTGGCCAACCTTTCATGCTCCTGCATTTCAGTCACTGGCTAGGACTGAGGGCAGGATAAGGGAATGTAAATTCCCAGAAACTTCTAGTGCTATACCCATTTGGGCAAAGTGTTCTCTAATAGCCCAAGGGAAGTTCTCCAAAATAGAGCTGCAGTTTGGAAATGAAAGCACACCAAAGTCTGAGTGTAAAAGTAAAAAAGGAATTGGGTGGGACACTGACATTATCCTCAACATCCTACTCATCTACATTTCTGAAGAGTTACTGGAATCAGACAAGAAATACGTGGAAACACTTGTAAACTGTCATGTTCCATTCCAAAGTAAATGGTGGCTTTTTTTTTTGTTATTTGTTTATTTTTTGAGACAGGGTCTCACTCCTATTACCCAGGCTGGAGTGCACAGGTGTGATCACAGCTTATTGCAGCCTCGACTTCCGGGGCTCAGATGATTCTCCCACTTCAGTCTCTGGAGTAGCTGGGACTACAGGCACATGCCCATCACACCCGGCTATTTTTTTTTTTATACTTTTACTAAAGATGGGATCTTGCTATGTTGTCCAGGCTGGTTTCAAAGTCCTGGGCTCAAGCAACCCTCCTGCCTCAGCCTCCCAAATTGCTGGAATTATAGGCATGAGCCACCACACCCAGCCAAATGGTGGTTTTTATATTCAATAAATTGTTTTCTAAAAAAAGTCTTGTGCATCTAGAAAGACTCAAAAAAAAAGAGAAGAATGTTCATGTTAATCATACATTCTGGTTCATACAGAGTCACCCTTTGATAAAATTTCATGTCTTTTGAGTAGTGGTAATCCAGTACCAGTTTTCAAAGAATTCTAATTTAAATTAACGCTGTAACTACAGGCAAGACAATTTAATCTCTGTTTGATGCTTCAGAAGGCATTTCTCAATCTTGTAGGGCCTGAGGGTCATGATTACCATTGCACTGTCAACATGCAGAACTGCAGTTAACAGACTGGGTTACTGGAATGGGGAAAATGGCATCTATCTCTATTTTGTTATGAGAGAGGTGTTGGCTGTTGCTGTATTTGCAAATGGCTAAGCATTGGAGTGCTGACAATTTTTCAGGCTCAAAGCTTTGATTTTCCTTTAATTATTTGGCTGAAGTGGAAGACAGGGACTCTTACCTGATTTAATTAGATAATCTCAACTATAAAGACATGGGTTCTGTGACATGGTTAAATAGAATTTTGCTTGGCAGTTTTTCACAGCATCCCAAACAAAAGCCTTGAGGTAGCCATACCTCAACATACACACTGCCTCTTGTATCACACAATGATTATATTTTGATTGCCATTTGAGTTGTCATTTGACATCATATAGGGAGCAATACATTTTCCTTGGACTAGGATGGCCAAGGTAATTTCTCTCCTATGAACTTATCCATTTCCAACTCTGGCATGGTCATTCAAAATAGTATCTCTCTCCCACCACCACTCACTTTGAACTCATTATTGATGCATTTTGACATCCTGCCACATCTCCTGTATTTTGATAGGCATATATGGGGATTCAGGAAAACTATAAGATCTCCAAAGCTGGGAAAATTATGAAGGGGAGAAGTCTTACCTGGAACCATTTAATAATGGAAGGCAGAAAACTGACAAGGAGAGTGAAGATCCAATCTTGGGCTCATTTATGGTTTCATGAAGACCAGGGACACTACAGCAGAACCTTCTTAATAATTCTTGAGGTTTTGTAATTGCCCCATCTGTGTTGTGTTCATTATTTTCTGTCCTTTTCCTTTCGTTATCATCAGGGCTGACAGTGAAAGCAATGCATTCATTCAATTATTCATGTAACATTTGTCACACACTTTCTGTGGGCCAGGAATGTGTTGGGTCTGAGGCCACAAAAGTAACTCAGACATGGCCCCATCTTCAAGGCTCTGGCACAGTCTGAGTTGAGAGGAAGAGATGAATATATTCATACCCAAGAACAATAGGCCTTACACATCAGAAGGAAGAGCCAAGGGCCATAAGAAAACAGAGCAGGAGGGCAGAATGAAAGAGAGTGAGGGATTATTTTGTTATAGAGCAATCCTGGTGAGCACAGACCTCAGCACGGAGAAAGGAAGAGCAACTGGGAGGAAGAGGCAGAGACTGCTGACTCTTAAAGGCATCTGGAAATGTCCCAAGGACAGAAACATAGGTCTTGCTATTGCCCGTGAAAGAAGAAATGCTCTTGCAGAAAGCCCTGGTGTTATCGTGGAATTTAAAGAGGTAGTGCCATTCTAATGAGAGGCTGAATATACAAGCAGAAAGTGACAATCGCCAGACTTATAGAGAAGTAGAACTCTGACCCACAACCTCTGCAGCAATTGGCCCCAAACACCCAGGATTTGATCAATTATTGCCAGTTTTCCCAAGTTGGTCCTTGTTTCCAACTTAAGACAAACCAGAGAAAGTCAAATTTGCCCCTCTAGACAACTGCATGGGATGCTCCTCTTCCACCCTTCTAGCTCACCTATCCTTCCCTGTGTCAACAGCCTCCAAACAGGGCACACTTGAAGCCTTCCCTTTTCCCAACATGAAGCGTTCCCTCTCCTTTGCCTGCCCTGGAATCTGCCAAATGCAAGTGATGGTGGCTGATTCCCTTGCAGTCGCAAGCTCTGAATCAATAGCCTCTGCTTGTTCTCTGTATTAGTTCGTTTTCACGCCGCTGATAAAGACATACCCGAAACTGGGTAATTTATAAAGAAAAAGAGGTTTAGTTGACTCACAGTTCCACATGGCTGGAGAGGCCCTCACAATCATGGTGGAGGTGAAAGGCACTTCTTACATGGTGGTGGCAAGAGAGAAAATGACAACCAATTTAAAGGGGTTTCCCCTGATAAAATCATCAGATCCTGTGAGACTTATTCACCACCATGAGAGCAGTACGGGGGAAACTGCCCCCACGATTCAGTAATCTCCCAACAAGACATGGGAATTATGGGAGCCACAATTCAAGATGAGATTTGGATGCGGACACAGCCAAAATTATCATTCTCCTTTCAGTCCTTTTTGATTATTTCCAGTTTTTGATAAGGGATATTTTGAAGCATGAACTCAAGAGCTAACACACGCCAACCACTCAGTAAATGCTATTCTTTTCTGTGGAGCACCCGCTACATTCCCTACAACATGCCTGGGGAGTGCCCTCTTCTCTCCCAAGTTACCAACCACCCTGGCATAAGGTGGACTGGACCTTTATAAAATCTTACACTCATGCCAGGGAAGGGTACCTGAGTGGTCCAAAGAGTTTGATGGGTAGCAGAGGCCGGGGCACGAACACACTCCAGTCCCAAGCCAGCAACTCAAGGACGCCTTTGAAAGCTGTGCAGAGACGGAGTGGAAAAGATGCCTTTCAAAGGAAGAAATCTTGTTCCAAGGCAACAGTGTTTCTATCCCCTCCAAGTGTGCTTCATAATAATAAAGTTCCTGATAAGCTGTGTGCAAATCGCACTTCTGTAAATTGGGTCCTACTTCCCCCATGATTTACACTTTCCTTTAAGTGCTGATTTATCATCATTTCTTCCCTTGGCAACCATCCTTATGACTTGCCTCTTAGTTCTAGCCTCCCTGGCAGATAATTAATGAGCTCTTAATACAGCTTATGGGCACCAGAGGGAACACACACTATTTAAAGATGTCTTTCAGGGGATTTTTTTTTGTGTGTGTAAAGTGAAGAATCCCATTGTCATGAAAAAAAAATCACATACATTTGGCAAATGTTGCCCTTTTGAACTTGTGGACTATTCAAAGGCAGATGAAGAAGTTTGCTTACATCATTATTCATCAATATACATTGGTGTAGGGTTTAGGTACCCAGTGGTTCTTGAAAGTACTGGGGGTGGAAAACTGTGTTATTAAAACTTTTGATTAATTAATTGCTTTTCTTGTTTGCTCACTTGTTCAACAAATACTTACTGAATACTTATTATGTGCCAGGCCCCATGGAAATATAATATTAAACTGGATAGACATGGTCATCCTCATGGCATCACAGCTTTTTGGGGAGACAGGTAATGAGCATGTAATTATGCAGATAACGAGTTCACTACACATTTGATAAATGCTAACAAGGGATCAACGAGGGGGGCTAATGAGGCCTGAGCTAGGTATGGGGAGGGAAAGTGGTCAGGAAAGCTGAGCTCCAAGGTTGAGTTAGAAGTTACCAGGGAAAGGGCACTTCAGGAAGGGAACAGAATGTGCAAAGTTACCAAGAACAGGAATAGCTCAGCTCTTTTGAGAAGTGGGAGAAAGACACTGGGTGGAAGATAAGCCAGTGAGATTAATGGGGGCACCATGGCCGTAGCGCCTATATGCTAAGTGTTTTGAATTGTATCCTAAGAACAATGAATACATTATTGATGCATTCTAGGCAGGGAAGTGACGTGCTCAGATACACCCTGTAGAGAGAGAATATTGTCTGCATTGTGGTAAGGAAGGGATAGGGGAACCTGTTGGGACCCATAGCTTTTGTCCAGGATAAAAGAGGTGGTATTCAGTAGTGATTTTCATCAGTGATATCCTCCAGGAGAAATGGGTTGAGGGTGTTAGGATTCAACTTAGTCCATTTCACAGAAGAGGAAGAAGAGGTCTAGTAGGATAAGAAGAGTTATAGGACTGTCTCTTAGTGGAAGAGGGGCCCCCTCCTGACAATGCAGCATCTTCACTGTGGCCCTGAGCTTCACACCAGGGAAGGACTGACTTCCCCAAGAAGGGCACACATGCAGGCAATAGCCCGCCAGCCTGCTTTGAAGTTCCTCCAGCAGGCTTTGGAGAAAGAGCTTTCTTCTTGAGTTCTGACTTGGAAATAGGGATCAGAAATGACGGTCTCTGCAAGTGGGTTTGATATGGAGAAACTTCTGGACACAGGCCCCAGTCTTCAGTGGAGTGTCTAAGTATCTCAGGTCCCCAAAACTGGTCTTGATGGCCCCTCCATCAGACACCAGCCAGGAGTTGACAAATGTCAATGGGCAAAGGTGTCCCTGGGGGAGAAGCTTCTTCAGAAAGCAGATTCCTGGGCCCTGCTCTCAGGGATTCTGTTTCAGGATCTTTGGCTCATGGCCTGGGAATCTGAATTGCATAACAGGCCCTATACCCCTCATTCATTTTGTCTCCTTGTTTCTAATATGGATGGTCTTTAAATCATTTAAAAACTCTGGGAACTGTTGCTCTAGTGATTTAGGCCTCTAGGAGACTGGCTTGCCTGAGCTCAGCAAAACATAATACCTGGTTCTGGGCAATCACTACCAGTTAGGAAGCTCAGGAGTCTGGGTGGGATCTTGAATTGGGGAACAGCTTTGGGCCAAGACTTAACCCCCTTGCTTCCCCATATTGCCAGAGAATCATCCAGAGCATTTATAAACATGTCCATTTTTCTCCAGAGATTCTGATTCTGTTGTGGTTTTTAGCAAGCGCCCCAGGTGATTCTTAGGATTAGGTAGGTTGGGGGCCTTTGCCCTAGAGGCTTCAGGCAGCTTTTGCCCTTAAGGGGCCATACGGGGCCTCAGGGATCCTGGGTGTCCTCAGAGGACTGCAGGGAGCTCTGGGAGTGTTCTCTAATGTGCTCTCCAACTCTCCATATCTGCTCTGGGTCTTGGATTCTTCATCAGGGCATCTGGGGACAGTCCTTCATGTAGGTGGCAATAATCTCTGCTGGGGATCGTTCTTGAGCTTCTTAGGACGAGAATTCTGTTAGATTCTGGATGGGGCCTGATGTGTCTGCCCAGCTTTGCGGCCAGGCCAAGGGAAAAACCTGTGGAGGCAGGATACCCAGCTGAAATGCATCACTCACTGCCAAAGGTGAACCCGACGCTAGCTTCAGCAAACCTGGGTGGTGAATGGTTTTAAAACTTTGCTAAAACCAGAAGAGCTGTGTCCACTCAGCATCAGGTGAAACTGGCCAAATCGGGGCAGGTGGATGGGCTTCCTGGGGACAAGGGAGAAAACTCCATCTTATTTCTGAGCTCCTGAAAAGCAAGGGCAAGGGAGGTCTTGAGTCAGACTTGCTCTAGAGGCGTCTATGAGTTTGCTCCCCACTTCCCAGGCTCACCTTCGGTGGTCAAAGAGGGCCCCTGGAACTGTGTGGGAAAGGTTTGCGGAACTAGAAATCTCCTCAAGTTCAAAGGAGTTGCAGTTTGTATGTGAAGTTTAAATTACACTCGAAGGCAGTGGCTGCAGGTAAAAAAACGAAAATGAAAACCCAATGAAAACATAAAAAGATTTTAAAAAATGCCTGCTTGTCCCACTGGCTCAGAATCTTCGTTGCGGGCAGGGAGTGGGGAGCTGGTCTAAATATGTTTAAAAGCTCCCCGTTGAGTGTCACGTGCAGGCTCTAGGGGGTCTGTGAGCGTGGACGTTGAGCACACCTGTGGTTCCAGGGGGGATGGAGGCCATCTTGGATGCCTGGGTGTTGGGGGTTTCAGTTCAAAGAAGGCAGGTACAGTATTCTGGGACTCAGGGATGGGCAAACAAGCTTAAATAGGATGGGGCTTGGACCTGTGGGTTTTGATTATGGCCAGAACTGGCACTGGTCATCCACTCCATCTGCCATGCCAGGCACACAGCTGTGGAGCCATTGGCAGACCTGCTCCTTGGAGAAGAGGACGATGGCCATGTCTTGGCATTGATGTGCCACAGGATTCCTGTCAAGGACTTTTTTTAGGGAAGGCCTCTGTCTTTAGCTGGTCTCCTTGACTTTCTGCAGCCTCTGATCTAGCCTTTGGTGGGGAGTTTGGAGTTCACAGGATCACTGGGCCAAGGAGGTTGCAGCTCCCAATGCTGCTGGAGTTTCTTAGCTGGGGAGAGCATTCTTACATTCTTGAGGGTCCTGCCAATAGGGTAGGTGGAGAGCTGCTTTGTGGCTCTAGGAGGAAGTAAAGTGACAGATCCCTGCTGGCTCAAGAAAGGTAGGCCGGGCGTGGTGGCTCACGCCTGTAATCCCAGCACTTTGGAAGACTGAGGTGGGTGGATCACCTGAGGTCAGGAGTTTGAGAGCAGCCTGGAGAACATGGTGAAACCCCGTCTCTACTAAAAATACAAAAATTATCCGGGCATAGTGGCACATGCCAGTAGCTGGTGTAGTAATTCCAGCTACTTGGGAGGCTGAGGTAGGAGAATTGCTTGAGCCTGGGAGACAGAGGTTGCAGTGAGCCGAGATCATGCCACTGCACTCCAGCCTGGCCGACGGAGTGAGACTCTGTCTCAAAAAAAAAAGAAAGAAATGTGTCCTGAGCTCAAGTGTGAGCACCAGTCAGGAGATAACAATGGACCAAGAGAGGAGGGGCATGGCAGTGTTGGGAAGGGCTGGAGGGCAGTAGAGGGGAAGAGGGCAGATGTGTACAGCATTTGGGTGCTGGGAGAAGTGAACCTGTCTGCTTCTGGGATTGACTCTTTTTATGATTGCTGCAGCAGTGGGAAGGGGATGTTGACCAGTGATTTGGGGGTCCATTGGGTGCTGGGAGAAGTGAATCTGTCTGCTTCTGGGATTGACTGTTTTTATGATTGCTGCAGCAGTGGGAAGGGGATGTTGACCAGTGATTTGGGGGTCCATTGGGTGCTGGGAGAAGTGAATCTGTCTGCTTCTGGGATTGACTGTTTTTATGATTGCTGCAGCAGTGGGAAGGGGATGTTGACCAGTGATTTGGGGGTCCATTGGGTGCTGGGAGAAGTGAATCTGTCTGCTTCTGGGATTGACTGTTTTTATGATTGCTGCAGCAGTGGGAAGAGGATGTTGACCAGTGATTTGGGGGTCCATTGGGTGCTGGGAGAAGTGAACCTGTCTGCTTCTGGGATTGACTGTTTTTATGATTGCTGCAGCAGTGGGAAGGGGATGTTGACCAGTGATTTGGGGGTCCATTGGGTGCTGGGAGAAGTGAATCTGTCTGCTTCTGGGATTGACTGTTTTTATGATTGCTGCAGCAGTGGGAAGAGGATGTTGACCAGTGATTTGGGGGTCCGTTGGGTGCTGGGAGAAGTGAACCTGTCTGCTTCTGGGATTGACTGTTTTTATGATTGCTGCAGCAGTGGGAAGGGGATGTTGACCAGTGATTTGGGGGTCCATTGGGTGCTGGGAGAAGTGAATCTGTCTGCTTCTGGGATTGACTGTTTTTATGATTGCTGCAGCAGTGGGAAGGGGATGTTGACCAGTGATTTGGGGGTCCGTTGGGTGCTGGGAGAAGTGAATCTGTCTGCTTCTGGGATTGACTGTTTTTATGATTGCTGCAGCAGTGGGAAGAGGATGTTGACCAGTGATTTGGGGGTCCATTGGGTGCTGGGAGAAGTGAACCTGTCTGCTTCTGGGATTGACTGTTTTTATGATTGCTGCAGCAGTGGGAAGGGGATGTTGACCAGTGATTTGGGGGTCCACTTTGCTGCAAAGACAGATGGAGCTTTGGGCTCAGTCCCAGGTTTTGCTAGAACAGAGGTTTAGGACTAGGTGGGAGATTGAAGAATCTTGAATCCTTTATCTATCTGGATCTGGTGGCTGTCTTGGGCCCCAGAGTTAGAGTTGAACAAAATATCTTTGTTCATTAGACAAACATTTATTAGGTACTTACAAAGTGCCCAGCATTGTTTTTGGTGCTGGAGATTGATCAGTGAATAAGCAGACAAGAATCTGCTCTCATGACAAACAGATAATACTCATAAACCAATCAGGTAAACAAGTATAAGGACTGTGAAGAAATACAGGACCGGGCAGTGGGATAGGGTGTGCTTGGGGAAGGGCTATTTTAGAATTTGTGGTCAGAGGAGGCCTTTCTGAGAAGGGGACTTTGGAGTCCTGAAGGTGAATAGGAGCCAGCCCTGGGAATATCTGGGGGAAACATTTCCAGGCAGAAGGAGCAGTCAGTCTGAAGATCCTCAGGCAGGCATGGGTTTGGTGCATTTGGGAACAGAAAGATCACTGGTGTGGCTAGGGTGAACCGATCAGGGGCGTGAGGATGGAGGATGTCACGAGTAAGAGGGGAAGGCAAGACCAGACTCTATTGGGCCTGGCGGGCCTGAGTAAAGAGTTTGAATTTTACTCGAGTGTAATAGGATGTCATTGGAGGGTTTTCCATAGGAAAATGACACGATCTGAGTTACGTGTTTAAAGCATCACTTTGACCACTGTATTAGTTTCCTGGGGTTGCCGGAACAAAAAATACTTTAATCCACACATTGACTAGGTGGCTGAAACAATAGCAATTATTTTTCCACAGTTCTGGAGGTCAGAAGTCTAAAATCAAAAGGTCAGCAGAGTTGGTTCCTTCTGGAGCCTCTGAGGGAGAAGCTGTTTTATGCCTCTCTTCTCGTTTCTGGCAGTTGTTGGAAATTCTTAGCATCTCCTGGGTTGTAGTTGTACCACTCTAGTCTCTGACTTCATCTTCACATGGCCTTTTCCTCTTTGTGCCTTGCCCCTTCTCTTGTGAGCTCACTTATGACCAGATTTAGGGCCCACTCTAATTAAGGATATTATCTCGAGGTTCTTAATTATGTCTGCCAAGATATTTTTTCGAAACACGGTCACATTCACAAGTTTCAGGTGGACGTATCTCTTAGGAGGTCAACATTCAGCTCTACTATCACTACTATGTAGAACATGGATTTAGGGTAAAACTGGAAGCAAGAAAACAGCTTAAGCCAGAGGCCCCAGAAACTGGGACTGGGAAGTTGCTGGAGCAGGTGTGAATACCAGCTCCACCTTTTAGTAGCCAGGGGACCTTAAGTCACCTCCATGAAGGTGCTGCTGAGTCTTGATTCTTTCTTTGGATAAATAGGAATAATAATAATTCCTACCATATAGGATGGCAGGAAGATTAAATGAATTCATACATGGTGATTAGCATCATCTCAGGCCACAGGAATGGCTCAGGAAAATGTTATTGGCTTTTGATATTGTTAAATGTTAACAGGACAGTCAGCCTGGTAAAGTGATCTTGTGACTAGGAGCTGGGTGGTTTTGATGTGAATTGTGGGAGCAATGAGATCAGATTTTGGCCATTTTGGGTTTGATCTGCTGGCTGTGTGGGCAGTGGTAGTGGCAGGGGTTCCTGGGCAGGAAGGATGCTAACAGAGAAGAGAACCAGTAATGGATTAATACACACACACATACACACACACACACACACACACACACACACATACACACACACACATACACATACACACACACACACATTCATGTTGTGGAGGCTGGTAAGTCTAAAATCCACAGGGCAGGCCCTCAGGCTGTGTACTCTCCAGCGGGAGATGATTTTGCAGTCCACAGATGGGATTTCTTCTTCCTCTGGGAAACCTCAATTTTGTTCTTAAGGCCTTTCAACCAATTGGATGAAGTTCACCAAGATTATCAAGAATAATCTCTTTTACTTAAAGTCAACTGGTTGCAGATCTTAACCAAGTCTTCATATCACCTTCCCATCAACATCTGGACTAGTGTTCAATTGAATAACTGGGTCCTATAGCCTGACCAAGTTAACACATAAAACTATCACAAGCGGTAACCCTGCAATGAAGTCCATATCCTGGGGTGAGGCTGGTGCTTTGAGGGAGAGTGGGCCAGAAGGAATGCAGACAAATGATGGGCAGAGCCTTAGCAGACACTCTGGGTGTTCCTGAAAGAAGTGGAGCTTCCGGTAAGTGGGTGGGAGCCCCGGGAATAGACCATAGGGTGAGTGGAAGGCCATCAGCTGGCCAGCTTAGGTGGCAGAGTAGGCAGTGAGGGTAGTGGATATTTGTGGCACTCTTCTCATTCCTAGGAGACCCATCCTGGAGAAACTGGAATGTTATGGCAGGAGTTGGACCTGGGACCAAGACTGGAGATGCCTCTTGATGATATCTGGGCCTTGGAAGAAGGAAAGAGTCCAGGCTGGGAAGCAGGCAGGCTTTGGCAATGGTGATTTCAGAATCCTTCCTCAATATTCATAATTGTAAGGCTAGGTTAGTGTTGGTGTAGCTTCCTACTGTCCAGAGTTGCAAAGTCCAGTCTTGACCAATGTCCTGTAGAGTGATTTTAATAAAGACCAAAAGGGAAAATGTTGACAAGTCATCTGATATTTGCTTGTAGAGCTTTCTGAAAAGCCACGATACCAAAAGGCCCTATAAGCAGCAGAAGAAAATGACAAAGGATTAAAAAAAAATTCCACTTATCCTCCAACTCAAAAGAATAGGCCCCAGCTTAAAGAATTATGATGGCTGTTGGGTATTGGAGACCTATTATGTGTCAGGATAGTGCTGAACAGTTTGCTTCCATTTTCTCATTTAATATTCACAACAACCCTGTGACATGGGTATGACAATCTTTCCCATTCATACAAAGAAAAATTAAGTCCTGAGAGGCTAGCAAACTTACCCAAGACCATGCAGTTCCTATGTGGCAGAGCTAGGAGCTATTGGGAGCCAAAGCCATGTCAGTCTGACTCTAGAGCCTGTGCTCTTCACCATGTCACCCATCCAAAACCCAGAAGAGTCAGCACTTTGAGAAACATACTGAAGCCAACTAAAAGGGGCTCTTCACTTGCATTTCGGGAAAAAAGTGGATGAACAGAGGACTGCTTGCGTGAAGTTTTAACAGTTGAGAGAGAAAGCA
This sequence comes from Homo sapiens, assembly GCF_000001405.40. Classification (NCBI taxonomy): domain Eukaryota; kingdom Metazoa; phylum Chordata; class Mammalia; order Primates; family Hominidae; genus Homo; species Homo sapiens. The sequence continues at coordinate 82,279,849 of NC_000016.10, forward strand.
GCGCTGCTTAATTGCTGGTTGTTTTTTTTTTTTTTTTTTTTTTTTTTTTGAGCCAGAGTCTCACTGTCACTCAGGCTGGAGTGCAATGGTGCAACTTCAGCTTACTGTGGCCTCTACCTCCCAGGCTTAAGCGATTCTGCTGCCTCGGCCCCTGAGTAGCTGAGCCCACCACCATGCCTAGCTAATTTTTGTATTTTTAGTAGAGATGGGGTTTCACCATGTTGACCAGGCTGGTCTTGAACTCAGACCTCAAGTGATCCACCCGCCTTAGCCTCCCAAAGTGCTGGGATTACAGGCATGAGCCACCATGCCTGGCCTTGATTGCTGTTTAAATTCTGATTTTTCTAATGATCTTCCTGTGGGGAAAAATAGAGAAAAGGGGAGGGAATCTGGGTCCATCATAGGTGTGAAGGCAGGAGGCCATCACCAGTTCATAGAAACAAGCTTGGGTCTCCAGAATTAGATGAAATTTGTCTTGCGGGTCTGTTGGAAATTTTAAACGTAAAATCTATAGTGCTGGTTGCTATACAGGATACAGAGAGGCTACTTTTGAACCTTCTCCTTCCCTTCTGTCTCATATCCGCTCCTTCTCAAGAAATTTATGACAATCAGGAAGGCAGATTTTTTTTTCCTTTTCCAAATCTATTCCTTTGGCACAGGAAGAATATGTCAAACATGAAGAGTAGATATCACATATGTGGCAAATTTATAATAAGCTTAGCATTGAAATGTCCCCTTTCCTCCCTCTTCTCTTTGTCCTTCTTATATTTGAGAACTGTTAATACCACCAACGCAATGGTGCATACCAAAAATAATGCTGTGTAACTAACAAGAACAAATAAGCTTCTGTTGCTTGTGTGTCCTGAGTCAAGTGTGGGCAGTCCAGTGGCTCTGCTGATCTTGGCTAGGCTCACTCACAGGTCAGGGGTCGAGTGGGCATCGTTCATTTACAGTCTGGCTTATGCAAGGGGAAACCAAGACAACATGGCTGTTCTCATCCTAGAAGAGGATGATTGCTTTTTCATCCTAGCTTGCTAGTCCAGGCATATTCTCATAGCAGAGGCAGAGGTGCAGGAGGATAAGCAGAAAGAACAAGAATGTGAAGCTGGTATTCATATCCAGCACATAGCACTTCCACAGAATTCTGTTGGCCAAAGCAAGTCACAAGTTCAGCACAGACAAGAGGTAGGGAGGTAGGCTCCACCTCTGTAATAAGAGGAACTGAAAGTCACATGGGGCCAACTGCACAAAGGGGTCATGAATGTAGCTGATCTTCCATAAGTACCTGCTGTGTTCCAAGCATTGCTTTGGGATTGTGACGATACATAGTCATGTCTCTGCACTTGAGGGTTTTCTAGTTTGGTGAGGCCATTTGGTGAGTCCATTTGCTGGGCTTGAATATGAAGTTTTGGTTAATGCATGAATTTCTGGCATGTTATTGCTTTATACTGGACATACCCTTCTTCCCATGTGCTGCTCAGTTTTATCTCTGTGGCTGGCTGTAGCAAACAGTTTTCCAAAGTAGAGAGCAAAAACCCTCTGAGACTTCTCCCAGTAAATATTACAGCTCAGCAACTGCCAGCCATTTGTCTCATTATTTTTCTTAGAACTGCCAGAGCAGAGAGGAATTCCTTGGTATATCTGAGTGGAGTTGCAGAGGTGAGAGAGTCGTAGGAAGAATTCCAGCAACATGCAGCCAAAGTCACTAACTCAGATCTATTTCCCCCAGAGATAGACCTGGTGAAGCACAACAGGAGATTCTCCCATGTTGTGTTTGCTTGATTCTCCCATGTTATGGGAGAATTTCATGGGAGATTCTCATGTTATGCTTGCTTGATTGAAATGCTATTGTTGGCAATGGTCATTGGAATTCTCTAAGAATAGCAACCCTGTCTGCTTACTCCTCTCTATTTGCCAAATGCCTAACACAGAGCCACATGGTTAGGCATTCTTTAAATATTTATTTGTTGAATAGAAAAAGGAGAGGTGACTGAAGACTGATAATAGACAGATTTTGAACTTTCCCAAAGAGAAGGAAGGTTCTTTTAGAAGTTATCGGCCAGTGAATTTGACACTAGTGAACGGTGCAGTCCCAGACTCAATTATCAAACAGATGGCTTGTGAGGCAGTGGAAATGGGAGCTGGGATTACTGGGAGCCAGAATGGGTTCACCAAGAACTGGTCGTGTCAAACCAAATTTAATTCTTATGTGATCAGATTCTTGTACTCTTATAACAGCCTGGAGGCAGGATGTGCATGATATCCAGCAGGGCATCTGACAGCATCTTTCATAAAACCCCCATAGTTGGCAGGTGGAAATGTGGGCCCAGTTAGTTAGCAGGTTGATTTATAACTGGGTATTTAACTATATATGAAGATCTTCTACTAATGTCATTTTTTTTTTTCTGGAGGAAGGAAGGGAGTTTTCTCTACCTGTATATTGTGGGACCATCTTCTCCTTATCTTGCCTGTATTTACCAATAGTTATAATACAGATATATCAGTTAAGCCTGTTAAATTTTTAAATGATTCAGAGTTGAAAGGAAGAAACTTAAATGTTGGATGATGGAGTCATGATTCCGCATCATGTTGACAGACCAAGATGATGGGTGGGGCTAAAAGATGAATTTTCATAGGAATAAATTCATAGCAGAGACTAGACATTGAAGAGTAATTTGCAAGGGTATGGGATAGCAGAGCCCCAGTTTAAGAGCACACAGTCAATTAGTGGATAAGAAGTCATATACATAAAGGGAATGAATAGAAGTATTATGTGAAGATCAAGGGAGAATATAGTCCCCCTGTCTCCTGAATTTATCAGATCACACTATTCAATAAAACATTTATTAAGTACCTCTCTGTATCAAAGTCTTAGCCAGGCACTTTCCTTGTTAAATAAATTAGTGTGAGTTCCAAGGAATTCCTCCCTCTCAGTTGCTACACAAAACATATCAAAAAGCCCCTGGTTTAGAGCTGGGCACTCAGCAGGTGCTATATAAATGCCAAGATCACACTATGACCCACAGCTTTATTTATAGCCTGTGGGGTCAACTTCCCTTTCACTCTTTCACCATTTCTAACCTCAAACCTCTTATTACAAGTGAGTGGATTTGTTTTGAATTTCTTCATTTATTAAACAGCATTCTTTTAATGGCTCATTTGATAGCATGAGGGCTCTGTGTGTCTATTCCTGTTTATCCTTTCATCTCTTTCTTTGGATGGTGGTTCCATTCTCTCGTACTACAGACAACTTTCCCCATATTTTTGCAGGAAATGACCAGAAGTAGCTCAAGATGATATTATCCTTTTTGGTGTTCATATATCAGAGGAAGCTCTGATGGGCCTGACTTAGGTCATAGGTCATATGGTCACTCTTGGACTGGCCACTTCTGGGTATTGGTGTTCACTACTATGGTGGCAGTGTGTGTGTGTGTGTGTGTATGTGTGTGTGTGTGTGCATGTGTGTTGGGCAGGGGCTGTCTGTGAATAGCAAGTTTAGCCCCATGTAAACCACATGGAATAATTTCCCACAGAGAAGAAAAGGGTTTTATAAGCAAAGTATTGCGTAAAGTACACTAGAGAAGCATGTAATAGATATTTATAAACTCCCTTTTTCCTGAAGAAATGGCTAGAGTATAGGGAGGAAGAGGGAGAAGAAAGATGGCTGTGGGGCCCCTTCATCTCCCAGTACATTAACCAGCTCCTGAATTAAGGGAGGAGAAGTGGTTGTGATCCCTTTTGATCAATCATTATTTTAAAATCAAAGCAGAGGACTGCTTTGGTTTCAGGCTGAGATATGCTGCTGCCTTTTCTCCCCATTGGAGTTTGGGGTTTGTGCTTTCTGCTTATCTTTTCCTATTGCTTGAATGTATGAAGGAATGTCCTGGGGAAGCTTGGAGTCCTCAGGTGAAAAGGCTTAATGAGGAACACAGTGACTGTGCCCTGACAATTTGTGAGGGAGTTTCTGTATCTGTCCTGCGGATGGTCCAGAGAGAGTTAGGAAAAGACACACTCATTTTCACCTCACCTCTATTTCTGTCTCTGTTGGCTGAGGCTGCTCATTTCTGAGGCTCCCATGGATCTGGGAAATGGGAACCTCCAGTCTCTCTTCCCCTCTGCTGATCAAGCAGCCGGAGGACCTGTCATGATGGTTACATACTCCCTGTGAACAGAGGGACAGGATAAATTCCTGGTTCTAGAGAATCTGATGCTCAGACTAATTTGCACACTGGGATCCCGGAGGCCCTTCCATACTATCACATATTCTGCCTCTTGATTACCTGGGCTGACAAGGGAACGCTGGCATGGGCACCCAACTAGGTCATTAATCTTGATGTCACCTGTTCGGCTGTGGACTTCACTCTGGGACTCAAGAGTTGTTTTCCAGAAGATTTTCAGCTCTAATTATGTTTAATGGGACTTGTATTAGAAGAGGTAAGTTCTGTGAATGCTGTCAAGCCAGCTGGACTATGGTCAGAATTTATTCTGATATCAGAAAATTGGCCTTCAGTGAAAAGGTCACCACAGATTACACACAAAATAAGCGAGTCACAGGTGGTTTGGAGCAGTTATTTATACTCAAGCTTAGGTCCACAAATCCCGTCTTTTAATTTATTTTTTTCCTGCCTCCTTGAAAAACTTTACATCATTTGCCTTTCCATTTATCTATGAAATGTTAGGAGTGGAAATAAACAACAATCTACTATAAATCCTAAGAACCCATCACACCCCACTGCCCCCAACCCTGGGGAGAAAACTATAGGGTTCGACGTTTTAATTTATTTTACCTAATGTAGATGTTATATATAGATATATAATATTCATAAATTCATGTAAGTGCATAAAACATTCAGTCAATATATTACTATGTATGTGCATTTTAAAATATACTTCATATATGCAATATGTATATTTTAAATATATGGCATATATTTTATCTCTTTGTAACCCTGTGAAATAGACATTATTATTCTCATTTTCATAGATGAAGAAACAGAAGAAATTAGGTAACTTTCCCAAGATTACCAGGTCAGTGAGGTTCTCAGATGCAACTAATAGAAACCAACCCTGACCAAGCAGAAAATCAATTTGTCAATATGTTGTTGGGAAGTTTGAAGGATCTACGGGAGGGCTGGAACTACAGGTCTAGAAGCCGTACAGCCAAGAACACCACCACCAAAGACCCTACCACTGATGTCCCAGGTATAGACCCTGAAGTGTGTCCTGCTCACAGCAAACAAGACAGAGCAAGCCTGGGTAACAGCAGCCTTGGGAAGATGGTGAAGCTGAGGCTGCCACCTTTGCCAGAATGGCTGCCACAAGTGCTGCTGCTTTGGCTTACCTGCTCCCATTGCTTCGTGGCAAGTGGGTGATGGGAGGAGTCTCGGCTATGTGCTGGACCCTCACTGCAAGAGAGACTGGAAGGATTTTCACTTCCTGATGTGTTAGGGGGCTCTTCAACACTGGACAGCCAAATAAGAATGATAGATGTCCTGTGTGTCTCACAACCAGGGTAGGTGGAACTGGGCTTTGGTGCCGGCTTTGTTTAGCCACAAAGATTTGTTTTACTACCCCTTACAGCAGTTCTTGGAGGAACCCAGCAGCCAGCTTGGCATCTGAGAGTGATTTCAGGCTTCTAGCTGATCCTAGCTGGGCCCAGCCTCCCCAAAACACATGTCTGAGCAGTTTTTATTTTGAAAGAAAGACAGCTTTATAAATGGAAATAAAAATGGGCCTGAAACACCAATTTTGAAACTTAGGGAAAGTACAAGGTTATAGTATAGTCAGTTGTTAGAGAGTCACTATGATATAATCAACAACAACAACAAAAATGTGCAAATAATGCTGGGGTGAGAACTATGAGATTTTCTGGCTTGTGAGAAAGTGGAACATCACAGATGTCCTTGATGAAAACAGATCCGTGAAATCATCTAAGTGTTTTAAATTTTGTCAACCACACAGGTACGGCATGAGCGTGTTTTTTCAAAGATTCCTAGTAAGTCTCCAGTTACCTTGAGCATCACCAGCCATCTCCAGAGAATTCTTCCATATAAGAAGCTGCCACTCTTTTGAATTTAGTCTAGATCCCTTTAAACTAGAAACATCTGTGTGTTTTTAACCCATAGAATTGTATCATACAAAATGAGTAGTCGTATTTACTGTCTGTGCATTTCCTTCAGCACTGTGTCTTAGAGACTTTACGTGTTGGGACCAACAAACCTACCTTACTGGTTTACGTACTGCATAGAATTTCATTATACAATCGCATAGGACAGCTTGCTCCAACAGTTCCCTATTGATATAGGATTTTTTTTTTGCCTTGAAAACAATGTTCCATTGAATGTACTTGAATATGTCTTTTTTGTACTATGAGTGTTTTCTCCAAAGTGGCTACAAAGAAGTGGAGTCACTGAGTCACAGGGGATGCACATTTAAACATTAATGGCACCAGCAAATTGCCCTTGAAAGGGCCTGAGCCAAATTATGATACCACTTGTAGTTCAGAGAGAAGCCATTTTCCCACATCAACATTAGCACACTTCTTAATTTTTGCCCATGTGAAGTGCTTTTTAATTTGTATGTCCCTGAGTGCTGGTGATGATGAACATCTTTGTGTTTATTTGTTGGCCATTTGTATTTTTAATTTCATGTATGCCCTATTCTTATTCTTCCTCATCAGTATCCTCTTGCATTTCATTTCTGAACTCCTGAGCACGGGTATAGTCTGTCTTGTTCCTTATTGCATCTCTTGTGCCCAGTCCAATATGTGTCATGAAATAACTGCACAAACAATTGTGAAATGATCCAAGTTATCACCACCTCTAACCTAAGCACGGTTTTTCAGTCTTCAGTCAAGACACAATCTGAAATCTCCTTCCTGGGAGTGAGCCTTAAAGCAAAGTATTAGACCTTTTAAAGAAAAATCAGACCCCAGTCACTTTGGCTAACAGGTGGTTGGTTGTCCTAGAATGCTAGGTCAAAGCCCTCCAGGCACCCTAGAATTCACCCAAGCTGTATTCTAGTAAATCAGGGCCTGCAGAAGTTATTACTTTGACTATGTCTTTTGTCTGACCAAGACCAGCCATGCATTCAACAAAATGTGTCCACCTAATATGTGCTTCTGGGGGGTAGTTATTAGCATTTGAAAACTAAAAGATTTCACATAAATGTCCAGATTTCTGACTTTCCATGACAAACTATAGACCCAGAGACACCAGGGTTTTTAGAAGAGGGAGATTCTCTCCAGTCTATCATCATCCCTGACTACGTGGGTTCTGGAGACATTTGAATTTGCACCCTCTGGTTTACAATACAGTTAGAGATAAAAGTAAACCTGTGAAAAAAAAGAAGAGAAATCCTGCAATACAAAGCAGTGTGTGGTAATATACCAAGTAGGTGATATCATATGGATTTCCAGAAGAATTCTGAGAAAGGGAAGGGCCTTGAAGGCTGAGGTAGTCACAGTAGATATGTTGTGTATTAGCTGGGCCTTAAAGGATGGGCAGACATTGCTGGGTGAGGGTAGGGTAAGAATGAAAGAAGGTCAAAGGGAACATTCCTACTGCTCATGAATGGTCTTGAAACCTGAAAAGCCGAGTGAAAATTTTGTTTGCATTTTCCCTCTGAAGACAGGATTCAATGCTTCCAGCAGATTCTTAAAAGAATTAATGACCCCCTCACCTCCACAAATGGGGAAAATCACTGGTAGAGGGAGACATTGAGAGCTAAAGTTAGTGATGTGATCTGGGAACTGGCATAGAGGGGCTTGGCTGCCCAGCTGAAGAGTTTTGGCTACATTTCACCCACCTGCAGCTGCAGAAGCCTGTAGCTGACAAGGAGTCTTTGAATGCAACCCAGAGGGAGATATAAGCTTCCCTGGGGATGTCATAATTGCTACCATTTACTGCCCACTTTGTATGTTCCTCACACTATGCTGAACTTTTTAAAAAATTGAGATGAAATTCATACAACATAAAATTAATCACTGTAAACTGTGAAATTTAGTGGCATGTAGTACATTCACAACGTTGCACAACAATCACACCTATCTAGCTTCAGATGTTTTTATGACCCAAATGGAAACCCTATGCCCATGAAGCAGTCACTCCCCACTCCTTTTTATGGCTGAATGATATTCCAGTGTTATGATAGGCTACAGTTTATCCATTCATCAGCTGACGGGCATTTGGACCGTTTTCACTTTTGGGTTACTGTGAATAGTGTTGTTGTGAAGATTCATGTATAAGTGACTGAATCGTTGTTTTCAGTTATTTTGGATACATACTGAGAAGTAGAATTGCTGACTCATATGGTAATTTTATATTTAATTATTCTGAGGCTATGCTGAGCTTTCTCTGTGTTCTCTTTTTTAATCTTCTTAAAAAATTCAGTGAGAAAGGATTATAATTACCTTACAGATAAGAATGTACAGGTAAGAAAACAGGCCCAGAAAGTGAAGTAGTCTTTCTAAGGTAGTTAAGTGGCCTTTTTAAGGTTGTGTAGCCAGTAAGTGGTAGAGTTGAGATTTAATCCCAGGACTGACTGATTGCAGAACCTCAACTCTTAACCACTATACTACCCTGCCTTTCTATAGCACCAAGGAGGATCGCACCTCCAAACGTGGCAAGAAATGAGTTAGTTTCCTTGCTCAAAGAACTATTAATGAAAAGAAAAATGTTAATTGGAGAAATGTTACCCAATGGCAATTATCTGTTAAACTGAGTGGGAGTTTTGCCGTGAAAGAAAAGCGAACAAAGCCTCTGTATTAGTCCATTTTCACACTGCTAACAAAGACATACCCAAGACTGGGTAATTTATAAAGAAAAAGAGATTTAATGGAGTCGCAGTTCCACATGACTGGGGAGTCCTCACAATCATGGCAGAAGATGAAGGAAGAGCAAAGGAACATCTTACATGGCAGCAGGCAAAAGAGAGCTTGTGCAGGGGAACTACCATTTATAAAACCATCAAATCTTGTGAAACTTATTCACTACCATGAGAACAGCATGGGAAAGACCCACCCTTATGATTCAATGACCTCCCACCAGGTCCCTCTTGTGACACATGGGAATTACGGGAGCTACAATTCAAGATGAGCTTTGGGTGGGCACACAGTCAAACCATATCACTCTCTATGGGTGCTTTTCTGCTCACCTGTGGAGGCAGGCATCACTGCCACCTGGAAGAAATCGGGACACTCACTCTCCCAGCCTCCCCTCCTTTTCCTGCTCTTGTGGCCACCCCTTCAGCCTGCACTGCCTCTAAGCTCTTTACCCTGGAGGACAGTAACTTCAATTTTAGAGAAACTCTAAAGTGGCTTATATGCACAGGAAGCTGCAAAAACATCTGAGCCTCCACTTCACGCAGGAATTCCCTACCACTTGTGAGGGAGAGCCCATAATAAGCGGTGTTCATTAGGATTAATGCCTGTTGACTGTGAAAACATGAAATTGATCAGAAAGCCAGTTTTTGAAACAAGACTCCAAGGTGACTGAGGACTAAGGCAGGAAGGAGGGTGTCTGCTGGGTTCATCAGAACTGAGTCCTGGTAACTGCATAAAAGTGAAATTGATAATACAAGAGACATGATTGCTAGAAAGTGCAAACACTGCTGTGGGGGGTGACAGGCAGCAAAATCTGTTTTATTTGCTACCCCAGAGAAGTACTGAAGGGCCTAGTTCTATCCCCAGACACTCCCGTCCTGTTCTAATGTGGCATCTTTTATCTACCTACTAGGGGGAGAGGGCCACTTCAGACACCTGAGCATGTTAATAACTGGCTGCCTACCAAGGTATGTGCTATGAAAGTGTAAAGTTGCATCTTAACATAAGTTTTAAAATTTTCTTGGCATCAGTTTTCTATTTCATAGAGACTAAAATGATTGGGATATATTTTGAATTATAAGTTTATATGTCTTGACTTGTACTTAGCTGTTAATCCAGGATCCTTCATGTGCATCCCTAGACCTGTGCGTGAGTTGCCTTTCCTCTGGTTTCTCACTGGGTTTGGTCAATGGTGGCAGCAGCAGGAGATTGGAGGGAAAGAAGTGGAGGAAAGCCTATTTGAATTCCTACTTCACCTCCTGATGGGGCACAAGTTGGCATTGTTGCAGTTCTCTGTTGTGGGCCGTCGCTCCTGTAAGGTGGCCCTCTCCCAGAGCTGTAGGTCTTGTTGAGTTCTGGTAACTCTCCCTCCTTCTGTCCTTTCAGTCTTGGGGGTGGTCTCAGCTTCCCACCATTGCTAGCCCCGGGGAGCTTCATTCCCTGTTCATTTTCCTCACTTTGCCCACATTTTTCTAAAGAGTCCTTTTAACCTTTCACCCCTTCAACATGCCATCTCTTTCCTACCATGACCCTGACTAGTCAGCCACCCAACTCCTCTGTCCCCATGCAGATATCTATGAGATGGCAGGGTGGGGCAAGAATCCCAGGGCTGGGACAGAGCACGGGTTGACTAAGCATCAGACTGTAGTACCATCATCTTATGCCTAATAAGACTGGACCAGAGATCAGGGGAACTGAGGGCTGAGGAGCCTGGTCAGGGAATGGGACCCAAGGAAACTGGAAGAAAAGTTGTCTAGGATGGAGCACTGGGAATAGAGAAGAGAAAAATAACATTCCAACCAGAAAAATAATACAGCAACTTGAGAATCAATTGGTGAGATGATTTGTGGGTTCCACCCTGCACACAGAGCTTGCTTTCATAGATGCTCCTACCCCTGGAGTAGACTTTCCCTTTTCCTTGGTAAACTTTGAGGGAGGACAGCTTCCCTGTGCACCTGACTAGGCCATCTCTCCGCCCCTTCAGTCCAGAATTTGAGCTCCTTGAAGGTTCTTGGAATGACCTCAGCCATTTTTTACTCCTGTCCCTTTTCACTCAAATGGTCCTCTTTGCCAGATTTTACACCGTGATAATTCTTAGTCTTTCTTTAAGACTTGGTCAACTATGATAATGCTTAGTCTTTCTTTTTTTTTTTCTTTTTTCTTTTTTTGAGACAGGGTCTCACTCTGTTGCCCAGGCTGCAGTGCAGTAGTGCAATCTCAGCTCACTTTAGCCTCAACCTCCCAGGGTCAGGCAATCCTCCTACCTCAGCCTCCCATGTAGCTGGGACTATAGACATGCACCACCCCTCCCAGCTTATTTTTTTGTATTTGTAAAGATAGGGTCTCACTATGTTGCTGTGATGGTTAATGTTAGGTGTTAACTTGATTGGATTGAAGGATGCCTAGATAGCTGGTAAATTATTGTTTCTAGGTGTAGCTGTGAGGGTGTTGCCAGAGGAGACTGACATCCAAATCAGTGGACTGGGAGAGGAAGACCCACCCTCAATGTGAGTGGGAACAATCTAATCAGCTGCCAGCAGGGCTAGAATGAAGCAGACGGAGGAAGGTGGGATACCCTGGCTTGATGAGCCTTCTGGCTTTCACCTTTCTCCCATGCTGGATGCTTCCTCCTGTTCCTTCTGCTCTTGGACATCAGACTTCAGATTCTTCAGCCTTTGGACTCTTGGACTTACACCAGTGGTTTGCTGGGGGTGCTTGGGCCTTTGATCGCAGATTGAAGGTTGTACTGTTGGCTTCCCTGATTTTGAGGCTTTTAGGTTGAGACTGAGCCCCTACTGGCTTCTTTCTTGCCCAGCTTGCAGATGGCCTATTGTGGGACTTTGCCTTGTGATCATGTGAGCCAATTCTCCCTAATAAACTCCCTTTCATATATACATGTATCCTATTAGTTCTGTCCCTCTGGAGAACCCTAACACAGTTGTCCAGGCTGTTCTGGAACTCCTGAACTCAAGCCATCTGCCCGCCTCACCCTCCCAAAATGTTGGGATTACAGGCATGAGCCACCTCACCAGGCCTCTTAGTGTTTCTTAAGATCAACTGGGATTCTCAGAAAATCTTATCTATTCCTTAGTCTGATAGAAATACTCTTCTAGGCTCCCAGGCATTACCTGAGTCTTCTCTCCCATCCCTTCACTGCCAGAACATGAAATCTGTCCAACAGGGCTTTGGTTCCATTTATTAGTGAAAGGGGTAGTTTAGAAAATGTGGTCTGAGGAATAAACATGAACATTTTGAACATTTTAGAGATCTCTGGGGCAGTGGAATAAAAAAATTCTGTATCTATGCTTTTGGAGTGGGAAAGGAGCCTCCCCAAGAAATTCTAAAAAGTTATATTTTGTAAGGCAAGAACACAAACCTCTAAGTATGAAACCAGAGTCCTTACACATTAAAGAAGCTGGAACACGTCAACAGTGGGTACAAAGGGAAGCAAAATCCCTCAGGATAGAAGGAAACGAACACCTTAACTTTTGAACTCTTAAGGGAAGAGTGTATTTTCTTCATGATCCACTAAGTTTCTTGCCCTCAGGAACATTTAGAAAAATATGTATGAAAAGAACTATGTTTATCTGGTTGTCGTAGTATATGATGGAGGTCCTCGGGACCACTCCCAGGTTTGATGAATTGCTAGAAGAACTCATGGATTCAGTATACAGCCATATTGAAAGCTATGATTTATGACAGTGAAATGATACACAGCAAAATCAGCAAAGGGAAGAGGCACAGGGGGTGAAGTCTGAGGAAGCCAGGCACAAGCTTCCCACTATCCTCTCCCCGTGGAGTCACGCAGGACAAGTGTAATTCCTCCAGCAACATACTGTGATAACCTGTATGCATGTTGCCAAGCAGGACAGCTCACGAGAGAATCAGGACCCTGGGTTTTTAAATTGGAGGCTAGTCATGTAGGCACCCTTTTCCTGGCATGTACCAAAATTCCAGATCTCAGTAAGGAGAGCAGGCGTTTAGCATGAATGATATTGTTTGCATGAACAGTGTTGATGCAGTGAGCCCACTTTCCAGTTCTGAGAATGGAGGGAACCCTCTCCAAATCAAAGTATCCAGGTGTCAGCCAAGGTCCGACCTTGCAGGCAGAGCTTTCTAAGAGCAGCATTCCTCAGGTCTGCTGGTTGCTCTTTTTTCCTCAGGAGGTGTCATATTGATCACTCCTAGTAAAAGGAGGCAGCGATGCCATTTTCCAACAAGGGGAGTTTTCTTTCCCTCAGATCCCACAAAGAACTGGAGCTTCCTAGAATGTCAGCTCGGATTTCTTTTTCCAGATACCTTGGCAATGACTTCCAAACCTCAAAGGCACTGTAACAGTTGACTTTAATTAAATTATTACCCACATCCCTCTTCTCCTTTGCCTTCCATCTTGAGGGGCTTAAACCTAAGCTCCCAAGAGCCATCCTTGCTGCATGGAAGACTCATCCCTCAGAGATTTGCCAGGTGTTAAAGCCTATATTTGATGGTTACCCATCAAATAAACTCTTTTTTTTATCCCAAATGCTTTATGTTCTGCACCCATGGGCCCAGCACCCTTGCAGTTACTCCCACACTCTCCTGGTTCTTGCCCACCCATGTTAGCTAGTTAACATGGACAGGCTATGTTGGCCCAAGTTAGCCATGTGAGCCCATTCATGTTAGCCAGTTGGAGCCCCTGTGGTATAGAAACCTTCTCTCCCTGGAAGGCTCAACACTTTCCCAGTCAGGTCAGGCTGAGAGTCAATTCTTGGTGTTGGTCTGGTAGCCAGCAGAGGATGTGGGGGCATTGTTTTGTTGGGCACCTACCTCATTAGTGGCTTTGCTCATTCTTCAAGGGAAGGGGCTCTGTCTTCCAGTGAGAGGGAGGAGGAGACTTTTGCAGGCCTAAAGGGTTCAGGGGGATCATAGGGTTGAAGGAGCTCAAATGCATGTTTTCAAGTGTCTCCACCCCAGGTCTCAGAGTCCCACTTCTTCCCATAAGGATTTTGACTTTGGTGGAAGAGATGTGCCTAGGCTAAGAATCTAAGAACTCTGAACTTCAGCTGCTCTTACAATTAGGTTCTGTGTCTGTTCTTCAGCTCTGTCTTTATGCTGAAGAAGATGAGCATTTCTTTAAATAATGCCAGGGATGCTCTCTGACACTGTTTGCTCTAAATTATTGAGTGACTGCCCTGAGGCTGCCATTTTTTCTCTTGGAGGCATTCATGGTATTCAGTGACAGCCACCTAATTTCACGGTCCTTAGAATTACTGTATCTCTCACTCCTCTCCAACACCAGAGACACTGCACAAACCAGTATCTCCCCTTCTGCCCCTTTCTGGTCCCGGTTCTCCACAGGTGAAAGTCTTAGCAATCATGCTGTGCCCACAGATGATGATGCTCCACCTCCCACTAGTGATAAACTCCACGTTGCCAGGCAACTAATCAGTGATCCAACTCCACAGCCCTTCCTTTGAGTCTGGTTCTTAGGACCACTCTCTTAGGTCAGTGTGGGGGGGCAGAATAATGGTCCCTAAGTCATTCATATCCAAATCCCTGGAACCAGTGAGTATGTTACCTTACATGGCAAATGGGACTTTGTGAATGTTATGAATCTTGACATGGGGAGGTTATACTGGATTATCCAGATGAGTCTAGTGTAATCACAAACAGGTGATTTTTGACTGGTCCTGGGCACCCAAGGGAGCAGTCCTGGCCACTGCAGGAAGGTTAGAGTCAGAGAAGGGGAATCTATTTCAGCAGCCTTGTACAGGGCAGAAATTGTACACTCCAATGAGGCCACCTTAATATGCCCAGCCAGAGAAATAAGAACTATTTAAGGAATGGTGGCTTTTTTTTTTTTTTTTTTTTTGAGACGGAGTCTCGCTCTGTCCCCCATGCTGGAGTGCAGTGGTGCGATCTTGGCTCACTGCAAGCTCTGCCTCCCGGGTTCATGCCATTCTCCTGCCTCAGCCTCCCGAGCAGCTGGGACTGCAGGCGCCTGCCACCACGCCCGGCTAATTTTTAAAAATATTTTTAGTAGAGACGGGGTTTCACCGTGTTAGCAAGGATGGTCTCGATCTCCTGACCTCGTGATCCACCCGCCTCAGCCTCCCAAAGTGCTGGGATTACAGGCATGAGTCACTACGCCCGGCCAGGAATGGTGGCTTTTCTAGCCTAGTTGCTTTGACCTCCAAATGCAGGCTTAGTCTGACTTGCATAAAATAAACTAGGTGCATTCAGCAGCCTGGTAAACAGTCACTTGGTAGTTTTGCAGAATTTAGCTGCTTTATCGCATTCTGCCAGCTTCTGTTTTAGTTTATTCAAGCAACCTTGGCTGGCCCTAGTTGACTGGTGATCTTGCTGTTAATGACAGACCACTGACATGACTGCATTTGAGTGAGAAGCCCCTTGGACTTGCCACTTTGCCTGGTCTGGGGCCTCGAAGGGGGCAGCGCTTGTCTCTGAATACTAATTGTTGCTCTGTCATCTGACTCAATCAACACAGGAAGTGGGACACCAGCAGACAGTCGCCAATGGAGATACGATTTCAGCCTTAATATTTTACCCCTTGACAGTACGACAAATGCATCTAAACTGATGGAAAATGGGATTCTTCACTGAGATGCACTGTGCCCCAGATCTGTAATTTGATACAAAAGCTTCACACAAATGGAAATTAAAATGCATTTTAGATGCTTCCTCCCATGAAAGCAGTTTGCACCAGCAGACTTCTCTCTTTCAGGAGTTCGCTATAGAAATAGGAGAAACCGGGCAGCTTTGCTGTTGGCGGCTGTGGAGGTAACAATCTCCCTGTGTGTCAACTGTAGGCAAGAAAACGAAATAAAATGAAAACCAAGTGGAGGCCTAATTATCCTTTTCAAGATGACTTCATCCTGTAGAGTGGCCCATTGAATACTACAAGGCACTTTCCTTTCCCTTCTTTACCCCTTGAGTGTTTGGGGCCACATTAACGGGGGCGGGGGTCACACTGGGATTCAGAAGATGGGGTGCTTACCATTTGAGTCCAATTTATTTGCCTAACAACACTTACAGAGGTAGTGACTATCCGCCAAGCTCTGTTTAAAAGCTCTCCTTAGATAGTAACACATTTGTTTCTCAGAATGACTCTGTGAAGCAAGTACTGATGCTATTGCTATTTTAGGAAAATTAAGAAACAGAGAGATGAAGTGACCTGCCCTATGTCACACCTAGTAAGTGGCACCAGAATTGGGATTTGAACCTGGTCATCTGACTCCAAGTTCAAGGTCTTAATTGATTTGCTATGTTCTTCCTTTCTGTGGTGAAGAATCTGGGTGGAATTTGGCTTTCACAGAGAAAGCCCTAACCCTGATATCTTTGTGGTGGGGCAGGCCTTGGCTACAGCAGGGCCAGAGGTGCAGACCCAGCTATGCTTATAGCACATATTGTTCTGCGGTAGTTTTTTTTTTTTTTTTCTTAATGTGATAGTTTGGCACACGCTCTTGCCAGCCAGGTAGTTACTTCATTTACATCTGCCTAATGTTTACCATATACATTACCCATAATGTAATCACTGTTCTACTTTTAGACATCAACTTGTTCCCAATTTTCGGTTATTAAGAGCAGTAATGTAATAATGCGTATCCTTTTATAGCCAGGTTTTTAAAAAATACCTGGTTATATAAGGATATGCATTATTCCTTTATTATTTTTTTAATTTATTTTTTATTTCATTAGGTTTTTGTGGAACAGCTGCTGTTTGGTTACATGAATAAGTGCTTTAGTGGTGATTTCTGAGATTTTAATGCACCTATCACCCAACAATCGTATACTGTACCCAATGTGTAGTCTATTACCCCTCCTCCCACACTTTCCCCTGAGTCCCCAAAGTCCACTGTATTATTCTTATGCTTTTATGTCCTCATAGCTTAGTTTCCACTTATTAGTGAGAACATACAATGTTTGGTTTTCCATTCCTGAGTTACTTCACTTAGAATAATGGTCTCCAATTCCATCCAGGTTGCTGCGAATGCCATTATTTTGTTCCTTTTTAAGGCTGAGTAGTCTATATACATGCGCCACATTTTCTTTATCCACTCATTGACTGATGGACATTTGGGCTGGTTCCTTATTTTTGCAATTGCAAATTGTGCCGCTGTAAACATGAGTATGCGTGTCTTTTTCATATAATGACTTCTTTTTCTCTAGGTAGATACCTGGTTGTGGGATTGCTGGGTCAAATGGTAGATTTACTTTTAGTTCTTCAAAGAATCTTTACATTGTTTTCCACATTATTACATTATTTAATAGAGACACGGTTTCACCATTTTGCCCAGGCTGGTCTCAAACTCCTGGCCTCAAGTGATCTGGCTGCTTCGGCTTTCCAAAGTGCTGGGATTCCAAGCATGAGCCACTGTGCCCAGCCTAGCCACGTGTGTTTTCTTGTGAGTTTATTCACAGGGTAAATTTTCAACTGTGGGATTGCTGGGTCAAAGGGTATATATATTTTTAATTGTGATAGCTCTTGCCCACTTGCTCTCCAGAGAGGTTACCCCAATCCATAGTGTCCCTAAAAGTGCATGAAGAGTACCTGTTTCTTCACACTCTTCATGCACTGTGTATTAGAAAACTAAAAAAGTGCCTGCATGAAAAATAAGAGATGGTAATTCATTATTATTTGATTAATTATGGTGTCTCATCATTGCTTATTGGCTAGTTGTATTTATTTTTCTGTGAACTGCCTACTTGAATCCTTTGCCCACTGCTTCCCCCAGTTGAGTTCTTTATCATTTTTTTACTGATTCATAGGCACCCACTTCATTGTTTTAAGCCTTGGGGAGCGCTAGCTTTTTAGTTTATGGCTGGCCTTGTACTCTGGCCTGGAAAGACTTTGGTTAAACTAACTTTCCTCCTTCTTTTCCTTTAGTTTTCTCCCCTTTAATCTTTATTTCTGAGTACAGTGCTGTGCACCCTGTGGACACAATAAACACGTGCTGATTGACTGTTTTATTTATCTGATTTTTATGGCTTCTTTCCTCTCAAGAGCTCCATAGACTTTATAGTCATTAACTCGATAACCCTCAAAGTACTCTAGTGTGGCAGCAGTAATCACTGTCAGGGTTTTTGAGATGGTGAAACAGAGGAGCCCAGATTCTCCAGAATTATTCTTTGAGGGCCTCAGGAGGGAGCCTGGTGGGGAAGTTTAGCCTGTTGCAAGCTCTGGACCAAAAGAGTCCTTAGAAAGGTTCTAGTCAGAATGACTGCAGGACGGTGAATGGGTGGTCGTTGGGTCTACAAAGATTTCTTCAGACACCCACCCAAAAGGGAGGCTCCCTCTTGAACTGTTCTCAGATGGAAGTAAGACTGAATAGTAGTTGTGCGTGCCTGAGTTCAAATCTTAGTCACTCTGCATTACAGCTGTGTGCTGGGGGGCTCTGACTATGCGGCAGACCACGTGCCTTGCTTAGCCCTCAGAAAAATCCTGTGACATGTCAGATGGTTAAGGAACTGGTCCGAGGTGGCATGGCACTAAGTAGTGATGTTTGTAGTGAGCTAGATGGCAGTCCCTGAAAGCTCTGTCTATGTCTTCATCTCTGGAACCTAGAATGTGGCCTTGTTTGGAAAAGAGTCTTTGCAGATGTAATTAAGGATCTTGAGTTGAGATCATCCTAAAATAGGTGGACCCTAAATCCAATAACAAATGTCCTTATATGAGACAAAAGAGGAGAGACAGAGAAGAGAAGGCCAAGTGAAGCCAGAGGCAGAGATGGGTACCGCATCCCATCTCTGCAGCCACAAGCCAAGGGATGCCTGGACCACCAGAAAGTGGAAGAGGCAAGAAAGGATCCTCCTCTGGAGCCCACCGAGGGAGCCTGGTCCTGCTGACACCTTGATTTCGACTTCTGGCCTCTAGAATTGTGAAAGAATTAATCTCTGTCATTTTAAGCCTCCTAATTTGTGGCAATTTGTTATGGCAGCCACAGTGCTGAGATGAGAACCCAGGCAGTCTGGATTCCAAGTCCGTACCCTTACCTGTGACACTGTCTGGTGGGCACATAGCTGCACCTCTCTGAGCTTGTTTTCTCGTCTATATACAAGGATAGTGACTGTGCCTACTCCAGAGCGATGTTTTGAGGCTTAAATGAGATAATGTACATCAAAGGTAGAGAAGAGAGCTCAATAAATGTTAGCTCTTGTGGCTCCTAGGATTGCTGTTTTTACTGAGTGACCTTAGGAATGGCCACTTGTGTGCAGCAGGGACAGACACATTCCCTGGGGCCAATACTTGTCCTATAGGGAGGGTAATTCCAAAATCTTAGGCTAATAACTCACCATTCTGGGTGGTTGGTAGTTGAGGAAGTACCTTGGGGACATCAGTTGGTCTCCAGGTGTTTTTCCTTTGTATTTATCTATGAATTAGTTATTTTCATTTCTTTTGGTGTGTCTTTCTTTCTTTTATTTTTAATACTAACAATCTTTATACTTACTGTTAACTTATAACAATAGTTGTAAGTATACATGAAAGTATATAATTTATATACTTATATATACTTAATGTAAGTATATATACTTATTTTAAAGTATACATTAAAGTATATTAATAAGTATATTTTAATAACTATGCATTAAAGTTATTGAATAAGTATACATTGAAATATATTAATATATTATAACTTTAACACTTTAAAATTATAATATAAATATATACTTATGACTAATATTTTTAAAACTTTTAATATATGAAATTAATATATAGTTTATAACTTTAAAATATTAAAGTTATAAATTAATACTAACAATTTTTATACTTATATTAATGAGTTTAATATGTTTATACTGTAATATATATTTAACTGTGTATGGTAACATATGAATAAGTTAATATATTAAATTTAATATATAATACATTATAATATAAATTTATAACAATATATCATAATACATAATTCATATTATATATTTAATATATAATACCATAATAACTTATATTAAAAAGCTAATTTAATATATTACATTAATACTAATAATCTTTATACTTATTGTTAACTTACATTAAATTAATTAATATATTAAATTAACTTATTAATCTGGTTAACTATTATATATAGTTAACCATATTAAAATATATAAATATATAAATAATACATGATATATTATATATATAATTTGCATTTTATTATTATATTATATATTATATATTTAATATATAATATTTATATATTATATATTTAATAAATAATATTTATATATTATATATTCAATAAACAATATTTATATATTATATATTTAATAAACAATATATATTATATATATAATATACAATATTTATATATTATATATATTTAATATACAATATTTATATATTATATATATTTAATATACAATATTTATATATTATATATATTTAATATACAATATTTATATATTATATATATTTAATATACAATATTTATATATTATATATTTAATATACAATATTTATATATTATATATTTAATATATAATATTTATATATTATATAATTGATTGTATCATACATAATTATTATATCAATATATTCATAATATTAATATATGAATACTATTAATATATGAATATATTGCTATTCTTATATTAATATATAAGAATTATTATATTATATTGTATTATATATACTATATTATAGATTTAATAAATATCATTTGTATATTATGTAATTGATTTTATTATGTTATATAATAATGTAATGCAAATTATATATAATATATTATATAATATATAATATATATTATTCATATATTTATATATTTTAATATGTTTAACTATATATAATAGTTAGCATATTAATAAGTTAATTTACTATATTAATTAATTTAATATAAGTTAACAGTAAGTATAAAGATTGTTAATATTAACGTAATATATTAAATTAGCTTTTTAATATGTTATTATTAAATTAATTAACCCGCAGGTCTGGTGATGCCTGCGGAGGACTCGCAGTACTCAGGATATAGTCAGATTCATGTGTAAGTTACATTCCAGTGACAAGATACAAAGCGAAATCAGCAAAGGGCACAGGTGCATAGGTGAAGCCTGGAGGAAGCCAGGCACAGGTTTCCCAGAGGCATCACACAGGCCATGCTTAATTACCGCAGCAATGAGTTGTGAAAACATGTGGAATGTTGCCAACCAGAGATGCTCACTGGAGACTCCATGCCCTGGGTTTTTTGTTGGGGGCTGATCATGTAGGCACCTTCTGCTAATAACATACCAAAATTCCAGACTCCCATGAGGAATGCAAGTGCAGTATACATGATATTGTTTGCACAAACAGTTTAGTTAGAGTAGCCCCCTTAATCACTTAGGGAATAGTGGGAACCCTCCTGAAATCCAGGTTCCCAGAAACTAGCTAAGGGCCAACCTTGCAAGCAAGCCTTTCTAAGGATTGCAGTGTCAGGCCTGCTATGTTAACTCTTTTCTGCATAGAGTGCAGTAAAGGTTAATAATTTCTAAATAGTATTGTATATAATTAATGCAAAACCCTTAAAGAGAGGATAGTATTATTTTTCACAATTTAGAGGTGAAAAAAATGGAGACTCAGAGAGTTTAAGAATCTCATCCAAGACCATCACTGGTAGACTAGAACCCAGACTTGCTGGACTGTAACCACTGTCCATGACAGCCTGCGCATGATAGGGTGGAGGATGACCGAGAGAGAAGGAATTGTTCACAACGGCTCTAACAGCACATGGGCTGGGTTATACTGTGGCAATCCCCATCATCTCCGTGATTTAAAACAACTAACTGTATTTCCCACATAAGCTCCACATCTGTTGCAGGTCAGCTGGAGTGTTCTGCATGTTGTCCTTGCTCTGTGACCTAGCTACTGCCAGTCATCGGGGCAGGAAGAAAGTGCAAGTCACACATGGTGCATTGGCTCTTAAGGGTTCTGTCCTGAAGTGTGATGTGTATCGCTCCATGGGCCAACACAGGTCACATGACCTCACCTAGCTTGTGGGGATGCAGGAGGAGTGCAGTCCTACTGGGAATATTCATGAAGAGCACAAACAACTGCACAGCAGCCAGACAGGGTTGGCTTGTGGTTATTGCATCTTCCCTCTGGATCCTCCAAGGAGCCCGCTATGTCCTTTTCTGATACAGGTACCATGAGGATCTTGGCTCCATTGGTCCTACAGCTTGTCACTGGAGCCTAGGGGCAGTGTCATGTGTCTGTTCTCTTTGCCTCACACTTGACCCCACACTAGAATTTACAAAGATTAATATCTTTGGGGCCCCTCCTTTACTAAGTCCCTGCCTTGCCTGTTCTGCCTACAATCCAAAGTCACATGAAAACTGGAGCTGGAGAAAAACCTCCTGGCTCCATCAGGCTTTTTGAATGCCTGGCAAATATTGCCTAGACATCTGAAATGATGCGTTCTTTAAAAAAGAATTCCAGGGGTATATTTATTAGCAAGCATGGATTTAGACAGATTTTTCATGTTCCTCTTTCTTGGCAGGGCGTGCAAGGATCTCCTGCCAGTTTCTGACAGCCTCGTCGCTAGGTGTTAAGTGAAAAACATCATCAGCCTGGTCTATTGATAGGTTCAAGTGACAGTGTATGTTGCCAATCTCAGCCAAGAATCACTTCTGACAATTCTCCTCTCCACCACCGTGCTTGGGCGGGAACATCGCTTCTCCCCCTTTCCTTGGGAGTTTAAGACGCTGTAACCATATTAAGGCTGCATATGTCTGTGTGGCTGCAAGCAGTGGGTTTGTGGAGGAATTAAGCAGTGCATATGGCTTCCGGCAGGCTGCCTGTATCACGGCAGCCTCGCCCAGCCCCGTGCCAAGTGAGGCTGTCGAAGCCGCTGTGCCTGGTCCTCCTGAGGAGAGGGGCTTCGGCCAAACTTGTTGATTAGTGCTCGCTGAGGCTGCCAAAATGGTCTGCCTTCTTGGCAAGGCTGGTGCTCTTACAGAGGCCACCTGACTGACAGACCTCACCCTGCCCTCTCCCCCCACCGTGGGAGAGCAGTCACTGCTTGTCCTTCAGTTTGCAGCCTGCAGGTCAAGCAAGTTCCTCCTCCCCTCCCCACTGGCACACACAGGCCAAGTCTAGTCCCTCCTGCTCCCTCCAATCTTTTCTTCATCAGGGAGTCAGAATCTTCTCAGAATGCAAAGCTGATTGTGGCCAAGAAATGGTAATAAAAATAAAAATTAAAAAAAATCTCCACTTGATTCCCATTGATGTTAAAATAAAAAAACAAAATTTTGAGCACAGCCTGTGTGGTATTTCCTGGCCCGCACCCTCCTCCCTGCCTCATCCCTGATCAGGCTTCGTCTCCGTGTTCAAGCCGCACCTGCCTTCTTCAGGCTCCACCAATGGCCATGTCCTTCTCCTTCATGGGACTTTGCACATGCCCTTCCCTATGTCCCCAGTCTCTTCTTCCTAGTTCATTGGCTCCCAACCTTGGCAACACATGATAATCTACTAGAGTGCAGGGGAAGGGATCCTGAAAATATAAAGGCTTGGTCCTACCACAACAGATTTTAATTTATTTGGTCTGCTGAGAGGCCTGGGAATCAGCATTTTAAGAGCTATGCAGGTGATTCCAATTTACCTCCAGAGGTGGGAACCCCTGATCTTGTTAATTCCTATACATTCTTTGGATCTCAGCTCAGTAGTCCCTTCCTGAAGGAAGTCTTCCCTGATAACCCCTAAAAGGTCAGAATATTCCAACTTAATACCACTGAAGAATCAGCCTGCCTTCCCTCACAGGTTGGCACAAAAGTAATCGTAGTTTTTGCCATTACTTTATTATTATTATTATACTTTAAGTTCTGGGATACATGTGCAGAACGTGCAGGTTTGTTACATAGGTACACACGTGCCACGGTGGTTTGCTGCACTCATCGACCTGTCATCTACATTAGGTATTTCTTCTAATGCTATCCCTCCCCTAGCCCCCCACCCCCTGACAGGCCCTGGCGTGTGATGTTCCCCTCCCTGTTTCCATGTGTTCTCACTGTTCAATCCCACTTGTGAGTGAAAACATGTGGTGTTTGGTTTTCTGTTTCTGTGTTAGTTGGGTGAGAATGATGGTTTCCAGCTTCGTCTGTGTCCCTGCAAAGGATGTGAACTCATCCTTTTTTATGGCTGAATAGGATTCCATGGTGTATATGTGCCACATTTTCTTTATCCAGTCTATCATTTATGGGCAATTGGGTTGGTTCTAAGTCTTTGCTACTGTAAATAGTGCTGCAATAAACATATGCGTGCATGTATCTTTATAGTAGAATGATTTATAATCATTTGGGTATATACCCAGTAATAGGATTGCTGAGTCAAATGGTATTTCTAGTTCTAGATCCTTGAGGAATCGCCACACTGTCTTCCACAATGGTTGAACTAATTTACCCTCCCACCAACCGTGTGAAAGCATTCCTATTTGTTCACATCCTTTCCAGCACCTGTTGTTTCCAGACTTTTTAATGATCGCCATTCTAACTGGCCTGAGATGGTATCTCACTGTGGTTTTGATCTGCATTTTTCTAATGACCAGCGATGATGAGCCTTTTTTCATATGTTTGTTGGCTGCATAAATGTCTTCTTTTGAGAAGCGTCTGTTCATATCTTTTGCCTACTTTTTGATGGGGTGGTTTATTTTTTTCTTGTAAATTTGTTTAAGTTCCTTGTAGATTCTGGATATTAGCCCTTTGTCAGATGGATAGATTGCAAAAATTTTCTCCCATTCTGCAGGTTGCCTGTTCACTCTGATGATAGTTTCTTCTGCTGTGCAGAAGCTCCTTAGTTTAATTAGATCCCATTTATCAATTTTGGCTTTTGTTGCCATTGCTTTTGGTATTTTAGTTAAGAAGTCCTTGCCCATGCCTATGTCTTGAATGGTATTGCGTAGGTTTTCTTCTAGGGTTTTTATGGTTGTAGGTCTTATGTTTAAGCCTTTAATCCATCTTGAGTTAATATTTGTATAAGGTGTAAGGAAGGGATCCAATTTTGGTTTTCTGCATATGGCTAGCCAGTTTTCCCAACACCATTTATTAAATAGGGAATCCTCTCCCTATTGCTTGTTTTTGTCAGGTTTGTCAAAGATCAGATGGTTGTAGATGTGTGGCATTCTTTCTGAGGCCTCTATTCTGTTCCATTGGTCTATATATCTGTTTTGGTACCAGTACCGTGACGTTTTGTTTACTATAGCCTTGTAATATAGGTTGAAGTCAGGTAGCGTGATGCCTCCAGCTTGGTTCTTTTTGCTTAGAATTGTTTTGGCTATACAGGCTCTTTTTTGGTTCCATATGGAAATTAAGGTAGTTTTTTCTAATTCTGTGAAGAAAGTCAGTGTTAGCTTGATGGGGATAGCACTGAATCTATCAGTTACTTTGGACAGTATGGCCACTTTCACTATATTGATTCTCCCTATCCATGATCATGGAATGTTTTTCCATTTGTTTGTGTCCTCTCTTGTTTCTTTGAGCAGTGGTTTGTAGTTCTCCTTGAAGAGGTCCTTCACATCCCTTGTAAGTTGGATTCCTAGGTATTTTATTCTCTTTGTAGCAATTGCAAACAGGAGTTCACTCATGATTTGGCTCTCTGTCTATTATTGGTGTATAGGAATGCGTGCGATTTTTGCACATTGATTTTGTATCCTGAGACTTTGGAGAAGTTGTTTATCAGCTTAAGGAGATTTTGAGCTGAGATGATAGGGTTTTCTAGATATATAATCAGGTCATCTGCAAACAGAGACAATTTGACTTCCTCTCTTCCTATTTGAATACCCTTTATTTCTTTCTCTTGCCTGATTGCCCTGGCCAGAACTTCCAATACTATGTTGAATATGAGTGGTGAGAGAGCGCATCCTTGTCTTGTGCTGGTTTTTAAGGGAATGCTTCTAGCTTTTGCCCATTCAGTATGATATTGGCTGGGGGTTTGTCATAAATAGCTCTTACTATTTTGAGATACATTCCATAAATACCTAGTTTATCAAGCATATTTAGCATGAAGCGGTGTTGAATTTTACTGAAGGCCTTTTCTGCATCTATTGAGATAGTCATGTGGTTTTTGTCACAGGTTCTGTTTATGTGATGGGTTATGTTTATTGATTTGTATATATTGAATCAGCCTTGCATTCCAGGGATGAAGCCAACTTGATGATGGTGGATAAGCTTTTTGATGTGCTGCTGGATTTGGTTTGCCAGTATTTTATTGAGGATTTTTGCATCGATGTTCATCAAGGATATTGGCCTGAAATTTTCTTTTTTGTGTGTGTCTCTGCCAGGTTTTGGTATCAGGATGATGCTGGCCTCATAAAATGAGTTCGGGAAGAGTCCATCTTTTTCTATTTTTTGGAATAATTTCAGAAGGAATGGTACCAGCTCCTCTTTGTACCTCTGGTAGAATTCGGCTGTGAATCCATCTGGCCTGAGCTTTTTTTGGTTGGTAGGCTATTAATTACTGCCTCAATTTCAGAACTTGTTATTGGTTTATTCAGGGATTCAACTTCTTCCTGGTTTAGTCTTGGGAGGGTGTATGTGTCCAGGAATTTTTCTGTTTCTTCTAAATTTTCTAGTTTATTTGCATAGAGTTGTTTGCCGTGTTCTCTGATGGTAGTTTGTGTTTCTGTGGGATCAGTGGTGATCTCTCCTTTGTCATTTTTTATTGTGTGTGTTTGATTCTTCTCTCTTTTCTTCATTAGTCTTGCTAGTGGTCTATTTTGTTAATCTTTTAAAAAAACCAGCTCCTGGATTCATTGACTTTTTGAAGGGTTTTTCATGTCTCTATCTCCTTCAGTTGTGCTCTGATCTTAGTTATCTCTTGTCTTCTGCTAGTTTTTGAATTTGTTTGCTCTTGCTTCTCTAGTTCTTTTAATTGTGATGTTAGAGTGTTGATTTTAGATCTTTCCCGCTTTCTCCCGTGTGCTATTTAGTGCTATAAATTTCCATCTAAACACTGCTTTAGCTGTTTTCCAGAGATTCTGGTACGTTGTGGTTTTGTTCTCATTAGTTTGAAAGAACTTCTTTATTCTGCCGTAATTTCATTTTTACCCAGTAGTCATTCAGGAGCAGGTTGTTCAGTTTCCATGTAGTTGTGTGGTTTTGAGTGAATTTCTTAATCCTGAGTTCTAATTTGATTGCAGTGTGGTCTGAGAGACTGTTTGTTATGATTTCTGTTCTTTTGCATTTGCTGAGGTGTGCTTTACTTTCAATTATGTGGTCAATTTTAGAATAAGAGCGATGTGGTGCTGACAAGAATGTATATTCTGTTGATTTGGGGTGGAGAGTTCTGTAGATGTCTATTAGGTCCACTTGGCCCAGAGATGAGTTCAAGTCCTGAATGTTTTTGTTAATCTTCTGTCTCATTGATTTGTCTAATATTGACATTGGGCTGTTAAAGTCTCCCACTATTATTGTGTGGGAGTCTAAGTCTTTTTGTAGGTCTCTAAGAACTTGCTCTATGAATGTGGGTGCTCCAGTATTGGGTGCATATATATTTAGGATAGTTAGCTCTTCTTGTTGCATTGATCTTTTTACCATTATATAATGCCTGTCTTTATCTTCTTTGATCTTTGTTGGCTTAAAGTCTGTTTTATCAGAGACTGGGATTACAGCCCCTTCTTTTTTTTGCTTTCCATTTGCTTTGTAAATATTCCTACATCCCTTTATTTTGAGCCTTTGTGTGTCTTTGCACGTGAGATGGGTCTTCTGAATACAGCATGCGGTTGGGTCTCGACTCTTTATCCAATTTGTCAGTCTGTGCCTTTTAATTGGGACATTTATCCCGTTTACGTTTAAGGTTAATATTGTTATGTGTGAATTTTTTCCTGTCATTATGATGCTAGCTGGTTATTTTGCCCGTTAGTTGATGCAGTTTCTTTATAGTGTCGATGGTGTTTACAATTTGTTATGTTTTTGCAGTGGCTGGTACCAGTTTTTCCTTTCCATATTTAGTGCTTCCTGCAGGAGCTCTTGTAAGGCAGGCCTGATGGTGACAAAATCTCTCAGTATTTGCTTGTCTGTAATGGATTTTATTTCTCATTTGCTTATGAAGCTTAATTTGGCTGGCTATGAAATTCTGGGTTGAAAATCATTTTCTTTAAGAGTGTTGAATATTGGCCCACACTCTCTTCTGGCTTGGAGGGTTTCTGCTGAGAGATCTGCTGTTAGTCTGATGGGCTTCCTTTTGTGGGTAACCCGACCTTTCTTTCTGGATGCCCTTAACATTTTTTCCGTCATTTCAACGTTGGTGAATCTGACAATTATGTGTCTTGGGGTTGCTGTTCTCAAGGAGTATCTTTTTGGTGTTCTCTGTATTTCCTAAATTTGAATGTTGGTCTGTCTTTCTAGGTTGGGGAAGTTCTTTTGGTTAATATCCTGAAGAGTGTTTTCCAACTTGGTTCCATTCTCCCTGTCACTTTCAGGTACACCAATCAAATGAAGGTTTGGTCTTTTCACATAGTCCCATATTTCTTGGAGGCTTTGTTCATTCCTTTTTGTTCATTTTTCTCTAATCTTGTCTTCATGCTTTATTTCATTAAGTTGATCTTTGATCTCTGATATCCTTTCTTCTGCTTGATCAATTCAGCTATTGATACTTCCGTGTGCTTCACCAAGTTCTCGTGCTGTGTTTTTCAGCTCCATCAGGTCATTTGTGTTTTTCTCTAAACTGGTTATTCTAGTTAGCAATTCCTCTAACCTTTTTTCAAGGTTCTTAGCTTCCTTTCATTGTGTCAGAACATGCTCCTTTAGCTTGGAGGAGTTTGTTATTTCCCACCTTCTGAGGCCAACTTCTGTCAGTTTGTCAAACTCATTCTCCATCCGGTTTTGCTTCCTTGCTGGTGAGGAGTTGTGATCCTTTGGAGGAGAAGAGGCATTCTGGTTTTTGGAATTTGCAAGCTTTTTGCGCTGGTTTTTCCTTGTCTTCATGGATTTATCTACCTTTGGTCTTTGATGTTGGTGACCTTGGATGGAGTTTTTGTGTGGACGTCCTTTTTGTTGATATTGATGCTATTCCTTTCTGTTTGTTATTTTCCTTCTAACAGGCCCCTCTGCTGCATGTCTGCTGGAGTTTGCTGGAGGTGCACCCCAGACCCTGTTTGCCTGAGTACTACCAGTGGAGGCTGCAGAATAGCAAAGATTGCTCCTGCCTGTTCCTTCCTCTGGAAGCTTTGTCCCAGAGGGGCACCCACCAGATGCCAGCTGGAGCTCTCCTGTATGAGGTATCTGTTGATCCCTCCTGGGAGCTGTCTCTCAGTCAGGAGGCACAGGGGTCAGGGACCCACTTCAGGAGGCAGTCTGTCCCTTAGCAGAGCTCAAGCACTGTGCTGGGAGATCTGCTGCTCTCTTCAGAGTCAGCAGGCAGGAATGTTTAAGTCTGCTGAAGCTGTGCCCACCATCAGCCCTTCTCTCAGGTTCTGTGTCCCAGGGAGTTGGGAGTTTTATCTGTAAGCCCCTGACTGAGGCTGCTGCCTTTCTTTCAGAGATGGCCTGCTCAGAGAGGAGGAATCTAGAGAGGCAGTCCAGCTACAGAGGCTTTGCCAAGCTGTGGTGGGTCCCACCCAGTTCAAACTTCCCAGCGGCTTTGTTTACATTGTGAGGGGAAAACTGCCTACTCAAGCCTCGGTAATGGTGGATGCCCCTCTCCCCACCAAGCTCGAGCGTCCCAGGTCGACTTCAGACTGCTGTGCTGGCAGCGAGAATTTTAAGCCAGTGGATCTTAGCTTGCTGGGCTCCGTGGAGCTGGGATCCACTGAGCTAGACCACTTGGATCCCTGGCTTCAACCCCCTTTCCAGGAGAGTGAACAGTTCTGTCTCACTGGTGTTCCACGTGCCACTGGGAGATATATATATATATATATCCTGCACCTAGCTCGGTGTGTGCCCAAATGGCTGCCCAGTTTTGTGCTTGAAACCCAGGGACCTGGTAGTGTAGGCATCCAAGAGAATCTCCTGGTCTGCTGGTTGCAAAGACCATGGGAAAAGCGTAGTATGCGGGTCCAAATGCACTGTTCCTCACAGCAGTCCCTCACAGCTTCCCTTGAGTAGGGGAGGGAGTTCCCTGATCCCTTGCATTTCCTGGGTGAGGTGACACCCCACCCTGCTTTGGCTCACTATCTGTAGGCTGCATCCACTGTCTAACCAGTCCCAATGAGATGAACTGGGTACCTCAGTTGGAAATGCAGAAATCACCTGCTTCCTGCATTGATCTCACTGGAAGCTGCAGACCTGAGCTCTTCCTATTCGGCCTGCTTTGCCATTACTTTTAATGGCAAAAAAAGTGATTACTTTTGCACCAATCTAAGAGCGCAATACTTAAGAGCCTGAGTTTTACCCTTAATTTTGTAAGAACTGGATTAATATCTCTCTTCCTGGTTGGACTTTAAGCTTCATGAGGGCCATGGTTATATATAATTTTACTTAACATTTTAATGCCAATGGTGACAAGCACCCAATAGGAGGTCAGAAAATAATAAAATAAATGAGTCAATTCTAGAGACCTCCCAAGTTCTTCAGGTAGCCCATCTAATCCCATTTAGATGTTGGGACTATTAAATAGGTTTTAATACTGCTTTTTGGCCAAGCAATTCTCATGAATAACCAGTGAAGAAGAAGAAGGAAGCCAAGGGTGTCTCCTTCTTCAGTCAGTCCTGAGAATCTGAAACCAGTATCTTCAGTGTCCAAGAGCAGTCTTGGGTGGGGTGGATTAGAGTGTGTGAAGTTGTATGGAGTAGAAGTAGGTGGGCCTGTATGAGTGGTGGTCATATCCTATAGGGCAGGTGTGGAGATGAAGCAGGTGCATGTGGAAGAACTGTTCTAAGTATAAAGATACAGCTTTCCACGAACAAATAGCCAGTGAATTGGGTGTCCAGTAAACTCAATATTCTGACCCAGAACAGTATGTTCCCACTATCTCTGGAAAGGAAACTGTTTTTCAAACTGGAAAGATTAGTAAAATTGTGACTTAGGAGGCATCAGCCCTTGAAAACAGGCAAGGCTGAAAATATTAAATGGAAAATTTCAGAAATAAACGATTCATAAGTTTTAAATTGCATGTGTTCTGAGTAGCATGGTGAAATCTCAAGCCATCCTGCTTAATCCTGATCATGATGTGAATCATCCCTTTGTATAGTGTATCTGTGCTGTATGCACTATCCACTTATTAGCCATTGACTGACTACTTCTGATATCCCACCCTCCACATTGTCATGGCTCTGTGATCCAGGATCACCCAAAGCAGGTGACCCTCCTTCTGGCATATTGTTAGAAGGTGAACAGTAGCCTAATGCTAAGTCACAATGCCTATCCCATCCATTTCACTTCATCTTATCACATCACATAGGAACTGTGTCATCTTGCATTATCACAAGAAGAAAGATGAGTACAGTACATAAGATATTTTGGGAGAGAGAAAAAGAGAAACTACATTCACATAACTTTTATTAGAGTATATTGTTAAAAGTTTTCTATTTTATTATTAGTTCTTATTGTTAATCTCTTTCTGTGACTAATTTATAAATTAAACTTTATCATATATCTATATTATATATGTGAAAAAACATAGTGTATATAGTGCTCAGTACTATCCATGGTTTCAGGCATCCACTGGGGGTTTTGAAATGTATCCCCCACAGACAAATGGGAACTACTGTGTTATCTTCTCTCTCTTCTTTGTTCTCTACAGATTTTTCCTGGACATTGCTTGTGCCTTCTCAGTATGTGTGACTGATTCTTAAATCCTTATTTCCTACTTTCATCTTTCTCCATAGCTACAGAACCACCCTTTCATCTGGAAATTCTGTTTATTTCAAATGTATTAGCCAAAGTGGAACTCACTGTGTCTTCTCTGCCTCAGCCCAAATCATAGTCTTTTGTATTATTTGGGGATTGTGAAAAGAATAATTTAATTGGCAGCCAGGCTTCAGGGTCTCCATTGCTTGCCTTTGGGTTGCAGTTTCTTTTAGTCTTTTTTTTCCAAGTAGACTAGGAAAAGATTAAACATCACCACCTCATTATCACTCCATCTCCATTGTCAGTACCAGTACCACCGCCACCTCCGCTACCACAGCATTCAGCACCATCTCCACCACTGCCACCTTCAGCGCCATCTCCAACACTGCCACCTTCAACACCATCACCACTACCACCAACACCACCTCCACCACCATGACCTTCAACACCATCTTCACCACCACCACCTCCACCACCACTACCACCACATCCACCAAAACCGCATTTAACACCGTCACCACTACCACCACCACCACCATTACCAACACCAACAACAATAACAAAACAACTTTTGAAGTGCCCAGAGTAGAAAAACACATAGATAACACACAGATTATAACTCTGAGCCATATGTGGCAACGAATTTATTCTCTCATTGAATCCTCACAACCTAATTAGGTAGGCACTACCCTTATCACTATTTTACAAATGACAAAGCCAAGTCCCAGAGAAGGTAAGTCCCCTGTGCAAGGGCATACAGTTAGCAAACTGAAAGCCAGGATACTGTTCACCTGCAGAGCCCATGCTCTGAACCATACCTTCCCATGAAGGACCTCATAGATGAAATTTACCCACGCTCCTCAAAGGGTTTATGCTTCTAGGTTTGTGGTACTAAATATGTTGTGTCACCACTGATTGTGTAGTTCATTGTTACCATGGTTAGACTTAGTTTTGAAGGGTGGTGGTTCTCCTCTTATTTATCTTCCCTCTCTGGTGCTAAGCCCTGGGCTTAGTACACAGTAGACTCTAAGTCAGTATCTTAATTTAAAGTGAATGCTAGCAAGACTATGCCTTTATTGTTACGTGGTGTGGATTTTATGAGGTTTCCTCAATGTACAATCTGTGTGATATTTGTGGCAGAATTGCTGGAGGGAATTTAAATATTATTTTAAACATGTTTTAAGGTCTCACGCAGACCACCTGAATCAGAGTCTGGGTGTGTAACAAAGTCATCTTCATTTAAAGCAGCTTCCCACGTAATTTTTAGGTTCTTTAGTTGGTGATGTGGTTTGGCTCTGTGTCCCCACCCAAATCTCATCCTGAATTGTAATCCCCACATGTCAGAGGAGGTGCCTGGTGGGACATGATTGAATCACAGGGGCGGCTTCCCCCTTGCTGTCTAATGATAGTGGGTGAGTTTTCACAAAATCTGGTTGTTTAAAAGTGTGTGGCACTTCCCCCTTTGCTCTCTCTCTCTCCTCTGCTCCACTGTGGTAAGACGTGCTTGCTTCCCTTCCCCCTTCCACCATGATTGTAAGTTTCCTGAGGCCTCCCAGTCATGCTTCCTGTTAAGCCCGCAGAACTGCAAGTCAATTAAACTTCTTTTCTTCATAAATTACCTAGTCTCAGGTAGTTCTTTATAGTAGTGTGAGAACAGACTAATACAGCTGGAGACCCACTATGGCCTCTTTCAGGGCTGAGACTCTGTGATGATGATTTCTTATTTTGTCCACACAGAACAGTAAAAGATGCCATGGAAAAAGTAGTTCTGGGAATACATTTCTACCAGCATTTGATCTCCGGGATTGTATAAAACTGTATTGTTTTTATTGTAAGTTTCCTCAAATCCTTTGTGGAATGAGCCAAGATATATAAATCAATATGAATTAATAAAATTAAGCTCTACTGTTTCCCTAAGTAATCAGACAATATAAGCCTCAATAACACAGCTGCCCTCATGGCTACTAAAACTCTAACCCTGCATTGACCAGAAGGCATTTCCAGCAGAGGCAAGAAAGAGGCCTAACAAGGCAGGGCTGAGAGTGTTCTTAAGTATCAAGGGGTCAAACCATGGAAAGTTAATTACTTCCCCACTTTGTGTTCTCTTCCTGGAATGTTCAGATGTGAGTTTGGCATCATGGACAAAGCCCTCACTTGGAAATCAGCAGACCTGAGCTTGCATTCTGCCACCTCTGCTTGGGCAATTTAGATAGCTTTTCATAGCTTATCTCCGATCAGGGAAATGATTGAAGAAGACCTATTTGGGGTTTGTGAGGATTAGGAGCAATGTATACATAAGGCCTTGTCCCCATGGTTGGCATGTAGTTGGTACTGTTTGATGAATATTGCTTTCCTCTTCTTTTACTATTATTAAAAATTATGATCATCATAATTCTCATTATTTTTACTCTCTTCCACCATTAGGAAGAATCAAATAAATGAACTCTTACTACTGATGTTCTTAGAACCTGTTAGCCAGTATGATGACAAATTAAGTCTTACATTAACTCTGAGAGTTAGAAACCTATCTTCATGAGGTATCTCTGAAGGGACCTCCAGCAATGCCTATGTGCCACGTAACCTGTATTTTTAGCTACCAATTTAAAAATAAACCTGTGAGGTAGACTGCAAAAATGGCTACAGTACACTTGGGAGTTCCTTGTGTTGTGACTTTGCAATTCCCCCTCACCAATTAGACATGGAGTCTGTTTTCCCATCACTGGAAATCTGGAAATCTGGGCTGGACTGTGATTGCTGTGATGGTGGACATGATGGTGTGTCAGTTCTGAGCCTAGGTCTTGCACTTTTGGAGACTTGCCACTGCCATGTGAACAGAGTCAGGCTGGCTAGATGGATGATAAGAGACCTGGGATCCAGCTACCCCTGAAATCCCAGTGATAAGCTAGCCAACCATTCACTATGTGAATGAGGCCATGCTAGACCAGTCAGCAACCAGCCAACCTGCCAAACACATGAGCTGGCCCTGCTGAGCTCAGTCAAGCCTGGATCAGATAATTGGACCCCTCAGCTGACCTGGAGACAATGAACAATGATAAATGCTTATGGATTTAGGCTACTATGTTTGAGAGTGTTCTGAGCAGCGTGATGAGCTACTGGTTGGTTATATAGCAATTGCTAACTGATACTCTTGAATTTGCAGCAATTCAGTCATTTTGGCATCACATAGTAGATCATCAACAGGTTTATTTATTTATTTGTTATTTATCTATCTATTTATTTATTTTTTGAGACAAAGTCTCACTCTGTCTCCCAGGCTGGAGTGCAGTGGTATGATTTCGGCTCACTGCAACCTCCACTTCCTGGATTCAAGTGATTCTCCTGCCTCAGCCTCCCAAGTAGCTGGAATTACAGGTGTGTGCCATCACACCCAGCTAATTTTTGTATTTTTCGTAGAGATGGGGTTTTGCCATATTGGCCAGGCTGGTCTCAAACTCCTGGTGTTAGGTGATCTGCCCACCTCAGCCTCCCAAAGTTCTGGGATTACAGGTGTGAGTCACTGCACCCGGCCAACAAATATTTTAGTGCCTACCATAGTCCTCCGGGCATATGGTGGTGAGCATGGAAGATGCCTGACCTCAGGGAGCTTACATTAGAGAACTAGAGTAACAGAAATAGAAACATAAAGCAACCTGTGACTCCACTTGAGTATCACTGGGACTAGGAGTTGTGTTTCCAGTCCCTTTGATCATGATTTTGTGCAGTTTTACTTCTATCACCTTAAAAAGAACTGCATGTAGCCCGGAAGTGTATTTAAGGGCACATTCCTCTCTGGCAGGATGACTTCCCAGGGCCCATAGTGGCCTGGTTGTCCTCCTGTACCCTTGAGTCAGGACATCCCTGAAGGCTACAGGCAGAAAGAGCTTGCAACGTCTTTCTCAGCTCATTCCCCTGGCTAGGACACCAAGTCAAAATAGTTGATGAAGAGCTGTCATCTCTTAAAATGGGAAACCTATTGACTTGTTTTCTGAGACAGCAGCTGTGTTTGTAGCACTTGCAGTCACCACAGCCTATTCTGTACGGTCCTGGCCTTCACACTCAAATGTCAAGTCTCTATTTATTCAGAGTAAGTATCTCCAAGGGAATGGGAAGTTTTCCCTAGAGATGGCACTGAGTCACATGAAGTTGGGCACTTCCCAGATATAGTGATTCTCTTTTTCCTGTGGTCTCTTGAGATTGAGCATTTTTCCAACTAAGCGACAGATTATAAAATGAACTCTATGAGTTGGTCAGAAGGTGTGCAGTAGTGTTGCTCATAGGTACACCAAACTCATCCACCCCTTTTCAATGTTTCAGAGCACCTACCTGTGCCAGGTAGATGCGGAGATGAACATCATAGCCCTTACCATCAGAGCTCACAGTTTAAAGTGGAGACAGATGGGTGTGTAATTTCAGCACCAAGTGATAAGTACTACAGTGTGTGTTTGCATATATGGTGATTAGAGAGATTGGGAAGGAGTCAGAACAACCCAAGATTGAACTTTATAGCAGTGTAGCATGATGGTTGGGAATCTGGTTAGTCTAGGTTTAAACTCTGGCTCTGCCACTTGCTAGCTGTGTGACCCTGGGAAAATTACCTTACCTCTCTGAGCCTTGATTTGCTCATTTGGGAAATGAGAATAATGACAGCACTTATCTCCTAGGGTAATTGTAAGAATTAACTCAATTAATATGTATATACTGCTTAAAATAGTACTGGTACAGAGTGAGGACTGGAAAAAATTATAAATGAAAAATAATAAAACTTCATCTTGAAGCATAAGCAGGAGGACAAGCATCAGGGCATTCTGGATAGAGGAGAGAGTTAGAAAGGTAGGTTCAAGGGCAGCCTGGAAAGGCTTTGAACATGACTATGAAGTATTTGCAATAATCTTAAGCAGTGATTCTCAAGCTGTAGCTTGTGTCAAATCCTCTTGAGGGTGCATTAAAACTGAGATTGCTGGACCCTATCCCCAGAGTTTCTGATTCAGC
Source organism: Homo sapiens (assembly GCF_000001405.40). Taxonomy (NCBI): domain Eukaryota; kingdom Metazoa; phylum Chordata; class Mammalia; order Primates; family Hominidae; genus Homo; species Homo sapiens. The sequence goes on from NC_000016.10 coordinate 82,316,336, forward strand.
TGGTCTGGGCAGGGCCCAAGAATTTGCATTTCTAGCAATATTCTAGATAGTACTGATACAGTTGGTTATTCAGGGACCACAGTCTCTTGCCTCTAGTATGCTCTTTTTATTTTATGTTTTTTTGAGACAGAGTCACACTCTGTCACTCAGGCTGGAGCTCAGTGGTGACATCTTGGCTCACTGCAACCTCCACCTACTTGGTTCAAGCAATCCTTCTACCTCAGCCCCTGAGTAGCTGGGATTGCAAGCATAGTTGGGATTGCAAGCGTGCGCTACCACACCAGGCTAATTTTTGTATTTTTAGTTGAAACAGGGTTTCACCACGTTGGCCAGCTGGTCTCGAACTTCTGACCTCAGGTGATCCGCCCACCTCGGCCTCCCAAAGTGTTGGATTACAGGCGTGAGCCACCACGTCCGGCCTCTAGTATGTTCTTAATGGCTCAACTTCCCACCCCCATTTGGTGAACTTGATACTTGGTCCTTGTCTTCAGGTCTCTACTCAAACAGCATTTTCCCCAGGAAGGCATCTTTTCAGGTCTTCACCTCCTGATTGGATTAGGTACTCTTCCTGGACAGTCTCTTTTACAAAAATGTTTACATTTCCACCCTGTGTCAATCTCTACCTCCCAATATACATATATACTTTTCCCAGGGCAGGAAATAATCTGCTGATTCTTCCCCAGGCGCACTCTCTGATATTAAGGCAGAATAGGCTGGGTAAGGGCCAAAGGAACCACACATGTTCTTGATAGGCCCAACTGCAGACCCCAGGCTGCTGCATGACAGCTCTGTCCACCTTCTTGCCTGCCTATGCCCAACATGTGCTTAAAACTTGCTTCTTCTACCTTTCCTGTCTAGCCAGGCCCAGCTCAAGCCACTCATTCATCGCACAATAACTTGTATGGAGTTTTCTTTTGGGGTGATAAAAATGTTTTGGAGCTAGGTAGTGGTGGTAGTTGCAAAAAATTGTGAATGTGCTAATCGCCACTGAATTTTTCACCTTACAATGGTTAATTTTATGTTGCATGACTTTTACCTCAGTTCAAAAGACCCACTCCCTAAAATGTGGAATATTTTAAAAAACCCCTAATTTTCATGAATTCATTCTTCCCCATCTCCCTAAAGCCAACCTCTATTTTAAAGACAATTTTTTGTCTTCTTGACACTGACCTCCAATAGGCTTCTTTGTTAGTGGCAAGAGCTGACGTGAAGACTTGATCATAGTAGTTGGATCCACTCTAGGACCTTCTCTGTGCACCGAGCCTGCTGTGTTCTCATCAGTGCATAGTCTTATTCTGTCCCAGGCATAGGCTCTCGCTGTTTGTTCTCTCATCCCTTCTGATAATCAGAAAGACTCATCCCTTCTGATAATTCAGTCCTCCCAGCTACATTTTACCTTTTCAAAGCATTACTTTTGTACCAGTTTCTCTCACTTGAAGCTATTTTAATGCGTTAATCAGTGTTGGCAGTGAACTTGCTTTCTGTTTACTTGGATTTTTGTCTGTTCTGCCAAGTCACCCTGGAATGCAAGCTCTGCGGCTATAAGGAACTTGCCTGTTGTATTCACTCCTGCATCCCCAGTGCCTGGAATGTAGCCTGGCACATAGTAGGTGCTAGAAAGTTCTTGGTGAATGAATGACTGCAACAGATTCAGGAAGACATGCCAAAGTGGGAGGTGCTGGGCTATTTGCAGGGCCAGAGTTTTCGTGCTATGCCTTGAACGCCAGAGTCCTGGAGAGTTGCAGGCTTTGGCAAAGTTCATGTTGCTTGATGTAAGCAGAGGTCTGCTTACTGAGGACCTTCATGCTGTTGTTTTTCCAACCACAGGATAAGTTGTCTCAGGGCATGTCCACATTTCTTCTCCTCTGGCATCTTTCTCACTCGGGTTGTGTAGTAAAGGATTAAACTTGCTGAAAGGAAGATTTAGTCCTTGCCCAGTTCCTGGGAGGTAACCAGTAAGCTCTTGGGATGTCCTTCCTGATATCATGTCTTTGTTTATCTGGGGGTCTTGGTTCATTCCAGTTAGCTTATGATGATAATGTGATTTATGGGAGAGATCTTGGGCTACAAAGTGTCAGCTTGACTTCTGCAGGGGCTGGAGACTATGGTCAGCTACACAGCATGTCTACCCTATCTACGTGACTGACCTCCCATAAAAACACCAAGACTTGGGTGAGCTTTTCTGGTTGTCAAATACTCGGGTGTGTATTATCACACATCATTTCTGGGAGACATAGACACTGTCTGCACAACTCCCCTGGGACAATTGTCATGCCTCTTCTCTCCTGGACCCTTTCCCACGTGACTCTCTCCTTTGCTGATTTTAATCTGTATCCTTTTGCTGCAATAAACCATAACTGTGAGTATAATGAGTGTTCTGAGTTTTGTGAGTACTTCTAGTGAATCATTAAACCTGGGGATGATCTTGAGGACCCCCTAGCTACACTGGTTGGTACACAGTTGGTACCCAATAGATGTTGATTGAGTGCTTACGAAACTCAGTTCTTGAAGTCTTTCCTATGAGGCCTGGAAGAAAGAACAGTTGCTTAGTGTGTGGTTCCTCCTGTAGTCATGGACAAAGGGAACAATTTCTACCAAAGGGGAGAAAATAATTTCTTTTTTTTTTTTTTTTACCCGGATAAATTCTTTAGTTGAGACACTTCCCTGAAAACAAAAGTCAGATTAATAAGATAAACACCAGCAGAAGTTTATGGATGTGTGCTATACCCATCATTTGAGAGAGACCTCAGTTCAAAAGTATCTCTCTCAAGGCAGTAGCTTAGGGTCCTTGCTTAAATAGTATTTTAACAAAGGGCAATAAATCTTAGCATAGTGACAAGACAAAGGAGAGAGCAGTTCCAGTCTTTTAGAAGGCAGGGAAAACATGGAAAGGTAGTAAAATCTGTTCCCAGATTCCTCTGGTAATTGCTGGTGCCTTCCGTAGGGCAATAAGCAAGTGCTGTCTCCAGTAAGAAAGGATTTATGTCCTGTCATCAGGCAAATAAAAGCTGAGGCAATGTGTTCCCCTGCATTTTCAGTGTCTTTAATATAATAATCCTCAACATTTTTGGGAGAAACATTTTGGTTTTCTTTACTACAAAGCAGCCAGAATCTTTGGAGGGCCCACCCATGGTCTCTTCCACCTCTGTAATGTCCTGACTGAGGTGCTTACAAGGCTCAAGAGAAATTACTCAGAGTTCCTTGGGTTTTTGCATAGATAAACATAAAGGTCTTTCTGTAATGTTCACTCCAGGGACACCTCTGAAGACTGTTTGTTGCACATAAGTTACAAAGTCAGTACGTTGGTCCTTGAGGGGTGGTCAGTGGGCTGCTATGCTAGTTCAGGGAACAAGATATGACCTGAAAGAACTCTTTAACATTCTTGAAAGTCTTAACTTTTCAGTGTATGGGGATGGATTTATATTGATCTATTGTGTATATATGCCATATTTTCTTATTGGTCCACCTGTTGATGGACACTTAGATTGGCTCTATATTTTGGCTATGGTGAATAGTGCTGTAGTGCACATGCAAGTGCAGATATTTCTTCAACATACAGATTTTCTTTCCTTTGGTTGTATACCCAGTAGTGGAATCGCTGGGTCATATGGTAGTTCTATTTTTAAATTTTTGAGGAAACGCCATACTATTTTCCATAATGACTATACTACATTACATTTCCACCAACAGTGGAAAAGGCAAGTTCCTTTTCTCCACATCCTTGTCAGATTTGTTATTTTTTTGTCTTTTTGATAATAGCCATTCTAACTGGAGTGAGATGATATTTCATTGTAGCTTTGATTTGCATTTTCCTGGTGATCAATGATGTTCAGCATTTTTCAATATGCTATTGGCTATTTCTATGTATTTTTTGAGAAATATCTATCTGCGTAGATAGATATTTAAATTGCCCATTTAAAAATCTGGTTATTATTGTTATTTGCTGTTGAGTTACTTTAGTATCTTGTATAATCTGGATATTAATCCCTTGTTGAATGATCAGCTTGCAGATATTTTTTCCTCTTCTTCAGGTTGTCTCTTTACCCTGTTGATTGTTTCCTTTGCTGTACAGAAGCTTTTTATTTTGATATAATCCCACTTACCTATTTTTGCTTTTGTTGCCTCAGCTTTTGAGGTCTTATCTATGAAATCTTCATCCAGATGAATGTTCTGAGGCATTTCTTCTATGTTTTCTTCTAGTAGTTTCGTAGTTTCAGGTCATACATTTAAATCTTTAATCCATTTGTGTTGATTTTTTTATATGGTGAGAGATAGGGGTCTGGCTTTATTCTTCTGTATATGGATATCCGGTTTTCCCAGCACCATTCATTGAAGAGACAGTCTTTTCCTCAATGTATGTTCTTGATGCTTTTGTCAAAAGTCAGTTGGCTGTAAATAAATGGATTTATTTCTAGGCTCTCTATTCTGTTCCATTGGTCTATTTAGAGCCATAGTAGTATTATGCCTCCAGGTTTGTTCTTTTTGCTCAGGGTTGCTTTGGCTATTTGGGGTCTTGTGTGGTTTCATACAAATTTTAGGATTTTTCTATTTCTGTGAAGATTGACATTGTTTATTTGATGGGGATTGCACTGAATCTGTAGATCACTTTGGATAGCATGGTCATTTTCATATTATTTCTTTCAATCTATGAACATGAGATGTCTTTCCATTTTTATATCCTCTTCAATCTCTTTCATCATTGTTTTATAGTTTTTATTGTAGAATCTTTCACCTCCTTGGTTATTGTGTATATATGCCATTTTTGGTAGCTGTTGTAAATGGATTGTTTTCTTGATTTCTTTATTAGCTAGTTGTTGGTGTATAGAAATACGACTGATTTTTCTATGTTGATTTTGTATCCTGTAACTTTGCTGAATTTTTTGATCAGTTCCAAGATTTTTTGGTGGAGTCTTTAGGGTTTTCTGTATATAAAATCATTTTGTCTGCAAACAGACAATTTGATTTCTTCCTTTTCAATTTGTATGCGCTTTATTTCTTTCTCTTGCCTAATTTCTCAGGCTAAGACTTCCAGTAATATGTTGACTAAGAGTGATGAAAATGGGCATCTTTGTCTTGTTCCAGTTCTTATGATGCTGGATCTGGGTTTGTCTTAGATGCTCTTTATTGTGTTGAGGTGCCTTCCTTTTAAACCTAATTTGTTGAAAGATTTTATTTTTTTTAATCATGAAAGGATGCTGAGTTTTAACAGTGCTTTTCTGCAGCTATCGAGATGATCATATGGTTTTTGCTCTTCATTCTGTTGGTGTGATGATTTATATTTTCTGATTTGTATGTATTGAATCATCCTTGCATCCCTAGGATGAATCCCACTTGATCATGCTGTGTAAGCTTTTTGATGTGCTGTTGGACTTGGTTTGCTAGTATTTTGTTGAGGATTTTTGCATTTATATTTAATAAGGCTATTGGCCTGTAGTTTTCTTTTTGTTGTGTCCTTGCCTGGTTTTGACATCAGGGTAATGACAGCCTCATAGAATGAGTATGGAAGAATTCCCTCCCCTTTAATTTCCTGGAATAGTTTGAGAATTGGTGTCAGTTCTCTAAATGTTTGGTAGAATTCAGCAGTAAAGCTCATTAGTCCTGGGCTTTTCTTTGTTGGGAGACTTTATTACTAATTCAATCTCATTACTTGTTATGGCTTTGTCCAGGTTTTCTATTTCTTTCTGGATTAATCTTAGTAGATTTCATGTGTCTAGGAATATATCCAGTTTCTCTAGGTTTTCCAATTTGTGGGCATGTAGTTGTTCACAATAGTCTCTAATGATCCTTTGTATTTCTGTGGCACTATTTTTAATGGCTTATTTTTCATTTCTGATTTTTTTTATTTGGGTCTTCTCTCTCTTTTTTCTTAGTCTAACAAATGGCTTGTTGATTTTTGTTTTTTCAGATAAAAGAAGTTTCATTTTGTTGGTCTTTTGCATTTTTTAGTCTCAATTTCACTTACTTCTGTTCTGATCTTTATTATTTATTTCCTCCTACCAATTTGGGTTTGGCTTTTCTTGCTTTTCCAGTTCCTTGAGATGACTCATTAGGTTGTTTATTTGAAATCTTTCTACTTTATTGATATAGGCATTTATTGCTATAAACTACTCCCTTAGTACTGGTTTTGCTGTATCTCATAGGTTTTATTTTGTTGTGTCTCTATTTTCATTTGTTTGAAGACATTTGAAATTTTTTTTTGTTGACCCATTGGTCATTTAGGAGCATGTTATTTATTTGATATATGTGTACAATTTCCAAAGTTCCTCTTGTTACTAATTTCTATTTTTGTTCCACTGTGGTCTCTCCCTTTACATCTAATAATATTGGCTTTATATATGCATGTGCTCTGGATGGCGTGCCTGTGTGTTTACAATATCCTCTTGCTAAACTGATCCCTATATCAATATATAACAACTTTCTTTGTCTCTTTTTAGAGTTTTTGACTTAAAGTCTATTTTATCTGATATAAATGTAGCGGTTCCTGCTTGTTTTTGGTTTCCATTTGTGTTAAATGTTTTTCCATCCCTTTCCTTTCATTGTGTGTGTCTTTACAGGTGAAGTGAATTTCTTGTAGGCCGCATATTGTTGAATTTTTTTTCTCCATTTAGCCCGTATATATATTTTAATTGGATAATTTAATTCATTTACATTCAAGGTTATTATTGATAGGTGAAGACTTACTCCTGTCATTTTGTTAATTGTTTTCTGGTTGTTTTGTATATCTTCTGTTACTTTCCTCCTCTCGTATTGTTTTCTTTTGTACTTTGGAGAGTTTTTTAGTGATAAGATTTGATTACTTTCTCTTTCTTATTTGTATATATAGTTTATCAGTGAGTTTTATACTTTTACATGTTTTTATGATGGTAGTTATCATCCCTTCACTTCCAGATGTAGGACTCCCTTGTGCATTTCTTATAAGGTTGGTCTAGTGATAATAAATTCCCTCTGTTTTTGCTCATTTAGGAAAGTCTTTATTTCTCTTTCATTTCTGATGGCTAGTTTTGCTGGGTATAGTATTCTTATCTGATAGTTTTTTTTTTTTCCTTTTAACATTTTGGATATATTGTTTCATTCTCTTCTGGCCTGTAAGATTATCTGCTGATAAATCTGCGGTTAGTCGAATGGGGACTTTGCTTATATGTGACTTGATGCTTTTCTCTTTCTACTTTTAGAATTATCTCTTCATCTTTGACTTTTGAAAGTTTGTCTATAACATACCCTGGAGAGAATTTTTTTGGGTCAAATCTATTTAGGAGTCATTAAGCCTCTTGATTCTGGATTTTACATTTCTCCCAAGGTTTGGGAAATTTTCAGCTATTATTTCACTAAATAAGCTTTTTATTTTTATTTTTTTTGAGACAATGTCTTATTTTGTTGCCCAGGCTGGAGTGCGGTGGTACAGTTGTAGCTCACTGAAGCCTTGACCTTCTGGGCTCAAGCAGTTCTCCCACCCCATTCTCCTGAGCAGTTGAGACTACCAGTTCATGCCGCCATACCTGACTGAGTTTTTGTAGAGATGAGGTCTCACTATGTTGCCCAGGCTGGCCTTGAACTCCTGAGCTCAAGTAATCCTCCCATCTTGACCTCCCAGATTGCTGGGGTTACAGGTGTGAGTCATTGCACCAGCCTAAATAGGGTTCTTATACCTTATCTTGTTTCTTCTCCTTCTAGAATTCCCACAACACAAATATTTGTTTGCTTCTTGGTGTCCTATAGGTCCCATAGGCTTTCTTTATTCTTTTTTATTTTTTTTTTTCCTTCCTGGGTTAATTCCAAAGATCTGTCTTCTAGAAAATCTTTCCTTTGCTCAATCTAGTATATTGTTGATGCTTTCAATTGCCTATTTTATTTTGTCATTAAGTTATTCAGGCTCAAGGTTTATGTTTGTCTTTTTGTTATGATACCATGTTTTTTGAATTTCTCATTCAGATCCTGAATTGCTTTCCTACTTTCATTGAATTGTCTATCTATATTCTCTTGTACCTCACTGCATTTCCTATAGGTAATTATCTTGAATTCTTTTCCAGGCATTCTATAGATTTTCTTTTCTTTGGAGTCTGTTATTGGATAATATTGTGTTCTTTTGGAGCTGTCATGTGTCCTTGCTTTTAAATGTTTCTTGTGTCCCTATTTTGACATTTGTATATCTGGTAGAACAGTTACCTCTTCCAAATTTATGGAGTATTTGTCATAGGTAGATGTGGCCTATAGTGTCAATTGGGTAGGATGCTTCACCTTTTGTTCTTGGTGGACACAGGAGTGTAGTCTTCATGTGATTTCTTTGACTTTAATCAAATCAGTGACATATTTGAGTTCCTCAGTGATGTAGACTGTGGGCATTTATGGAGGTAGTGGCACAGTTTTGCTAGGCATTTGGTTAACTGGTCCTCAGTCCTTGGAGAAGTGTATGCTCTGCCAATTGTATGGGTGGGGTTACCATGGGTGGTAGTACGTAGCAGGCTTGTCCTTGGTCCCTTGGGGAGAGCAAGTGCATGCATCATAAATTTATGTTTATTATAAATTACCCAGTCTGTGATACTCTGTTATAGATGCATAAAACTGACTAAGAGAAAGGGTCAGCAAACTTTTTGTAAAGAACCAGATAGTAAATATTTTTTACTTCATGGAACATAAAATCTGTGTTTAAATGATCTAGCTCTGCCATTGTAGCATGAATGCAGAGATCATTTGTAAACAAATGGGCATGATGCTGTTCCAGTAAAATTTTATTAATAAAAATAGGCAGCAGGACAGATCTGGCCCATGGGCTGTAGTTTTCCAGTACTTTCCCTCCATTATGTCCTCAAGTATCTTCTGCCAACTAATAACAGACTCTGTGCCTCTTTAATGAGATTCCCAATGGAGGAACACACTGGCTCAACTCAATCTATGAAGGACTATTCTTGGATCAGGTAGCATCTTCAGCCCTTTAGCTGTGACTAAAAGGTGATGGGATCATACTCTATAAACAAGGTCAATTGGCCCAGAAGCAGGGAATGCAAATATATTATTATATATGTCTGTTATTTCCACAAACATTTGTATTCAGTTCCATTTGATTTCTTGAGGTTATATGGAAATCTGGGTCATGAATGAATTCAGCTAATTCTGTAACCTCATCATTTTTCAAGCATCTATTGATAATGAGTGTGCTCAGATGCTGGAAATATAAGCAGCTGAGAGAACCTCAGGTTACACTTTTGGTCTCAGAGGCGGTGAACTAACAGCACTCATTCATTCATTTATTCAGTAAGTTGTTATTACGTAGAGTGTTGGATCATGTATTCCTCTAAAACCTGGATTCCTTCTGTGGGATGTGAAATTGTATCCTGTTGGCCTGTTTTTGCAGAATGACCATGTCATTTAGCAAGGTATAAGGGTAAAGTATCACTTAGTCCCAGGTGGGTCCCTAACTTGCCTGAATATTGAAGTATAAACTCTGGGAAAGATTCTAGAAAACATTAGAGAGGGAAACAACAGCTCATGGTCTTACCATATCCCTTCAGAAAGAGGCTTGTTGAGTGTAGTTTTAACATACTATTCAGGAAATTTGTAGGAATATTAAAGCCTGCCTTCTAAGCTTTATGAATCTCAAGCCCAGTACAAAATATTTCTTTAATCATTCAACTCTGAGCCAGTTACAGAGGACATATGTGGCAGGTCACATATCTCATGAGTAACAGTACTGTGAAACCCTCACCCTATTCCTCACTATTCCCCAACAGGTGGGATCACAACCAAGAAATCAGCATCTAATATCTTCAGCATATTATATTCAAGGAGCTTTTATGTTACCTGTCCTTTCTGCCATTTGTGGTTGGAAATAGCTGGGCTAAAATAAGTTGGATTGGCTACTGGTGAATAATAGGTCAGACAATCCTAGGAGCAAAGGTGTCCATTTTGTTTTTTTTTTCATATGAGATCTCACTATGTTGCCCAGACTGGAGTGCAGTAGCTATTCACGGGTGCAGTCACAGCTCACTACAGCCTTGAATTCCTGGGCTCAAATGATCCCCTGCCTTAGCCTTCCAAGTAGCTGAGACTATGGGGATGTGTCTCTATGCCCAGTTTGGTGCCATTTTTACCTCACTGGATATCAAGAGACAGATGAAGCCAACATTGAAGTATGCTGTGTTTCACCTTTTTGTGGTATTTGATGCAGCTGGAAGTATCAGCTTTTGGCAAGTCTTAAGTCAGCCTGACTGTCAATGAGCTGGGCATCGGGATTGTGCTATCCATCTACAAGTATTCACTGAACACCCATCACTAATATAGTCTAGGTAGGTTAAATTAGCACAACTTTGTTTAAAATCTGTTTTTTATAGAACATACATGTGTGCAGGGCTGCTCCTTTTAAAATTCATTCAACAAAGACCTTGTCCATGCTATCGTACCCTCTTGACTGGATGGCTGTAAAAACTCAACAGATCTCTGATTCTATTCTCTCCCCTTACTCCCTTCAGTTTGTTCTATACGCAACAGCCAGAGAGACTTAGAACAGATCAAGTCACCCCCTGCTTAAAATCCTCCAATGTCTTTTCTCAGAAAAAAATAAACTCAGCATTGCTATGAAACCTACATGACCTGGTTCCTACTTTTCTTTTTGACACCATTTGCTCAGTTTCCCTTCAGGGACTACGTGTAATTACATAGAATTCTTGTCCATCTTCCAGTTTGCCAAGCTGCAGATCTTTTCACTTGCTGCACTCTCTGTCTGAGGTATTTTCTCCCTCATGTCTACACACCCTTCATTCAGGTCTCAACTAAAGTGTCATTACCTTAGAGACCCTTTTCATGACTACTCTGTCCAAAATAGCTCCTGCCTTCCCACCATTGTCCTTATATCAACCCTTTTAAAAAATTGTACAGTAGTCATCACGACTTGAAATCTTACTACAGTCTTGTTTGTTTCCTTGTATATCATCTGTCTCCATCTCTCAAACATAAACTCCACAAAAGCAGAGGCTTCACCTCTCCTGTTTGCCACTGCAGCTGTAGCACCTTGAATAGGGCCAGGATTATAGAAGGCTATTGGATAGCTATTGAATGGATAAGTGAACAAACCCCAAGAGCCCTATTGATGATCTATATAAATATGTTTAATTATCTCATAGCGTATTGGGAGAATTTGTTGGGTGAAAGTCAAACTTACATTCCATCTTAAAGGAAACATCCTTAATTCATTTGCTGACTTGAAAGCTACATTTTGAGCCCCTTCAGTGTGCTAGGCATTGAGGATGAAGAGAAGTCACGATAGAAAAGGTCCTTGTGCTTTTAGAGCTTATATCTAAGTTATCATTGATTTAAGAAAAAAAAAATGTGCCACCTACTGTGCTAAGTGCTTTCAATACAATAGCATGATGGATGTGAGGGGGTTACGTGGGATGGGGAAGGAAGCTGCGATAGGAGTGTATTTGTTTCCAAGGGATGCCAAGACAAATTGCCATAAATTTAGTGGCTTAAAACAACAGAAACGTATTGTTTCACAGTTTTAGAGGCCAAAAGTCTGAAATAGGGGTGTCAGCGGGACTATACTTCCTCCTGAGTTTTAGGGAGAATCTCCTTAGCCTATTCTACCTTCTGGTGGATCTTAATGTTCCTTGGCTTGTAGCCACATCACTGCAATATATGCCTCTACCTTTACATGGTTTCTTTTCTTGTGTCTCTCCTCTGTGTTTGTATGTCCCATATCTCCCTCTCATTTCTTTTACAATGATAAGAGTTACTGTATGTAGGATTGTGAGCAGAAGACACACAATATGTATGTCCTGCAATCCTTGCCACCCTGTTTGCATATAGCATTTTTCAATGCCCCATGAGCACAGAATTCCAATGGGCCCATAATGCATGGAAGTTTAGAGAGACTTAAAGTGAGTACAAAGTAAGTGTGTTATGTCTAGGACTCAGTAACCAAAGGTGCTGACCACCCTAGGATCAATGCTTTCCTTTCAAACCAGGACTTGCTTTGAACACCGAAGGAAGAGGATGGCATTCTAAGAAACAAACGACCAAGGAACCCTATCAGATTCTTTCTTACTCATGTTACTTCCCTGCATGAGGTGACTACTTATGCTGAAAATGAGGACATAGAAGGAATGGGACAGATTGGGCAACACAGAGTTTCTTTTCCTTCCAGTCCTTCCTTATAGTAAGGTGAAGGTGGATAGTGTTGATAGAATGTGTTCCTAGAATATAAGAAGTGAAATAAAGCAGTTGAATCAGTTTTGTGCAACAATTTCACTGTCCTGGTAAGAGTATAATATATATGCATGCATGAGCTGTGGAATACAAATTGTATAATTTCTTTTTTTTCAAATTGTGTCATTTCTGTGATTCTGCACATTAGTTAAATTCTCCTATATGTGCATTTAAAACTGACACTGCACAATTCAAAGATGATGGTAAAATTCATGTTAACAAGTTAATGTGTTAATTTTTAAATTTTTTACTTAGAATGGTGTTAAATAGCAAATAAACAGCATCATGACAAGTTGAGAGAAAGATTGTGGAAGAAAGGAAAAAACTGTACATTTCAGTATCATTAACAACATGTTTTTCTGCTTTTGAAACAAGAGGCCCCACGTTTCATTTCATTTGCACTGGGCCCTGCAGGTTATGTGGGTGGCCCCGCAAAGACAGTTGTTGGGCAGAAGCCATAAGTTCTCAAAGTGTGACCTCCAGAGTCCTGGCTCTGTTAGGCTGTGACAGTTTTCCCATTTCCAGCCTCAGCCTCACTTCTGTGGCTAGCAGTGCCTCATGTTTGCTTTCCCACTCAGGTTACTGGGTTTTTTTTTTTTTTAATGCTTTTAAAGAACATTTTGCTTTTCTCCCATTTCTGTCCTTTTCCCTCCCACCATCATTTTCCCAACGCTCCTGGCATTTCAGGGATACAAACAAACCATCAAGAAACGACCAGTGCTGGCCTCTGGCCACCCGCTGTGAGAGTTACCACTGCAGAACCATAGGCTGGGTCTGATGCCCTCAGCAGGACACATTTTCTGCTATGTTTGAGGGAAAGTGGCCAAAACAGTCCTCTCTCTCACAACCTCTTCCTTTGTAGGGCAGCAGTGGGTGCCTCATGGCTGGAAAACTCACTCTTGCTTTCTGCAAAGAGGACTTTTTTTTTTTTTTAATCAACTAAGTCAATTGTTTGATGAGAACACCATGAATGGTCCACCACAGTTTTTGATGATATATTTCTGTGACGGTTACCCCTAACTCTACTAGACAAGTTTTTCACTCCCCACCCCTTTAAGCGCAGAAAATCCAGAGCAGAAATTTCAGTGTGATTGGGAAATTGTGAAGACTAGTTTGCTCTTGTATGACGGAGGATGGCAGGTAAACAGAGCCAGGTAGAGGAATGTTTATTGGAGAGAAGCTTTCTCAGACCAGGGCACATTTCTCCTCAGCAGAATGAGGGGAAACTGTTAAGACCCTAGCTTGCATCCCAAGCCTCCTCCCTAATAGAGATGTGTGGAGGGTGGCAACATTGCCCAGGACTTTGTGCAATGGTGGCGTTTTCTGGGCTTTTGTTCCTGCTTCCATTGACTGCCAGCTTGAGTCCTAGCCAGAGCCGGTCTGGGAACCGAGCTTTCATTGCTATTGTAGAGGCAACTGTGGCTTTCACTAACTAAATAGACGAGGAGGGAGAGGCAAATATTTGCTGAGTGCAACTTGATCTCCACTGCAGGGCTTTCATAGTGTCGCATGACTGAACTTACCCCATGGCCAGACAGTGTGCCGGGCTTCCTATCGTTTACCTCATTTATTTCTCACCATGTGGCTATGTGATATGGGGACTGTGACCCCCGCTTTAAAGTAGGAAGCTGCAGCTACTGAGAGAAGGCAATTAATTCAAAATCATACAACAATAGGAAGCAGAGTCGAAACCTCTATCCAGGTCTTTCTCCTTCTGAAGCATGAATTCTTTCCACTGTGCCATACTGTCAAATCCCGATTGACCAGTCTTTCTTTTTCTCTTCTTGCCTTTCTCTCTCTTTCTTTGATCTCTCCATCTACTCATCCACATATCTATCCTTCCTTCGTTTATCATGCACTTTTCCAAAAGTGTGGTTAAGGTACTGATTTCTTATTCTGCAGAATCGAGTCCTGGTAAGAGTGATCTCTTGTTTGAAATCTCTGTCACATATCCAGACTGATTTCCTCACTGCTTCCTGAACATAACATATGCATTCCTGATCCTACTTCTTTCCCTTATCACATCCTCTCTTAGCCATCACCACATACCTTCTGCCATTCCCTTCCATAGCTAGCTATCTCTCCTGTCAAAATTGAAGCAAACATTTATTGAAAGCTTACTTTGGGCCAGTTGCTGCTATATGCACATCACCTATATTTACCTAAAGTCTCCCCAACCCAGTGAGGTGGGTGCAATTGTTGTGCTGTGTTGTTCAAGGAAGAAGTTATGTTCTGGGTTGTTGGTGATGGGTGGGGGTGAGTAACTTGCCCGAGGTACATGGGTAATGATGTATAGGTGTTGTATTACTTCCTATTGATTATGTCATTTGTTGCTACATTTCTTCAGGTAGTGCTTTGGGATAGTCAACCATTTTACATGGATATGTCTCATTTTCCCAAGGAGATGACCTGTGGTTTGAAGACAGAAATTCTATCTTGCAATCCTTTAAGTATTTCCTAGAGTTAAAGGTTGTACTTGCTGAGTACACAGTACCCTATACAATAATATAAATACAAACAGAAGTGCACATGCCTCATTGAGATGTTAGAAAGTACCTTCGGACACTATATAACAAATGAAAAGTTTTTGAATTGTAGGAATCTGGAGCTGAAAAAGATATTTTGAAAAAAACAGTAACCTAGGTTTATTAGGGTAAAGCTGGCTTCTGTAACATACAAGCTCAAATTGTAGGTTGCCAAATGTTTAGTGTTCAATTCTCATTTTTGTAAATGCAACTTCCTGGATGGCAGATGGCTTTCCTCCAAGCAGTGATTTGGAGCTCCAGGCTTCTTTTACCCTGTTGCTCCACTGTCTTCAACATGAAGCCTTTAAGATCATGGTGTTTGTCTTCATCAATCCATAGAGGGGAGAAAGAAGCACAGAAGATCCCTCATAGGAGGGATGGACAAGGCAGACCTGGATGAGCTGCTCATCACTTGCACACACATCTTGTTGGCTAGAACTCTGTTGCACTGGCACAGCCACTGCAAGGAAGGGTGGAAGATGTAGACTGCAGGCCCATGAAGAAGAGGAAGTGGGTTGGGTGATGCAGCAACCATTGTCATGTCAGAGATGATTGATAAGTTTGCTGTGCCAACTCTTGTGGATTGGGAAACAGCTGCTCAACGTGGTGCGTAAAGAAGGATTTTGAGGCTGAGTCCATGCTTAGAAAGAAAGGGTTTATTCGCTTTGTCAGACAGTCTGTGAGCAGGGCTGAGGGAGGAGGAATGGGAATGCACACATCAATACTTGCTATCCCTGATTCTAGTTTGCCTTCTTCATTTTATTTGTATTAATGTATTCACCTCAGATTCACAGGGCAACTATCAGGTGATGGAGACTCGTAGAAGGGTAAGTCATGGTCTCTCCCCCTGCATTGAGCTCAAGTGATTCAGGAGAGAGAATTTATGATAGAGTGTGGTCCCTGTGATAAAGGGACAAGGACCGAGTCCTGTGGGGATGCACAGAAAAGGGCTGTAGAGGAGAGGACAGGCCTCGGAGTCAGTGACCTGCTCAAGGTCACACCATGACTATGCACCAGGTTCAGAACAGGAACAACCGGGAGTCCTTGTTTATAAAGTGGGAGACTGTCACCTGCCCCTCAGGCTTGCTGGAGATAATGCACACAGGGCTCACAGCAGAGGCCCTCACAGAGTAGGTGCTAAATACACATGTGGTGCTATTGGTGACTTTCTCAGTTTGTCTGTTATCCAGCAAGTGTGAAATGACCATTAGGGCTGGCAGGTACGATATTTATTTACTCAACAGTCAGTTATTGGCAGAGCTACTGTGTGCCTCCTGCTGTTCTGGGCTTTGGGGGTTGATATTGTTTGGATATTTGTTCCTTCATATCTCATGTTGAAATGTCATCCCCAGTGTTGGAGGTGGGTCTGGTGGGAGGCAATTGGATCATGAGGGTGGATTGATTTCCCACATTTAGCGCCATCCTCTTGGTGCTGTCCTAACAATAGTAAGTGAGTTCTTGCAAGATCTGTTTGTTTAAATGTGTGTGGCACCTCCCTCCCAGACCTTGCCCTTGCTCCCACTGTGTGATGCGCCTGTCCCCATTTCACCTTCCAGCATGAGTAAAAGCTCCCTGAGGACTTCCCAGAAAGCTGGGCAGATGCTGGGCAGAAGCTGAGCAGATGCTGGTGCCAAGCTTGTACAGCCTGCAGAACCATGAGCCAATTAATTTCTTTTCTTTATAAATCACCTGGTCTCAGGCATTCCTTTACAGCGCCGCAAGAACCGCCTAGCGCAGAGGTAAATCAGTGAATGAAACAGACACATCCTGCCTTTGTTGGACTTACATTCTGGTGTAAGGAAACAGATAATAAATAAAACATTTAAGTGAATCAGAGAGTCTAAGCAGGTTGGGAGTGCCATGAAAGATGGAGGATGCTAAGGGGGATCGTCCATGACTAGTACTGGGGGAAGGTGGCAAATAAATCTTTACAAAGGGATAGCCAGAGAGGGCTTCACAGGAAAGGTCATTCTTGAGCAAAAACACAGAGATGTGCAAGCCTTGGCTGAAGTCCTTGAAAACTTCCAAGGGTAGAATTGTCTCCTTTTTTTCAGATAAGGACAGCAAGGGTACTGGAGGTAAAGCAGCCTGTCCAAGCTCACATGAGGGCTAGTATTTGAGCCACGTATCTTGACTCCAGTGGCTCAGAAGGAAACAGGTGGGAGGGAGCATGAGTTTGTGCTTGACATTCTTGGTCTGGAATGTAGGCCTGAATCAGACAGCAGACTTTGATGGTGTTTTTCTCCCTCCCCGTTCTTAATCACACTCCGTTCCTGCATGGTTTCTTTACTTTTGCACACCACCTATCTAGACGTAATGAATAATATTTGGAGCTGCAAACAAGAGAGCATTTAGTGGTCATGAAGCCTTGACAAAATGTGTACATGGTTTTAAATATTCCATTATAATGCATGGTGAGGCGAGGCTAAAAATGAGAGCATATAAAAGCCTGCGTGATTTGATTGATGACACTCTATCAATATTGATGGCCGTGAGCACATTGGGAAGTTGGGAAGCTGTATTTCTACGGTGTCCTGCTAGCATCCAAGTCTGCAGGGATGATATATTGTGTGAAAGCCCGGGTATCACACTGCTGTTACACTGACATTAAGTAATGATAATGGGGCTCAGCTTTAGTTTGAAGTCAAATCAGTTTTGAGTGAAACATGGGCTCGTCTGTACTGGGTGCTGGGGGTTGGGGGTAGGGGCGGTTCCCAGGATCATTTGATCTGGGACTGTCTATGACCATTCCTGTACACTGGCTACTCCTGAATCTGCGAGAATGAGGAAGTGCTTGCTCTATCCCATGAGATGTCACTCCATGAGATGATGGAGGCAGAAACTGGAATGATGTATTTACAAGCCGGGGAATGCCAGGAATTGCTGGCAATGCCAGAAGCTGGAAGAAGCAAGGTGGGATCCTCTCCTGGAGCTCTCAGAAGGAGCACAGCCCTATTAATACCTTGAGTTTTGGATGTTTGGCCTCCAGAACTGTGAGATAATATATTTTTATTGTTCTAAGATACTTAGTTTTGTGGTAATTTGCATACCAGGAAACCAATAGAAACACTTTCTGGCGTGTGACCTTGGGCAAATTGCTTAACTTCCTTTGCCTGCTTCTGCATCTGCAAAAAGGATTGGCATTAGTACTTATTTCTCTTTGTGAGAATTGTGAAGATTAAATGAGAAATCCATGTAGAGAACTTAGAACTGTGTCTGCCATGTAGCGAGTGCTCAGTAGATTTTGTTATTGTTTCTGCTATTCTCATTCACATCTTCATCCTTGTTATTCACTGGTTCCAACTATGTGCTAGGCTCATTATGCATAGCAGGATCTTTTTCTTATTTTTTAAATTTTTAATAGCTACATATTTTTTATTATACTTTAAGTTCTAGGGTACATGTGCACAACGTGCAGGTTTATTACATATGTATACATGTGCCATGTTGGTGTGCTGTACCCATTAACTCGTCGTTTACATTAGGTATATCTCCTAATGCTGTCCCTCCCCCCTTTCCCCACCCCACGACAGGCCCTGGTGTGTGATGTTCCCCTTCCTGTGTCCAAGTGTTCTCGTTGTTTAATTCCCACCTATGAGTGAGAACATATAGTGTTTGGTTTTCTGTCCTTGCGATAGTTTGCTCAGAATGATGGTTTCCAGCTTCATGTAGATCCTAAATAGGATCTGTATAAAAATAGTTCCTATTTTTCCACATCCTCTCCAGCACCTGTTGTTTCCTGACTTTTTAATGATCGCCATTCTAACTGGTATGAGATGGTATCTCATTGTTGTTTTGATTTGCATGTCTCTGATGGCCAGTGATGATGAGCATTTTTTCATGTGTCTGTTGGCTGCATAAATGTCTTCTTTTGAGAAGTGTCTGTTCATATCCTTCACCCACTTTTCGATGGGGTTGTTTGATTTTTTTGTTGTAAATTTGTTTAAGTTCTTTGTAGATTCTGGATATTAGCCCTTTGTCAGATGGATAGATTGCAAAAATTTTCTCCCATTCTGTAGGTTGCCTGTGCACTGTGATGGTAGTTTCTTTTGAGGTGCAGAAGCTCTTTAGTTTAATTAGATCCCATTTATCAATTTTGGCTTTTGTTGCCATTGCTTTTGGTGTTTTAGTCATGAAGTCCTTGCCCATGCCTATGTCCTGAATAGTATTGCCTAGGTTTTCTTCTAGGGTTTTTATGGTTTTAGGTCTAACATTTAAGTGTTTAATCCATCTTGAATTAATTTTTGTATAAGGTGTAAGGAAGGGATCCAGTTTCAGCTTTCTACACATGGCTAGCCAGTTTTCCCAGCACCATTTATTAAATAGGGAATCCTTTCCCCATTTCTTGTTTTTGTCAGGTTTGTCAAAGATCAGATGGTTGTAGATGTGTGGTATTATTTCTGAGGGCTCTGTTCTGTTCTATTGATCTGTATCTCTGTTTTGGTACCAGTAGCATGCTGTTTTGGTTACTGTAGGCTTGTAGTATAGTTTGAAGTCAGGAAACGTGATGCCTCCAGCTTTGTTCTTTTTGCTTAGGATTGTCTTGGCAATGTGGGCTCTTTTTTGGTTCCATATGAACTTTGAAGTAGTTTTTTCCAATTCTGTGAAGAAAGTCATTGGTAGGTTGATGGGGATGGCATTGAATCTATAAATTGCCTTGGGCAGTATGGCCATTTTCATGATATTGATTCTTCCTATCCATGAGCATGGAATGTTCTTCCATTTATTTGTGTCCTCTTTTATTTTGTTGAGCAGTGTTTTGTAGTTCTCCTTGAAGAGATCCTTCACATCCCTTGTAAGTTGGATTCCTAAGTATTTTATTCTCTTTGAAGCAATTGTGAATGAGAGTTCACTCATGATTTGGCTCTTTGTTATTGGTGTATAAGAATGCTTGTGATTTTTGCACATTGATTTTGTATCCTGAGACTTTGCTGAAGTTGCTTATCAGCTTAAGGAGATTTTGGGCTCAGACAATGGGGTTGGTCTCAATAGACTAGGTACTGATGGGACTTATCTCAAAATAATAAGAGCTATTTATGACAAACCCACAGCCAATATTATACTGAATGGGCAAAAACTGGAAGCGTTCCCTTTGAAAACTGGTACAAGTCAGGGATGCCTTCTCTCACCGCTCCTATTCAATATAGTGTTGGAAGTTCTGGTCAGGGCAATCAGGAAGGAGAAAGAAATAAAGGGTATTCAATTAGGAAAAGAGGAAGTCAAATTGTCCCTCTTTGCAGATGACATGATTGTATATTTAGCGGGATCATTTTTTAAAGTGCCCTCGGAAAGCTGGGTGGTAGGATATTGAAATCGCCTTTGCAAAAATTATAACTGAGAAAATGATGACACTGAGAGAAATCTGACATGGCTGATTCCATTTTGTCTCTAGCCTCACAGGTTGGCTGTCTTTGCTCATTCCTGAGTGTGGGCCAAGCTAACTTTGGGAGAAACTTAGTTTATAGTTTAAATAATAGCCCTTCCCCAAAACTAGTCTGTTCTTACAAAACTAATGAAAGTCCACCAAGTTAGGATGAGTGGGGCTTGAATAATTACCGGCCATTATTCCAGAGGTCATATGATTTGCAACTTCCCCAATTACTCCTGAAGAAAACATCACTATTGTAGAACCTAAGACTGGCCTTTTGAGATGTCTTTTCAGGTTTTTGCATTTCTGACAACTGGATGGCCTCATCTGGACCTGCCAAGCTAATGAAGGACTACTAGATTAGGAGCATGTGAGGAACCTGAATTCTGCTAAGATGTAGACATAAACTATTAGCAGCCATTATTCCAGAGGTCACAAGATTTGCAACTTTCCTGATTATTCCTGCAGATAACATCAGTATTGTAGAACCTAAGATTGGCTTTTTGAGATGTCTTTTCAGGGTAGTTTTTTGTATTTCTAACCACTGATGGTTCCACTGAGACCCACTCATGGTCCTGTGGCTCCACTCAGAAGTCACTCAGCATGCATAAGGGCCATTTTCCGTACCGCTATGATTGTATCCTCAACCAATCAGCAACACCCATTCCATAGCCACCCCATCCCCACAAATTCTCTTTAAAAAACTCTAGCCTGCTAATTTCGGGGGAGGCTGATTTGAGTAATAATAAAACTCCATTCTCCCATTTAACTGGCTGTATGTGTGCAAATCTCCTTCTCTATTGCAGTTTCCCCGTTATGATAAATCAGCTCTGTCTGGACAATGGGCAAGACAAACCCATTGCGCCATTACAGGAATGGTAAGGGGACTTAGTAGATGTGATTGAGGACTTTGAGATGGAGAGATAATCCTAAGTTATATGGATAAGTCCCTAAATGTAACCACAAGTGTCTTTGTAAAATGGAGATTTGACTGCAAGGGAGAGAAAAGGTGATGTGGTGGCAATGGAAGCAGAGGGGGATTTGAAGCTGCCAATCTGCGGCTTTGAGAATGAAGGAAGAGGCTATCAGTCAAGGGATGCAAGGAATGCAGCTCTGGAAGCCAAACAGGCAAGGAAATGCATTCCCCTCTAAGAGCTTCCTGAGAGTTTGCAGCCCTGCCAACACCTTGGTTTCAGCCCCGTGAAACCCATTTTGGACTCCTGACGTCCAGACTGTAAGAGAATAACTTTGTATTCCTAGAAGCTACTAAGTTTGTGGTAATTTATCATGGCAGTATGAATCCAAAATGTCTGAGACAGATCTCAGTCAATTTAGAAAGTTTATTTTGCCAAGATCAAGGACATGCCTGTGACGTGGCCTCAGGAGCTCCTGACACATGTTCCCAAGGTGGTCGGGGCATAGCTTGATTTTACACATTTTAGGGAGACCTGAGACATCAATCAGTATATGTAAGATGTACATTCATTCTGTCTGGAAAGCTGGTACAACTCAACATGGGGCGGGGGCTTCCAGGTTATAGGTAGGTAAGAGACAAATGGTCGCAGTCTTTTGAGCTTCTGATTAGCCTTTTACTGAATATACAATTTATAGGAATAGTCACTTATGCCTTAGTCTGGCTTAGTGAAACAATAGGTCAAAGGAAGCAGTCAGATACACATTTGTCTCATGTGAGTAGAGGGATGACTTTGAGTTCCATCCGTCCTTTGTCCAGAAGGAATTTCCTTGTAGCTTTTTTATCTTTGTAGCTATCTTAGTTAGAAATAGAATAGGAGGCAGGTCTTCCTGACATAGTTCCCAGCTTGACTTCTCCCTTTGGCTTAGTGATTTGGGGTCCCCGAGATTTATTTTCCTTTCACAGCAAAAACAGGAAACTAATACATAATGAATACCCAACTTTCTGACTCCACATCTATGTGTTCACTTCTCTCTCGCTGTTGAACATTGGTTCTCTTCTCAGTAAACTCATGGCCCTGTGGTGTCTGGTTGGTGGCTACTCCACATTGAAAACTGACATGCAGATTGCGGGCAGGGGCAATCCCAGGCTGCTCCTTCATGCATCACTACGAACAGCAGTCTGAGGGGCCAGTGTTTCTTGCTTCTGGTGACAGAGCCCAACAGGGGATCTGGGTCCTACACTCACCATTATGTGATGGATCTGGCTTCTGGTCCCAAATTCTGCTTCGTCCCCAGGAAGCCAAAGCCCTCACCAGCAGCGTTAGTCCTAAACCAGGCCAATCCTGTAGCTGGTTGGGGTATTGAAGACGCTCAAGTTTGGAGTTTTAGAACCAGGTGAAACTCAATGTTGGTTTCATGATATAGTAGAAGGAGGTTGAACTTCCAAGTCAGACCCAGGACAAAACCTCAGGTCTGCTGTTGATCCCCTGGTAACCTCTCTCTGTGCTTCCTCATCTCCAGAATCAGGATCATCACCCTACCTCATAAGGTTGTAAGAAACATTAAGTGAAAAGAGAACTTGGTATACACAATTGGTTGTGGGATGCTAGTCCCTTTCTCTTCCTCCCCACTTACTTTATCTTCACTTATGGAACCTGGGGACCAGTCTTCAACGTCCTGGGCTATGGTTCTGGCTCTGTTCTTAGTTGGGATTTTCCTAAATATCTGGCCTGGTTTGATCCAGAATTCAAACTGAGGTCATGAGGGGCCCCTTGCTTACTGACGTCAGAAACGGTGTTTGTGGCTGTTGGTCTCCTCTCTAGCATTCTTCTCTGCCCAGCTGCACAGAGCCCCTCCTATGTATTAATTGGGAATATTTTCAGTGGCAATAAACAAAAGCTCTAATTCAGCTTGTTTAAACAGTAGAGAGGATTCCTTATCTCCCATAATTAAAAGTCCTGAAGTAGGTGAAAAACCCAGGTATTTTCTTTCTGTCATTTTTCTCTGACAATCTTTGCATAATGGCTTATCTTTCAGCCTTGCTTTTCCCTTGGTAGGAAGATGGTCTTGGTACCACATCCAAATATGGATGTCTTTAAGAAGAGAGGTCCTGCTTTCCTCTCATCTTCTCCTCTCCTCCCTCTTTTTGTTTCCCTTCATTCCTTGGGAAAAGAAAACCTTTCTCAAGAGACTTCCCCAAGTCCTCCCTTCGAGTCTCATTGCCCAGCATAGTGTCACAATCCTAACCCATCACTGGCAGAGGAAATGGATTACTGTGATTGGCTAGGACCAGACATAACTTACGTCCTGGGAAGAGAACTGGGGGTTTATCTCCTTTGAGGTACGTGGCTGAGTAAAGGAGGGAGTAGCTACTTGAGCAAAACTGGGGCTTTCAGAGGAAGGGTAAATGGGTGTTGGGAGGGTGGCCAACACTGTTCGCCTCCCCTCATAGAACTCTTGGCAAATGCTTGGATTGGAAGTTCTGTCTAATCTCAAATTATTCAGATGGAGAGCGTAGTGCTCATCATGCATGCTAACTTGCATTGATTGGTGGTGACTACCTGGAATGAGATGTTGAGGATTCTGGCCACATCTGGGCTCAGTGGGAATGACAGCCATGATTGATTAACAATGTCTGCCAGC
Organism: Homo sapiens; assembly: GCF_000001405.40. NCBI lineage: Eukaryota > Metazoa > Chordata > Mammalia > Primates > Hominidae > Homo > Homo sapiens. Next base: position 82,339,985 of record NC_000016.10, read on the forward strand.
GGGGGGGTTGGGGGTATGTTAGAGTGGAAGGTTAGCAGAAAAAATTTCTTCCTTTAAAACACACACACAGACACACACACACACACATTTTTTTCAAAGCTCTAGGTTTGTCTTCCTCAACTTTTCGACTTCCCAAGGACTGCTTGTGATCCTAGTTTTCAGAAACCATGTTTACACAAATCACAGGCAAATATGTTACAGAAAATTAAGAAGTCACTTATGGATGGGATCTTTATCTCTTTGATTTCTGTCAATGTCTTGTGCAGCTCCTTGAGAAGGGGCCACAGGTCTCTGGCTTCCTCTTAGTTGAGTTCAGGCAGTATTCAGCAGCAAACTGAAAATGCACAGATGAAAATGCAAACTGAAAATGCTGCCTCCACTCTTGGTGCCACCAGTGTGAGGCTGTTGGTCCAGAGGTGGAAGATACTTTCAGAACAGCTCAGCAATAGTTTTTGCTCAACTTCAAAAGAGGCGTCTGGAGCCCATCTTTTCTGCCCAGAGACTTCATTCCCACTAAAGGAAAATTTCCCTGCACTTGTAGTTCTGCAATTCTGGGTCAGCCAAATGAGCAGTATTTTAATTTTAAAATCTTAGCCAATTATCAAGAGGGTGGCTTTCTTCCGGGTATCAGCAGCACCATCTCTCTAACAGCCTTTTCTTCCCTCCTCCCGCTTATCTTTGGAGACCAGCCGAGCCCAGCTGCTTAGTAGATGTGATCTCCCCAGGCATACTAATAATGGGGATTTTTGTTTTTTTTCGGAGCAAGTTTTCATTATTTGGAGTTTTTGTCTGTTTGTCACATGTCCAGCTAATTTCTCTTTGTTTTCAAAACAAAGGATGGTTCTAGGAAAATGGGGTTGCATTTATGTTGTTTCTGAATTTCCCCTTCCTCCTCCCTTTCTCTCCTTACAGTAAATGAAGAGTAGTTTTTTTTTTTTTTTTCAGGTTGTGTTTGACAAATCTCTGGACACAGTGAGATAATTTTGCATTTCTAAATGCAGTGAACCACATGAGAAAAGTTAATTAAACTGGCTGGGATACGCATATCTGGTGATAGATCAGGAAAACTGTCACATTTCTCAGAATAATCACAACCAATATAGACACCTCAAATGCTCCTTGTTATTGGTTAATAAATATAGCATTTGGTACTCAAAGATACCCCTAAGCCATTATTTTTTTAAAAAATTGTCATTAAAGGCATTATATGATTGTATAAGCTCAGCAGTTCATTGCTGTTTTTTCCTCCCCACAAACCCCAGTCTGAAAAATTGTCAGTGTACTTCAGTCAATATATTTATGGAGAGATTATCTCACTAACTAAGAGAGTGACTATGTCTTAATTGACCTGGGATTGGGTCCAAGCACCTATTTTAGAGCTCCCCAGCTGATTCTGTTGTGCAGCCAGGGTTGAAAACCACTGTTCTAAGAGTCATGTTTTATATCTGTCAGAATAGGTTACATTCTGCTGCAGTAACAAATAGTTCGTGGATCTCATTGACTTAATGCGATGAAGGGTGATTTCTTGCACTTGCTACATATGCTCAGTGGGTGGGATGAGTGCTCTGCTCTACATTTCCTGTCTCTAACACCCATGCTGATGGGGCTTACTGTCTGGAGCATTATCTATTGCCATTGCAGGGAAGAAACATGCCGTCTCTAACGTCTTTCTTTTGGATGTAACATACTTCACTTCTACACATGTTATTAGCCCAAGTTATTGCCATGTCTGTGGTTAGCAGAGACCCGGAGATCTTCAGCTGACACACAGCTTGGCTCAGGCACATGTCTGAAGGTTTCTATCCTGAAAGACAAGGTCAAGGCCAGATGGCAGGACATTGTTTTGCTGTCCTTCAGCCTAACACATGATCCAAGGAGTTCTGTTGTCTTCTCTTGTGACACAAAGCTCAGTCCACGGCCCTCTAGGACAGGGCAGTTCTGATGGTGACATTTCACTAGGTAAGAAGGTGTTTGTTTGTAGCAAAGCGTTCCATCAGAAAATTCCCTTACTGAGAGCCAAGAAGGAGCTGAGAGATGCTCCCATTTTCACTTGCAAGATGAAAGCAGTATCCATTGAAGAAGGTGGAATATGCAAGACACACAGGAATGTGTATGGGCAAAATCTCGAAGTTTAGAAAGCTGGGCATACCCTCAATTTGCCCTTGACTCTTCACAATAAAATCTAGGAGCTGAATGAATAAAAAATATCCAAATTTTATAGAATGTAAAAAGTGATCTGAATCTCGAGTAATAATAAGAGATTAGTCACCTGTTCTAAACTGACAGCCCCTGATGTCATGGTTTCCAGTGTTTTTCAAATCACCCAGGATATTGTTGAACATACAGATTCCTGGCACCACCTCTAGGGATCCTGATGCAGTTGGTTGAGAGTGGGTTCTGGACATGTCACTGAGTTCCCCAGGTGATGTTGTGGTGGTCTATGGGACCACCCTTTCTGTTCTCTTGGAGACAGCCAGGGAGGCAGTGATCAGAGAACCAGCCCGGTGTGAGAGCTTCACTACCCACTTGCTCTTATGATGGCTGCCTCCAGAGCTGGGAAACTCACTGTTCTGGTTGTCAGCTATCCCCAAACAATGATGAAATCATGGTTATTTGAACCCTCCCCATCACAAATGATCATTACCCAGTTGTCATCCGTTATGCTTTGGTGAGGGTTCTTTTCTTTCTCTGAAAACTCAAAAATAGACCAGTGTATTAGTCAGGGTTCTCTAGACAGAGGGAGCTAATAGGATACATGTATATAATAAAGGGAGTTTATTAAGGGGAATTGACTCACATGATCACAAGGCAAAGTTCACAATAGGCCGTCTGCAAGTTGAGGAGCAGGGAAGCCAGTGGTGGATCTGCCTGAGTCCAAAAACCTCAAAAGTAGGGAGGCTCACAGTGCAGCCTTCAGTCTGTGGCCAAAGGCCTGAGAGCCCCTGACAAACTGCTGGTGTAAGTCCAAGAGTCCACAAGCTGAAGAACTTAGAGTCTGACGTTGAAGCGCAGGAAGCATCCAGCATGGGAGAAAGATGAAGGCAGGAAAACTCAGCAAGTCAAGTCCTTCCATGCTCTTCTGCCTGTTTTGTTATAGCTGCGCTGGCAGTTGATTAGACGGTACCCACCCAGAATGAGGGTGGGTCTTCGTCTCCCAGTCCACGACTCAAATGTTAATCTCCTTTGGCAAACCGTCCCAGACACACACCCAGGAACAATCCTTTGCATCCTTCAATCTAATCAAGTTGATATTCAGTATTAACCATCACAACTAGGGAAGAACATTAGCAATCACCTGGTCCAACACCTTGATTTTATGGACCAGGAAGCTTAGTCCTAGAAAAAACATGGTCATGTTGCAGAAGAATTCAGTGGCAGGATTGGAAGAGGACCCGAACAGTCCACATCAATGCTGCCTGCAGGAGAAACCAGGCAAAGGGGTGAAGAGGTGCTTTTCTGTCATCTTTGGGACAGCAGGCAGGGCAGTTTTAAGTGGTTTTGTTCAGCCTCTCCACAGAATGCATGAGAAAATGGGCTCAGTTCTAGCAGAAGTCCTAGCAGTAGCAGGGTAATGTCTAGCAGAGTAACCCTGGGCAAGTCACTTAGCCTCTCTGACTCAATTTGTAAATTGAGATAATGATAGTGCCTATTTCATTTTTGTGAAAATTAAATGAGCATGTGTAACATGCTTAGAAAAGTATATGGCAAGTAGCTATCATTTATCACATGTTCATGATTGTCAATATTATTATTGTTATCATTGCAATAAGTTTCCTAATGTTAGCCTGATTAAAAGATACAATAAGGGATAAGAGGATTTCACAATCTTTGTCTGCAGGCAGCTTTAAGAATTAGACTGGCATTTGTCTAGGTTGATTATATTATTCATCTTCTTTGGATGGAGGGTCTTGGTCTAATTGAACATTAGTTTTCATTTTTCCATAAATCATTTAAAAATAATCTAAACCGTAAGACAGCAAGGAAACTGCCTAATGGTGAGGGAAACAAAAATCAGACAAGCTTTTCTAGCATGCTACATCTACCCTAGGTGACTTCCCTGATGGGTACATCAATGATAGAGGGACAGAGGTTAAGCCACATCGATTTGAAAGCTGATATTGGACCCTTGCAATGAGCTCTCTGAGCATCCACATCTTGGACAGCCCTGAAGGTAGACGTGCATCCAGGAAATAGTAGTGGCTGCCCTGTGTTTGTGTTCAGAGCCTGGTGCTAGGTGGTATTTGTTAATAGGAGAGGAAACACCTGGGGTCACATCAAGGAAAAGACGGACAGGGGTAGATTGGTAGCTGAAGAGGTGGCCATCCTTTCTCAGAGCTACCGTGTTCAATTCAGGGATGCCTTGGTAATTCTGCCCCCTGCCTTCCACCAGGAGTGTGTGCAGCTCTGTGCCTGTGTCCAGCACACCCTATGTGCTAAAGTTTCCTAACCTTAGCGGGGGTATGAACTGTTTGCCCAGGAATGAATGGAGATGTGATGTGAACTATATTTTGTCCCAAACAAGAAGAGAAATCTCAGCACAAGAGAAACAAATTATCTCACAAATAAGTGAATCTATTCTAGTAATTGAGCAGAACTCCAAGAGAAAATCTTCACGATCTTACTGGAAAGCTTTTTACAAAGAATAAGTGTAAGATTGCCAGTAGAGAATGCCAATCTGTGGAGATGCCCAGCCCCTATGTTGGCCTGTCCATCATGGTTAGCTCTGATTGGGACTGTGCCGAAAAGAAGGGTAAGCAGGTACAGATGACAAGAGTCCAAGGCCTGTGACTTGGGGACAATAAGCATTATAATTGCATACAATTACTGAGCACTCACTCTGTCCCAGACATATTTTATATACATCAATTCATTTGATGCTCATGTTAGGTAGCTGCTGTTACTGGCCAGGATTTCAAAGTAGCTACTCCTATTGTCCTCATTTTTCTGATGAGAGAATGAAGTACAGAAAGGCCAAGCAACTTGCCTACCTTCTTACAAGCAGGATGTGGCAGAGGATAAGCTCGGGAAGTCTGACTTAAAAATCCACCCTTTTTTACAATGCAGCTAAGTGATGATATAAGCAAACATGGAAAGATACTGAAACAACTAATAAGGGCCACCCATGCACCTGTAGTCAAGGCCTTGGCTAGGAGAAGCAGAAACTCCAACTAGAAAAGGGAAAGGAGATAGATTAATACAAAGAGAAGTGAAGTTTCTGCAGGTCCAGGGAAGGGAGTATAGCTGAGCCTTGGGGAAACTGGAATGCTCTTTCTCTCTCAGCCCCTCTGAGATCATAGGTTCTAGCTCGTGGAGCTGACTTCTGCTTCCTATCTCTGCTGTATTCTAGTCACAGGCCAGCTCTCTCAATCTCTTCAGTCTGTCCCTTGCACCATTGTCTGGTATGGGACTGTGGTTTGCAGTGGGATCCATTGTGTCCTGATTCTAAAGACCTCTTAGCCCCAGAGTCCCCCACCTACTGACTGCATGCTAGCTCCTACGTCAAGAAGGAGCATCTGATTGGCTCAACCAGACCTATCCATTGGCTTCCCTTGAGTAGGGCAAGCATTGTCATTGAAATTCCCCTGGAATCAGCAAAGAGTTAGGGGTAGCAAAGGGGATGTCTGAGAACAGAGTTTCCTAAACATTTTTTTTTTTTTTTTAATTCAGAGATTCCCTTCAGCAGTCTGGTGAAGGCCAGGGACATCTTCTCAGCATCACGCTTTTAAATAAAAAATAATGTTGGATTACAAAGGCAGCCAATTCTATTAAATTACAATTATTAGAATATTAAACAAAATTTGTGCTGTGTTTTTAAATTAACATATTGCTGAGATCTAGCAGCAAGTCTCATAACAACTACAATTTTGAAGAACTGGTGAATGTAAAAGATATTTTGAGATAACTGCAAAACTTGTGTGATAGAAAAGTATGAGTTGCATTGGTGACAAAGTCACAGGCACTGTTAGTACAACTGTCGTTTGTGGCCTATATTTATTATTAAGGGAAATGCTAATTTTCAATTTGAAGATGTTGAAAATGAGGCTGCAAAATTCTTTCCCATCCACGTTCATAGAATCCTAAATTCTATTCATAGACTCTCTTACCCTGTTGCAGTATTTCTCAAAGCATGGAGCCACCTACATAAACAAGGCATGGGAAGTGGAGAGGAGTGGCACCATGAAGGCTTCTCTTTGAGAATGCAGATTCCTCAGTTGTCCCGCGCTAGGTATGCTGACATCTGACCTGAGAGAAAGAAACTGGAAACTGACATAGCAAACTCATTTTTATTGTGTTCCTGATGCAAATCTTACATATGCTAAATTTTGAAAAACATCAATGTAAAGTAGAAACTTTAAAGCCTCTGAGCATTACTCTGTCTAGCCATCAAGTGGGGTTGGAGTCTGAACCAATGCAGTCATATAAAAAGAAAATGTTTCAAATGCAAGCATAGGTTTTGAAATGCTTAGAAATAACCTAGTGATGCTGAATGCAGGCAAATTCAAATGTTTTTTTCAAAGATACCTTGTGGTTCATTTAAGAGGAGAGCTTCAGAGTACATCTGCAACAGGTGGAGGCTGATTGGATTAGGTAATGCCCAAGAGCAAACGCTTTTCTGAGTCAATTCTGAAGCCTGTTGCCTACTGGAGTGAGGACCCTTGTTCATTTGCATGACCAACTGGAGGCCAAAGCAAAGGATGATGCATTCTACGGGGTTAAAGGGGGAAGGAATGAGCAGTTGCAGCCCCAGTGCATCAGGAAAGAAGAGGCTGAGCATTATTACTTCTCTCTGGGACGCAGGACCTTCCAGACTGTGACCGGAAGCAAAGTGCAGGCCAAGAGCAGCTGGCCTCCTGGTAGGCAGAATGAGCTCATAGCTGTTGGTTGAAGACACGTGAAGTCTGCAGAGGTGAACTAATAGCGAGAAGGACAGAGAGGAGGAGCAGGGTGAAGCAGGAATACCAGCCAAGAACAAGGGCAGCTGATGCACCCAGGATAGAGAGAACACTCCTCGGCTTCTTGCTAAAGGAGAATACTTTCCTTATTCTTGTGGTTTTCCATCTCAGGATACTGTGGAACTTCCTGATTGGGACTCAGGCTGCTTCAGTGATGTCTTGATGTAGGACCTGTCTTCTGGCCACAGGTGATTTCACACCTGCCATGATGGGTAGGGAGCATCTTGGGGAAGCAGAGGTTTAATAGGTAGGCAAATTGCCCAGCAGTCAAGTTTTCTCTTCATGCTAGTAGCAGCACATCATAGCGGTTGACGATATGGGCTCAAGGGCTTGTGCTGGAATCCCAGCTTTGTCATTTATCAGCTGGGTCACCTTGGACAGGTACTAATCTCTCTGTGCTATCATTTTCCCACTTGTAAAGCAGATATAATAGAACTTCCGCATGAGAATGTTAAGAAACGTGAGCTAAGTCACCCATGTAAAATGTTCAGGATTGGTGCCTGGTAAATAGTGAGTTCATTCTCTCTTTCCTGCTCCCTCTCCCACTTTTCCCTTTCTCTCTCTCTCTCTACATATATATATGTGTGTGTGTATATATATATACACACACACACACACACACACATATATACATATATATATGTTTGTTTTGTTAAATAAAGAAATGTTGACGTGTCAATCACATCATTATGTCAATTATGTCAATCCATTTGATGAATGATTCCTTTGGTGCTATACTCAGTCATGGACAGAGTTATGGAGTTAGGTGGACCTGGGATTTGAGTTCTTTGCTATGCCATATTCTATTAACTTTGTAACCTTGGGTTTGATCTTGGCTTTTTTGCTTATGAGTTCTTTGACTTTGGGCAGACTAGTTGGCCTCTCTGAACTGAATTCCCTCAATTATAAATGTGACTAAAATATCTTACTTCTATAATAATAGTGTCTGATACATAGTACGTATAAAACAAACATTAATCCTTTCCCTTTACTTCCCAAGTCACCTCCTTAGGTTGGGCCATGTCAGAACTTATTCCAGATTCATCCAGCATTGGAGAGCAAATTTGGTGTTGGATACTGCCACAGGCCCTACTATACAGAAATGAAAAGAGCCTATTCCTCCTCCCAGGGGTCTTGTGGTTTAGTTCTCTGTAACTTGCAAAATGCTGTAAAAATGAAGAACATTATGTAATAATTCTTAGGAAGCAAACTTGCTGCTCAAGTAGCTTGGAACAATGTTTCCCAAACTTCACTGTGCACACCAATCACTTGGAGATCTTGGTAAAATGCAGAGTCCAGTGCAGAAGGTCTGGGGAGGGGACTGATATCACATTTCTAACAAGCTTCCAGGCAATGCCCTGCTGCTGGTCCATGGACCATGGACTGCACTTTGAGTAGTCAGGGCTTGGAGTATAGCTTAGGAGACAAAGCAAACCCACAGGAATCTAATCCCTTGCTCTAAGCTCTTGCTTCCTGTTTTTGTTTGAAGGGCTAGATTCCCATGAGCATTCAGGCCTGAGATGCTTGCTTTACAAATCTTTCTGCTTCTGCATGGTCAAAATTCCTTTAGTCCTGTCTTGTAGGCCTGTGGTAATTTTCTTGGACAGTGTAGGTGACTAATGGAGAAATTGATCCAGATGTTCCCTGGAGAATACCAAGAAGCTGCCCCAAAGATCCATAGTTGCAGGTTGTGCTTCTAGACCACAGAGGACTTTGGAGAGTTGGAAGGGACAATTGTAAGGTCATCTGGCCTAGCAACTACCCCACTGAGCTTAGTGTCACTGGATTCCCATCAAGGACTTAAACCTTGGCTACGGGCTCATCTTTTAATTCCCTTCTTTGAATCTGAAATCAGTCCAATTGTCAATAGAATGGTGCAGGGTTTGGGTTTGCTTCCAGGTGACTTTTAATCTATATATGTTTGGTAAAACTATATTTGGAAAGAAAATCATTGAGGAACTGATAAATGGAAAGACTGTGAATGAGTAGAAGTGTAAAATGATAACGGGGTCTCCAATTTGCATTTAAAAGAAAATGTCTAAGCCTCAGCTCTCATGATGACGATGGTAATAATTGTAGCTTCTGTTGTTTGAGTATTTATTCTGTGCCAGGCCTGTGCCAGGAGCTTTACATATATTATGTAATTTAATACTAGGGAGATAGGTGCTTTTATTTTAAAGATGAGGAAATTCAGAAGCTAAACTAGATTAAGTGTTTTGCCCAAGGTCACACAGCTGGCAAGTAGCAGAAGTGAAATTTGAACTAAAGCAGTTTAGCTCCCGAATATTTGCTCCTAAACTGTACTCCTGCCTCTTACTAGTCTAACATCCCATGTCCTGCCGAGAATCTCATCCAGCCTCTCCATCTACCACGCCAGGAACAGGCATTTACTAACTCTCATGGAAGCTCATTTCATTGTGAACATAGTTTCCTTTGGTGGAAAATTATTTTCTCTTAACACGGCTTTGCCTTCAAGAGTGAACTGAAATGACCCAACAATCCCATTCCTAAGGATATACCCAAGAAAATTAAAAACTTAGGTTTGCACAAAAACTTAGATATAAATGTTCATAGCAACATTATTCATGATAGCAAAAACGTAGAATCAACCCAAATGTCTATCAATTGATAAATGGATTAAAAGAAGATCTGTCCATACAATGGAATATTTAGTCACAAAAAGGAATGAAGTACTGTTACATACTACCCATGAATGAATCTCAAAAACATTATGCGGAACGAAGAAAGCATTTCTTCATCCAGTCCCAAAAGACCACCTCTTATATGATTCCATTGACATGAAATGTCTAGGATAGGCAAATTTATAGAAACAGAAAGTTGATCAGTGGTTTCCAGGGGCACTAGAAAGAGGAAGGAATATAGAGTTACTGATGATGGGTATGAGATTTCCTTTTGGGGTGATCAAAATGTTCTAGAATTAGATAATTGTGATTGTTGTACAACTTTGTGAATATAATAAGAACCACTGAATTGAACACTTTAAATGGTGAATTTTATGACATATGAACTATATCACAATAAAAAATAATTTAGATAAAGTAATCCTTCATTCTGGGTTTGAAAGAAAGGATTAAACCAAACAGATCTACAGATATTTGAAGCTGGCTGGTTTGTCTCTAATGCATTCTCTTCTCTAAGATAAACAGTGCTGATTCCTTCAACCATCTCTCTTATGATGTGAAATTGAGTCCTGGTCTGAACTGATTTCTTTCTTCCCCAAATGTCCCAGGTTGACAATGCTATTCTTGTGATTCCCCTCCCTGAGCCAAAACACTGCTCCAAGTACAGTCCCATTGGGTTGGAGTAGAACAGAATCTACCTTTACCTTCATGATGTCATGATATGATCACCCAATGTCATTGCCATTCATGGATTGGACATTTTCATTTTGGGATGATTATAGTCCATGATTTTTTTTTCCCTGATAAACATAAAAAGCGTAGATTTTGTTTTCTTTAGGAGAAGATAATTTGAGTACTGCACTGAAAATTTTAAAAAATTCAAAAAGAACAAACTGTTACACTATTTGGTAGATTGCAAAAATAGCTACAATTCTCAACTCTTCCATAATGCATGCCCTTGCTCATGTGACTTTGAAGCTCCTTCCATCAAGAGGTAAAGCTGTGTACCTATCTCTTGAATCTAGGCTGGGCTTGTGATTTGTTTGTGCAAAAGAATGTGACATATGTGATGTTGTGCCAGTTTTGAGCATAAGCTTCAAGAAATCTTCATGCTCTAGGTAGCTGTGCTGCCCAGTTGGTGTGGGAACAAATTCAAGCTTGCCTGCTGGAGAATGAGATACAGGCTATCCAGTTGCCCCATTGTGCCAGTTGATGGCCAGCCAACACGCCACAGCAGATCCTCTAAGCTGACTAGTCATTAGCCACAGATGCATGAGGGACCCCATCGGAGACCAGAAGAACCACCCAGTTTAAACCAGGCCAAATTGTCAACCCACAGAAATATGAGCTAAACAAATGATTGTTGTTTTAGGCCTTAGGTTTTGGGAATGTTAATTATGCAACAAAACCTAAATGAGGTGTTCCACTTCTGGCTAGGATGTAGGGAGATATGAAGGACCTTTATCCCCCAAAACACAACCACAAATCACTAGGCAAACAATAACAACTAAATCATACTTAAAAAAAAAAAGCCCTCAAAGAGCTATGGACGTAAAGAAATCTAAAAGGACAACTTCAGAGGGAGGAGCTACCACTAGACACAGTGTTTAGCATGAAGTACAGGTATACCTTGGAGGCATTGTGAGTTCCGTTCCAGACCACTGCGATAAAGCAAATGGCACAACTAGTCACACAAATATTTTCGGTTTCCCAGTGCATATAAAAGTTATGTTTGCATTAAATTGTAGTTTATTAAGTGTACAATAGCATTATGTCTAAAAATGTGTATAACTTAATTTAAAATACTTTATTATTAAACATTCTAACAATCATCTGAGCCTTCAGTGCGCTCTAAAAGTTTTGCTGATGAAGATTATTGCCTCAACGTTGATGACTGCTGACTGATTGGGGTAGGAGTTGCTGAAGGCTGAGGTAGCTGTGGAAATTTTTCAAAGTAACATGATGAAGTTTGCCATATGAATTGACTCTTCCATTCACAGCAGCATGCAATGCTGTCTGATAACATATTACCTACAGTAGAACCTCTTTCAAAATTAGAGTGAATTAGAGTAATGCCACAGCTTTAACAGCTAAGTTTATGTAATATTCTAAATCCTTTGTTGTCATCTTGACAGTGTTCACAGTATCTTCACCAGGATTAGATTCCACCTCAAGAAACCAGTCTTTGCTCATTCATAGAAAGCAACTCCTCAACTGTTAAGTTTTATCATGAAATTGCAGTAATTCAGTCATGTCTTCAGTCTTCACTTTTTTTTTTTTTTAAAGACAGAGTTTTGCTCTTGTTCCCCAGGCTGGAGTGCAGTGGCACAATCTAGGCTCACTGCAACCTCTGCCTCCCAGGTTCAAGTGATTCCCCTGCCTCAGCCTCCCAAGTAGCTGGGATTACAGGTGCCCACCACCACACCCAGCTTTTTTTTTTTTTTTTTTTTTTGTATTTCTGTATTTTTAGTGGAGATGGGGTTTCACCATGTTGGCCAGGCTGGTCTTGAACTGCTGACCTCAGGTGATCCACCTGCCTCAGCCTTCCTAAGTGCTAGGATTACAGGCGTAAGCCTCCGTGCCTGGTGGAGGCTCCACTTCTAATTCTCTTACTATTTCTACCACATCTGCGGTTCTTTCCTCCACTGAAGTCTTAAACCTTTTAACATCATCTATGAGGGTTGGAATCAACTTTCTTTCTTTCTTTCTTTCTTTCTTTCTTTCTTTCTTGCTTTCTTGCTTTCTTGCTTTCTTGCTTTCTTGCTTTCTTGCTTTCTTGCTTTCTTGCTTTCTTGCTTTCTTGCTTTCTTCTTTCTTTCTTTCTTTCTTTCTTTCTTTCTTTCTTTCTTTCTTTTCTTTCTTTCTTTCTTTCTTTTTCTTTCTCTCTTTCTCTTTCTCTCTTTTCTTTCCTTTCTCTCCTTTCTTTCTTTTTGAGACAGGGTCTTGCTCTGTTGCCCAGGCTGAAGTGCAGTGGCCTGATCTCAGCTAACTGCAACCTCTGCCTCCTGAGTTCAGGTGATCCTCCTGCCTCTGCCTCCTGAGTAGCTGGGACTACAGGCACATGCCACCACACTCAGCTAATTTTTGTATTTTTAGTAGAGACGGCGTTTTACCATGTTGGCCAGGCTGGTCTCGAACTCCTGACCTCAAGTGATCTGCCTGCCTCGGCCTCCCAAAGTGTTGGAATTACAGGTGTGAGCCATGACACCAGAATCAACTTCTTTCAAACTCTTGTTAATGTTGTTATTTTGACCTCCTTCCATGAACAATGGATGTTCTTAATGGCAACTAGAATGGTGAATCCATTCCAGAAGGTTTTCAGTTTGCTTTGTTCAAATCTGTCAGAGGAATCACTATGTATGACAGCTATAGCCTTCTACAACATATTTCTTAAATAATAAGACTTGAAGTATTACTCCTTGATGGCTGTAGAATAGATGTTGTGTTAGCAGACCTGAGAACAATATTAATCTCCGTATACATCCTCATCAGAACTGATGGGTAACTAGATGCATTGTAAATGAGCAGTAATGTTTTGCAGGAAATCTATTTTTCCAAGCAGTAGGCCTTAACAGTGGGCTTAAAATACTCAGTAAACTGTGATATAAACAGATGTGCTATCTTTCAGGCTTTGTTATTCCGTTATAGAGCACAGACAGAATAGAGTTAGCATAATTCTTAAGGGTTCTAGGATTTTCAGAATGATCCATAAAATTGACTTCAACTTAAAGTCACCAGCCGCATTAGTCTCTAACAAGAGAGTCAGCCTATACTTTGAAGCTTTGCAGCCAGGCATTGACTTCTCCTTAGCTATAAAAGTCCTAGATGGCATCTTCTTCTAATAGTTGTTTTGTCTACTTGGAAAATGTGTTGTTCAGTGCCACTGTCATCAGTTATCTTAGCTAGATCTTCTGGATGACTTGCTGCAGCCTCTGCATCAGCACTTTCTGCTTTACCTTGCACTTTTATATCATGGAGACTGAGTGTCTTTCCTTAATCCTCATGAACCAACCTCTGCTAGCTTTAAGCTTTTCTTCTGTAGATTCCTCACCTCTCTCAGCCTTCACAGAATTGAAGAGGTAAGGCTTGCTCTGGATGAGGCTTTGGCTTAAGGGAGTGTTGTAGCTTCCTGGAGCTTCTATCCAGACTACTCCAACTTTCTGTATATCAGCAATAAAAATGTTTAGCTTTCTTATCATTTATGTGTTCACTGAAGCAGCACTTTTATTATTCTCCAAGAACTATTCCTTTGCATTGACAAGTTGGCTAACTGTTTGGCAGAAGAGATCTAGCAGCACCAAGACTTGAAGACAGGTCTATAGAGCTTCAAACTGAAGCAACAGAAGGAAAAAAGAAAAATGAAAGTTTAACAGAACTTCAAAGGCAGTGTTAAATGGTGAAGCAAACTTTTTTTCAGAGTGTCTGTTGGAGAGAATGACAGATAAATATGTGAAAAAATATGGACTGAAATTTTCAAAATTGGATCAAAAATAGTAACCCATTGCTATAAGAAAAGCTCAGAGAGCCCCAAGTAGGATAAAAAGAAAAAAACAAAACCTGAAACAAAACTACATTATAGTCAAGTTGACAAAAAGAAAAGCTAAGGAGAAAATGTTAAAATCAGCTAGAGGAGAAATCAATGCACATTGGATACACAGGGGAACAATATAAGAATGGAAACTGACTTCTCATTGGATACAATGGAGACCAAAGACAATGGAATATCTTTAGTCTCCATTGAATTTTTTTTTTTTTTTTACTTTTTAAAGAATTGAAAGAAAATAAAAAAATCTCAACATAGAATTCTGCATCCAGCATTAATATACTTAATAATGAAGTCAAATTAAAGACATTTTTAAATGAGGAAGAGTTGAAAGAATGTTTTGCCAGCATATTTGCACTGCAGGAAATGCTGAAAGATGTTCTTCAAGCTAAGGGGAAATGATAACAGAAGGGAACCCAGGTCTACAATAAAAACTGAAGACCCTGAGAAAGCATAACTATTTAGGCAAGCCAAAAATCTAATTTTAGAAATTATTTTTTTAATGCATATCCATCATATAGTTAAACTATAAAAGACTACTGGATGTTTAATGCAAAAATAATAATTATGTAGAATCTCTAATGTAAGTGGAAGAAAAGGATATGTGAAAATAGCACAAAGGATGAAAACGGATAAATTATGCTATCGTAAGAGTGCCCCATTGTGCATGAAATGCCATAGTATTATTTTAAGTTAGACCGTGATAAGTTAACCTTACATATTAGAGTGTACTGCTTAATAGAGTATCTACTGGCCATCTGTGGCAATTAAGCCCTTGAAATGTGGCTGGTGATACTGAGGAAGTACATTTATAATTTTAATTAATTTAAATTTATGTTAAAAACTGACACAGTGTAACTATCCTCTGTTGAAACACAATGTGGTTGCTCTGGTAGGCCTATCTTTAACTTTAACTGTTGTGATATGCTGTAGGTATAAAATTTATGTCAAATTGCAAAGACAATGTAAATGTACTTTTAGAAGACAAAATATCTCATTAATACTTTTATATTTGTTACATATTGAAATGATAATATTTTGGGTATATTGGGTTAAATGAAATACATTATCAAATTAATATCATCTGTTTTTTAAACTTTGCTAGGAAGTTTAGATATTCTGTAAATATATATATGTGGGTCACATTGTAATTAGGCAGCATTGCTCTAGAGGATTACTAAAATTATAGCATGAAATGATATAACTAAATAGTCAAATAAAGGAGAGAAATTGGAATGCTAAAAAATACCCATTTTTTCCAAAATAATGGAGGAAAAAAGGAACAAAGGAACAGTTGGAATAAACGGAGTAAATGAAATTAATGGAAAACAAATACCCAAATGATGAACTTAAACATAATTTTACCACAAGCTGCATGAAATATAAATAAATAAAATACTTCATTTTGTCAGATTGGATAAAATGTGAGACTAACCAGTATGCCATTCGTGAGAGAAACAGTTTAAAGACACAGAATTAAGGCAACAGGATGGAAGATGATTGTATTAGTCTGTTTTCACACTGCTATAACGAAATACCTGAGACTGGGTAATTTATAAGGAAAAGAAGTTTAATCAACTCACAGTTCTATATGGCTGGGGAGGCCTCAGGAAACTTACAGTCATGACAGAAGTGGAAGAAAACATGTCCTTCTTCACAAGGTGGAAGGGGAGAGAAGCGCAGAGTGAAGGGGAAAGAGCCCCTTATAAAACCATCAGATCTCATGAGAACTCACTCACTATCAGGAGAACAGCATGGGGGAAACCACCCTGCTGATCCAATCACCTCCTACAAGGCTCCTCCCCCAACATGTAGAGACTACAATTCGAATTACAATTCAAGATGAAATTTGGGTGAGGACACAGCCAGTTGATAGCAAGCTTAAGAAAACTGATGTGGTTATATATAAATAGTAGACAAAATAGACATCAAAACAGAGAAGAAGTAACAGAAATAAAGAAGTGTACTTCATATTAGTCAGTTTGTCAGGAAGATAACACAGTTCCCATATTTGTAGGCACGTAGTAAAAGAGCTACAAACTACATAAAGCAACAAATTATCTAAGTAAAGTGATATATAGAAAAATCCCGAATCACACTGGGACCTATTATCATTGTATTTTCAGTAATTTATAGAAAAGTAGAATAAGTAAACTTCACAAATGCTGTAAGAGAAGTGATGTAGAATGAAGAGGGATGGAATTTGCAAATTGAGATATTCTCAGAGGTCACCAGCCACTATCATTTTAAAATTCTAAGGACTTATTTTGTTAGTGTAACTTACATTGTTTTAGCTTTTGTGATAATTGCATATTGATCTTAAGCTTTTATGATCAGCAAATATTTCTAATTTCTTTTTCCATGTGCTCTGTTAAACCATATTTGTACCAATTATATTGGGGAAAACAGTTTGAAAAGAACAAATTTTGTTATTACTATTTGCAGTTTGGATTATATTTTTCCTGATTAGTGTCTGTGTACTTAAATATAAGTATCTAGAAATAATTTATAAATATAATTCCTCAATACCCTTTTAATGCTTACAGAATATCTTAGAGATCTTTTAATGTGACTATACAATGATGTATCGCCATTTTATTGTATCTCCTAGTGTGGATGCTTTATAATTTGCTTAGCAATTTATCTGTAATTGGATCATTAGGTTATTTCTAGATTTTCACAGTAACAAACAATGTTGCAATGAAAATGCGTTTCGCACTTTTTTACATAGGTATATGTATTTTTCCCTAGGGTTGATCGCAGCAGAGTGGAATGGTATATACAATTTAAAGTTTCTTACTTATGCCCAAATTTTTTCACAAAACTACTTTAAAAATTTGTGCTCCTATAAATAGAGTGCAAGAACAACATCAACCTTTTCCTAATCTTACGGTGATTTGGGACATTTTTTCATGTATTTGCAGGCTGTTTGATTGAATGCCCTTTTCTGTGAATTACTTGTTCTTATCCTTTGCTCACTTTTCTATTGCATTGCTTGCCTTTTTCTTATTCATTTGAGGGAGATTTTTAAATGTGCATTTGATAATCAACCTTTGTTGTATGCATGAGGAATATTTTCTCCATGCCTGTTTCTTGTCCTTAACATATTTATTAGAAATTTCATGTTGGTAGTGTCGTCGTTGCCCTGTATCTTTTCAGCTTTGTCTCCCGTGACTGCTCATGGGATTTTCTGAGCACTTGCGTGTAGAAGGTGCTCAGAAAGCAAATGGCTTTCTCTGGGCATCCCCTTGCTTCTTTGCACCATGTGTTAAAGGCAAATGTTGGCTGAGTTGAGTCAGTGTTTCTGCATTTAGTGATGTTTTAATTAGAGCAATTGGCTTGACTCAAGCCTGTTGACATCTGCTGATTGCTGGCTGGTCAGTAACATTTACCATAGAAAGTGATGGCCATGGATCCCCTTCCCTCCTCTGGGAGGGGTGGATGCCCAGTCTTTCCAGCTCTGTGTGGCATCCTCAAGCTCTGACAGTTGTTGGCTCCATGCAGTCCTCACTAACTAGAGACTCGGGTTCATCTGCCTGTTCTACCCCACATGGATCCCTTTAAAAGAGAGTGACCATCAGAACTTGGCACCTTGGGATACCAATTTTAGCTTTTGGCAGAAGTCTCAGAAAGTCTTAGTCTTTAAAACTAAGTGGTCTTCTTGGAAAGATCTCAAACTTGGCCCTGTTGGACACTGCAGACACATACAAAACAACTGTTTGTTCAAACAGAAAATGGGGAAACATTACAGAATCTGAAATATGCCGCTATTTAATTTCTAAAATATTTTTATATACAATAAATTCATGAACACATGCTCATGTTAAAAGGTAACACCAGAATGAAAAAGAAGTCTCATGCCATTCTTGCCTCATCAAGCCTATGCCTCTCTCCAGATGTAACCACAGGTCAAAGTCAGGTCGCATCTTTCTAGACACAAGTGCTCTTTAAACAGTGCTCATGTTATACCTATTGTTCTGTAGCTTCATGCTTCACACTTCTTTCATGTGGTCTTTCATAAGTGACTTACATTTCCATGCATTAGACCTTTCCCTTGCCATCTGGGGATGGGTTTAGTCAGAGGGACAGGCCAGTCACAGGTGTCACATACTATAGTGTGTGCAATGTGGAGGGAAGCAGGGGATGGCAAGAGATATATAACCTTTGGCTGAGAAGAGAAGTGGGACAGTGAGGACCTCCTCGAGCAACTGACATATGGGTGATCCCTGACAGACATATGGGAAGTGGTTGTGGTAGGCTGATCACGGGTTCCACAAAAGATACCCAGGTGCTAACCCCTCAGAACTTGTGAATGTTACCGTATATGGCAAGAAGGGCTTGCAGTTGTGATTAAATAAGGATCTTGAGATGGGGAGGTTATCCTGGATTACCTACATGCAATCACAAGTGTCCTTATAAGAAGAAGAAGGGAGATTTGAGATAAAAGAAGGGAATGTGACCACTGAAGCAAAATGCTTGGCTACTTTGAAGATGGAGGAAGGGACCAGGAGCCAAGGAATGCAAAGGATGCTGCTCTAAAATTTGGAAAAGGCAAAAAAGAAAAAGAAAGAAAGAGAGAAAGGGAGGAAGGGAGGAAGGAAGGGAGGAAGGAAGGAAGGAAGGAGTCTTCGAGCTTCTGGCGAGAACACAGCCCTGCCAACACCTTCGTTTCAGCCCGGTGAAACCAGTTCTTCCAGAACTGTAAGAAAATACGTAAATACACAAGCCATCACATTTGTTGTCACTGGCTAGAGTGGCTTGGAAACTAATAATAGCCAAGTAGAGAAATTCATTTAAAAGAATAATCCTGTAAGTTTTCTGGTAAGAGAACAGGAACTACTCTTTAACACGTGTTGGAGCAAAGTGAGGGATAAAGCAAAGAGACTGTAGACTGGCGATGTAAACAGGGGCCAGATCACACAGAGCCTGCAGGGCACACCCAGCAGGTTTATCTTCTATTGACAGCAACAGGGAGCAAGAGAAGGCTTTTGAGCAGGGGAACAAGCAGACTGTAGTATTGGGGAGATCACCAGTAGACTCTCCTTGAGGCTGTTACAAAAGAAGAAACAGAATTTGGTCACCTAGATGGCAACTCTTGGTTTTCCTACTTTTTTTTTGTTTGTTTGTTTTTTTTTTTTTTTTGAGACAGAGTCTTAATGTGTCACCCTGGCTGGAGTGCAGTGGTGCGATCTCGGCTCACTGCAACACCTGCCTCCCAGGCTCAAGCGATTCTCATGCCTCAGCCTCCTGAGTAGCTGAGACTACAGGTGCATGCCACCAGGCCTAGCTAATGTGTGTGTGTGTGTGTGTGTGTGTGTGTGTGTGTGTGTGTATGTGTTGTGTGTGTGTGTATTTTTAGTAGAGATGGGGTTTTGCCACATTGCCCAGGCTGATCTCGAACTCCTGAGCTCAGGGCAGTCTGCCTGCCTCAGCCTCCCAAGGTATTAGGATTACAGGTGTGAGCCATTGTGCTTGGCCCATTTTCCTACCTTTTTACTCCCATTGCATTAAACGTTTCCCCATTCCATCCAAAACTGAGTTCCCTCTCCATCCTAAAAAGAACTGAGCTCTGCTGGGCACGGTGGCTCACGCCTGCAATCCCAGCACTTTGGGAGGCCGAGATGGGCGGATCACGAGGTCAGGAGTATGAGACCAGCCTGGCCAACATGATGCAACCCCATCTCCACTAAAAATACAAAAATTAGCTGGGTGTGGTGGTGGACACCTGTAGTCTCAGCTACTTGGGAGGCTGAGGCAGGAGAATTGCTTGAACCCAGGAGGCAGAGGTTGCAGTGAGCTGAGATCATGCCATTGCACTCCAGCCTGGGCGACAGGGCGAGACTCCATCTCAAAAACAACAACAACAAAAAACAACAAAAAAACCCCAGCTCTCCTGGGATAAAACTAGATAACTAGTTTCAAGGCTGTGGGTAGGTCATTCCTTTTTGGGTTTCCAGGGTGGCTGTTTGAGTAGTAGTAAAAAGAGGGAGCTTTCTGAGCTGGCTGTGGACCAAAGCAGGCTAGAAAGAGGCAACAGAGTTGAAAGCACTTTACTTCATCTAATCTAGACCCATGATGTCCCTGAGCCAGCTGCTGACTGAGGACAAGGGGGTAGAGAGACATGTCCCCATTCCCAAGGCCCAGAGGATGGCAGTCTATCACTGGTGCTCAGACTCCCTTTCAGGGCTGGAGTCCTGAATAGAAAAAGCACTCCAGGTATCACTGTTCTGTAAGAATTGTAGTTTTGCCCCTAGGAAATTTCTGAATCTCTATAATGATTAAAGCAGACAGTCACCAAATCACTCTGTAGGGGAGAAAGATAAAGATAGCCTTCAGGGTTAGGTAAAATAATAAAAATACACTTGAGTGGGAGGCCTGTCAAGGTGATAGGAGATTTTCTGTTCTCACTTTAACAGTAGCTGTTGACAAGAGGAGGCAGGACTGTGGGACATGGGAGGCTTTCTATTATTGGGGCTGCTCTCTCAAAAGGAGGTGGGAGTCACCATGAGTCAGCAGGGCTGTTATTGTGGTGACAGAGTCAATGGGTTTCCTATGCCTTTGAAGTCCTCCATCCCATTTATCCTTGGACCAACACATCCTACCTAAGAAGTCATCAAGAGCATTGCTGAACAGAGACCACCACGCTGCGTCTACTCCAGAGAGCAATAGCTCAGTAGACATGGGTGTTTATGATTACTGTAGTAGCCATCAATTCATTCTGCCTATATAGAATCATCCTCCCATTCCCCACCCCCACCCAATAATAGCACACTGTGTTTTCCTGCAGATTCACCTCTTCCCCACTCTCAATGTGTATGACTTGGTGGTTGGCCTCCACCTCTAGATTTTACTGTGGAACTGAGACTAAAGCCAGGGCCACTGGAGTATGCTATCACTGAAGCTTAGAGATTTCTTCAAGCATTGGCAAGTGACTTGAGGTGATCCAAACAGGACCATGTACAGCTTTTGCTGCAACTTACGGAAAATAAGCACACTGCTCTTTGGGGAGTACTGAAAGGACAGGATGTACATTCGGAGCAGCTGCTGGCCATCTTGCCCCAACAAGGAGAGAGCCTGGCTGAGACTAGAACCAAGATCCAAGAAAGATTAATGAAGACGTGAAGATCTAGATTTTGGATGAATCCCATCTAAACACCTGGATCTAACTATGCCTGAAGCTTGATACTCCCAGTAATCTCTATTTTGTTTAAGTCAATTTGAGTTGAATTTCCTTCCCCTGCAATTGTAGGAGACTGCTTGCACATCTATCATCACACCATTGCAATTAGTAGCTTTCATTTAGTGAGTAGTTACTATGTTTGCAGTCTTTACTAAGCAAAAATCTTTTTAAAAATCCTTTTTATCCTTTACAAAAAAAGATAAACTAGAGAATGTCAAGATTTGGAGGGACTGTAAGAGCATCTAGTCCAGCGGTTCTTACACAAGACCTATGGACCCCTGAATAATCTCTGCACATTTCAGGGCCTTTTAGCCTCTGGCTTTTTATGCAAGACCACGAGCACTGGATTTTTTCCTGTTTAGAGGGCCCATAACCCTTATCAGATCCTCAATGGTTTGTGTTCCTAGAACCTCTTCTTCTATACCACACAGAATCTTTCCCACTGTCATAAGAAGGTCACATTCCAGTTCCTGCTCCTTCACTGAGGGACCCTGGGGTATTTACTTGCTGCTTCTTAAAATCAAGCACAGGGCTGTATGGAATTGAGTTTATGATTCCCACAAAGATTTTACAAAAGGAAGGGACTTCAAGTCAATTTCTCCTTTGTGGTGGCCGCTTTGGTCTTTGCTTCTGATAGTTGCTTCCACCCCAACTTTTCTGAACCTCAGTTTCCTCCACCAAAAAAAGAGATTTAAGATGATAGCCCTGCCTGATTTACAGAGGGTCATGGGGATGAGCTGAGGGCAGGACTGTGAAATGCCCTGGGGCTTTAGCCTGGTGTCCTGGCCCCATCTCTGCCTTCTGTCTACCTTGCAAGGTGCTTGCTGCTTCTGGGCTGGTCCGTGAGTCTGAGATGTCGGCTTGTTTTCCATGTTCTCCAGCAGCATTGCTGACATCCTGACTGGCTTATGTATACCAGAGCCTGTTCATCAAGCTGGCATATGTAGTTCTTAACAAACACATTAAGGAAACATTCGGAATGTCACTTGCAGAGCAAATGAACAGAAATAGACGGGCCATCTGATACAGAGAGGTATTTTCTTAGCTGGCAGATTTTATTTCCCCTCACACGAGGTTGAGGCCTCTAGAATGAGTTTGTTCATTAATGCATTTACTCAGTTACGCATTTGAATGAATACTGAGGAGCTACTCTGCTCAGCACTGTGATAGGTGCTGGGAGGACAGCAGGGTGTGAATGACAAACAGTGGCATATTCTTATCCTCAAGGTGTTCACCTTCCAGTGATGGGGAGAGACATTCAAAGCAAGATTGCAGTCCACTCTGGTGGGTGATGAGGCACAGTTCAGAAAAGTGTGGCCGGAAGACAGAAGAGGAAACTGACTGTATTCTAGGGGGACAGCTGGGCAGGCTTCAGAGAGGAGGAGACATTTGATCTAGGTTTTGAAGGTTGAGGGAGAGCTTGTCAGGCAGAACAGGCGGTGCTACCTCTAGCGAATGTATTTGAGTCACACAGCCCCCAAGTATGTTAGCAGCGGCGAATTCCTGTGGGTCTGCAGCAACCTCAGTTCTAGACTCTTCAGAAAGAAAGAAACAGAGGCAAGGTTTAGAGCAGGAGTAAAAGTTTATCAAAAAGTTTTAAAGCATAGAGCGGGTGTGGTGGCTCATGCCAGTAATCCCAGCACTTTGGGAGGCTGAGGCAGGCAGATCACCTGAGGTCACGAGTTGGAGACCACCCTGGCCAACATGGTGAAACCTCATCTCTACTACAAATACAAACTTAGCCGAGCATGGTGGCGAGTGCCTATAATCCCAGCTTCTCGGGAGTCTGAGGCAGGAGAATTGCTTGAACCCAGGAGGAGGAGGTTGCAGTGAGCTGAGATTGTACCACTGCACTCCAGCCTGGGCAACAAGAGCAGAACTTCATCTAAAATAAATAAATAAATAAATAAATAAATAAATAAATAAATAAATAATTAAATAAAAGTTTTAAAGCGGGAGCAAAAGGAAGTACATGTAGAAGAGGGTCAAGTGGGCAATTTGAGAGATTCAAGTGCATGATTTGACATTGACTTTGGGTTTTATACATTGGCATGCTTCTGGGAGGTCGCATCCCTTCTCCCCGGAGTTTTCCCTTGGGGTGGGCTGTCTGCATGCACAGTGGCCTGCTAGTGCTTGGGAGGGGCCTCGTGCACAGTGTGTTTCCCGAAGTTGTGCACATGCTCACTTGAGGCATTTTCCCCTTACTAGTTGAGTGTTCCAAGAGGAAGGTCATATGCCATTTAAACTCTGTCATTTTGCCTCTTAGTGCTCATGCTTGAGCCGACTCACTCAACTGCTGAGATCTTATCTGGAAGCTGCTAATCACCAGTTTCAAGGGTTTTCTATCTATTGGGAGACTGCCTTACCCTGGCACTGGCGGCAACTGATATTTATTTTAGAGACAATTTAACAACCACTTGCCCATCACCTAATGGTGGCCTGACATTCCTGGTGGGGGTGGTGGTGGTAGGGGACTTTCCTACCCTGCTCGTGTCTGACTAGCTACCTACTGTAACAGTGGGAGAGTCTGTCTGGGAAAGAGGAGGCGTGCACATGAGCTGTAGTGCTGTAAAGGTGCAATGGAGTCAGAGGCTTGCAGGGCTGGGTACCTGTGGTGCCGCAGGGGAATGGACCAAGGTAGAGTTGGGAGGTGGCTGGGTGCTGGTGGCCCAGGACTGTAATATGCCTCCTGGAGTGGTTCCTGCATTCTCTGGGCCCATGGTATTTTTTTTTTTTTCCCAAGCAGGCAAGTGATATGCTTAAATGTGTTTTAAGGGAAAGTGTGGTGTGGAGTGGGAGGGTGGGGGGTTTGGGGGTGGAAATATTGGATGTAGAAGCAAAAAAGAATGAAGAAATCCAACATGTCCCTAAAGCAGTGGCTGTCAACCCTGCATGATAGAGTCACCAGGAGACCATTTAAGAAGACCTGTTTGTGACCTCCCTTCATGCCTGTTGAATCACAAGGGTTCTGGCGGTGGTATTAAGTTCAAGTGATTGGGATAAGCAGTCAAGGTTGAGAACCACTGCTCTAGGGCTTCTTGGATACACTCACGGGGCTGTGTTGAATACAGATTACTGGGCACCTGGACTAGAGAGGCTGAATGAATGGGCCTCTGATTTTTAAAAATAAACTTTAAATTTTAGAACAGTTTTAGATTTACAGAAAAATTGCAAAGATAGTGCAGTTTCCATAGGCCTCACCTTCGGTTTCCCCAGTTACTAACTTATGTTGTTACTGTACCCTGGTACATTTGTCACAATGAACAAACCAATATCAATGATTATTAACTAAAGTTCATGCTTTATTCAGATTGCCTTAGTTTTTACCTAGCGTCCTTTTGCTGTACCGGGATCCTGTCCAGGACACTGCATCACAGGTAGTTGTCACATCTCCTTGGCTGTGACTGTTTCTCAGACTTGCCTTGATCTTGATGACCTTCCCCATTTTGAGGAGTTTTGAGGAGTTATTTTGAAGAATGTCTCACAATGGAAATGTGTCTGATGTTTTTCTCATGATTAGGCTGGTGTTATGGACTTTTGTTAGGAAAACCACAGAAGTAAATGCCATTCTCATCACGTGATATCAAGGGCACATACTGTCAACATGATATATCACTGTTGATGTTGACTTTGATCACCTGGCTGAGGTAGTGTTCGTTGTTTCTTCACTGCACAGTTATTCTTTTGTACTTCTTTTCTCTACTATTTGAAAGAAATTCACTATCTGTAGCCCACACTGAAAGAATAGGAGTTATGCTCTACTTCCTGAAGGGTGGAGTAGATATGTAAATTATTTGGAATTCTTCTGTATCAAAAGTTTGTCTATTCTCCCCTATTTATTTATTTGTTTAATCATTTATTTATATTGATATGGACACATGGCTATTATGTTATTTTATTTTTAATTAATTTTTAACTTTTTATTTATTTTTAACTTTTGGGTAATATCAATACTATTTGGTTGCTGAAAATGTTTTGGCTTTGGCCATTGGGAGCACTTTCAGTTCACTCTGTATCTCCTTAACGTAACCCTGTTACTGTGGGATTGTTGTATTAGTCTGTTCTCATGCTGCTAATAAAGACATACCTGAGACTGGGTAATTTATAAAAGAAAGACGTTTAGTTGACTCACAGTTCAGCTTGGCTGGGGAGGCCTCAGGAAACTTACAATCATGGTGGAAGGGGAAGCAAACACATCCTTCTTCACGTGGCAGCAGCAAGGAGAAGTGCCAAGCAAAAGGGGGAAAAGCCTGTTATAAAAACCATCAGATCTCATGAGAACTCACTCACTGTCATGAGAACAGCATGAGGGTAACTGCCCCCATGATTCAATTAACTCCTACCCGGTCCCTACTATGACACGTAGGGATTATGGGAACTACAATTCAAGATGAAATGTGGGTAGGGGCACAGCCAAACCATGTCACTCATTTTATTTATTTTTTCTCAGTACTTCCTTACTTTCTGGAACTACAATGAGCTCAGGCTCATTTTGTATACTTCCTGCTCCCATTCTAGAATCCTTGTATTGGAAATCATCCTGGTATTAGAAATCATCATCTGGGTGCTAGGTGTGCTCATTGCTACTGGAGTATTGTTGCTTTTAATAGGTCTACATTTTGTAAGATTTAATGTTTAATCAACTTTGTGGAGGTATACTTCACATACAGTAAAACACACCTATTTTAAGTGTACCTTTTCATGAGTTTTGACAAATTTATAAAGCCACGTTGCCACCATTACAGTCAAGTTGGAACACGTTCCCACATTCTTGTGCCACTTCCCATTCGCTCTCCACACCACTCTCCCTGCCCAGGCAAATACTGATGTGTTTTCTGTCACTTTAGATTAAAGTTGTCTTTTCTAGAGTTTCACGTGACCGGAAACATACGGTATGTACTTTTATGTCTGGCTTCTTTGACTCACCAAAATGTTTTTGAGATTCACACATATTGTGTGTATCAGTTTGTCACTTTTTTTATTGCTGAATGATACTCTTTTGTATGGATATACCAAACTTTGTTTATCCATTCACCTGTTGATGGACATTTAGGTATTTTCTATTCTTTAACTATTAAGAATAAACAGACTTCATTTCAACCAGCATTCCCAGTGACTCTGATGTTAAGGGTCTAAGGAACTCCTATTGAGAACAGTTTTAATGTTATTTTGGAGGAGAATCCCTTCTGATACATCTCATTTTATCACACCTGTTTTGCTAGCTTAGGTTCTTCCTTAAACCTGGATTACATACTGAGAAGATATAGCTTTCGTCTTCTGTTAACCCATCTGTGATTTAGGTGGTTTCATCTGACCTCTTGCTGGGTCTGAGACTCTGCAGTCTGAGATGTCAGACTGCAGAAACTTTGACAGAGACTGCGGTCAGCCTTTGAAACTTCATATTTCTTCCAAGTTCCTTGAGTGTGCTCTCTGTGCTTGAGACTATGTCTTTAGATTCTCCAACTAGCTTGAGAATTTCCTTTGTACTTTTCTTTCTTTCTTTCCCCCTCCTGTGAAAGAAATCCTGTCAAACTAAAGTTACATTTTCTTTTTCAGAGACAGTGGGCACAGGCATATACTCCCCTTTTGTGGCACATGTTTTATTACTGAACTCAGAGGGAAAATAAACCACTTTACGTTTTAACATTAGAGAACAGAAAAGTTATAAGAGCAACAAAAGATGCCTGAATTCTTGTCTTGTTCATCGTCCATCCCATTTTCTCATTTTCTTCCTGTTTCTTTCCATGGTCCTTCACCACTTCTGTACATTAACACCATATAAGCCATGGTAAAACATAACCTCTAAATATCAAAGTTTATTTCTCACTCATGTCAAGCTCCAATGAAAGTTTTCCTGGTTGAGCAACTTTCTTCCAAGTGGTGATTCAAGGGCTCCGGCTCCTTCTGTCTTGTGGTTCTGCTATCTTCCCTACCTTGGTGATTCCCAAGTTGCCGTGGGGGCACTCTTTGTTCAAGACTGCCAGAAAGGGGGAAAAGCATGGAGCAGCCATGCAGGAAGTTTCTATGGGCCAGGCCTGGAAGCAGCTCATGTCACTTCTGGCCATACTCCATGAGCCCGAACTCAGTCCTGTGCCCAACCCTCACTGCTCTGTGCCTAATGGAAGGCTCTCTGCCCAAGAGGAAAAGAAAACACTGCCCACAATTATGGTGATGATTCTATTTGATTCTTACCCTTGGGGCTCTCACTAAGCACCTGTGCAACACACGGTTGGGCGGCTGAGCATTTTCTTGAGTATTTTGTCAGATCTTGGGATCAACCCTTGCCTCCAGTTCCTTTAGGGAAATATCACAAAAAAAGAGTCATTGAAATGTTAGCTTTGTAGGATAACAGTCTTGTCTTCTTTAGTCTCTATTGAATCCCTAATATATAGCACAGTTCATGGCATTACATGGGTGCTCAATAAACATTTGTTAAACGGATTTTTAGAAAATAAACATGAGTTGGCCGGGCGCTGTGGCTCACGCCTGTAATCCCAGCACTTTGGGAGGCCGAGGCGGGCGGATCATAAGGTCAGGAGATCAAGACCGTCCTGGCTAACACGGTGAAACCCCGTCTCTACTAAAAATACAAAAAATTAGCCGGGCGAGGTGGCGGGCGCCTGTAGTCCCAGCTACTCGGGAGGCTGAGGCAGGAGAATGGTGTGAACCCCGGGGGGCGGAGTGTGCAGTGAGCCGAGATCGCGCCACTGCACTCCAGCCTGGGCGACAGCGAGACTCCATCTCAAAAAAAAAAAAAAAAAAAAAAAAAAGAAAATAAACATGAGTTAAAGTTTTGTCTTGACTTGCTCCCCCTGGATCATGTGTAGACTACCAGCAGGTGGCAGAGTGGTTTGAAATGTGCATGCTGGAGCAGGGTGGAGGAACTGGCTGGTGTCCCAGCTCCAGCTGGGCTGTGAGTGCCAGGTCTGGGGTCATAGACTCAAGAGGCAGTATGAGTGTGACAGAGTAGCATCCCTGGACATTGACCACATACAGGATCTCCCAACTCTAAAGTTGGAAGGATTGCTATGCTTATTCTGCAGATGAGGACACTGATTCATGGAGCTGTTAAATAACTTGCCAAAGGTCACCAAAGTGAGTAGCTAGAAAAGGGCAGAGTCAGGATTTGAACCTGGGTAGTGTGACTTGGAAGCTTATGGCTCTTAACCATCATGCTACAATGCCAAGAAGGCAGATAGGGAAATTACCCACCCTGGGGAAAAAACCTGTCCATGTGCAGGTCAAGGTGGCTTTCTTGGGCATCAAGAGACCAGGCAGGGAGCCTGGGAACACAAGGCTGAGGGCATAGCCACAGAGCGGGCCAGTCCTTCCGATGAGGCACCTGGTGGAGGGTCTGAGGGTAGAGGAGAGGCCTCCAGCTGGCTTGGCATCAGGCACTACAAGGAGGGCAGCGGTACCAGGCAGGGACAGATTCATGGATGTGTGTTGGAGGGACAGCCACAAATGGCTGGAGTTGGGAACATACCAGAAATGCTGAGAAGGAGATTTCAGCCCTGTGAAAGGGTTGGCTCATAGTTTCCAAACCACACCGGCAAAACTCTGGGTTTTCACAAAGACACTTGGGTGGCCTCTTGGGTTGATGGGGAGAGAGAGTGGGGAGGGTCCTGAGCCCTTCTCTCCAATACCAGCCAGTATGGTGCTTTCTCTCCAACATCAGCCAGTATGGTGCTTTCTCTCCAACATCAGCCAGTATGGTGCTTTCTCTCTTTTATATATTGGGATTCTGCATAAGTGTTTATTTTAAAAAACAAGTCTCTCCTTTGAAAACCATTCAGCTAAATGGCTTCCAGAGTCCTTCTTTTGATGTCTGAAGTGGAAATGGTATTGGAAGCTCTCCTGACATAAAGACAGTGCACTCCATGAGCCGACTTGAGTCCACTTAGGGTGACTTAGGATGAAGCATGGTTTTGCACCTGCTCTCTCCACCCTTACCTGCCCTGTCCCATGCTCCTCCTCCTCCATCACGTGGAAGGGAAATGGCCATGACTGGCCCAGACAGAGGGCAGTTTGTGCAGCATCTCAGAAACTCTCTGGTTTGAACCATGCAGCCTTGTTTCCATCCCAGCCTGGGCCCCACACTGGCCCTGCAGGAAAGTTTGCCTGGCTCATTATCTGAAAGAAATGGCCTGAGCAGTAGCCTGCCAAGAATGGGGGGAGAAAGGAGAAATAGTAACATTGATTTATTTGGGATGGAAAGATCCACAGACTGGGGAAAAAGGTAGAGAGCAATCATAAAACTGGCTCAGTTCTGCAACCTGCTGTGAGCAGAGACTGTCACAGTGCATAATAGCAAAGGCAGATGAAATGGACACAGGGAGTGCAACCCCTTCCTCCCTATCACAGAACAATAAAGCTAGAAGTCAAGGATGAAATAGGTGGGCTGACCAATAGTACATTGGCCAATTGAAGGCCTGGCATCTACCTTCGAAAGGCTGCCTGTGTTGGGATTGATGTGCTCACTGTGACTGCAGTGCTCTGCAGGAACTGTTTGATAACAAACAGGGTGGCAGACAGGCTTGTCCCTTCATATTAACCCCATCGCTCAGCTGTCATCTCAGTCAATGCCCCAAACTGCCCAATGCCCACCTCACCTTCTTCTCCTGAGGGGCCACCTGGGCTGGAAGGGGTGGAGCTCACCAGCTGGGACTCCTGGGTGGCATCTGTCTCCAGGACCAGGTCATCTTAGGACAGCTCTGGGACCCCACAGACCCAGTGGGTATGACGTGAGAAGTCACATGAAGGAGATCCCTCACAACCAAGTCCATTTGGGGACTCACAGACCCCATAGCCCATTTTTTCAAGTACCAGTCCTGCAAGTTGCGGCAAATCGGAGCAGGGAGAGGCACTTTGCTTTTCCTTTAAGGGTTGGAGAGATTTTTAGCATACAAATTGAAGCATCTCCCCAAGCAGTGCTTTCTCTAAGGCTGAAGGACAAGCAGGGATGGCATGAGTTTTGCTTCCCCAACTGTTCCCAGGCACAGCAGGCCTGCAGGTGGCAGAGAAACAGCACTCACATAGAATAGTCTAAAATATTTTCCACCAAAAACCTCATGCCTGATGATTTGTGTTTGAGCCACATTCAGTGACCTGGACAGAGTTGATACCCAGACCTGGGTTGCATTTGTCCTATGGGAAATGAGGCCTGAGTACAACATAACTGAAAAATCCAGGAGTTGGAAGGTGTGGGGAGTATACGGTCATGTGACCTGGTCTTGGTTCTGGATGATCACTTTGTGCTGGGACCCAGTTGTTTCCTCTAATCTTGGGAACCTGGAGAGTCCTGATCATTTTCCACACTGATTGGGGTTCAGGGAAACACTTGAAGCCTAGGGGTTGGTTAAGACCCACTAGAATGTCTGGATTCCTAGCCCAGCTCTGACCTTCTAGAAGTATGCCCGTGGGCACATCCCTTAACTCTTTCAGACCTTGGTTTCCCTATTTGTCAAGAGTGAATGATGCTGATATGACATGGGATGTTTTCCATTTATTCCTCCAGATTCATTCTCTATCCTTGTCCATCCATCTTTGTGTATAGGAGGCTGACTTATAGGCTGTAGCAATGGGCTTCCTTATCCTGTGGTGTCCAAATGGGTTTGTCAATGGAAGTTGTCAGAAGAAAACTGAAGAAAGGGAAGAGAGTTAGGTCGAGGTATTTGTTTCCCATTTCCTTTCTTCCGGGTCACTGTGAGTTGGTTGCATCCCTTTTCTTTGGATGGTTCTCCATTCAGGTGCCGGTCCCCATCCGTCTACTTGCAAGCTCTTTCAAACCCAAAGGAGTGATGACTTCCTGCTGTCACTAGCTGTGGAGTACTGCACCAGCACCTGTTAGTTCCTGGGGCACTGCGTATACCTTTGTAAACTCCCTTTATTAAGCTTTCATCACTGGCCTCATTTGAATGGGCCATCTTTGTTCTGCCAGGACCCTGACTTGTATATTACAGAAACCTCTTTCATTCATACCTATGTCACAGAGTGGCTGTGATGATTACATGAGTTCATGCACACAGAAAGCTTAAGACAGGGCTTAACACATAGGATGGGTTTGTTAAATGTTAGCTACCTCTGACTCTTAATTCTTGTGTCATTATACTGCCCCAGACGAGGACACACTTTGGATGATTTAGGGACTTGACGTTATGGCCATTTGGTTGTTCTGTCTCGTTTCTGATAGTTCCCTGTTCTTTCCTCCGTGAAATGTGGGTTGATGGAGGTGTCAGCATGTGGCCTTCTGCGCCCACCCACCTCCTTCTCACACCATCCTTAACTCCAGCTTTTTCCTATGGCCGTTTTGAGCCCTGTGCCATGGCCTTGTCTACTCCTGAGGCCCAACACAAAGAGATATGGAGCATAACCTGTATTTGCTGGTGACACACAAGTCTAAAGATGTCACCACAATCTACTTATAGCACCCAAAGAGATTTCTCATGCCTACTTGCAATCACTTCGTATCTGTCCCAACTCCCTAGCCCTGGCAATTGCTGGTTAACTGTCTGTATCTATAGATTTTCCTCTTCTGTGCATTATTTATAAATGGAATCATAACATATGTGGTCTTTTTGTGACTGGCTTTTTTCACTCAGCATAATTTTTTCAAGGTTTATTCATGTTGTGCCATGTATCAACACTTGGTTTCTTTTTATGGTGGAATACTATTCCATTGTGTGGATAGACCACAGTTTATCTCTCTGTCTTCTGTTGACGGACATTTGGATTGTTTCCATTATTTAGGTATTATGAACAAAGCTGCTCTGAGCATTTGAATATATCACATAGGTTGTTTATTTGTGTGATTCATTTAATTAGAATTTAAGCTTGATGAAAGTAGTTTATTATATGTCATATATTGTATTATATATATGTTTGCCATATATGATTGATAAGTGTTTTTTAAATGAAAGAAGACATAAATAGTGGCAATGGAAAGAAATCAAGGTGGTTAGAAATCCTCTAACTGGTTTAGCTGGGAAATCCAGGCTGGTAGAAAAGACATCTTAAGGGGGTCCTGGCAGGTCTGCATTGGCATCACCTGAGGCACAGGGCCAGGGAATCTGCATTTTAGCAAGCTTCCCAGGGAATTCTGAGCACCCTGGAGCTGGGGAAGCCAGGAATATTTTGCCAGTTGGAGAAGCCTGCCTGTGAGTGGTAGAATGAGGTAAAGTTGTGGATTTGTCCCTGCCCAAACATTTCACTTTTACAACTTTGTTTATGAGAGCGATGGAGTTGTGTTCCTTTCCTAGTGATGGTCCCATGTGGGACATCTCTGTCTAGGTCAGGTTAAGGCTGAATCATTTTCCAAAAGTAACTTCAGTTTTCTTCTTTTGTCCTTGGTGCTGACTCTCTCACAACTCATCTGAGGGGTACAGGTTTTCCTTTGCTAGGGGGGATGCTGGATGATTGAAGAGGCAAATAAAGCAGCTTGCAGTCAACTCAGCAAGAAGGAGGTCCAGAGCCACAGACAGGACCACAAAGAGTCACAGCGCCTTGAGTAGGGTAAGCAGCAGGTTAAGTGTGCAAGGGTTAGGAGTCTGGATTAGGAGGAAGCAGCTAACAGGTACCCCTGTAGAGGCATTGAAAAGCAGCATTTCTATATTCCATCATCCAGGCAGGCTCATAATTCTGCCTTTCTTATACTGAACCAGATATACTGTTAGCTTGCTTTGCAGCTGTGCAGAGATATACATGACTGCCTTTGCTGGAAGAAGTTGCTGCTGGTTTTTTAAGGGAAGGTTTGCTCTTTACTTTGATCTGACTTCTAAAGAATAAAGCATATTCTTTTTTATAGCAAAGGAGACTTCTAGGAAGTTTGAGTACCGTATTTAAATTTAAAGTCTCCCCTCAGCATGTGAAGGCAATATTAGTGTCAGTTAGGTGTAACAGATGAATGGTTAACGTAACAAAAGATGGAAAACCTGAAAAAGATTCATATCCAAATGAAAATGCATGTTTGAGCTAAATTACTGCTTTTTGTTGCTACTTACTTTTTATTTGATAATGAGCATTAGCTACATATGAACACTGATAGTCTCTTTAGGATAAATAAGATGCATTTCCACCTGATAATGGGTGTAAATTCAGCAACGTGCTTAGCCCATTTCTCTCCTTCAGGATCCTGAAACAGAATGAGGGAGATAGCATGTTCTTACATATTCAATAGACAAAGTTAAATGGTCTGCCTTTCTCCCCTTATTTTACACATTTTATCCCACATTAGCACCTATATTATAAGAATTTGCTAAATTAAAATGTATATATCATTTATTGGGTACTCTACTCTGTATCAGGTACTATATAGCTCTTTATATAGAATATTTTATGTGATCCTCATCACAGTCCTATGAGATAGGTACTATCTTTATTCTTATTTTACAGAGGGAGAGGAAACTGAGGCTCAAAATGGTCAGGCGACTTATCCAAGGTTATTCAGTTAGCCTGTGGAAGAATTTTGATTCATGCTACCCTGTGCCTGAAACCAAAGCCAAAATTCTTAACTACTGATTTGATTCCAGAAGTACTAGAACTGTGGTCTGCAGAACCCATGGGGGGTGGGGGTGGGGAGTTCCTGAGACCCTTTCAGAGTGGGCCTATTAAGTCAAAACTTTTTTCATGATAATATAAATTCATTATTTGTCTCTTCATCTGTGTGGATACTTGTATTGGTGGTGTAAAAGCAAAACTGATTAAATGGCTGTCACTTTTGCACAAATCAAAGCAATGGTACCCAACTGCATTGCAAATCACTGACTCTTTTCCTACAGTGTACTCACAAAAAACTGCCTGATGTTAAAATATTTAGTGTTATATAATGGAACGTCTCAACATTTGGAACAGCTGCATAACTCATTGAGCCAATAGCTTTTTAATGACCAATGCATGGTGTAACAAAATCATGCGTGGGTAAAGAGCCACTTAAAGTTTATGATTGTTCTTTTTAAATGCATACATATTTTTAAATTTCTCAGTTCTAATGGCAGATATTGGTAGATATAACCTGTATAAACAAAACCTATGTAGGAGTGGGGATCTCTCTCTCTCTCTCTCTCTCTCTCTCTCTCTCTCTCTCTCTCTATATATATATATATATATTTTTTTTTTTTTTTTTTTTTTTTTTTTTAGACGGAGTCTTGTGCTATCACCCAGGCTGGAGAGCAGTGGCGTGATCTCGGCTCACTGCAAGTTCTGCCTCCCTGGTTCACGCCATTCTCCTGCGTCAGCCTTCCAAGTAGCTGGGACTACAGGTGCCCACCACCACGCCTGCCTAATTTTTTTTTTTTTTTTTTTTTTTTGTATTTTTAGTAGAGACGGGGTTTCACCGTGTTAGCCAGGCTGGTCTCGATCTGACCTTGTGATCTGCCCGCCTCAGCCTCCCAGAGTGCTGGGATTACAGGAGTGAGCCACTGCGCCTGGCCTAATATTTTTTAAGATTGCAAAAGAGTGTGGAGGCCAAAATGTTTGTGGAGCACTGCAATGGGCAGCTGGGAACCACCGGAGGCTCTTGAGCAGAGAGAGGTGTATTGGTCACATTTCTTAGAGTAACTCAATTCTGTGTCCTTTTCATCATGGGAAGTTTCTCTAAAAACTCCACCACTGACATACTTTTGTTTTTGAGACAGGAGCTTACTCCGTTGCCTAGGCTGAGTGCAGTGGCGCTACCATGGCTCACCGCATACTCAGCCTCCTGAGCTCAAGCAATCCTTTCGCCTCAGCCTCCTGAATAACTGGGATTACCACCACACACTGGCTCATTTTTTATTTTTTGTAGAGACAGGGTCTCACTATGTTGCCCAGGCTGGTCTTGGACTCCCAGATACAAGCGATCTTCCCATCTCGGCTTCCTAAAGTGCTGGGATTACAGGCATAAGTCACTGGGCCCACCTATATACATATTGGCATATGAGAATGATACCAGAATGAATCCAGAAGACTCTCCCAGACTTAAGCTCTGGGCTTTGAGAGTTGCCCTATGTCTGGTGCTTGAATTGCCCTATGGCTGGTGCTTTTACAGCTTTGTTTATGAGAGCATTCTGTGCATAGCAGTACTCTTCCCCAAAGCATCAGGCTCTGAATATCTAGTTCCTAACCAGGCTGACTCCAATCAGATAAAGCCATCACTCCTGCATAGGCCTCATTCTCTGAGGATGTGCAGTTCACATCTATGTAGCAGATAAAAAATTAGACTTACATGTACAGGATCAGACTGGGGAGAGGTTAATCACAGTCAGGCCAACCTCATGGAAGAGAGAGGGCATGGAGGCCAGATACTCTTGTGAGATGGGAAGAGAAAATTTCCTCACTGAACTCCTAGATAGAATAAGAAAAATTCCAGGGACTGGACTTGCCAAGATGGACACATTATCTAAGGCTAGTTTTTATTACCAAATGCTTATAAGTGCTTATTCTCTGTTGTATACTGTGTTAAACTCTTTTCTTTTCTTTCTTTTTTTTTTTTTTTTTGGGGCAAAGCCTCGCTTTGTCACCCAGGCTGGAGTGCAGTGGCGCGATCTCGGCTCACTGCAACCTCCGCCTCTCGGGTTCAAGCAGTTCTCCTGCCTCATCCTCCTGAGTAGCTGGGATTACAGGTGTACATCAGCAAACCCAGCTAATTTTTGTATTTTTAGTAGAGACGGGGGTTTCACCATATTGGCCAGGCTGGTCTTGAACTCCCGATCTCAAGTGATCCGCCCACCTTGGCCTCACAAAGTGATCAGATTACAGGCATGAGCCACTACACCTGGCCTGCTAAGCCCTTTTCATGCATTATCTCATTTGATCTCCTCAATTGTTCTATCATGTTGGTAATATTACATCCATTTTACAGGTGAGAAAACTGGGGCCCAGAGAGGTACAGGCCTGAGCCAGGCTTTGAATTTAGTGTTGGTTTCTTCAAAGCTTCCAGTTCTTAACTCCTCTGTTGCATTTTCCTCTTTAAGTGTATTGGCTGGATGGCAGCTGGAAAACATGTGAAAAACATAATGAGAGTAGGGAAAAGGCATAAAGGCAGAACTGGGAGTACTATGGAAGGGACTGAATATGGATTAGGAGGGAAGGGAGCGATCAAGTTTGCTGTTGCTTCTGGTGTATGTGGGTTGTTGAGTGCTTTATGCTGGATAGGCAGATAATAACCTGAGGCCAGTCCTGTTACTTGGCTGCTCTTCAAGATGGAAGACCATTCTATGAAAACCAGAAGAAATCAACACACTAATTATTATTATTATTATTTTAAATTTCACTTTAAGTTCTGGGATACATGTGCCGAGTGTGCAGGTTTGTTACATAGGTGTACATGTGCCATGGTGGCTTGCTGCACCTATCAACCCATCATCTAGGTTTTAAGCCCTGCATGCATTAGATATGTGTCCTAATGCTCTCCCTCCCCTTCCTCCAACTCCCTGACAAACCCTTGTGTGTGATGTTCCCCTCCCTGTGTCCATGTGTTCTTATTGTTCGACTCCCACTGATGAGTGAGAACATGTGGTATTTTGTTTTGTGTTCTTGTGTTAGTTTGCTGAGGATAATGGTTTCCAACTTCATCCATGTCCCTGCAAAAGACATGAACTCATTCTTTTTTATGGCTTCATAGTATTCCAAGGTGTATATGTGCCACATTTTCTTTATCCAATCTATCATTGATGGGCATTTGGGTTGGTTCCAAGTCTTTGCTATTATAAATAGTGCTGCAATAAACATAAGTGTTCATGTGTCTTTATAGTAGAATGATTTATAATCCTTTTTGTATATACCTAGTAATGGGACTTCTGGGCCAAATGGTATTTCTGGTTCTAGATCTTGAGGAATCACCACACTGTCTTCCACAATGTTTGAACTAATTTACACTCCCACCAACAGTGTAAAAGCATTCCTATTTCTCCACATCTTCGCCTGCATCTGTTGTTTCCAGACTTTTTAATGATCGCCATTCTAAGTGGCATGGGATGGTATCTCATTGTGGTTTTGATTTGCATTTCTCTAATGACCAGTGATGAAG
Source organism: Homo sapiens (assembly GCF_000001405.40). Classification (NCBI taxonomy): domain Eukaryota; kingdom Metazoa; phylum Chordata; class Mammalia; order Primates; family Hominidae; genus Homo; species Homo sapiens. The sequence goes on from NC_000016.10 coordinate 82,377,306, forward strand.
ATATTTTTTACACATATTTGTTGGCCGCATAAATGTCTTCTTTTGAGAAGTGTCTGTTCATATCCTTTGTGCCCTTTTTGATGAGGTTGTTTGTTTTTTTCTTGTAAATTTTTTTTAGTTCCTTGTAGATTCTGGATATTCGCCCTTTGTCAGATGGATAGATTGCACAAATTTTCCCCCCTTCTGTAGGTTGTCTATTCACTCCGATGATAGTTTCTTTTGCTGTGCAGAAGCTCTTTAGTTTAATTAGATCCCATTTATCAATTTTGGCTTTTGTTGCAATTGATTTCAGTGTTTTAGCCATAAAGTCTTTGCCCATGCCTATGTACTGAAAGGTATTGGTTAGGTTTTCTTCTAGGGTTTTTATGTCAACATGCTAATTATTATGTAGCCAGAAGTTTGGTGGAAAACAAGACTTTGTAGTAGAGCCAGTCAGTCAGCCACAGGACTCAGGCGCCGTGCTGAGAAGGAGGTCAGACAGTGCTATACCGCCTGGGAAACATTAGCGGAAGATCATGGGCTACAGGCAAAAGCGAATGGGGCTTGAGACTTAGCTCTACCCCATTGGGTTAGCATTGCTCTGTTCTCAACTTCCTGATCTCAAGGATGGAGATGATAATACCACCTTGAAGGGCTGTTGTGAGAGTTAAAAGAGGCGGTATAGGAAGCCACATCACATGGTGACCAAAACACACCATGAACATTAATATTTTTTCTTCTCTTCCTCCCCAGTGTCCAATAAACACATTCTGCTTGAGCTCTTATCTCCACCCCCTCTGCCTTTCCTAGGTAATATATTTTATTCTTGTCTCTAAAGACACCATGTATTGAATGCTTTGGATATCGTTTGGGAACCAGATGGCTTGGGCTTACCTCATGCTCATTAGCTACATGGTTTTGGGCAGGGCACTTGACTTATGTTGCATTATTTACTTCAACAGTAAAGCAATAGAACAATGGCATCTATCTGTAGGGTACCTGTGAAGATTAAATGGGACAAAACATGTAGCGGGTAGAGCAAAAGGCTTAACACATTGCACAAGCTCAACAATTGTTCTTACTCAAAAGCAATGTCCTCAGAGAAGACATTCAACCCTTCCTCCATCCCCTCCCTATTGGCTAAAAATAGGGAGCACAGTGAAGATCTGGCCTATGGCAAACCTTGGCAGGTGCATGGGAGCTGAGCTCTGGCAAAGGGCAGGTCCATTCTGTTGTGGAAGGGGTAGAGTGGGGGCAGATAGACTGAAAGGTTGAGAACATTATCTGGTTCCTAAAAGGCTTAAAGGGTTACCTCTGGAGGGTGATTGGGAGCCCTATGTCCATTAAACGCATACAACAGCTGAATGAGACCTCAAGTTTCCAAAAAAAGAGTTGTATATTTTTGCTCATATCATTACCTACAAGAATCCCAGAAGAGAAATAGGCCTTCTTGTCTACTTGGATAGGCTCAGCAAGGGTAAATGGCTTGAGAACCTGCAGCAAGTAAATAGCATCAGCAGAACTCAAACTCAGGCCTTTCCCTAGTATGACACTCTCCCCATCACACCACAAGCCATCCACTGACCACTAGGGTGATCGAACCAGGGCTAGGATGAGGGTGAGGGGAATGAGGCGAGCCGTGCATGTGCCAGATGGGGACTTGTCTTTGTTTAACATTTTGATATCTTGTTCATCATGGATTTTTTCCATTCTGATGTTTTAAAATCATTGCATTAAAATGTTATTTGCCTTGAAAAAATAATTATTCCTTATCATTATTGTGGTGAAAATTTGACAAGCATTGTGTTACGTGCTTTCTAAGTGCCATGTTGTTGCATCTTTACAACAATTCTGTGGGACAGGATGAGAAACCTGGGCTTAGAGTATAGAAAATCATCATGCAGATATAAGGCGTCCCAAGATTGCTTTTTTCTCTGTCTACCACCCCACACTGTAGGCCTCTCTTTTGTTTCTAACCAATGCTCTTTATGACTTATTTATTGGCTATGGCCTGATTAAGTGACTTGAGAACTGGCGTAAGGCTGCTATTTATGTGCACATTGATAACCCACCTTACAGTATTGAAGACCCTACATGATCATCAACGTTAAAGGGCTCGGAAAAACCTGGAAGCACTCTACAAAATATTTGTTCTTTATTTATGTAGGTCCCCATCATGTTCTAGAACGGGATTTGTAGTAGTCTATTAGTTGTCATTAGAGTGATGATGATTAATGATTATAATAACAAGACAAGTGTAATTGGTTCAAATTGTGCCTTTTGAAATAGCCTCCTCGGAGGCCAGGCAGCCGGGAGGGAGAAGGCAGCCTCTGCCACAGGGATCTGAAAAGATGGGCCTAATTGGTTAAAAGCAGGATTGCTAATTGCTTTGGCAAGGGCCTGAGGGAAGGCTCTGGTATGATTATAGATGAACTGAGGTCCCTTGAAACCCTGTGATTCTGGGCTAGATCTGCTCCTCCAAACACAAGCAGAAAAGAGAGCAGATGTTCAGCCACTTGACAAAGATTTAATAAGACACTTAGAAAAATTACCATGTTCACTTTGCCCCTCCTGACCCCTCGGTTGGAAGCTGGAGGAAGGCCTGTTTTGGGCGGCTGATGCTCTGAGCTGAAACCTTAAGCGGCATGTGCCAAGGAGTTTTCCATTTTTCCACGATCCTCCTGTTCTGTGGTCCTCCCCTCCATCTGACAAGAAGGGCTTTTTGTGATGTGAGGAGGAGGAAAGGTAGCAGGAAGAGGAGAGGCTTGATGATGATCGACATCTGTGCTTTAAATTCCAGTTGAGGGTAGACAGGCTGCCACTGAGTTATTGAACTCTTCTATTTGGAGAGCAAAGGAGTAAAGTCAAGCCAGATCACAGCACCACACGGCAAATCTCCACGGCATGTGCTGGAGAACCCAGCAGGGCAGAAGAGCCCAAAGGTAGGATTTTGCCAAAGAGAAATTTCTCCCTTGTAGATTGTGTTAGTCACCAGGAAAAAACAGTACGGAGACTGGCAATGAGGCTGAATGGGTGTGGGACTCTGCTCTAGTCTGGGGAAGCCTGGGAAAACTTGTCGGTGGCCACTTGTAGCCACAGGGGTTTGGAGAGTGACCACCTGGATTCAAAGCCAGCCCAACAATTCATTAGTGAGGGGCTCATGCAAATCACATAACCACACTGAATCTCAATGTCCTCACTTGTAAAATAGGGAAAATGATACCTCCCTCATACAGTTATTGTGACAAGTAAATGACACAGAGCAAGTGTGTTCATTTTCTAGGGATGCAAATCACCACAAATTGTGTGGCTTAAAACAATAGAAATTTGGCCAGGTGTAGTGGATCATGCCTGTAATCCCAAAACTTTGGGAGGCTGAGACAGGCAGATCCCAAGGTCAGGAGTTTGAGATCAGCCTGACTGACATGGTGAAACCCCGTCTCTACTGAAAATACAAAAATTAGCCAGGTGTGGTCGTGGGCACCTGTAATCCCAGCTACTGAGGAGGCCTAGGCAGGAGAATCATTTGAGCCTGGGAGGTGGAGGTTGGAGTGAGCTGAGATCATGCCATTGCACTGCAGCCTGGGTGAGAGAGCAAGACTCCCTCTCAAAAAAAACAAAAAAAAACAAAAAAACAAAAAACAAACAAACAAAAAAACAAATCAGAAATTTATTTTCTCACAGTTCTGGAGACCAAAACTCTGAATGTAAGGTGTGGGCAGGGCAGTGCTGCCTCGAGGTTCTAGGGGAGGATCCCTCCTTGCTTCTTCCAGCTTCTGATGGCTCCCAGCAAGCCTTGGCATTCCTTGGCTTGTGGCAGCATCACTCCTATCTCTGCCTCCATCTTCACATGGTCTTCTTACCTGGATGTCTGTGTCTTCTCTTCTTCTTATAGCAATGCCAGTCTTTGAATTTAGGGGCCATCCTAAAATCCTCTATGATATCATCTCCATATCCTTAACTTAACCGAATCCACAAAGACTGTTTCCAAATAAGGCCATATTCTGAGTTTCTGGGTGAACATGAATATTTAGGGGACACTATTCAACACACCACCATAAGTAAAGAGATTAGAATGCCCCTTGGCACATAGAAAGCTCTAGATAAATGTTAGCTACTATGTTTGCTATCACTACTACTTCTGTTGTTATCACGGCGGAGGTACCAGGTCGTATTTCCTCAGGCTCACTTGAAACACAATTATTTGTTAACTATATGTCATAGTAGGCACAAAGGTTAATCAGATGGGCTAAGATGAAGGGGTGATGATTTTAAATATACAAGCATAGCACACTACAACTATAAAACTTGTAGGTCACTCATATTGGGTTTTTAAGCTCCTTTGATGTCAGGCATTATTTCTTGCTCTTCTTGCCTGACATTGAGCTGAGAAAACAAGGAATTGGCATTGAACTCACAGAGCCTTAAGTTTAAACACTAAATCTACCTTACCTCTGGAAACTCATATTTTCTTATCTGTAAAATGGACAATTCTTCCTTTAGTCATGGGGTTGCTGTGGATGTTGAAGTTGAAGCCCTAGGGCACGGTGCTGGGTTTTAGAGGGGGTGTGTGGGATTCAGCATCGCTAGGGAAGGAGGACCTGCATGGTGGCGGGGGGAGTGTGGTGGAGCCATTAACCAGCGTTGGGTCAGGTCTGGATGGAAAAGAGAAGGGAAGTGACTTCACTCAAAGCTTAGGGGTGGAAGGTTAGAGAAGGTCTGGGATCAGGTATGAGAGCAACCAAGGAGCAACACCAAATTCAGCCAGGCGAGGACATGGGGCGGGAATCCACAAGGGAGTCCAAGGTGAAGGTGGCAGGGGAACTCCTGTGTTTCTGACAAATGCTTCAGGTAGTCATCAGTGGCACATGGTGCTGTGGATTAATTTATCCAGGTCCATACATACCTGTGTGGTTCCCATGGGCCAGGTGCGTCACTAAGAATTAGGTATTCACAGTGGAAAGCAAAAACTACAGCCTTTGCTCTCTTGGAGCCTACAGAGTAGACTGGAACAGAGGTTATTTTTAAAAAAAATTACTGAAAGATATAAAAACAAAGTGTGTTCATCACTGGGTAAGAACAGCACAGGGAGTAGCTATGAGAGATCAGTGATAACCAGGGTTCTGATCTAGTCCAGGAGAGGGAGAGGCTGAGGAAGGTCTCCCTGAAGAAGAGACATTTACATTGGGAGACAAAAGAGGAGAAGAGATTGAGCAGGTGCAGGGTGGGCTGGTATAGAGGGAGGGCCGGGCATGAAACAGAGGGTAAGGCAGGTGGAAAGGTGAGAGGCAGGGGAGGCTTGCTTGGTGGTCAGGCAGACTTGGGTAGTTGTGGCAGAGACCGTTTGACCCACAAGACCTGAAATACTTACTGCCTGGACCTTTACAGGAAAAGTTTGCTGATCTCTTATCAAGTGTGTTTTCGTAGGTGTCAGCATCTTTGAATACAACCGTGCTGTTTCTGAGTAACAATGGGGAGGGTGAGGGGATATTGTCTTCTCTCTAGCTGCCCCCAAAACTTCCCAGTCTGTCTGTTCCAGCTCCTCAGCTTGGCAGCACAGGGCCACAGATATGTGTAGTTTGGCCCACAGAGTGTTTTGATTTTTTTTCTTTTGAAGAGTTGTCATGACTTAAACCTTGGAAAAGTCACACACAGTGTTGGAGTTCCAACTTCTCTTGCAAAATCAGAAGCTCTGGCATCACTGTCCCTCCTTTCCTCAAGGCAACCCCCGAGGGGGTTGGAGATGAATGTAAAATGCAATTCTCAGTTCAATAGAGACCTCATAGGCCTCTTCTGTCTGAGCATTTCCTGCCTGGCTCCTGTAGGCACCTGAGTCTCTGCCCCTTGATCTCTGCCCTACTGAGGATGGTCAGATGGGAAAGAACAAAACCCCTTGGTTCTTAGGAAGAGATTGTTTCAAATTAAAGTCTTGATGCCTAATTAGGAAGCCAGTTTACATTTCCCCCGAGGGAGAATAGTTCTGTCTCCCAGGAAAGAGTTCTTTAAATGGGACAGACCTGGATGGCCTCTAAGTGGGTTTCCTTTATTCTTCCGATTTCTTCTTTATTATTTTTTAACAGCAGTGAAACGCTTTCTGCAGAGAATATCTTATGCAAAAACCCAGTGTAAAATACACATCCAAGTGACTGTGCTCAGATTGAATGTGTTTTGCTCACCTTGGAAAATTGGCTGCTTGACTTTCTCTTCTGCTTTTTCCGAGGTGGCTCTGGGACATCTCTGGGTAAACTTTGGTTCCTCAGAAAACCCCTGCCAAGAGCGTTGTGAGAGAGGCTGCTGCAAGCTGGAGGAACAGGTCGTACATAAAAGGGTTAAAAACAAACAAACAAACAACAAACAGAAGCAAAGGTACTCTTGGTTCCTCACCTTCGTAACTCTGGGCCAACCTGAAATTGAACAGCTTGCAAAAGGCAAATCTGGATCTCTACCTGTGGCTCCTTCACTCCCTGGGGGCCCGACACGGACGGAGTGAGATAACCTGAGTAGTAGATGGCAAACATCAGAGTCGAGGCCCTGCAAACGTGCAAGGCCTGCTTCATCACTGTGACTGGAGACTTGGACCTGTATCCTTTTCAGGAGTGTGTCACTTCCTGTGGCATGCAGCGTGGAAAAGCAGTCACTGTCCTGCTGTAGCTTTGAAGTGGGGGCTGCCTCTGTCTAATATGGTGAGGTGCTGGTTCATGGAACTCTGGGACCGGGGCCTTGGCCACAATCTGCAGGAAATGCTCAGACTCGGAGGATTCCCGGAAATGAGAGAGAGGTTTCTGAGCTTCTCTGGCTTAGCCTAGCAGCTGTGCTGTCACGTTATTACGGATGCTTGTCATTGAAGCATCACTGTCTGCAACCTTGACATGCACCATTTCAGACTCATTTTTCAAAATTGCTTTGAAAGCCCAGGGCCCATCCCATGCATTAGGGGAACTCCTCTGTGACAGGTGCTGGGGGTGATGGAGGCAGCAGAGAAGTCCCTGTGCAGTGCTGACTCATGGGAGCACATGTGAAAAGACACAGGCTGGCTGCTATGAAGCCTCTGTAGGGGTTTAGAGGTGTTTTCCTTGTTAGAGGAGGACATCCTTTTTCTACAGGGCTACATGACCCCCACCTGTACAAGCAGCTTTCTGGCAACTGAGCTAGCACACCCCACTCTGGGCTGTCTGTAGTTCTGGTGGCTTCGCCTGTCCAAACTGTAAGCTCTTAGGCAAACTTCTATGACTTTTTAGGTTTCTGTTTCCTCATCTGTATAAGTATGATAATATCCACCTCCCAACCTTATCTACATATTAGAAATAATATTACCTACCTCATAATCTCATTTGTTTAATATAAATGATAATATTCACCCCTCAACATTAACTGTATAATAGAAATAATTATACCTACCTCTAAATATTAGCTGTAGAATGGAAATGATAATACTCACCTTGAAATTATGTTTGAGAATTAGAAATAATACGCCTAAAATGCCGAGAAGTGCATTAAATGATTAACGCATTTACTACGTGACAGGCTCAGGAACTCTTGGCTTTCCAGAGGCCCGACCTAATTCACATTTTTGAGCCTCCAGGTATGCTTAAAAAATAAAAACATCCCCAAATTGTTGCAAAAATTGTTATATTTTAAGTGTTTATTTTGGACAGATGAATGCTTTTAACAAACATACTAGAATATATAAATAGCCTCATTCGGGGTGACCTCAAATTCTGGCTCCACAGCTCTTGAAGAGATGGCGTCTAGGCCAAATGCACCACCCCCATGCCCATTACAGGCTCTAAATAGGCCCTTAATAAATGATAGTCATCATAGCATGATATAATCATATTATATCTATCCCTGGAGGTTATAAACAATGTTTCCTCTCTAGCTTTATCTGCTATAAATCAACTGAGTCTTCCCAGCATTAAAACACTTCATGATGGGCCAGTGAACCATGGTGGGGGAAGCACAGAAGGAGTTGGCTCCAGCTGTTGGCAGCTGCAGAGAGTTACTGAGGCCCACGTGGGGCCCACATATATGGCTGTGTGGCTTTTCGTATTGAATAATACCCACAGACCAGATTCAACTTGCACAACGGTTGATTTCTGGTGAGGCGATCTCTGCTGGCCACAAAACGCCCCAGGCTGGATGGGGTCAGACTGCGATTCTTTTAGCTAGTGCCTCGGCAGCAAGGCATCTCCCTCTGGACATCCAGCAAGACTCCTGGTGATGGTGCTGTCAAAACAGACTTCCCTTTACTAGGACTGGTAATCCCATGCTTTGGCCTCCAGTTAATATGTGCATGCCTTACTGGGGAGAAGGGACCTCATGTTCTTGGATTTTGCTGACATGGACTGTGCAGGTCTCTAAGTGCCAATCGCAGGGAAGAGTCAACACCTCATCACTGACCTAGGATAGCATAAATGCAGCTGCTTCTTATCCAATGACAGGAACCCATTCTGAGCCTAGGTGAGGGAAGACAAGGATTCCAATGACAACTGGGCCACCCTGACTTGCTGTTTCTCAGACTTCTTAAAGTTTGACTGTCAGCCCACATTGCCCAAGTTGGATGATCACACTTCTGAATCAAAATTAGGAATTGCGGTTTGCCCAGTATTTTAATGACCACAAGGGCAGTAGGGATAGGGTATTCTGAAGTGGGAACCTTCCCATTATGTGTGGGATGGAGGAAATCCAGGGCACACAAACCTTTCCATTATGTGTGGGATGGAGGAAATCCAGGGCGCGCAATCACGACATGCAGAAGTGAATGCTCAGAGCTGGTCCATCTGAGCTGGGCCACCAGTAAAGGGCATGCATTTGAGGAGTTAATTCTGGGACCACTCTGTACCTTGTAATCACTCCTTGGGCTGTTATAATCAAATGGAACTTACCACAAAGTTAATTCGAGATTATATTTAGTGATATGCTTTATCGTTGTTGTAGTGAGTGGTAATTAGGAATAAAATGGGAAACAATTCCCATAAAAGATTGTGATTAGCATTGATTATGCAGACAACCCGAGGTTTTCCACTCGCACCTTTTTGCTGCTTCTGTCTCTCTAATGAGCATTAATTTTGCCTCCTCCCATGCTCTGAAACACAGGCCTGCGTTCTCATTTCGTGCTTTGGCTCCCTTACCCTGTCCCTCTCCCCACTGGTGGCTCTGGGTTGAGGATCAGAGTGCTGCTTTTGGTGCCCATTTTGCCAGAACCCCTCCTTAGTTTCCTACTTCTAGAGTCCTTGAATATCTTCTCTCTGCCCCTCACCTGCCTTGGGTGCCTGGTGAAGCAGGGGAGGCTGCCTGGGGGAGGCAGCTGGTGATGTGGGTTTTGGTCAGGGGGAGAGGTGTCCTGGGACCAAGGCTAGTGGAGAGAAGGCTAGATTAGGGGAGGAAGAGTGGGAACTCATCAGATGGAAGCTCTTGCAGAAAACATCTCTTCACCAGGTCAGTTAACATCCAGAGCAGTTGGGGATAAATTATCAGTTTAGAGGCAAAAAGAATGGTGAGGCCTTCCTCTATCTGCAAATTTCTCCATTTCCTATTTCTGATGGCCTGGAATTTCCAACTGGAGACAGGCATTTCATTGCATGCTAAAGGAGATGAGGTTTAAACTGCAAACACTGAGATTGTCCAAACACTGATGTGAAGAGTTTCAGGCTCCAGGCAAATTGCCACATCAGATTCTTGTGTTTCTGGGTCAAGTTGGGGGCTAGAGAGCAGAGGACTGCTGAGTGTCTGAGGGGTTGAGAAGAGTGCTGAGTGGAGAAATGACCCAGAAGGAGAGGCCTGGAGGTAATGAAAGCAGAACTTTTGACTCTGCAGAATTTTGCTTGAGAGCATACTGGTGTGCTGCACTTCACCTTCTCCAGCTTGACCACTCGGGAACCATAGCATTGACCAGGCCCTTGGGCTGCCTATGAGGCTCTCCAAGGCTGCAGTGCCTTTCTGGCAAGTTTCAAACCAGAGCAGCTCTGGACTCTTCTATCTCACATGCTTCATAAAAAGTTTTTGGGGAGTGTATATAATTTTTTCATCGCAGGGGTAAAGAGCTATTCTTGCCCTACCCCTTAAGTCTGTCCTCCACTTAAGTTCTGAAAATGCAAATGAGATCATACCATTTCTAGCTAAGAATCACTCAATGGTATCCTAATGCTATTAGAATAAAATCCTAGCTCTTTATTTCGAAGCTTGATTTCATCTGTTGCTTACCTTTCTTCTGATATTATCTCTTACCTCTCTGTTCATTGGTCCCTCCATCTGTAATCCCTCCCTCCCCTTCTTCCTTCCAAAAGTCTATTCATCCCTCTACTCATCTCTCCATCTTCCTTTCCTTCTGTCCTTCCATCCATTTATCTATGCATCCATCTGCTCTGATGCAGCCACAGTTGCTTTCTTGGTATTGCTGAACTGCCTTCCATTCATTTGTTCTCTGCACTTGTTTTTCGCGCTGCCTGGAATACTCTCTTTCTCTTACTACCCACATGGCTCACTGTTCTCTTCCCCTTTTTGGGTCTCTGTTCTAATGTTGCTTTCTCCATGAGAACTTCCCATGCCTTTGAGGTTGTGGCTTGAAGGGGGCACGTGTGGCTTCTGAAATGGTTATCTTCTATTTCTTGACCCAGGTGCTTGTAACATTTTTTGTGTTCAATGTGTTAACATACAGTAAGCTTAAATTTTATCTGGTGCACTTCTGTATGTGTTTGTTATACTTAACAAAAAGTTGAAAACAAATACTCTGACTCCCATCTCACTCTATTTCTCACTTTGTGTTATTTTATCTTCATGGCCCTTACACTACGTGACATTGTCTTACATCCTAATTTTCAATGTCTGTCATCTCCCATGCCACATGGAAATTTAATGAAACAGGGATTCGGTCTTATTTCCTGCTCTATTCCCAGGGCTTAATACAGTGCCCAACATGCAGGGGAAAAAAATCACTGTTGAATGAAAGCGTGAGTTGCTACCTTAAGCAACTGTAAGGTGTAACAAAAACTGGGGAGGTGGCTCAGCTAATTCATCTGGTGCTTAAGTTGTAAAGGTCTCAGATGGGCATCATTGCTCATGGATCTCCTTTCTCCTCTCAGAATTGTCTGTTCCATCTGACCTGTTCTCTTGACTCTCTGTGACAGAGTTTGGTTCCTTTCCCCCAGTTGCTCCTCAACACTCGCTGATCTTATACGTGACCCTCCTCACCAAGGAACCACCTTAGAGCATCCATGCGGTGCCAGGTCAGGTGCCAAAGAACAAAGTGTGTCAGACTTCGGCCAATTACTCTGTTTCTTCCACGGGGATTGAGTGCAGTGGATAAGAACACCAGCTTTGATATCCAGAGACCTGGGTTCGAATTCTATCTTTGTCTTGTTCTATCCATGTAACCCTAGACACTTAACTGAGCCTCAGCTCCTTATCCAGATAATGAGATTCATGGTCATATCTGCCTCCATGGGATTGTTTTGAGGATTTAAGTAAGATGTTGCTTGTTAAGCCCTTGGCACATTTCATGACACAAAGTCACTGTTAAGAATGCTGGCATAAAGATACACGCACATGTATGTTCATCACAGCACTATTCACAATAGCAAAGATACAGAATCAGCGTAAATCCCCAACGGTAGAATGCATAAAGAAAATATGATTCATAGACACCATGAAATACTATGCAGCCATAAAAAGTCCAAGATCATGCACTTTGCAGCAACATGGGTGAAGCTGGAGGCCATTTTCCTTAGCAAACTCACACAGGAATGGAAACCGAAATACTGCATGTTCTCACTTAAACGTGGGAGCTAAATGATGAGAACACATGGCCACACAGAGGGGAACAAGAAACCCTGGGGCCTACTTGAGGATGGAAGGCAGGAGGAGGGAGACAATCAGGAAAAATACCTATCAAATACTATGTTTAGTACCTGGGTGATGAAATAATCTGTACAACAAACCTCCGTGACATGAGTTTACCTTATAACAAACCCATCTACTCCTGAACCTAAAATAAAAGAAAAAAAGAATGCTTGATATTCTTAAGCATTCAGTCACTGTTGGCTCCAACAATACTAACATTGATTGTTATTGAGATCCACGCCCTCCCGGGATGTAATGATGCCACATCTCTTTCTACTTTTTACCTTTAGAGATTGCCACTGGGGCCTGTGCCATGCATCTGCCTTCACTGGCTGTGTGTCCATGAAGGATGATGTTTCGAAAAATGAACTTCTGATTTATATTCTTGTATGTTAAGCAAGAGAGAGTGTGAGAAGGTCCTTGAAAAGCCACACAGTGCTTTGTAGATGCGCTTGCTGTCACTCAACGACTCCGGTTTGCTTGTTGTCTTCTTTTGTCGTTAGTGTGGTAGAGAAGGAGTTGTGTGGCTGTTGATTACAGTAACAATGAGCAGTCACCAAACTTCTCCAAGGCAGTTTCTTAATTTGGGGAATAAAATAACAACAGTGCCCACCTTCAGAGAGATTTTCAGTGCCCTAGAAGGTGCTACATGTGAAAATCAATTGCAAGAAACACAGAAGAAGTTCACGTATTCCCTTCTCTGCTCCCTCTTCTTCCCCATCTCATGTGTAGTTTAATTAAATCTCAGGAGAGCTTTTAATCCCTCTATCCAAACTTTTTCCAAATGCTTTTTTACAAGACATATCAAAATTTAAAAAATTTCTGCCTGTATCACTGGCTGTCTTATCAGTCTTTATCCTGAGGACCACAGAAGAAGCCCATTGGGATGAGCAATTCTCTGCAAAGATTCAGAGCTGAGATGTAAGCTGCACTGCAGATAAGTTCTCCTGTTATTTGACTGTATCCCAGTTCCTGTCAGCTGTATTTTTTTTCCATATGCATCACACTGAGTCATTACGATCATAGCAGCTGATTGATTTTAAAACATGGTCTCCCATTGCTCTAGTAAGCGGTGGTTGACAGATTGCCCAGTTAGAGAAATTCCTGTGTCTGGAAAGCAAGAGGAAAAGGGTCTGCTATGTTTTGGGTTTTGGTTTTGTATCTTCTGTTGTCTAAAAAAAAAACTGATTTTTTTTTTCACCCCTTTGGATTTTCTCGATGGGGCTGACTCTCCTTTATAGTCAACAAACCTCTGCAGCCTCACTCATCAAAGGGTGGCCCCCAAATTGGCAGGATCAGCAGTAGCTGGAACTTGTTGGAAATGCAGAATCTTAGGCACCACTCCAGGAAGCAGAGTCTGCATTCGCCTTTCCCCATGGTTGCTGTGCGCTGGAAAGATGGAGAAGTGCTGTTTTATAGGACTGCGGTCCTGGCTGAACCCAGTGGGGCCTGGGCTTGGCATCAGCCTTTTAAAGCCACAGACACCTCTTGGTTCTAGGGCGACATGCAGAGGAGAGATGGCACATCTCTATAGAGGACCATCCGCTGAGATGTTGCATAGTCCTCCACTTCTATGGACCCTCCACCTGTTTGTCTGGTGCCAGATGTCTTCAGCTGGACCTCATTTTCCCCTCCCTGCAGGTCTGTGGTCTCACAGGGTACCAATCACTATAGCGGCAATTGTTGTTACCTCTTCTGATGCCCCAAAGCCTCCCTAAGAGTGTGCCAACTGATTCAGCTAGAGAAATTCAAGTATTGAGAAAGGAAGCACAAATTGGTTTGTTTTTGCCTTGCCTGTCTGTCTAGGGAAGGAATCTCTGCTATTTCAAATGTCTGACAAATGGACTTGATTATCTTCTTCAAGCAAACTTGTGGTCCAGCGGCAGGAATTGTTGGTTGTCAGCAAATCTGCTGGTTGCCAGCAAGTCCTTTTCTTTGCTGCTCTCCATCCCAATGACAGAAGATTTTTGGAGACGAAACATCTGAGTTTATGTTTGAGAAATGCTAGTGCAGGTTTCTCTTCTCTGCTCCCTATGAAGAGGTGACCTGTGTATGTAGAAGTTGGAGTGTCTGAGATGAGGTTGCTAATGACTGGCATCGGGAACCAGTGGAGCTATGCTCTGGTGTCAGTTCATTACTAACAGGGTTTTTGCTTTATCAACTTGAGTCTTCCTCTTCATTTGTTTGTTTTATTCAGCAGATATAAAACTCGAAGCATAGTGGTTCTCAGTATGATGGGCCCTACCTCTTGGGTTTGCATCCTGGCTTGCCACTTAGCAGCTATGAGGCCTCCAATAAGTTATTTAACCTTTCTGTGCCTCAGTTTTATTGTTCATAAAAGGGAGATAATAAAAGCATCCATCTCATATGGTTGGTGTGAGGATTATATTGATTAATATTACCTTGTAATAAGTGAAAATCATTCTGGCACTTGTAAGTACAGTTTATGTATTTGCTGTTGTATTAATACTATATAGGTCAGGCACATTGCTAGGGAATGAACACAGGCGACAGGCAAGAGCCCTGCCCTGACAGAGTACACATTCCCTGGGGAGATGAGCAGTAAACAACTTTTCACCAGTCCAATATGTAATTACGTACTGAGAAGTGCAGGGACAGAGATATGCAGGCTGCAGGCAGAGTGAATTCAGGTGAGTCTGGCCCACTTGGGGCATATCCTAGAAGGTGTCCCTAGGAGGTGACATTTGTGCCTGGGATTCAGGGGTGCTGGACAATGGCCCTGGGGTGGTGGTGGTGGTTGTAAGCCAATGTAGCTCGAGTGCAGACAGTAAGGGGTGTGGAACGCTCAGAGATGAGTAGGGCCACAGAATGAGATAGAAATTCCTCCTTAGGGATCCTCCAACTATAATGAGCATTAGAGTAGCCTGGGGATGCTGCTTAAAAGTGAAGATTCCTGGAACTGCCTCCAGAGGTTCTGATTCAGATGATCTGGGGTAGGAGTCTTCATCTAAAATCCTGAGGCCATTGATGTAGTGGAAGACAGTGTTGACAGCACACCTAGGCTATGTTAAAGATGTGTGTTTTTATCTTAATCTTGAGAGAATTGGGGAACAACTCAAGGTTTTTTTTTTTTTTGGTACAATTATGTTGCAATGTACATACAGTCAAATTCACATTTTTAGATTCCATCGGTTTTAGCAACGTATACACGTACATAAGTACCAGTCTATCATAACCAAGACGTCGAATGTTTTTGCTACCCCAAAATGTTCTTTTGTGCCCTTTTTGTAGACCAGCCCTTCTTCTACTCCAAGCCCCTGGCAACTGCCGATCTGTTTTCCTCCATGGAATTTGCCCTTTTCTGAGTGTCACATACATGAAATCATACAGATGTAGCCCTTTGTGTCTGGTATCTTTTGCTTGGGGTTATGCTTTTGCAGTCAGTCCATATTGTTGCATGTGTCAGAATTATTCCTTTTAATTTATGAGTAATCTTAAAGGGGTGTACCACAGTTTGTTTATCATTCAACAGTTGATGGACATTTGAGTTATTTCCGGTTTTTGGAGGTTATAAATAATCAAACATAAACTTTCACATACAGGTATCTGTACAGACATACGTTTTTATTTCTCTTGTGTAAATATCAAAAGTGGAGTTGTTATATCATATAGTAAGGGCATGCTTAATTTTTAAGAAAATGCCAACTGTCTTCTAAGTTGGCTGTACTCCTTTGCATTCACACCAGTAATGTGTGAGAGATCCTATTGTTTTACGTCCTTACCAGCATTTTGTATTGTCAGTTTTTTTAAAGTAGTCATTTATTGTGGTTTGAATTTGAAATTTCCAATTACTAATGATGTTGATCATCTTTCCACATGTTTATTTGTTTGCTTTCCTAGCTCCTCTTTGGTAAAGTGTCTGTTCATATTTTTTAATCAGTTTTTTAAAAATTGGGTTCTTTTATTCTTATTGAGTTTTGAGTATTCTTTATATATTCTGGCTACAGGTTCTTAATCAATTATATGTTTTGCCAATATTTTCTCAGTCTATGGCTTGTCTTCTCATTTTCTTAATAGTGTCTTTCAAAGAGCATAAGTTTTAAATTTTATAAAGTCCAAATTATCAATTTGTTTTCTTTTATAGTTCATGATTTTTGCATTTTATCTAAGAAATCTTTGCCTAATTCCAGGCTGTGAAGATTCCCTCTTAGAAGTTTTTACAGTTTTTGATTTAGTATTTAGGTCTATGATCCATTTACATTTACATCTATGATATAACTTTGAAATGTGGTATGGGTCAAGTTCTCACCACTTCACCTTTATTTTTTAAAAAAGTCATTTGACCACATATA
Organism: Homo sapiens; assembly: GCF_000001405.40. NCBI lineage: Eukaryota > Metazoa > Chordata > Mammalia > Primates > Hominidae > Homo > Homo sapiens. The sequence goes on from NC_000016.10 coordinate 82,393,436, forward strand.
TTTGGGTCTATTTTGGGGAATCCTAGTATATTTCATTAATCTATATATCTATATTTTTACCAATACCATACTGTACAGGTTGGCAAACTATTGGCTACATCCATTCTTCCACCTGTTATTAAAAAAAACCTTTTATGGAAACATAGTCATGCCATTTATTTACCTATCATCTATGGCTACTTTTGTACTGCAGTTATTGTGACAGAGATCATACTTCCAACAAAGCCTACAATATCTCTGTCTAGTCTCTTGTAGTTAAAGCTGGTTGATCTCTGTCATAATTTCTTAATTACTCTAATTTTATTGTAAATGTGAAAATCAGGTACTGCAAGTTGTTCAACTTTTTTTTTTCAAAATTGTTCTATCCATTCTAGGTTCTTTTCTTTTTCATATAACCTTCAGAAACAGCTTGTCACTTTTAACAAAAAATCTTGTAGAATTTTGATTGGGATGACATTGAATCTATTGGTCAATTTGGGGAGAATTAAAATGTTGAATCATCTGATACTTAAAATGTGGTTTATCTTTCCATTTTTCTTGGTCTTTTTAAAATCTTATTAATGTTTTATAGTGTTCAGGATACAAACCTTATACTTAATGAATTAGATTTATCCCTAAGTATTTTATGTCTCGGGATGCTATTGTAAATGGTGCATTAACAAAAATAATTCAATTTCTAATGTTTCAGTGCTAGTACAATCGACTTTTGCATATTGGCCTTGTATCCTGTGGCTGTGCTGAATTCATCTATTCATTCTAGTAGCATTTTTTGTAGAATCTTTAGGATTTTCTATACAGTCATAACATCTGCAAATGACAGTCTTTTTTTTTCATCTGTATGCCTTTTATTTTTAATTTTTGCTTTATCATACTGCCTAGGACTTCCAGTACAATGTTTAACAGGAATGGTAAGAGTGGACATCTTTGCCTTTTTCCTGATTTAAGGGGAAACAGAAGTATTTTAAACAAGGAGTTGATATTTGTCTAATTTTAATCTTGTGTAGCAGCAGCCAGTTCCTACTTGTTTCAAAGGAATAGTACTGTGTATGTATACCTCCTGAATCAGATAGCTGTCATCACAATGCAGCAGGACAAATGACTGCATATCTCAGTGGTATATGCAGCAATAGACATTTATTTTTGGCTTATATATTTGTGGGTAAGGTTGGGCTCAGTTGCTCTAGTCTGGGTTAGTTAGGTTCCAGGCTGTGGATTAGGTTAAGTATCTTATAAATGTTTCTTATCCTCCTTGGACAGTGACTATGCAGGGCAAGTTCTTCTCTTGTTGAAGGGCGGGAGTGCAATACGCAAGTCTAGCTGTTCAAGTATGTTTCAAACATCTGACTGCATCATGTCTGTTAACATCTCATTGACCAAACTAAGTCACACGGCCATCACAAAGTCTAGTGAAGGGGAAGTATTCTTGTCCTACCATGAGGCTGTGGTAAGAATGTGGTGGATGATATTCCTCCAGGGTAGCAAAGAATTGGGGTCAATAATTCGATCATCACATCTCTTAAATGAAGAAACATTCCAACTGGTCAGGGTAGACATGGGTGTCCTTGGCCCTGCTATAAGTAAGTACTTCAAGGGCCAAGGTAGTGTCTGCCTCACCTCTCTATATTCACTGTGACTAGCCTATGATATGCATTTAGTAGATTTTTGTTGAAGAAATGATTGGGACTTGTTAGTGGTTCACATTTTAGCCTATTGTTTTGTTGCTAGTCAAGAGATTCCTTGTATAATATTTACTTCTTCTCATCTATGTTTATAATCAGCTCAACAGGCTCCAGAAAATTGCTTTTTAGTGACAGTAAGAAGGGTGGAACAATGAGCACATTTGTACCCAAGGAAAGGTTACTTTCCTCATAGGAAATTGCTGTGGAAAGAGCCTAGAGTGAGAAGGCAACAACCTGGGCTTGTGTATTGGCTCCAATCACCTGCTGGCTGTGTAAGGGCAGTCAGTTTAGGTCATCTCCCTAAGCTTCTGTTTGCCCATCTGTGAAATGTAAATATTGCTCATCTATATTTTGCCCTGTACACTTAGCAAGATTTTTTGTGATGGTGTAGCTGAAATGTATGGGAATGTATATGATGTAGATAACATTATGTATATGTGTGTACCTGTGTATTGAGAGAGAGAGATTGAGAGAGAGAGAGAAACCATAAAGGGCTGTAAAATAGAGGAAATTGCTATTCTGATGATCACAGGTTCTAGGGTTGGTAAGGAGATTTCCTCAGCTTAGAGAAAGGCTGTGCTCTGAGGGCCATGGTTCAAGTGAGAACCTGGCGGCATTTTGAATCCGCTTTCTAAAATCACACTCTTGTTTCCCAGCCCCCTAGGTCTTCTCTCTGTAGCTTCCCTTCGTACTCAGGGGGATGCTTCTGCCTCTTTTGTCTATCCTCATCTCTCCTCTCCTCACTTCCCTTCTTAGCCTCTGAAGACACATGGGCTGCTTTCTTCAAATATGCCAAATGCTCTGTCATCTCTCAGGCTTGGCATATGCTGTTGCTTTTGCCTGAAATGTGTCCCCCCCAAACCCTCAAACCTTGCTAAATCCCAGTCACATTTCAGATTTCAGCTCCATTAAGAAATCTTCCTTATTCCCTCATGTCTAAGTTTCTATACATCCTGTGCAAACACGTTCTGTTCAGTACCACCCTCATGCAGTACTGTTAAATGCTATTTTTCTCTGAAATGTATTCTAAAACCATATATAAGTTACAAAATATTTAAATATGAAGAATTCATTACACTATTCTCTCTGTATGTGTGTGTGTGTGCGTGTGTATTTTCCCCTCCTCCTCCACCTCGTCCTCTTTCATCTCCTTTATGTCCTGCATGCTAATGTCTCTCGACCAGAGTTCAGTGAGAGCTTCAGGCTGGACAGACTGTCCTGCACACCCTTGACCAGTGAACATCAGTGTGCACCTTGGGAATGTTCTCCACCGTGAGCATCTACATCATAATCCTGAAAGGAGTGTGTTTGGCAATATACGTTATTTCCTCTGCGAGAGCTTTGCTTCCTGCCGTGTGTACTTTGTGTCCTGTATAGCAGCTTTGAGTTCAGTAACTGAGGACAGCTGCGCAGGTGGTGATGCTGGACCTCCATCCAGCATCATCACCTAAGAATGCAAGGAAGAGAGTCACACTGGAGGCTCACATGCACTGTTGACAGTGGCTGGGGTTCCTGGTGGAGAAAACAGAGGGCAAAGAACAGCAGGTGCTTTGGGAAAGTGGGAAGGCCTCTGACATTATGACATCATGACATCACTGTAACAGCTTGGGAGGTTTGTCTAACAATAGCTTGAGATCCATCACTAGCACAAATTATGGATGAGTGGCATAGCGAATTTGAAGACAGCTTGCACAAATCCAAATGAACTATGGTATAAGGATCCAATATGGTGATGATGTACTTACCATTCCCATTCCAGAAATGTGTTCCCTCATGCTAAACGGATGCAAGTGTGCTTCCTAATGGCACCACTGCACTGCAAATAATGGACTCTTTGTTTACCCATTCTTCCTTTTCCCACCACTGGACCGTAGCGCATGGCTCTTGCCCTCATAGAATGAGTGAATGCTGTGGTACACCATCCATTTCCTCCTCTGGAAAGCACTGAAGCATTTCTTCCCTCACTGTCCTGTGTGCTGCCTGCTGCTGGCTCATAGCTGAGTTCTTCCCTGGGCATTGCTCTGGGTGTAGGGATTACCTTACCTGAGATTACTCCCCCTCTCTGTGACCAGCCAGCATTTAATGGGTTATGGGTTGTAATGGGTGGGTGGTGTACCAAGGCCAGTCCCTTGTCTTAATTTGGGACACTGAAGGGCCCCCAACTGTATAGCCCCCATGGACTGGCTGAGGTCATTTGGCAACTGCATCACAGTTTAAGTTCCTTCTATCCAACCTAGCTTTTCCCACTTCCTTACAGGGGCTGTTCCCGAGAGGGCTCCCTGAGAAGTTTCCTGCATGCAGTTCTCCATCTTGGATTCTGTTTCCCAAGAAACCAAATATATCCCCCTATACTTGACTGATTCCCAGCCTTGCAGGGTCTGTAGGTAGGGCCTCTATTTCACAGGTGACTTGCCCAAGACCACCCAGATTCTGAGTGCTGAGCAGGGAAGATAGCTATTTCAAAGGGCTGATGGTTTAAATGAGAATTTAAAAAGGTAACCACAAGGAGTAAGTTCTCATTAAATGCTGGCATGCTTTTTCTAAATACTTAGGGCTAGCACCACAGAGTTGGAGAGAAAGGGAAGAGAGTTTACAGAGAAGCATGCATGGTTTGCATCACCCTTTGACGAAACAGGATAGGGAGGAAATTACTACACCCTTGCCCTGGCTCAAAACTTAAGCCTCTTCGCCCTTGCCCAGTTGGTCTATCTCTGTTTCAGTAGCCTAACTTCACAGAAAGAACCTTTCTTTGCAATCAGATTTGATGTAAGGAGACATTAGCTATAAATTACCTGCTCCCTAGATACTCTTATTTCCATGTACTAAAATACTTTTTTTTTTTGTTAGAAAACATTTTGACCACACACTGAGCTGATTATCAATGTAATTGTGCTGTAATCACATCTGAGGGAACTATCTAGCAAATCAACTCCAACTGTCCGCCTACTCACAGGGAAGAGACTCAAACCTGTCACATCAGAATAGAGGAACAGGTGGCCTCATTCACAAACAGTGATACTCCTTCTACCACACAGCCTTTTCTGTCGATAAATAGACTGAAGGTATGGTTTGAGAGGCATCCACATTACATATACAGAAAATGTTCATAAATTGATGGCAAATGGCTGGTCATTTTCCTAGGAAATTTTGGTGTAGGTGGTTCATGAGATTTTTGTTTTTTGACATTCTGGATATAATGATGATAAAAAGATATTAGGCTATAAGAAATTAAAGCCAAGTCCTTATTATTCATTCAATTTTAAGCTTTTAAAATTCAAGAGGTCTGAGTTTGAATCTAGTGTGCTGTGTAATCCTGGAAAACTTGTGAATTAGTCAGGCCAGGCTAAGCTATGCTGTAGTAACAAACACGCCCCTCAAATCTCCATGGGTTTACAATAAGTCTCACAAAGTCCTCTGCAGTCCAAGGCCTCTTTAGGTCAGTTTGATTCCAAGTTATGAGTCAGGGATACAGTTGTTCCACCTTGAAGCTTCCTCTTCTCAATAAGTGCCTTCTCCAATCACTGTACCAGGGGAAGAGAGAGCAGAGAGCAACCTCATCCACTCTGTTAAGCTTTGACCTTAAAGGGACTCATTTCTTTTGCTCACAGCCCATTGGCCAGAATTCATTACATGGCCTTGCCTAATGCAAGGAGGCTGGGAAAGGTTGGGGAGCACAGATATATTAAAGGAACAATAATTGTGTCTGTAGGAACTAGGTGTCAATTTCTACATATTTAAACTAACTTACTAATTGAATAGTGCATGCATTAAAGAAATAGTACATATATTTTAGGTTTAGTCATTGTATTAAGCTCTGGGCATATAATGGTGAGTGAGATACACGTACTGTTTGCCTTCACTGCACTTTTGTCTTGCAGGGAGGTTAGATGTGCAAACAATGATAGTGAAGTTTGAATGAGTGCTACAGCAGAGAAGACAAGGGCTTCATGGTGGTTCATGGCTCCAAGTTAACCTCTGGGTTAAGGACAATTTCTTCTGGACGTCGTGTTATCTTAGCTGAAGTCTGAAGGACAATGAAAGGAAGTAGAATATTCAAAGTGGAGAAATTGCCATTGTAAAGGCCTGAGAAATGGTAGAATATCTCATCTTTCTCCACAAAAGAGATGGATAGTTTCCTTGAGATAATACATACTTAGGGTGTTTTGTAAACTGTTAAGTATTATACATCCTTGAAGGGGTTACTATTCAATACTCACATGAGAAGCACAATTTCTGTTACTATTAGGTTGATGTACAAGTAATTGCAGAGTCAGGGGTATGGACATAGCATAAATGGCAGAGTTGAGTCAAACACAGGCATTTTAACTGCTGAGCCCAAGTTCTTAACCACAGAGCAACACTGCATGTTTAGAAAGCAAGTTAGAATGCAAATATAAATGATAGTATTACAGGGACCATCAAGAACTTGATCCAACTTATATATGTATAGAAGAGTAAATAATATGCAACTTCTGATTCAGCTTTAGTAGTAGAATGTTAAATGTTTTTATTAGTTATGAATTGGTTCGAAAACCATGCACAGGGGCACTTCAGTTAAATCTATAATATAGACTGGACATCTGGTCTTTTTTCATAACCAAGCCAGGGACAAGGGAAATATTTTCTTTAGACTTAGTGGATCATGTCTTCTAGGTCTAGAAATCATTCCCATTTCTATCAGTCCCAGCTATGCAGCTGCCATTTATAGGTGAGACAAGTATCCCCCCTCTCTTGACTTAAGACTCCAAGGGAAGTAGCAGTGAAGAGGTGAAAGGAATGGGCAAAGGAAAATCTGTTGTGCCAAGAAGAAATTAATTCTGTCCATTTTTCACTCATCCCAGCTCATTTTGCCTCTATTGTTATGTGAGGACTAAAATATTCATTTTGTGAAAAAATTGTCAAACTTTAGTGCTTTGAGATAATTGATGCTTTTCATCAGCTCACCAAATTGAGAGAATGACTCGACAGAGGTCTGCATCAGGCAATCTCAGGCGAGAATTCTTTTATAACATTCATGCAAAGGCCCTCCTTGGAGATGCTGGTAAGCAGCCCAGTGATTGTGAGACATCGGAAGAAAGCACACTTGCAGAACCAGACTGTGAACAAAGGGCTTTAGCGGCCAGGAAACGCACTCACGGGGGACTTGTCGGTCCCAGGCTCTGCCTCTGATTGGAAATGCAATCACTTGGCTGTGTTTAGCTGTGTCCAGTAAGGGGCCATTGGCAGCAATGCTCCACTAACTAGAAATCTCTTCTGCAATCAAATTAAACAGAGCCACAGCATCCTCATGACACATGCCAGTTATCATGGAGACGTTTTATTGCAGAAATGCTTTTTAAACATTAATTATGCTGCACACAATACGACCCAGATAAAATATGGGCATATTATGACTTGTCTGTGGCTTTGGGGTATGCTGTTTAATCTTTGACAAGGGCTTAAGGGAAGAAGGTGGGCTGGACCTTTTGTTTTGAATTTTCATTGCTGGGGCATTCTGCATCTGCCTTTCAAAGGTGGCTACAAAAAGGCTTGGGTTCTTATTACTCACCCTTAATTAGCCTTGTCCTCCTCCCACACTTCCATGTCTGCTAGAGGATTCAAAGGCCCTCAGATTGTTGGGAGGCTGTGAGATTGACATGGGGACCCATTGTTTAATGACCCTCTGCTTATGCCAGGACAGTCATCCTCTGTCTCCTTTAGTGTTGACATCATGTGTTCTGATTGGTGCCTATAACTTACCAAGTTGTTAAACAGTATTTTTTTTTTTTTTTTGGCTTTTGAGACAGAGTCTTGCTCTGTTGCCCAGGCTGGAGTACAGTGGTACAATCCCAGCTCGCTCCCAGCTCACTTCAACCTCTGCCTCCTGGGCTTAAGCAATTCTCCTACCTCAGCCTCCTAAGTAGCTGAGACTACAGGTGCATGCCACCATGGCAGGCTAATTTTTAAATTATTTGTAGAGACAGGTCTTGCCATGTTGCCCAGGCTGGTTGTCTCAAGCTCCTGGGCTTAAGTGATGAGGCTGCCTCAGCCTCCCAAAGTGCTGGAATTAGAGGAGTGAGCCACCATGCTCAGCCTTAATAGTGTTAATACCACCCGTGAAAGTAGGCATCATCTTCATTTTTTAAATATAGAAAATGAAGCTTAGAGAACATATGTGACTTGGCCCATATGTCACCATCATAAGCAGTAGAGTTAGATTTCAGTCCATTTCTTTTTGTCTTTATAATCTTTCCAAGGCAGTCTCTAAACTTTTGTCTAAAACAGTGTAAATCTTTCATTACATTAGATGCAATATTATGTGAATGTTCAAAGAGATAAAAATGAATGCAAAAGTTGCTTCCCTGGATGAAGAAGCTCTGCACACAGCTGCCTTTCATCCCTTCCTCTCGTAGCCCCCAAGGTGGTTGTCTGGAACCTCAAGGTGTAAAGAGGACTTCCCTGATCTGCATCTCATCCCAAGGGCCTCAGGGCAAATGAATCCACCTCTTGCTCGTGATTTGCGTGTGGAGCTGTCTTCTGTCCAGTTCTCTCCTAAAAATGCTAGGAAAATGCCTGTGGCCCAAATTGACAGCAGTCCCTGTCTTCTGGGAATTTGCCTTTTCCCTGAGTTAATGGAAGAAAAAAATAGTAAGAAAGAGAAGTCTACTTCATGTTATATGGCATAAGAACTATGAACAAAAGCAGAACAGAACTAGGAGATAGAAGCCTGTGGAAGAGACAGTGGCACAGTATTCAAGAGGGTGACCAGAGAAGGCCTCACTAGAAAGATATTTGAGTGAAGGGGGCCAGCCCTGCAGATATCTGGGGGAGGATACTTTCTGGCCTTGGGGAGAGCAAGTGGAGTGGCCAGAACGACAGCCACCCTCAGGTGAGAACAGGCCTGGAGGCTTTGAGAAAGAAGGCCAGGGGGCTGAAGTTCTGGGGAGCAGAGTGGGAGAAGAGGCCGGCAAGGTAACAGGGCAGGTCTGAAGGACCTTGTGGGCCATTTTGCCCTGAGGGAGATGGGAAACCACTGGAGGGTTTGGAACCAGAAAGAGCCATGATCTGTGTCGTAGTCCATTTGTGCTGCTATAAAGGAATACCTGAGGCTGGGTAATTTATTTTAAAAAGAGGTTTATTTGGTTCATTGTTCTGCAGGCTGGACAGGAGGCATGGTGCCAGCATCTGCTTCTGAAGAGGGCCTTGAGGCACTTCCACTTATGGTGGAGGCACAGAGGAGCCAATCTGGGCAGGGATCCTATGGTGAGAGAGGAAGCAAGAGAGAGTGGGGCAGATGCCAGGATCTTTTAAACAACCAGGTCTAGAGAGGAGTGATATACCTTCTGCCTCACCTAAGGATGGCATTAATCTATCCATGAAGGATTCTTCCCTATGACCAAAACACCTCCCACTAGGACCCTACCTCCAACATTGGAATCAAATTTAAATGTGAGATTTAGGGAGACAAACATCCAAACTATAGCAGTGTGACTCACGTCTTCACAGAATCCCTCTGATATCTGTGTTGACAACAGGCTAAAGTTGGCATAGAAAGAGTCCTGGCAAAAATCAGATTCGCTATGAGAAAGATACCTTGGGAGAAATGAGCCCTTATATTGAACCTCTTTTGTTTCAGTATCCTTATTATCTTCGGGGTCCACTTCAATTTGAAATTAAGTGTGAGGTTAAAAGGAAAAATGAAAACACGTGTGTGCACACTCATGAATGTGTATGTGTGTGAGTGTAAGCATGCACGTGAAATGTATGAACGTAACAATGTGTGCATGAGTGTGAGGGCATGTGATTGTGTTTTTGCCTGTGTGTGAAAGTGAGTGTGTGAATGTATGAGTGTGTTAGTGCTTGTGTGTGAATGTATGTGAGTGTGTGTGAATTTATGAGTGTGTTGGTGAATGTGTTTGAATGTGAGTGTGTGAATGTATGTGTTACTGCATGTGTGTGAGTGTGTGAATGTTTGTATGTGTGTGTGAGTGTATGAGAGTGTGAGAGTGTGTGTGTGTGTGTGTGTGTGTCTGTGGTGGGTGTTTTGGGGAAGAAGGAAGTGTAGGCTTGCTGCCCAGGACTATCTGGAGCAGATCCCAAGGCACAGACCCTGTACTGGAGGCAGTATTTCAATCATGTGGGGGCCAGTGGAGGGTTTGTAAGACAAAGCCACTGGAGACAGCTCAGCCTAGTGGCTTAGAGCTCATTGTGCTGTGATTGCTGATCTTTGTCCCAGTATCCTCTCCACCTGACACCATCCTCTTCAAGCTCAGTTAGCTGACTCCTCCTGGGTGAGGTGTTAATCTCTCCAGGTCTCCTTTAGCACTGTGTACCATAGGTGAGCCTTCTGTTTCTCACCATCCTGAACCTTGATGGGGTTCTCTACAACATGGTAGACTTTTTGAGGGCTTTGACCACATCTTGTTTGTTGTGGTAACTCCAGGGCTCAGTCAGTGCCTGAGACTGGGGAGGGGCTCAGTGTTTACAAAATGAGTGGAGCTTTTCTTCTCTTTATGTATGTTCCCATCAGAAGCATGCCCCAAAGCTTGGCTGTGCCAACCAAATTGGTTTTTCTTTAAAGCTTTCTTAATGATCGATTCCTAATCAGTTGATCAGGTCAATTTGCCTGGTCAGTCTGATTTGATTGTAAATTTAGATGGTGGGAAGAGACTGCTTTATGGTCCAGTTATTGTGTTCTTTTAATAGCAACGTGGGAGCTGAGCTGAGCTGAGCAGCAACGAACAGCAAAGTGTCATTACTTAGGCCTGGCCTGAGCCTGGGATGATAGTGTCTGATTCAGGGGGAAAACAGTCTAATGCTCAGGACAGAAGCACCTCTGTGGGGGTGATGAATAAAGGCACCTAAAAAGGAAGTACAAAAGTGCATTTACTTATTTTAGATTTGAGAGAGGAGGCATAATAACCTCGGGGAGTTGGGGTGACAGAATAGCCTGGCGGCAAGTGGATCCTTGGTCATCTCAGGCCCTAACTCTGGGTAAATTCTCGCCCACCCTTCCAGAGCAGCATCGCGGGTTCCCCTGGGGATCATTTGGGCTGTGGATTTCTGCAGTGCCTATTTGCTGCCTCGGGAGCTGTTTGAAAGAGGGATGCTCTGTGCAGAAGACACAGCTCAGAAGATGGTCCCCATGCGACTCACAATGGAATCCTAAGCACTGGAGGAACTGGATTAATAAGATTCAAGTCTGGAGGAGAAATTGGGTCACACACATTCTTGGGATGTGGGAAATTGTGCTGTCTAGCTTGGGCACGATGCATTTATGGAGGAGGGGAAGCAGGCCCCTTCTTTGGAAGGAAACAGGGCAGTGTGGATTGTCCACGTAAGGGGGTGGTTGTCAGGTCTTCAGGTCAGGGCCTATCTTAGGATAGCTGGAGCACAGTGGAGCAAGAAGGGTATGGGTTGCAGTCAGGAAACTCACATTCAAATTTTAGCACTACCACCTGCTTGCTACGTGTTATGGGCTGAACTGTATCTCCCCACAATTCATATGTTCAAATCATAAACCTTAGTACCTCAAGATGTGACTGCATTTGGAAATAGGCCTTTAAAAAGGTGATTAAGGTAAAATAAGGTCATAGAGTGGGCCCTAACCCATTAAAACTGGTATCCTTTTAAGAAGAGATTAGAACACAGACACATACAGAGGGAAGGCCACGTGAAGACCAAAGAGAAGACAGCCATCTGCAAACCACAAAGAGAGGCCTCAGAAGAAACCAACCCTGTGACACCTTGACCTAAGAATTGCAAGAAAATAAAGTTTTGTTTTTTAAGCCACTTAGTCTTTGTGATGGCAGCTTGAGCAAATTAATACACTACCTGAGTGATCTTGAGACAGCCGTTTCATCTCTGCTCCTCAATTTATCCATCTGTAAAGTGAATATAACATTACTCATCTCATAGGGTTCTGGAGAGGAGTGAATGAAATACTGAATGTGAAATGTTCTCTGCAAATGGCAAGTGCTGAACAAATGATTGCTGTGACTTACTGTTTTCCTTGAGATTGCATCATTCTTTCATCATTCATTCTACAAATATTACGAGTGCCTAGAATGTGCAAGATGGTATTCTAGGGGATAGGATTATAGCCTCAGAAAATAAAGATAAAAATACTTCTGTCCCCCTGAAACTTTGTATTCCAGGAGGTACTGAGTGTTGGGGGAGGCAATGAGAAAAATAATAGTAAACAAGATCAGTAAAATATTAATATATGGCATGTAAGAAAAGGATAAGTGCAATGAGGAAAATAATTACCGGGAGGGGGATGGGGTGCTGGGATGTGAGTGGCGCATGGTCAATGTTTTAAATAGTATGGTTGGAGAGGGGATCTTTGAGCAAAGACAGGAAGTAGTGGGGTAAGCCAGGTGGACATATGGGAGGAGACTTTTCTGCAAAGTGGGGACAGTGTGTGCCAATGCCCTGGAGCCTGAGTTGAAAATGTTTCAGTTTCTTGTAACCCATAGAGCCCCAGCTTAGGTGACCTGGAGGGTGCTGAGCATTTCTGAAGCTTTGTGATTAGCATCCTTCTTTGTTCTGTATGTTAACCCATATGGTTTACAGATGTTTTCAAGGGTGGTACTGATAGATTGTATACCTGCGATTGGATGGTTGGTTTTGGGGAGTTTTCTATTTTCTTGTTTGTTGGTGGAGGGGGCAGGGCTGGGAATCAAAGGGAGAGTAGAACTAGCTCAGAAGGTCTGCAGCTGTCGGTGGGCCTCCACTGCGGGGCTCATAAGGCCTGAGTCAGTTGGTAAATATAAGCATCTCTCATCACGGGAAAGCAGAGAGAGCAGGAAGCCTGAGGTAACTGGGGAGCTGACAACAGGGGTGAGGCGTGCATTTTCAAAGAAAGTGGAGAGCCTGTGTTAGTTTGTAAGCTTAGTAGGAGGATCCTATTATAAATGGGTCCTCTCGAGGAAATTGCAGCCTCGTGCATATGTATTCAAAGAAACTATAAATCACAGACAAGTAGAAAGGAAAAGAAAATGTAAATCACCCCCTAGGTGCTGGCCCAAGCAACATTAATACATGTTAGATGGTGGAAAGAGAAAATGATTGTGTTGAATGAAGAATGAATAAAGTGCTACCATGTTGGTATATTTTTTCTAGCTACTTTTTCCCTATGTGTCTTAGATATTTAAAAACTTTTAGCCTGGGCAACATGGTGAGACCCCATCTCTATTAAATATACACAAAAATCACTGGGTGTGGTGGTACATGCCTGTGGTCCTGGCTACTGGGGAGGCTGAGGTGGGAGGATCGCTTGAGCACACAGAGGTTGCAGGCAGCCAACATCATGCCACTACACTCCAGCCTGGGTGACAGAGTGAGACCCTGTCTTAAAACAAACAAACAAAAAAAAAACCAAAAAACAAAAACTTTTGATCCTATCATTTTAGATCCTGATTTTTTTAATCTTAGTAATAAAACAAGCATTTTTTGTTATGTAACTTTTCATAAATATCATAGCCTTATATTTCATGACATTAATGTATTAGAATTTATTGCAGCATTCTTCCAATATTTGCATGCCATGATTGCTCCCACTATTATAAATAAGACTGTATTGAACATCTTTATGCTGTAGTTTTCTTTTTTCTTTTTTATTTCCTCCCCCAACATTGTTAAGATTATTTTCCTAGAATCAATTTCCAGAGGTAGAATAGAATTACTTTAGTAAATGGTACCGTTTCTTCAGGGCTGTCAAAATCAATGTGAATCTTCTTTATTTTATTGTCTATTTAATCGCTTATTTCACTCAGTTTTGTTTCCCTCATAAATTGGAAAAGCATCATTTCCATGTCTTTACTAAGATGCTGCTAACATGTTGAGCAGAATGGGTCCAAGGATATGATTTACTCCAGTTTGAAAGTTCTTTATGTTTGAAGTTTCCATTTCTATAAATTATAGTACTATCTTAGTTGATATAAATTTAAAATTTTGTCCAATTATTTTTCTTAAAGAGGGATGCCTGAGAATAACCATTGATGTCTAAGTGTGCAGTGCATGTTTTCCTAGTAGTGAGATTTTCTAAGCTTGATGTATTTAAAGAGAGATTTTAAAAAGCATTTAGCATTGGTATCAGATTTATTTAGTTTTAATTGTTTTATGTGAGTTGAATTGGTATGAGTAGATTTGTGATGTTCTTTGCAAAATTCATGCCTTTTTTAGCAGGGCGTGTTTCACAAAATAATCTTGAAATGGCTAGACATCCTTATCTTTTTAAATGGTTTTTAACTCCTATTAGCTATAATGGGATTTCCACAAATAAATTGCCACATTTTACTGAAAGATAGCAGAGCCCTAGCTGACCCTCCCAAAGCATGGGAGGATTTTGATACACACACACACATACACACACATCATTTTTCTCTCTCAATCAGCACAACTTTTAGCCTCCATAAAAGAATAGGGACATATTGACTGGACAATGATGTGTGATTCTGATTTTTGAAAGTGGACAATGTGTTTCCATCAGTGCATTAGGCTGTCTGGGAAGAACAATTCTTTAAAAAGCTCTCAATAAATGACATAAATAAACCAGTGAGCAGCCAGGGGCCAAATTATGTGTCCCTGTGACTTACTGTTGTTTGAGGACAGTGATAAACATTTCAGACCATCTATGGAAACCACTGGGGGAACTTTTGTTTCTCTCTAATAGCCTCTGAAGCCTTTATGGCTAATAGTGTGTATAATGAGTTCAGTTGCAAGCCTCTGAGCAGAGAAGTTGGGCTGTTTTCATGTGGGGAGGGGAACCCTCTGAAGGTTTGCCCAGCAGTGACAGAATCCGGTCCTCTGTAAGGGAGGCACCAACCCCACATTTGGGGAAGCTGGGAAGAAAGAGTGAGAAGATGAAGATCCTAAGCCAAGATGCCAAGAAGAATGTGAAAACTGGAGCCCAAGTCAGAGTCAGATGTGAGATTTAATCAGAGCATCACAGCCAGAGAACGGAGGGTAAAGTCAGAGCCAGGATACTAACCTAGCTCACAGCGGGAACGTGTTGCAGCCTGGAGGATGCTCACTGGAGGACGCTGAAACCACACTCTTGCCAGTGGAAGAACTCCTGTCACCCTCCTCCTCTTAACCCCCTTGGAGACCTCCGTGTAGCAGGAGTCTGGGGTAAGGCTCCAAATGTCCATTTAACAAGCTCCACAGGTGATTCTGTGGCCCAGCCCTGCTGGATAACGACTGCTCTGGTTCAGCTCTGACTAGGTGTGGGATGGTGGCAACTATGTCCATCTCCATGTAGATCTCTCAGCTAGGGACTGAGAGGCCAGAATCCCAGCACCAGATTTCAGTGAAGTTCCTACATGTCACTGTTATCGCAGTCGTGGTCTCTGTGTTTGTGAAATGAGGCCTGGACCAGGGGCTCTCAGCCCTGGCTGTGCATTGTAATCACCAAGAAAGCTTTGAGGAAATGTCAAAACCTTGGTCCCCTCTCGGTCCTATGGAATCAGAATATCTGCAGGGAAAACCTGGGCATCTACAGGTTATTTGAGTGTTGAGGCTCAGAGGAGTAAAGACATTTGGCCAAATTCCTTCCAGATAGTCATTTATACAGCTAGGCTTGAATTGAGGCCTTTTCTGTCCTGGAAGAGTAAATAATAATTATTGTTGTTAATAATAATAACAAAACACAAGATGAATCAGCAGTGCAGGCACTAGAGCCAGGTTGGCAGGCTGACATCTGGGTTTGAGAATTGGAGAGGGATGCAGAGAGTTGGAATACTGTCCCGTCAGCTTGGTTGTGTAGGGTTGGGACCTCAGCGTTGGAGCTGCAGGGTAGGAGGAACACTGGTGGTGGGTGGGACAGGAACTAAGAAAATTTAGTGCGACCCTAGGGTAGGCGCTGAAGCTGTAGAAACAACTCAAATCACGGTGTCCTAGAAAGTATGGAAAATTTTATCTTTTTCAAGGTTCATGACCATGCTAATATGATGTCGAAGCAGAGGTCTCAACGTGAGCCAGCAGGGGTCTTGAGGCTGAGTCAGGCTGATGATCTTGATGATGACTCCAAATCAGGATCAGGGTCATGATCTTTCTAGGGTTAAGGTCAGTGTCCAAGCTAAGGGGGGAAGACAGTACCAACCAAAGCGGCTGACATTCAGGAAAAGGCTCCAGGCTCAAAAAGAGCTCAAGAACAGGTTCTCAAAAGGTAGCCCTTGGACCAGCAGCATCAAGATCACCTGGGAGTTCATTAGATATGCAGATTCTACTGAATCGGAAGCTCTGAGGAGTAGAGCTGGTAATCTGAGTTGTAAGAGCCCTCAGCTGAGTCTGATGCATGCTTCAGGCGGAGACCCACTGATAGAGAGTTTGAATAAGGTAGTAAAGGCAGAAACCTAACCAGGCAAAGCCGGTGAGGCTGGGGAAGAGCTTGGAGAACATACGGTGCCAAGAGCCCACAATGCCTGATCGTAGGCTTAGAAACACGAGGAAACCTACATCCCACTGTTGGATGCACGCCTCTATTGCTCAGGATACTGGGGTGGCATTGAAGTTGGGATGGGACATAGCTGTAGCCTATGGCTGAGGGTCTTCAGGAACCACAGCTGACTAGGGTAAGGAGTGTCAGAGACTACAAAGGGGCAGGGGAAGAGATGCCAACATCCACGGACACACCTGGAGATATTCAGGTGGTGCGTCTTTTTTTCAGATCCAGGTCCAAACTCCCAGGCTGAGCTTGGCTTACTATACAAGTCTGCCTCCCTTACTGAGTCTTGCTGGACAGAAGTGGAGACTAAAGCTAAATGTTTCTGAGAGGTTCTGTGTCCAGCCATGTTCAGGTGATAGTACTGCCACTCCCATGACATCTTCCTCACGGTCAGTAAATACAATGCCCAGTGAACAGGGGAGTTATTCAACACACACATTTCAAATATCTCTTTTAATGCCCACATGTAAAACCAATCAGAGACTCCCTTTTCTGAGAGGGCAGCAATGATGCATTCCCAGTAATTTGTTAGAAATAAATGAGGGAGAGGCAAATATATGTCAGATACCCTGAGCCCTCCATTCACGTGGATTTGCTTCTTATAAAGACCGATAACTGAACAGGTCTGAAACAAGCACTTCCTCCTGTCTCCGAACACTATCTGGAAGAATCCTTGAATCCTTTTTTCTAATATGATTGATGTGAAGTGGTGGATGGCATTGAAAGCCCACATTATGGAGATCTAGTCTAAAGTGACTACTTGAGAAGAAACTGCCTCATTACTAAGGTCCTTGTTGTTACCGAGTGCGTTCAAGGGGGCTGAGTATATGCCTCTGATTAGAAACTGTACCTCTTCTTTGATTCCAGGAGGTAGAGAAATGGTGTTTTGGCTTGGGCAGTGATGTTACTGAAACTTTGTTTAGTTTCAGCATAAATGGACATTTTCTGGATTTCTGTGGTTTGATGGAACATCACTTTCTTTAGCTTGCTTGGCATTGTGTACAGAGCTTGATTTTCTTGTATATTTTTGGTGGAACTAGACATTTTAAAACACTTTCCATCATGCAATTAAGTTTTCTGCAACTGGGAAATGCTAATGTAGATATATCTACTTGCTTGCAATAAGGAGACTCCAGAATCTCAAATGAGATGCCTGAGATGCCTGAAATTACTTTTTAACTTTTTATTATGAAAAATTTCAAGCATATACAGAAATGGACAGAGAAGTGCACTGAAATCCTATGTAACTGTCACCCACCTTCAACAACTGTCAGTGGATGTGTTTTGTCTCTACTCCACCCACTTCTCTCCACCTCTTTCACCCGTACTGGTTTATTTTGAGGCATATCCCAGCTATCATATCATCTACATATATTTCAGTATGTATCTCTAAAAGAGAAAAACTCTTAAAAATAGTCACAATACCATTATCGTATGTAAAAAAATGACAGTATCCACTTGCCATCCTCAAATATCCAGTCACTGTTTAGTTCCTTGACTGAAACATATTTTTAAAAAATGAATGGTTTGTTTGAACCAGGATCCAAAGGAGTTCTACACATTATGACTGGTGGAGATGTTCTGAGAAGGTTATTTTAAATTGTTCCTTACACTTAGTGTGAGCATTGTCTTGTTTGAGCTCAGAAGTCCCTGCATAAATACCGAGGGCTTGAGGTCCCCATGGAACCCCTTCATGGCCCAGTGATTGGCCCAGCAAGTACATCATCTGCAAAATTCTGGCAGCAGAGACCAGAGGGGCAGGTGGTAGAAAACAAGATGTGAACAGATTGCTAGGACCCCAGCTTGGGGGTCTCAAGTGGTCACTTTAGTTTAAAATGTTTAGTCCAAAGTGACCACTTGAAAAGGATTGATGGGACCCTATTCTAAAATTGGGTTTTTCTAAGTACTAGTAGGGAAAGACCACTCTAAAGTCTGTTTGATGACAGGCTGAGGATCTACTTGGGAAGAAACTTAGATCAAGGGATGAAAGAATTGCTCCAGAGAATAGGTCAGAGGGTGGGGCTGGCCACCACTTTGCCCAACACTAGTGAATCCATTTACCTCTTGGACATCTGTAGTGTGGCCCCATTCACATCCTGGAAGTGTGCAACATGATGGCCCTGGGTTTGAAGGCTGTTGGAACACGGTGCCTATGACTCAAAACCTTTTCTTGCTCAAGGTGGGGAGATCACTAAAATCTCCCTGGGACTTTGAGAGTTAAACTTGCTAGTTCTGGAAAACCAGGCCAAAGTAGCTGATGAATTTGATTAAGGCCCATGATCCCAGAGGAATATTAGGTTGGGGGGAGACACTTTTATGCTTTGGGATGCAGTTATTGGCACCTCTGCCTCTTTTAAATGTGGGGAGGACAAGGGAGGGTCCATCTATCCATGCATCCATCCGTCCATCAATCCATCCATCAGTCCACCCATTTGTCCATGTATCCATTCCCTTTCTGTTCTATCTGCTTGTTTCTAGTTCTTCACAATTATCAGGCGAGTTATTTCCATGTGGCCAAGAACAGTGGCTCTTGCCAGCTCCAGGTTATTCGTACCAACATAAAGGAAATTTCTCTCTCCCATCATCTGTATATCAATTCTAGTGAGGAAACTAGACTGGTCCTTCTTGAATCACATACCCACTTCAGCTAAGTCACTGTGTTCAGAAAAACAGGGTACTCTAATAGGTAAGCTCAGGTCAGATGTCCACTCCTGTGACTGAAGAAGGGTAAAAGAGTGGACTACTAAGGGCAGGAAAAACAAACTAACCACAGTAGCTATCACATTCCATCCCACCCCACTGCCCACTGACATGGGTACAACTCCAAGTTAAAGCCTCTAAGGCTGCTGAAAATGTGGTATGGACAGGGATCAGTCCCACTTTCCGTATTCAGAATTCTATTATTCTGCCTATTCAGTTTTTTCCAGTGTGGCTACCTCATTTCCTACCATACTGATCTATTTGTTGGGTCCATCTTTAGCAGAGAGGAAGCAGGAGGTAAAGAAAATACCGCAGTGTTTTCAAAATGCAAAACATAGTTATATCTACATAGTCAGCCAACATCAACCCCTTTTTCTTTCATCCTTCACTCCACATGCTATTTCCAACTCAAGGTATCATCTTGCCTTCCTCTCCTCTTCACCTCTTCGCATTTCTCCGAGAGGACTTGCCTTACAGGGACCTCAAAACAGAGAGGAGTGAGAAGGCAAGTGGGTGGGGTATGGTAGGTGTTGGGGAGAAGGCAGGGAAATCAGAAGAGGAGGAAACAGACTTCTGATTCTCCTATGTACATACACATACACATGTACACACATACATGCATGTATAGTGCACACATGTGCATGAATGCACACATATCCACATGCACACACATGCACATAGGCATGCACGCACATACATGCACAATGTACACATGTGCACCAATTCACACACAGCCATGTGCGTACACATGGCACACATGCACATACATATGCACACATGCTCACATGCATACACAGACACATACATGCATTAGATGATTCCGTGCACTGTTGACAAAATCATTCTGAAGTTAAGGATAGTTTTGTGACAGTCGATGTGGTTCTGAACACTATCTCTTGCTCTAGGAAACTTGTAAATGGGGGGAGGAAATTGGCATTTAGTCAATAATTCCTGAACTCCTTTCCCAGCCTTCCTTAAAATCTTTTCTATATCTTAAGTAACAAGCCCAATTGTTAAATAATGGTCAATGTATTCGTTTACATTTAATGCCATTATAATCTGTACCTATAGTATGCTTATGTTCATTTTATAAACATGTATATTTTCTCTAGGTTTTTAATTATCCAGCAGAATTTATGATCAATCTTTTCTCTTACAACATATTCATCATAACTATAACTTTTCTAATGCTTATCATCGGTCAGGAACCCTTCACCCCTTTACAAAATTGTTTCCAAAAGAAAAAGGGCATTTTTTTTGTAATAATCAGCTTAAGAACAACTTATAGAGGGAGCATTTGTAGCAAATAATTGGGAACTGCCAGTACTTTTCTTTCAGTTCCAATATGAACGTGGTCAAAAAGTCTGGGCATGAGTTAGAAACAACTGAATATTGAAAATGCAAATGGCATAGCTGAACTCAAGGGAAATGCTTCACAGGCAGACAAAAGTACCATCAAAAATGCTGTCATAATGTTATGAAATTTTAATTCATGATCAAAACATCTCCCAAGTCCCAATACTACTTTTCAGTATGTCTTTCAAATTATAGTGGGACTTGGTGGATAGCTTTTTAAATATTCCTTAAATTGCAAGTAGCTGAATATTTGGCCCTAAATACTTTGCAATTCTTACTGTGGCTAAACTCAGAGATTCAGTAAGAACAGTTACATCAGCACAGAGCACTCTGCCTCTTCTATCTTACATCTTCTAGCAAACAGAATGTGTTTCAGGCACGCATTCCGGAGTTATGTTTAACAATCCCGAGACATCATCTCTATTCAGCCTCACAGCCTCCGGTGGAGATGAAATGAATATTAAATAATCAAAAGGGATGGCCGTGAAATCCTGCTGCACCCGAGTAAAGCTCAGCATTAGGGTGACCGCTTTTTTCTTGATATTATATTTGCATCTTTTTTCAGAAATTATTTGCTTTAAGCTTTTAAAATGGGCATTACTGGGTAATTGAGGTCAGGGGCAACCCTGAGTATTAATGGGGTGTTAAAGAAAACTATAGTTTAACTCTGTGAAATTTAAATTCCTTTGGTCTTATGCTGAAAAAATTTATTTAGGTGTGATGAGCTTGCAAGGTCTCAGGTAAGTCATCCACACCTATAGTGGTGTGACAAGAAAGTAGGAATAAGAGGAGACTGAATGTTTTGGGGTTAGCAAAGGGCCTGAGTTATTAGCTGTGACTAGAGGCCTGTTTGATAGATGTATTACTCTTCTATGGCTGTGTAACAAGTGACCACAAATATAGCACCTTAAACCAACACTCGTTTAGTAGCTCATAGTTTTGTGGCTCAGAGGTCCAGTATAGCATGGCTAGGTTCTCTGCTTAGGGGTCACAAGGTGAAATCAAGGTGTTGGCTGAACTGAGTTTCTACCTGGAGGCTCTAGGGACGAATCTGCTTCCAGTCTTACCCTTATTCTTGGCAGAATTCAGTTCCTTGTGCCTGAGGCTCCCATTTCCTTGCTGGCTGTCATCCAGGAACCTGCTCTTAGCTCCTACAGGCTACTCATATTCCTTGCCACACAGGCCCCTCCATCTTCAAGCCAGCAATTGTGGGTTAGAGCCTTGTGCTTTGAAATGCTGACATCCTCCAAACACCGCATGTTCTCACTCATAGATGGGAATTGAACAATGAGAACACATGGACACAGGAAGGGGAACATCACACTCTGGGGACTGTTGTGGGGTGGGGGGAGGGGGGAGGGATGGCATTAGGAGATATACCTAATGCTAAATGATGAGTTAATGGGTGCAGCACACCAGCATGGCACATGTATACATATGTAACTAACCGGCACATTGTGCACATGTACCCTAAAACTTAAAGTATAATAATAATAATAATAATAATAAATTAAAAAAAAGTAAAGAAATGCTGACATCCTCTGTTGCTGACCTCTAGACCCAGATTTAAAGGGCTCATGTGATTAGGTCAGGCTCACCCAGAAAATATTCCCATCTTAAGGTTAACAGATTTGGGACATAATTACATCTGCAAAAATCTCTTTGTCCATATAACACAACATAGTCATGGGAGTGACAATCATGTTCACAGTCCCAGGGATTCTACAGAGCATATTCTCCATGGGGCAGGGGACTCAAGGGACATCTTAGAATTCTGCCTACCGCCACGGTGTTGGTAAATATCCTGACCCTGTAACAATGAGCGTGAGGTCCTTCTTAGATGACCATGAGCTTCTGGTGAGGGTTTTCAGAAGGAGGGGGACAAAGGAGTGATAGTTAGAGGCTAGTTATCTGCAAGCCACATGTCCCATCTCCCAGGTGGTGAAATAAACCCAGGTCAGCTTCCTAATACAACAGGTGGTTCATTATATCCTTCTTAAAAATCTCACAGAATAACACGAATGATCTAGACATTTTAATAGTGAAAATATAATCCTAGCCAGAGATGCAAGAAAGAGCCTGTCTTCCTATTCTGTCACCCCTGGGGATAATGAAAATTGGGGAAATATGTTTTT
The DNA here is from genome assembly GCF_000001405.40 of Homo sapiens. Classification (NCBI taxonomy): domain Eukaryota; kingdom Metazoa; phylum Chordata; class Mammalia; order Primates; family Hominidae; genus Homo; species Homo sapiens. The sequence continues at coordinate 82,415,734 of NC_000016.10, forward strand.
TCCTTTCTGTCACATACAGTTCTGCAATCACCCCCTGGTCAGTGGGCCACCAGACCTGGGGTCAGTCCCACTTGCCCGTCAGTCAGGCAGGCACCTTTGTGCGCAGTCATGTGCAGCATCCCTGTATAGACTAGGTATGTATCCAAGCCAAGTGGGACTAAGCCACTTAGGGCCTGGATAGCAGACCCAGCATTTTGTTGCAACTAATGGAGGAGAGAAATATGTTGACTGCATAGTCACAGAGTAAGGGGCAGACCAGGGTTTCTCACCTCAGCACCATCAACAGTGGAGGCCACATAATTCGTTGCAGTGGGGCCTATCCTGTGCATGATAGGATGTTGACAGCATGCCTGGCCTCCACCCACTAGATGCCAGTAGCATGTGCCCTGAGTTGTGACAACCAAAAATGTTTCAGACATTGCCGAATGTCTTATAGGGGTACAAAATCACCCCCGCTTGGGAACTTCTGCTATAGATATATATTTCTATAACATAAAAGGAGGGGAAAATTTAGAAAAGCCATCCAGTGAGGACATCCATTGAGATTCTTTTAGAACTGGAAAACGCAGAATGAAAAGAGAGAGAGAAGGAGAAAGCAAGCAAGCCCTTTTTGCTGGAGCCTTGATCAAATGGTACCTGAAGTCACTAGTGGCTTTCTGTCACTCACAACCTAAAGAGTCCTAACTAACACAAGGGACATCACAGACAAAGAAAAGAGGATTAACATGACACCTGAGCCTTTTCATGTCATTTATGCATGAGAAGGATGAGACTGGGTGCGGGAGGTAGATGGTTGCATTGACGTGGTCAGGGTCCTTGTATGCCAGCCTGAGAGGTTGGGACTTGGTTCTCTGCCCACCACAGAGGGTTGGTATAATAGCCCATTCAGCATACTTGAAACTCTGAGACTGACTTTTACAGCCAGAAGCATATTGGAAAGCACCCCAATTGTCATTGTCTTAGATGACTCACTTCTATTGTAGTAAAGCAATAGAACAGATATTAGGAATGAAAATCCATAAACATCAAGAAGAATGCGTATCCATCACCCATAAAGCTGATTTATAAAGAAAAATTTGCCAAGAAAACTTGATTGCTTTTATTGATAGAATGGCTAAATTAGAAGATGAAAGGATCACAGTAGAAGTCATAGATCTTATTTCAGTAATGCAGCTGATATATTATCTCACAAAATTTTGCTTGACAAATTAATTCAAATTGGTTTGGCAGAGGAGATGTCGGCACAGATTGAGAGCTGGACAAAGGCTCACAAAGCCAGGATAATGACAAACAGCCATGGCTGGAGCTGCTGTGAGCTGCCTGATGTGCTACTAGAGGGATGATCTGTCTCTGGCTTCACTGAATCCCTTAATTTCCTGTTGAGAAAAAGGGACCAATAAATGCAGGGTAGTTAGCCTTGGCTACTGGGTCACTTAATGGAAGAGCTCAGAAGGTCCCTGAGAATGAAGAAAGGACATGGAGGAGAAATTGTACACACTGAGTGTCCTTAGGGTTAAGCCTTGGGAGGAATATCAGCAAACTGGACTCACAGTGGGGCTGTGGAACAAGATAGGAACCTTGGCAAGAGTGGTCAGAGGACAGAACATCCTTATAATTGTAATTATTTCCCTGCATCAGGGAAGCTAGATGTCCTGATATAAAAGCACAAATCCAAGTGTCTATAATAGGGCCAGGTGGAAGGATGACACAACTTAGAGAGTGCATGACCTATGTAGCAATGAAAATAAATAAAATCCATCAAGCTCGGTGAATCTGTAAATCATGATGTAGAGCAAAAGTAGCTAGACCCAAAATAAGATTTTCAATGAGATTTCATTTACATACTGCTCTCTAAATAGGCAAAACTATGTAGTTTAGGGATACATACTTACATCATAAAAATATGATGAGAAGCGAGAAAATGATTCTCATGTAGGTCAGGACAGTGGTGATCCTCAGAGGCTGATGGAGACTGTGATTTGAGGGGCATATGGTTCTTCTAGGGGTGCGAGCCATATTCCATCCCTTTACCTGGAACTGGGTTACATAGATGTTGGCTTTTAATCACTCCTAAAATTATGCATCTATTTCATGTACTCGTTTGAATATATGACATATATCACAATGAAAACGGGGAAAAAAGGGCTCAGAAACTATTTAAAGAAAGCAGTCACTAGTCAGCTTCAATGGATTGTTGGCATGTTGGGATGGGGCCAATGTTGTCAGACCAAGCTTTTAAAAGAAATAAGATATATTAGTTAACATCTGAAATAAGCTGGCAGCTAATTCCAAAATTGTTATTATTTTATTTATTTATGTATTTATTTTTTTGAGATGGAGTCTTAGTCTGTCACCCAGGCTAGAGTGCAGTGGCATGATCTCAGCTCACTGCAACCTCTGCCTCCCGGGTTCATGCCATTCTCCTGTCTCAGGCTCACGAGTAGCTGGGACTACCTGAACCCGCCACCACGCCCGGCTAATTTTTTGTATTTTTAGTAGAGATGGGGTTTCACCATGTTAGCCAGGATGGTCTTGATCTCCTGACCTCGTGATCTGCCTGCCTCGGCCTCCCAAAGTGCTGGGATTACAGGCATGAGCCACTGCGCCTGGCCTAATTCCAAAATTATTTAGACACTGCAAACTCACAACATGGACCAAATAAAATAGGTCTCAAGGTGAGATTGGGCCTATGAGTGGCAGTTTGTGACTTCTTCCCCAATCCCAAGGGCGGGGAAGAGAAGAAAATCATTTCCATCCTGCTATATGTATCAGTGTTCTTTGCACTGCTTTTTATCTGGGGAACCTTATGTTAATTGCTAATGACTCAGTGGGTCTTTATTCTCATGACTATTCCATTTTAGCTGACAGAAAGTTTAAGAAATTTGCTCAGGGTTATACAGCTAGTAGGTGAGGGAGTTGAGGTTTGATCCTAGGCTGATTTAATTGCAAAGCCTGTGCTAGCACTGATTTTGCAAGGATCCATGAATAGACATTGAGCCTGGTGCCTCTTTTCTAACCCTCTGTCCCTTGCAGACATCATTAATTGATCAGTGGTCTTTCCTGCTGAGTTGAGGCCCATCTTCCAATGCATTTTATCCTAGAACTCCAGGAATCTACTCATAACTGACTAGAGTTGGTGATTTCCATGAAATACATTTCCTGTCCTGACATCATACTACTCCCCCAGTGGTTTGGGAGTTGACGTGGACAGCTCCTGAGGTGTTGCTGGAAGCAAGAATTGTCAGCCACAGTTTGCTATTTTCAGTTAGGTTCTTCTTTGGTAAAGAACTGATCAACATGATTGTCTCTCACTGGACTGGATTCTTTCTGCTCTTGACATTGCACTACCTGATCCAGAAACGGAATCCTGGCTGGGTGCTTTCCAGATCTGGACATAACCTCCATGCAGAGAAATCACCTTGAAAGCTGCTTCTCTCACTACACCTCTGGAAAGAAGAACATTATCAAGGGTGACTAAATGGAGTGTTAAATGACCTTTAGAAAAAGAGAAGGACAACGATGTGCATGACATCAGGAGGTTAGTGCGGAAAAGAGAAAGGGCAATGATAATATGCGCTAACCAGGCACCTCCTCTACTGTGGTCAGAGAGGGACCCAGACAGAGCATGAGAGAGCATATGGTCCGTATCCCTCAGTTCACAAACAGGGGCCGGGGATTTGATGTGATTCATCCCAAGAGCAAGGGTGCTTCTGTCATCACACCTGGATTCTCACTGTGATATGAGCAAAACATAGCGTAGTACAGTCATGCTTTGCATAGCGACATTTCAGTCAACAATGGACCACATATATGTCATGGTCCTGTAAGATTATAATGAGGCTGAAAAATTCCTGTCACCTAGTGATGTCATGGTCATTGCAATGTTGTAGCACAAAATATAACTCATGTGTTTGTGTGTTTGTGCTGGTGTAAGCAAACTTACTCTGCTGCCAGTCATATAAAAGTATAGCACATACGATTATGTGCAGTGTGTATTATTTGATAATGATAATAAATATGTTATTTGGCTTATGTATTTTCTATACTCTAGCCTTATTTTAGAGTATGTTCTTTCTACTTATAAAAAAAAGTTAACTGCAAAGCAGCCTCAGGCAGGATCTTCAGGAGGTTTTCTGGAAGAGGGCGTTGCTGTCACAGGGGAAGCCAGCTCCATGCCTGTTATTGCTCCTGAACACCTCCCAAAAGGTGGAGGTGGAAGACAGTGATACAGATGATCCAGGCTCTGTGCAGGCCTAGGTTAATGTTTGTGTATGTGTGGTTCAACAAAAAAAGTTTAAAAAGTAAAATAAATAAATAAATAAAAATAGAAAAAGCTTATAGAATAAATATATGAAGAAAGGATATGTTGGTATAGTTGTACAATGTGTTGTTTCAAGCTAAGTGTTATGAAGGAGTAAAAAAATTAAAATTAAAAAGCTTATAAAGTAAAAAGGTTACGATAAGCTAAAGTTGATTTATTATTGCAGAAAGATAATTAAAAAAAAATGTTTAGCCGAAGGGTACCGTGTTTATAAAGTCTACAGTAGTGTACGGTAATGTCCTAGGCCCTCACATTCACTCACCACTCAGTCACTGACTCACTCAGAGCCACTTCCAGTCCTGCAAGCTCCAGGCATGGTAAGGGCCCTATACAGGTGTACCATTTTCATCTCTTATATCATAGTTTTACTTTACCTTTTCTGTGTTTAGATACACAAATATTTACCATTGTGTTGCGATTGCCTATAGCATTCAGTACAGAAACATGCTGTACAGGTTTGTAGCCTAGGAGTAATAGGCTCTACCATATAGCCCAGGTGTGTAGTGGGCTTCGCCATCTAGATTTGTGTAAGTTCACTCGATGATGTTTACACAACAGGGAATTGCCTAATGATGCATTTCTCAGAATGTATCCCATTGTTAAGTGACACGACTGTAATTGAGATAACGAACCTCAGGTTTGGACTCCTCGATTTATATCCCAATTTTGTTATGTTCTACCTTTGTGACCTTGGACAAATTTCTTAACCTCTCATCTATAGCATGCAGATGACAGCAGGACATATTTTAGTGAGTCGTTAGGATTATAGGAGAAAATGTAGGTAAAAGTGCATGTATCTGATGCCTGGCATAAAGTAAGAACTCAATACATATATATTTTAATAAACACATGTATATATGTTTATATATTTATATAAAATCCTCATAACTATATCATGGCAAGTAATATGCTGTAAGACCTATATTTCCAAGAACATGAATAGTTTAAAAGAGCTCTTCTTTTATGAAGTTGGATTTATGTGCCCATTTCAGGTCTGATATATCATTTTAGAAGGGTAGCACAGTATCTTTTATAAAGAAATATGTCCTAAGTGTTGCTGTGAGAGATAACATATCCCAATAGACCCCTTAGCCCTTTGCTGACACTGTTCTCTAAGGAATAAAGATTTTTAGTTACAGAAAGGTGAATATAAGTGACAGTTTCCTGTTCTGGGTATCTCTTAATAATAGTTGAAAGAGTTGTTTGAAATCAGATCTTATAAAGAGAAAAGAAAAATCCATTAGAACAAAAGAGATCCCATTCCGAGAAGTGAATGAACTATGTCCTGATGATTTGCTAGGATTCTTTTCAGACAGCCACGGTCTTGGAGCATCGGTAACTGATTCAAGTGAATGAGCCTGAGCTGATTAAGGATGGGGTAGTGGGCACTTACCTAGTGGCTGCAATTGAGCATCCAGGAGTAGAGTCAGGACCCAGTGCCCAGCAGGCTATTAGAGTGAAGGTCAAGCAGAGGGCAGTAGCGTAGGGTAGAAGTGAGATGTTAGACTATGGGAGAACTGTGACACCAGGGAAACTGCAGGTTACAAAGGGTCCCACAGCTGAAGGAGTAGCCATCCAGGCTTTCTGGTGACTGTTGGCCTATCCCAGGAGGAAAACATGTGTGTTTAGGAGCAAGGTGGAAGGTCAGGGAGAAGAGGCTGTTGTTAAGTGAACTGAGCCAGTTCAGGCAACAAGCATAGATGATAGATAGATACTATTTAGATAGACAATAGGTAGGTTAAATATGTATAGATACTAGATAAAGAAGTAATGGATAGATAGGTAGGTAGGTAGACAGATAGGTAATGGATTGATGGATGGTGTGTTAGTTTTCTATTGTTGCCATAACAAGTTACCACAAACTTAGTGACTTAAAACAGTGCAAGTTTTTATCTCATAATTTTACAGGAGAGAAATCCAGTCAGCTAGATTTGTTTCTCTGCTCTGGGTTTCATAAGCCAAAATCAAGGGGTCAGCCAGGCTGTGTCCTTTCCTTGAGGCTCTGGGGATAAATCCCCTTCTCAGCTCGTTCAGGCTGTTGGCCAAATTCAGTTCCTTGTGGCTGTTAAGACTGAGGTTCCCATTTCCTTGCTGGCTGTCAGTTGAGACCACTTCTTGATTCTTGGGGCTGCATCCTTGCTCTTGCTTTTGATGAGATGTTGCCCTGCACTCCCATCTTGCCACCTTTGCCTTCTGCTGCATGTCTCGTGCATCCTTTTTTCTTCTTATCAGGACTCATGCAATCACATTGGGTCCTCCCAGATAATCCAGAATAATCTCCCTATTTTAAGGGCAGCTGATTAGTAACCTTAATTACATCTGCAAATTAGAGGTCATCTTTAGAATGTTGCCCACCACATGTGGATTGATGGATGGAAATATAGGCAGACAATCGATAATAAATTGATGAATAGATGGATAGCTAGTTAGATAACAGGTAGGTAGGCAGATAAGTAGATATGTAGACAGATGGATAATGGATAGATAGCAATGATAAGTTAATACCAGATCAAAGTTGTTTTGCAGTTACCAATGCCTCCAATAATAGTGTTTGAGTAGAGTTCTTATCCAGAAATTAGTGTGATGGTATCATCGTGGTCTGGCCTGTTGTTTTTCCTTTTTCATGGTTCTATATTTCTGACTCAGTTGTATGTCCACCACTTACCATATCACATCCTGGTCTTTCGACTTTCTGCAGTTGGAGCTGATATAATAGGTAGCTTTTTTGGTTTTTGTAAGCGATTGTCTTGCATTCCATTACTGTTTATTCTTAATGCACTCAAAACCATTTGTGCAACTATTTAGTGCCAGGCATTGTGAGACATATTAATGATACAATAAGGCACAAGACAGACATGGTCCAAACTCCTACAGTATTGTTAGAGAGATTGAGAAGCAAACTGGTCATACTGATAGCAGGTGACAAATGCTGTGAGGAAGGAGAAATGGAAGATGAAACGCATTAGATGGGCATACGGCCTATCTTCAGAAGCCTACAGAAACTTTGTGGAAAAAGCAATATCTAATCTGAGACCCCAAGGATGAGCAGGGATTAGTCATGTCTAGGAAGTGGCTGTCTTGAACACTGAAACCTCATCAACTCTAATTCAGTTGCACTGGTTATTTCTGTTCCTAATTGCTACTGCACAGATCTGTACATATGCTGCACATTTAGGATGTGTTGGTGCTTTCAAATGCAAATGTGTTCTGCAAAAATGTCTTCTGATTGTATAACTCAGCATAAGTTCTGTATGGCTTTGGCAGTGGTATAGGCTTTGTAGATTTTTATTTTAATTTAATATAAATTTTTGCTTTAAGAAGGAAATGGATTTAGTATTTGTCAGGTTAGGAGTCACCTGGATAACTCCTCTCCTCTTGTGCTCTGTCTGCTACTGCTGTGTCCCCTAAGAACAGAGGCTGCTATTAAAGCTATACTCATAGAAAAAAAAATGAAGCATTAAAAAAATTCTTTTGTTTAGTTCTTCTCTGCTTCGTAAAGGTGGGATCATATTGTAAGGTGCAGAGCTGAAGGAGCTGGGCAAATAAAGTTCTGGGACTCAAGCTCCTGACGCCTTCTCTTTCTTATCCTTCAAGTGTAGTTTCTAATCATTTTCTACTTTGCCACAGCTCCCCAGTCAGAGCTCCAGTGGTTTCCAGGTGAGAATGGACCCTGACAAAAGAGCTAGGATGGTTGATAAGCGTCTTTTCCCTTTAGATGCTGTGTGGCCTGATGGATGACCCAGTTTCTTACTATTTACAGTGTATGTGAGCTTACATAAACCACTCACCTTTCTGCACCTTTATATCCGGATTCTTAATCCAGGGGAATGGGTTTAAATAACACACGAGGGAGAGGAATGGTGCTGTTGTTAAAAGCATTATTCTCAAAGTTGGTGTTTGAATCCCAACTTTGCTCCTTATTCATTGTGTAACCATAGGCACGTTACTTAGACTCTGTGAATCTTATTTCCTGATTTGTGAAATGGAGGCAATATCACACCTTACAACACTTGAGGAAATAATGTGCTTCAAGTGATTAGCCCAGTGCTTAGTAAAAGCCTTATAGTTTCATCATTGTCAAATGTTCTGCATGGTTCCAATTCCCTGATACAACTTCTCACTCTAAAGAAGCACCCATCATGATCTCGTTGTATTGACTGTGAAGAAAAGATGAACCTCAAAACAATATAAAATATAAAGAGATGTTAGGAGGAGCTAATTACAAGCAAAAAGAACAATGTATTTTAGAAGTTTGATTTCCTTTTTTTTTTTTCAGACAGGGTCTCGCTCTGTCACTCAGGCTGGAGTGCAGTGGCACAATCTTGGCTCACTGCAAACTCCACCTCCCATGCTCAAGCGATCCTCACGCCTTGGCCTCTCAAGTAGCTGGCGTGCACCACCATGCCCAGCTAATTTTTGTATTTTTAGTAGAGATGTGGTTTCGCTATGTTGCCCAGGCTGGTCTTGAATTCCTGGACTCAAGTGATCCACCTGCCTCGACATCCCAAAGGGCTGGGATAGAAAACGTGAGCCACAGCAGCCAGCTTAGAAGTTAGGTTTCTGAGCTTATTGATCCAAGCTGAAAATTAAAGTGAGATATGAATCTGGTATTATTTAGTTTTGACAGCAAATTTTAAAATAGGAAAAAAATACCTCTAAATTTGTTTACAAAAACAATTTAGACCATCAGAAATTCTGCCTGTGTTTTTATAAAAAATACATTCATGGAAAAATAAAGTTTTTTTTCCAATGTCTGTATAAATATGAGTTTATGTTGAACAACGAAAGGTTTTTGCAGAGCGTTAACATTTGCTTATTAGACAATAGAATTTGATTCTGCCCTTCCGTGTGTGTCTAAATTCAATTGATTGACACCTCATTGTTAGTAGTCCACTCTCACTAATCATTTTTAGCACACACAGAATCTAAAATCTTTGGGTGGTACTTTCCATTTCTTGCCTGTGCTTTCATGTTAGCAATGAAATATTGATAATTTTATAAAGGAGACATAAAATACATCTGTAGAACATGATTGCAGATGTTGGCAGTGATGGAAAGGTAGCAGCTTTTGAGGGTAAGGCAAGATGGAGTGAAAGTTTGGTTAAGGAAGGCAGCTCAAGCATATTGATAAACTGAAGGAGTGCCTGTGGAGAGATCCAAGATGGACTAGAAGAGATATAACTGAAAAGTAAGAAAGTAAGAAGGAATAGATATCAGCGTGGAGGAGAGGGGAATTGAGGAATGTGTCTCCCATTCTTTGGTTAATTTGGGTGAGATCATCTCCTAACAGAAGGGTTTGAGTAGGAATGGCCAAAGATTGGAAAAGAGTGGTCAAGTTTATTTGTCCCTGGAAATGCAAACAAAAATGTGGAAAACTAGAGATAATGAGAACTTACATTTGTTCTTCCAACTATTATTTATTGAGTATCTATGTTGTGCTAGACACTAGAGACAAAGAGGTGAATAAAACACAGGACTTCCGGTATCATGGGGCTTATTAAAAGAAGTCAATGTGCTTAGCCTGTAATTGGGAAGACCAAGAGAGAATATCAGTTATAGCAATGGTTGCCAAACATGTGTTGGGTGAGAGGAGCTGCCTGTCTGATGTGCTACTAAAAGACAGAGCTGAGACCAGTAAGTAAATTTGCAGAAAGTAAGGTCTTGACTCAAAATAAGGAAGAAAGCAGTGCTGTTAGAGGGAATGAGTTCCTTGTCATTCTGAGCATCTGTAACAGAGAAGAAGTAGCCATTGGCCATGATTAATAGAGATGATTCAGACATTGGCAGGCAAGTTGCAGTCGATGAGCTTTTAAGACACCTTACAACTCTGTGAGTCTGTGAATCACTGAGTGTCATCACACGATGTCACTTGCAGAAATTATTGCATAGATTGTCATACTGCCTCAACTGTTGTCGATGTACATTTATTTTAAGAGATGGCAGAAACCAGGAAGAAGGTTAAGGTCTATTTCCGTTGAAGTAACTTCTCTTCTAGTTTCCTGTGATTAAGACCTTTACTTAAAACCAGCCTTGCTGGTGAAAAGGCATATAATCACTGGTTCTCTTCAGCCCCTGTCATGACAGATTAGCATTAATAATATAGAGAACAGCAGCATTAAAAGTAATTACAAACTGTCAGAAAGATACAAGAAATATGACATAGTTCATAGCTTCTTTTCAGGCTTCAAATATTATTTGAGGGGAAAAATAATTACATTTTTCTGTTCATTTCCTAATACAAATAACTTCAGATATCTCATAATTCTTAAAATTTGCAATTAATTCGTTGAAAAACTAATGTCAGGTTGAAAAAGGGCCTCTTTGGTCACAGATTTGCACTGTGGAATGATTCCTTAAGGTACGTTCCCAATTGCCTGTCAAGGTTCCTATTAAATGAATTAATGTAGAAACATAAATCAACTAGCATTTAAAAATACAAATTGTCTAAACTTTAATTGTACATGTGCTTAGCTTTTTCACCTTTTGTCTGTTTAAATACTCCAACCTCTTAATTTAGGTATGCATTCCTACAAATTTACCTAAGATACCAGAATTTAGTAAAATTCTTCCCAGTGAACTTTTGTTCAACTCAAGCCCATTTTGTTCTAGCTATCCGATCTAGTATGTGTTTTTCTATGAAAAATGAGAAAGGTTTCAGTGTTCATATCTTAATAAAATTTATAAGGCTTCTTCCACACTTCCCCTCTTTCTGTAATCCTTTCTTCTTTATTGCATGTACTCTTTAACCTGAGAAGAAATAAAAACAAAGATGAACACTTGTTACTTCTATACTTATTCTTTTTTCCAGAGGAAAAAAGGAAAAAAAGCATTTTTCCCTATTTTTAAGCACCATTCACTACAAACTAGTCACTAACTTACTATATTTAAAATTTATGATTTAATTGAATAGATGTATTATACATATATCTTGTGGTAGTCATGTCATCTTATATTGGTTGTTTTGTAAAAGCAAAATTCTTAACAAAATGGGTGTTCAGATTTAGATAGAATAACTTGACCTCAGGAACTGATTGTAAGCAACCAATAGGTTGAAGCAGACGGGAATAGGGGTGTTGGATTGATGTCCATGGTCTTTCTGCCCTTACAATGCCTGGCATATTGCAGCACACGTAATTCCCGAAATAGGCCAAGGATGTCAAATAAAAAAGAAGGATGGAAAGAAGAAAAGAAGGAAGAATGTTATTGCATTCTAAATATTTGTTGACCTTACAAAGTCACTATTATATATGGCATACTCTTTAGGTAGAAGTTTCTATGGGTTAGCCTACATACTATCATGTGAAGTTCTATTTTATGTTTGTCTCAAATGATTGGAATCTTAAATCAACATTGTTCTGAGAAAGAACTAATTTCACTCATCAGTATATACCATAATATGTACACCTATCCATGTTTTTTTCTTATTTTCTCTTTAGTTCCTCTATCATGGCCTGTCCTCTTTGGGAAAATAGTTCCCCTTCATATAAAATGGTTTATAATGACATGAATGGACTAGATCCTTTGGGGGGAAGTACTGATACTCTATCTTTCTTATTAAAAATTTTATATTGACATATATATATGTGTATATATATATGTACATGTAGAGAGAGAGAGAGAGACAAAATCATGTTACCCTCTGAACACAAAAAGCAGCTCCCTGTGAGGAAAGGCTTTAATATTCCTTAATGTTCGTTTATTACACAAGTCACTCATACACACAAAATTAGGATAAATAAAACTGGATGATCACAAAGAACATTTAAAAATCACTATCTGGTGATAGTAACTATTATCAAGATGGTGTTTCCTACATTTATATCTTAAAACAATTAACCATACTGTACCTGCTGTTTGGGATGAGCTTTGTTCTTTCAACAATATATAATGAATGGATGTCTTTCCTTATCAATGAATATGCAGCCATGTTACCATTTCTAATGACTTCAGAGCATTCATTGGGTGGCTTCATTTAAGCCCTCTTTATTTAAGCATGTCCTATCATTGAAAATTCAGATAATTTCTACTTTGTTGCTATTAAAGAATTTTATGATGGACATCCTTGTAATTCTCCCCTTGCATTCATTTAGGATCCTTTCAGAGCCTCCAGGTGTCGTTGGTGTCTTACAGGGAACAGCTGCCACACCAGAGACAGGATCAAATCCAGTCCTTAGTGCTCGGTAGGCAGGATCTGACTAAATTAAAAAGTGAACCAAAAGGATGAAGCTGTGAGCAAAGTAGAGCCTTCGGGTCATTTTACTCTTTTGCTTAGCATCTTTTCCTCCTGTTATTTCTGCATTAGTACTGGTAGCAGTCTATATAACCCTTTCCCAAGGAAAATCATGGATCTCTTCAGCCACAGTTACAGACGTGGAAGTTGCACTTACCCTAAAGCCCTAAAAGTGTGTGTATGTGTGTGCATGTGTGTATGCATGTGTGTTTCTATCTGAAATTTGGAAGTAATGGCAAAGGATCCCTGCATATCCTTTCAATGTCATGCTAAAGTACTCACTAACAAGCCTGCCCGAGGTTTGACTCTCTTGGGGGCAGGGCTGGCAAACTTTATATGTAAAAGGCAAGGTAATAAATATTTTAGATTTAGATGGCCATATAGTCCCCGTCACAACGACTCACTCTGCTATTGTAGGGCAAAAGCAGCCACAGACAATACATAAATGAGTGAATGTGGCTATATTTCAATAAAACTCCATGAAAATGTGAGGCAGACCAGATTTGGCCCACAGGCCATAGTTTCCTGACTCTTGTATTCGGGAAATGTAATTTTGTTTTACTTACTATTTATTATTATTAACTGACAAGGTATAAATTAGTTTTGTTTCGAAGAGATGCAAGGGTTTTATATGCAATAGGAAAATAACCACAATGGTTCTGCTGCCTAAAAGAGACCCACTTACTGGATAAAGACAGGTATAGGCTCAAATTAAATGGGTGGAAAAAGACATACAATGTGAATGGAAAACAAAAGCAAGCAGAACTAGCAATCGTTATATCAAATAAAGCAGATTTAAACGAACAACAGTAAAAAAGCGGAAAGGAGGGCATTATATGATGATAAAGCGTTCAATACAACAAGATTTAACACTGTCCTAAATATATATGCACCCAACACCAGAGCGCATGGATTTATAAAGCAAATACTAGATCTAAGAAAACATTGAGAACAATACTATAATAGTGGGGGACTTCAGCACCCTACTGATATCACTAGACAGATCCTTCAGGCAGAAAATCAACAAAGAAACTCTGGACTTAAACTGGATTAGAGACCAAATGGACCTAATAAACATTTACAGAACATTCTATCCAACAACTGCAGAATATACATTCTTCTCATCTCTGCGTGGAACATTCTCCAAAATGAACCATATACTTGGCCATAAAGCAAGTGTCAGTAAATTTTTAAAAAATCAAAATTATATCAAGTATCTTTTCTGAACACAGTGGAATAAAATTAGAAATCAATACCAGGAGATATTCTCAAAACTACACAAGTACATGGAAACTAAACAACTTGTTATAGAATGACATTTGGGTAAACAATAAGATTAAGACAGAAATTAAAAAAAACTGAAATGAATGAAAATAGAGACGCAACATACCAAAACCTCTGGGATACAGCAAAAGCAGTGCTAAGAGGAAAGTTTTTAGCATTAAGTGCCTATATAAAACAGAAAGATCTCAAATTAATAACCTAGTATCAAACCTCAAGGAACTAGAAAAAGAAGAACAATCCAACTCAAAGCTAGCAGAAGAAAAGAAATAACAAAGATCAGAGCAGAACTAAATGAGACGAAGAACAAAAAAACAAAGGTCCAGTGGATCAACAAAACAAAAATTTGGTTTTCTGAAAGGATAAATAAAATTGTCAGACTGCTAGCTAGAGTAACCAAGAAAAAAAAGAGAGAAGATTCAAGTAAGTACAATCCAAGATGATAAAGGTGACATTACAACTGCTACCACAGAATTATAAAAGAGCATCAGAGACTACTGTGAGTACCTCTGTGCATACTAACTGGAAAACATAGAGGAAATGGGTAAATTCCTGTAAACATGCAATCCCCCAAGATGGAAGAAATAGAAATCCTAAGCAGACCAGTAATGAGTAATAAAATTGAATTAATATTAAAGAAGTCTCCTAACAAAAAAGACCAGGACTAGATGTATTCACAGCCAAATTTTACCAGATATACAAAGAAGTGTTGGTACCAATCTTACTGAAATTATTCAAAAAAATTCAGGAGGATGGATTCCTCCCTAACACATTCTGTGAAACCAGTATCAGCCTGACACCAAAGTCAGGCAAGGAAACAACAACAACAAAAATAAAACCATAGATCAATACCCCTGGAGAACATAGATGCAGAAATCCTCAAGAAAATACTAGCAAACTGAATTCAACAACACACCAAAAAGATAATTCATCATGCTCAAGTGGGTTTTATCCCAGGGATTCAAGGATGGTTCAACATTCACAAATCAATAAATGCAATTCACCATATAAACAGAACTAAAAACAGAAACCATATGATCATGTCAGCAGATGCAGAAAAGGCATTTGATAAAATCCAACATCCTTTGATGATGGAAACCTTCAACAAAACAGGCATCAAAAAATGCCTCAAAATAATAAGAGTCATATACGACAAACCCACAGCCAACATTGTACTTAATGGGGAAAAGTTGAAAACATTCCCCCTAAGAACTGGAACAAGAAAAAGATGTCCATTCTCACCACTCCAATTCAGCATAGTAATAGAAGTCCCAGCCAGAGCAATAAGACAAAAGAAAGAACTAAAAGGCATTCAAACTGGAAAAGAAGTCAAATTATCACTGTTTAATGATGACACGATTGTATACCTGGAATACCGTGACTCCTTCAGAAGACTCCTAGACTTGATAAATGACTTCAGTAAAGTCTTAGGATACAAAACTAATGTATAAAAATCAGTAGCGTTTCTGTACACCAGTAACATTCAAGGTGAGGATCGAATCAAGAACTCAACCCCATTTACAATAGCCACAAAAAAATAAAATACCCAGGAAGATATTTAACCAAGGAGGTGAAAGATCTCTACAAGAAGAACTATAAAACACTGATAAAAGAAATTATAGATGACACAAACAAGTGAAAAAATGCCCCATGTTCATGGATTGGAAGAATCAGTATTGTTAAGGTGACCATACTTTCCAAAACAACTTATAGATTTAATGCAGTTCGCATCAAACTATCAATGTCATTTTTCACAGTATTAGAATAAAACAATAGCAAAGTCATGGAACCAACCTAACTGTCCATCAACAATTGACTGTATAAAGAAAATGGTATATATACACTATGGACTTAGTAAGCAGCCATAAAGAAGCCCTATGGACTTAGTAAGCAGCCATAATAAAAGAAGGAAATCATGTCCTTTGCAACAACGTGGATGGAGCTGGAGGCCATTATCCTAAGTGAACTAACTTAGAAACAGAAAGGTAAATACTGAATGTTCTCACTTGTACGTGGCAGCTAACAATGAGTACACATGGACATAAAGATGGAAATAATAGACACTGGGGACTCCAAAAGTGGGAGGGTGGAACTGGGATGCTGGTTGAAAAATTACCTATCGGGTACAATGTTCACTATTTGAGTAGTAGGTGCCACTACAAGCCCAATCCCCACCTGTATGCAATATAGGCATGGAACAAACATGCACGTGTACCCCCTGATTCTAAAATAAAGTAAGATAAAATAAAATAAAAATAACAATAACCCTGATGATTATTCCATGATTGCTTTATAGAGTATTTGCCATTTTAAATATACAACTTAGCAACCATTGTCCAGCTTTGGCATCCTGCTGGCTCTCTCATTAATAAGTTAGTAAAATTTCAGCATGTCCTCACTATTTATATGAGAATTATGTTTTAAGCTTTTCAAAAAAGTATACTTTGCCTGGACTCCACAGGAAAGACGACCTTAAGAAAAAGACTTGGTAAGGAACATAGACTCAGAAGGTCAGCTCAGCCTTCCTTGCCTCTGCTGTTTTCTGCAGAGATGGTTGTCTGGTTTTTCATTTGCCTCTCTTTTGCTTGCGACCAGATAACTTACTGTCCCCATAGCATCTTTGTCCTCAGGAAGCTCCCTTCTACAAGGGCAGGACATCCTCATCAATTGGAAGGATAGTCTTGTGTCTAAACATTTGTGACGGTTCTGCTAAGTACATGCTGTGGCCAGCAGCATAGTTCCACCAGCAACTCACTTACAAAGTGTAACACATTTAGCTAGTTTTTTTTTTTAAGTCTTCCACTTTTTTTTTTTTCTGTTATGATTTCATTCTGAAAAGGGAACCAAGCCCGTTGATCATCTCCGAGTTTAGCAGAGAGCCTGGTGCTTGAGGGTTACGCTGCAGCATACACCGCCTCAGTGATTCACTGTCTCCACCAGTCACTAAGCATCTGTGCTCAGCAGCCGCTGCTTGCCGGCACTTTGCTGATTTTTTTCTTTTGCTTTTGAAAAAGCTGCTGTGTGGTTTCTGTATACAGAATTTGAGTCTCTGCTTTTCCCCGGATCATCTCATTTGATCCTCCCAGCCAGCTTATGAGGCTAGTTTAGTATATTGCCACTGTTTATAGAGGAGGATTCTGAGAACTCAAAGAAGTTAAGGCACTTGCCTGAGATCACACTGCTTGTAAACTGCTGGGTTAAAATGGATTTTAACCCAGTTCCACCCACCCCTCAAACTCAAGCTTAGCCCTGCCCTGTATTGCCTCCCCAGTCCCTTACTCCCAGATCTGCCAGACCTATCTGCAGATCAGACCTGTCTTCATTCCTGGGCCTGTATGACTGTGGCTGGTAGGATAATATTAATACTAATATTTTAATGCTAACACTAATGTTAATACCCAACACTAACTGAGCATTCATAAATACCAGGCCCCTTTTTAACAGGAAGGTTATAATCTATCATCCAAACAGGGATACTTTTTTAAAAACAACTTTATTGGGGCAGTTGACAGATAATAAACTATAAATGTTTAAAGCATATAATTTAATAAATTTTGATATGTATATTCACATGAAGCCCTCACCGTGATCAAGATAGTGGATGTTTCTATGACCCCTGAAAGTTTCCTTATGCCTGTTTATCATCCTTCCCTATCACCCACTCCTGTTCCTGGGTAACCACTGATCTGCTTCTTTTCTTCTTTTCTTTCCTTTCCTCCCCTCCCCTCCCCTCCCCTCCCCTCCCCTCCCCTCCCCTCCCCTCCTCTCCCCTGCTCTCCTCTCCCCTCTCCTCTCCTCTTCTGACAGAATCTTGCTCCTGCGATCTTTGCTCAGTGCAATCTCTGCCTCCTGGGTTCAAGCAATTCTCCTCCATCAGCCTCCCAAGTAGCCGGGATTACAAGCACATGCCACCATGCCAGCTAATTTTTGTATTTTTAGTAGAGAAGGGGTTTTTCCATGTTGGCCAAGCTGGTGTCGAACTCCTGACCTCAGGTGATCTGCCCAGCTGGTCCTCACAAAATGCTGGGATTACCAGCATGAGCCACCACGCTTGACCTGCTTTCTGTCACTATGGATTAGTTTGCATTTTCTAGAATTGTCTTTCTTTCTTTCTTACTTATTGATACACACATGTTGTGTGTATCAGTAGTTCATTCCTTTATATTGCTGAGTAGTACTCCATAGTATGGATATGCCACAGTTAATTCATCCATTCCCTGTTCATGGGCATTTGAGTTGTTTTCACTTTTTAAATATTACCAACAAAGCTGCTATGATCATTAATGTATAAGTCTTTGTATGAACGTATGCTTTCATTTCTCTTGGTAAATACCTAGGAGTAGAATAACTAGATCATATTGTTGGTGTAGCTTTAATTTTTAAGAAACTGCCAATTTTTTCCAAAGCGGTTGTACCATTTAATATTCTCATAAATGGCATATAAAACATATTAAGTCCTCCACATCTTCATTGACACTTTGTGTGGTGAGCCTTTATAATTTTAAATATTATTAATAATTACATGTAGTATGATATCATGGCTTTAATTTTGCATTTCCCTAATGATTAATGATGTTGAATATATTTTCAAGTCTTTATTTGCCATCTATGTATCTTCTTTAGTGAAGTTTCTGTTCAAAATTTTTGCTCATCTTTTTTTAAGTGGGTTGTTTCTTACTGAGTTTTCAGAGTTCTTTAGATATTTTTGATACAAGTCCTTTATCAGATATGTGATGGCAACTGTTTTCTCCCAGTCTGTGGCTTGTCTTTTCATGCTGTTCAGTGTCTTTGAAGACTAAAAATTTAAAGTTTATAAAATTCAGTTGATTAATTTTTAATTTTTATAGTGCATGGTTTTTATGTTTCTTCGGAGAAATACTTGCCTAGCCCATAATCACATGTTTTCTTCTTTGTTTTTTCTCTAAATGTTTTAAGATTTTAGGTTTTTCACAAATGTTCCATTTTGTGTTAATTTTTATGTGTGGAGGTAGATATTGATTTGTCAATTACACTG
This sequence comes from Homo sapiens, assembly GCF_000001405.40. NCBI lineage: Eukaryota > Metazoa > Chordata > Mammalia > Primates > Hominidae > Homo > Homo sapiens. The sequence goes on from NC_000016.10 coordinate 82,434,580, forward strand.
GGCTTCTTTTTCCACATAGATGATGATGGTAATGGTGAATAATGATAGCTCTACTTCAGTCTGGAGAGATTTTATTTTTGCCTTATTTCACTGGCTGGAACCTCTTAGACAGTGTTTAATAGAATTGGTGCGAGTGAGCATTCTTGTCTCATTCCTGATGTAGGAGTAAAATAATATTTAATCTTTCACCATTAAGAATGATGTAAGAGCTTTCGGCTGGAACTGCCATCTTCCAGTAATTCGCCAAAATGACAAACACAAAGAGAAAGAGGAGAGGCACCCGATACATATTCTCTGGCCTTTTAGAAAACATACAGTTGTTCCTTTGGCCACGTATATGCGAATCTATAAGAAAGGTGATATCGTAGACATGAAGGGAATGGGTACTCTTCAAAAGGGAATGCCCCACAAGTGTTACCATGGCTAGACTGGGAGAGTCTACGGTGTTCCCCAGCATGCTGTTGGCATTGCTGTAAACAACCCCACAAGTGTTACCATGGCTAGACTGGGAGAGTCTACAGTGTTCCCCCGCACGCTGTTGACATTGTTGTAAACAAACAAGGGCAAGATACTTGCCAAGATAATTAATGTGCATATTGAGCACATTAAACACTCTAAGAGCTGAGATAGCTTCCTGAAACACGTGAAGGAAAATGATCAGAAAGAGAAAGAAGCCAAAGAGAAAGGTACCTGGGTTCAACTGAAGCTTCAGCCTGTCCACTCAGAGAAGCACGCTTTGTGAGAACCAACGGGAAAGAGCCTGAGCTGCTGGAACCTATTCCCTGTGAATTCATGGCATATTACGTGTTAAAAAAATAAAAGACCTCTGGACTATAAAAATGTTTCTCTTCATTGAGTAGAAGTGTGGTGTCCTCTCCCCCAAAGCAATATTTAAAGCAAATTTTAATTGTGTCCTAATTCATTATGTGATGTCTTTACTATTCAAATGTAATGTATTTCTTGCTGAAAGACGTGAGGTAGCTTATTGTGCAAAAAATTACTCAACTGGTTAGAAAATGGCCAGGTATTATGTATGAAATATTTGTGCTGGTTTGAAGATAGTCCCTCTAAATCATCAAGGAAGAAATAAAATAATTTACAAAAAAAAAAAAGAATGATATAAGTAAGCTATGTGATTTTATAGGTGTCCTTTATCTGGCTGAAGAGTTCTCTTTTATTCTTAGTTTACTGAGAGGTTTTTTTTTTGTTTGTTTTAAATTAGAAATGAATGTTGGATTTCGTTGAATGCTTTTGTAATTTTTCTTTCAAGATATATTAATATCATGAATACCTTTAACTGATTTTTGAATATTAAACTAAACTTTTTTTCCTGGGATAAGGCTTGTCTAGTCATGAGGTACTTACACATTGTTGGATTCGATTTGCTCACGTTGTTATGCTTTGGGATATTGCCTGTAGGTTTTTGTTTTGGAGTTTTCTTTTTGTAATCTCTCTTTTCTCTCTATTTCAATCTCATCAGAGTAATGGGCTTCATAGAGTGTGTTGAAAAATATTTTCCTTTCTTCAGTTCTCTGGAAGAGTTTGTCTAGAATTAATACTATTATTGCCTTCAATATTTGGTGGAGTCTTTCAGTGAAGTCATCTGAACTCGGAGTTTTCTTTGTGGTAGTTTTCACAACAAATTTATTTAATTTATTTAGGGTTATTTGGGTAATCTAGCTCTTCTTGTGTAAACTTTGATATTTTGTGTCACTTAAGTCATTTGCTTATTTCATCTGTTATCAAATTTATTGGCATAGAATTGTTCATAATATTTCTTTACTATACTTTGATTATATTTAGATCTTCCGTGATGTTACTTATTTTATTCCTAATATTGGAAATTTGTGTTTTCTTTTTCCTTTTTTTTGTCCTGATCAGTGGCTACAAACTTATCAATGTTATTAATCTTCACAAGAAACTGGTTTTGGTTTTATTGTTTTTCTCTGTTGTTTTCTGTTTTATAGTTTATTCAATTCGTAATTATAAATGGATTTATTAATAATTAAAATGCTGATGTTTATTATTTCTTCTCTTCTGCTTACTTTAGGTTTCATTTGCTCTTCTTTTTCTAATTTCTTATGGTGGAAGCTGAGGTAATTGATTTGAAAGCTTTCTTTTTTTTATATAAGCATTTTGTTGCTATACATTTTTAATTTTTCTACAAGCACTGCTTTAGCCACATTCAACAATTTTTTTTTTTTTTGAGATGGGGTCTCCCTCTGTTGCCCAAGCTAGAATGCAGTGGCACAGTCTTGGCTCACTGCAACCTCCACCTCCTGGGTTCAGGTGATTCTCCTGCCTCAGCCTCCTGAGTAGCTGGGATTATATGGGCACACCACCATGCACGGATAATTTTTGAATTTTTAGTAGAGACGGGGTTTCACTATGTTAGCCAGGCTGGTTTCCATCTCCTGACCTCAAGTGATCCCCCCGACTCAGTCTCCCAAAGTGCTGGGATTACAGGCGTGAACCACCTTGCCCAGCCGCGTTAAACAAATTTTGATGATATATTGTGTTTTCATTTTTATTCAATTTAAAAGACTTTTTAATTTCTTATTTGATTCATGAATTCTTTGGAAGTGTGTTACGTACATTTCAAGTATTTGAAGAATTTTCTAGACGGCTTTCTATTATTGATTTGTAATTTAATCCTACTGTGGTCAGAGAACATACTTTGTAAAACTTGAATCGTTATATATTTATTGATGCTTGTTTTATGGCTTATAACATGCTTTTTCTTGGTAAATGTTCCATGCGCACTTGAAAAGAATGTATTTTCTGTTGTCGACGAGTGTTCTAGAAAGGTCAAATAGGTTAAGTTGGTTGATAGCATTGTATAAGTCTTCTATGTTCTTACTAATTTTCTATCTAGGCAGTCTATCAATTATTGAGAGAATGTTAAAATTTGACAAAAATGCCAATTTTTCTATTTCTCTACAATTCTATAAGTTTCCAATTTATGATTTTGAAGCTTTGTGTTTAGGTGCATAAATATTTAGAATTGTTTTGTACTCTTGATGCCTTGACCTCTCTATCATTATGAAATGATTATCTTTAACTTGGGTAATTTTAATTCCTGAAATATAACTTCATCTGATACTAATATAGCATCTTCAGCTTTATTTTGGTTAGTATTAGCATGATATACATCTTTTCACCCTTTTACTTTTAATCTGTGTCTTTGTATTGAAAATGAATTTCTTATAGGCGGTATACAACTAGGTATTACTTTTTTATCTAATCTGATAATTTGGGATTTTTAATTGAGGAATTTGGGCTATTTACATTTAATGTAATTATTGACATCTTTAGTGGGCTTAAATCTACATGATAGTACTTATTTTTTATTGTCCCATCTGTTCTTTTTTATTCCCTTTCCTCTTTTTCTGCCTTTTTTTGGAGTATTTTTTATAATTCCATTTTTATCTCTTTAGTTGGTTTATTAGCTATAACTCTTTGTTGAGTTATTTTAGTGGTTACTTTAGGGTTTATAATTAAGTTCATAATTTTACACACACACACACACACATATATATATAGCAGTTGATATCTTTTATAAAGATTTAATAAGAAAATAATCAGAAAAAAATTATTGTATTTACCCAGGCAGTTACAGTTTCTGATGCTTCATTCCTTTTTCTCAATCTAAGTCTATATCTGGAATAATTTTTCTTCTGCTCTAAGAATCTTAATATTCTTTGTATTACAGTTTTGTTGGTGATAATTCTTTCAGATTTTGTGTTTTGTAAACATCTTAATTTTGCCTTTGTTTTAAAAAGACATTTAAAAATCATTAAACAATTCTAGGTTGGTTGTTTTTCGTATTTCTATAAGTATTCTTGACAGCTTTTCTGAAACAGAGTTAAATTACTAGGAAACAGTTTAATCCATGTAGGTCTTGCTTTTATATTTTGTTAGGTGGGACCAAAGCAGCATTTAATCTAGGGTTAATTCTTCCTTATTACTGAAGCAAGACTCTCTTTAATACTCTCATCAATGCCCCATCAATTGAGAAGTTTCCATTCTAGCTGTTGGGAAAATCCGCTGTTAGAGGGTGGTGTTCATCTGATCCTTTGGGGTGGCTCTTTCCTCGTGCTTGGGTAAGTTTCTTCACAGGCACACATTGATCAGTACTTAAGTTGGACCCTCTAAAGGTCTCCTTAGTTCTCTTTCTGTGCGTCCTTTTCTCTGGAACTCAGCCTTGAAAATTTTAGCTACCTTGGCCCTTGGCGTTCCTAGACTTCCAGATCCTTCTCTCATCTTTTTTTTTTTTCTTTTCTTTTCTTTTTTTTTTTTTTTGAGACAGAGTTTCACTCTTGTTGCCCAGGCTGGAGTGCAATGGCGCAATCTCGGCTCACTGCAACCTCTGCCTCCCAGGTTCAAGCGATTCTCCTGCCTCAGCCTCCCAAGTAGCTGGGATTACAGGCACCCACCACCACGCCTGACTAATTTTTTGTAATTTTAGTAGAGACAAGGTTTCACCATGTTGGCCAGGCTGGTCTTGAACTCCTGACCTCAGGTGATCCACCTGCATCAGCCTTCCAAAGTACTAGGATTACAGGTGTGAGCCACCATGCCCGGCCTCCTTCTCTCTTCTTTCTCTTCTTTACACCATGACTTAGACATCTACTTTCTCTACATGGTAAGATAGGGCAGTTAGTAGAATCACCTCTTTTTGTTTCACATCTTTCAGGGACCACTGTCTTATCTTTTCTGATGTCCAATAGCTTGAGAATCATTATATATATATTGTTTCTTTAAAAAAATTTGTTTCAGGAAGGAAATGCTAATTCTATTTCATGCTAACTCCATCTTGGCCAGCAGCAGAGGCCAAATCAAGACACTTCTGAGAGTAAAAGGAGAAAGCTCCACTAATAATTATACCATGTAACAGGCATAAACCAAACTGTCCTAGATAAGATGGGACGTATCGTTATCCTGTATATGAAGAGCATTACCTGAATTAATTAATCAGTGTTTATAGTAACTTTATGAAGTAGGCAGTATTCGTTTCATTCACAGATGAGATAAGCGAGGTAGGTAGGAGATAACTCACTTATCTAGTGTTTCACAGGCAGGTTGTGGGTGGTAGAGCGGGGATTTGAATTCAAGAACACGGATTCTGAGCCCACGCTTACTGGTGCCGCTCACTACCCCTACCACCACCAGCACCACCCCATCTCCAACAATACACAGCTGGGAAACGTTAGCATTCAGTGATATTATCCACAACATCCAGTTTGTAGTGGATCCTATACCAGCTCTGGGCACTAGGGGGGTGTCTGAGGACCAGCTCCCTTCCTGTCTCCTTTTCCACCAATTTCATGAACATTCTGGTCTCTGTTACCTTCTCTCTTCCATCCCCTGTGGTTTGCCTGTTTCTCCTGCCAGTTAACTTTAGGACTAGACTCAGTGTGGAGTCTCCACATTCTTTTCTGATCTCCAAACTGGCCCCCTCTGAGGAACCCTGATGAAACCAGAGTGGGATGTGCTGTGTCCACTGGGTCCAGGGTCTGTGCTTCTAGCATTTTGACTGAGCCCAGTGGCTTCCCTGCCAGGCAGCTCTGCCTCACTCACCCTCCACCTCGGCATGTGTCATGCACATTACGATGCCAAGTATATGTCACACATGATCTTGCCCCCTAGAGTCATTCGCAGAGTGATGAGGCCACCATGGTGTTGAATGGGTTCAGGAATCCATACTTCTCATTTTAATTCAGTCTTGTCTTTTCTATCAGTGTACCAGTGTTAAGGGGAAAAGCCACACCAAGCAGGCTGGTTTAAAACAGCACACTCATCATTCAGCTGATTATACAGACTTAGGCTCTTTTCCTCCAAGTTTCCTCCTCCCTCCCGACCGACCGTCATGCAGCCCCCTTTGTCCCCCACTGCCCGTCACCCTCTCTGGAGGCCACCCACAGTGGTCTCTTCTTTGTTCTCCTATCTGTAGTCAGCCAAGGATATCCCTTTGTTCCCTTATCTTGCCTTGTTCAGGAATGTTATCTGCATTGAGGCCTAATTTGTTTCATCACCTCTTTCACCTCCTCAGGACCTTCACTCCCCGGCTTCCTTACCAAGGTCAACTCTCCTCATCCCTCTCAGGAATTTGCTCTTATCTATGTAACAGGGTTGCATTTTATTCTGCGAGACCACAGGGCAAGAAATGCCACATTCTTTTCCTTCTTTAAATCAAGTTTAATATGAAACAGCAGAAAATTCAATATCTGTCTTTACCTGGGCTTCTTCCACTACCAATCCAACCCCACAGTGTCAGGCAAAAGCTCATGATGTCTTTGCAGCACGGCATTTTCAGAGAAGGCTTGACTTGGCTCTGGCCTGGACAGGTTACCAATTATAGGCTTATTGTCCCAACCTTGCTGTTCCCATGAAGGCCAAACCTGGAGGATTCTGTGCCACGTTTGAGTGTGGTACTGTGGCTGTCGGGGATAAATCACTAACTGTTTAACTCCCACCCCAGCCACTGACAACCAGGCATAGACCAGCCTTCGTTTGTGGGAACCCCAGAGGACTTCATCCTTGTTGTCTTGTTGGATAAATATCTCCCTTCCCTGTCTTAGTAATTCAGGCTGCTATAACAGAACACCATAGAGAGGGTGGCTTAAACAACAGACAGTTATCTGTAATAGTTCTGGAGTCTGGTGTGCACCCCAAATTTCTGAGACAAGACTCAGTCAATTTAGAAAGTTAATTTTGCCAAGGTTAAGGACATGCCAGTGACACAGCCTCAGGAGGTCCTGGCAACATGTGCCCAAGGTGGCTAGTGTACAGCTTGCTTTTATACCTTTTAGAGAGACAGAATACATCAATCAATACATGGAAGACTTACACTGGTTCAGTCTGGAAGGGCAGGACAACTCAAGGTGGGAGGAATGTCTGGATTTCGAGAAGGGGTTGTGGAGACCTAGGTTTTATCATGCAGAGGAAGCCTCCAAGTAGCAGGCTTCAGAGAGGATAGAGTGCAAATGTTTCTTATCAGGCTTTAGGTTTGTATCGATGTTAATGCTGGTGGAGTATAATGAGGCATGTCCAACCCCCACTTCCCATCATGGCCTGAACGTCTTGCAGGTTAAATTTTAGGAAGCCCTGGCTGAGGAGAGGATTCATTCACATGGTTTTTGGGGGTGGAATGGGGGCCTGGGAGTTTTATTTTTTGGTTTACTCTGGGAAGTATAAGATCAAGATCTTGGCAGATTAGGTATTTGGCAAGGACCTTCTGTCTGGTTTGCAGATTGCGGTCTTCTCGTCTTTTTCATGTTCTCACATGGTGGAGAGCAGGGAGGGAAAAGCAAGCTCTCTCACGTCTTTTAATAAGGGCACTAATTCCATTCATAAGGATTCCATTTCCTGACCTAATTACCTCTGAGGCCCCACTTTCTAATACCATCATATTGTAGGTTAGGATTTCAATACATGAATTTGGGGGGTACAAAACCATTCAGTCCATAGCATCGCGTTAGTTTAAATTGCTTGTAAAAATCCAAAAAGCATTCACTTCTTCTCCCTGTCCAATATAATCCACCATAACATCCTTCAGAGAAGCAAGGCTTTTGAGAAACAAATAGCTAGGAAGGACTTTATTTCCTCTGCCTGGCAAGTTTGCTTTCAGCTCTGGGTCACAGAAACACACCTGAGGCAACAACACACAAAGACATGGCGTCTTTTCTGAGCTTGGCAAGGGAAACGTAACTTGAAGTAAGGGGAAAAAAGCACACATTTATATCTGAATACTGCAGTTTCTACCACTTGTTAACTGTGTGACACTGGACATCTAAAAACTGAGGCTCATGAAAACATCTGCCATCTGACTTCTTAGGGTTGTTTTGAAGATTAAATAAGTTAATAGTGTGAAAACTGCTTAGAACAATGCTATGCAAGTGTTAGCTATGTTTACTGTCAGCTAATAATGCTGCTTGTGACATTTTGTCTGTGCTCCTTGTTTCAAACATCTTACTTGGAGCTTCCAAAGTTAGCACTTAGAGTGGATATTAGGTTGGTGCAAAAGCAGTTGGATTTTTTGCCATTAAAAGTACAGGCAAAACAGCAATTACTTTTGCACCAGCCTAACAGCTTATGTATGCAGAATTACCTGCAAATTCCTTTGGAGACTAGCCATAATATTTCTTGCTGTGTCTAACCCAGGCAGTTTTCCTCCCAGCTTTAAATTCACTTGTGTTCTCTTGGGTTGGTCTCCCAGTGAAGGTGTTGCTTGCAGATTTATACCTCTCCTCTCACAGCCAATCTGGAGCAGGCCTTCATTTAGTGAAAAACTGCAGAATCATCCATGCTGCTTATTTTTTTTCTGTCTCTCTCTCTCTCTCTCTCTCTGTTGAGTATACATAGTGGAAATCATATAAGTTAAATGTGAATGAACTCTAACTTGCAGTTTTCCTAAAGTCCATCTCATCCTAAGCCTAGCTGAATATGAAATTGACATCCGTTTCTATTTCAGGGACCTTCACGATGCCATTGGTCACATAGGGCAGAGAATGAGGAGTTCAGAGATTCCCCTGGACTGCCACCATTGGTATCCTCATGATGTTCCCAAAGGCAGATCATTTTGCTCTTCTTTTAGGAAATAGTAGTAACTGACTGACTTCACTGAAGTCTCCTTTCTCCCTTGTCCTAATCCTTAGTGGGTACAATGAGTCCTTTACCTGGGGCAGTAGGGTGTATGTATTAGGATTCCAGGGGATGTTCTTCATCCCTGGTGGCAGCTATGCAAGGAATATTCAACCGTATGTGGCTGTTGAGCATCACCTGTAGTTTTTGTTTGTATTAAGATATAGTCTTCTAGATCAAGAGCAGTGGCTCACTCCTGTAATCCCAAAGCTTTGGGAGACTGAGGCAGGAGGATCACTTGAGCCCAGGAGTTCAAGACCAGCTTGGGCAACATAAGGGAGACTTCATCTTTACAAAATAAAAAATAAAATAATTAGCCAGATATGGAGGCACATGCCTGTAGTAGCAGCTACTCAGGAAGCTGAGCTGGGAGGATTGCTTGTGCCTGGGAGGTCAAGGCTGCAGTGAACCACGATCACGCCCCTTGACTCCAGCCTGCGCAACCAAATGAGATGCTGCCTCAAAAAGAGAAGAAGAAAAAGGAATGCTCTTCTAAAAGAGATGACACAGGCAAATATTAGCCACATACACTTGAACATGGGAAAAATTAAAACTGAGACAACACCACCCTGGACCAGGTACCCCACATTTTGTTTTTCTCCCTCCTCTGTCACTAATCAACTAGATGGTCTCAGGTGAGCCCCGTCCCCTCTCTGAGGCTCAGTTTTCTCATCTGTGAGATGAGGGGTTGTGCATATGGACTTCCCAGTTCTGTCATCCTAAACTCTGTGATTCCACTTGATCAGTGTGAATTCTTCCTTGAAACCTTTCCATGACAGGAATGGCTTTGGGGAATGCACTGGAGAATGGTGTTGTTTCTTAGGAAAGTTACCTGGTGGAGGCGGTGTAGTAATTTTAGTTTCCTTTGTGGGGACCACTTCTGCTGTAATCTTTATGTATGTTATGGGTAGGGTTGAATCCACCACCTCAGCTCCAAGGACCAATCCATCCTCTTTGTCATGGTGATAAGTTCACGCATAGGCATGTGACCCAAGTGGTTCAATGGGATTCACTCCTGAAAGTCTTGTTGGAAACTATTAGAAAAGAGTCATTGTCTTTTCTTCAGTATTGGTACACTGGTACGCATAGAGTTGGTAATGGCCATCCTTGACATAACATGGAGAGTATGTCCAAGAAATGAGGCTGATAGACACACGCATAGTTACAGAGAGACAGAAGCATGCAGAAACAGAGAGATATTATACTGATGACATTGTTGAGTGCCTTGATCCTGGCCTTTCCTTTTGGGCTTAACAGTAACAAGAGTCACTAAATATCCTTTCTGCTCAAACCATTTTGACTTAGGATTCTGTTATCTGCAAATGAATGATGCCTGCCTAACAGGGGTGATGTTTCCATTGCAATGTTGGGAGAAGAATTTGCTTCCCTCTAGATGCCATGAATAGAGGCTTAGAAATGAGAGAAGGGAGTATAATCTCAGACAGCAGAGGGTAGCATGGGAATGGGAAAGGGAAAGACCCTACAATGTGCTGAGCAGTGTGCTGCACGTTTCATTTTTTTTCCACATTTAACTCCATAACCCTATGAGAAATGTGTTATTTTCATTATGCCCATTTTTCAGAGAAGGAAACTGGAGATAGAACAGATTAAGGACTTGCCTGAGGTCACACAATCGGTGGCAGAGCAGAGATTTATAACCAGACTCATGGTCTCCTGAGCTTCAGCTCTTGACCACTGAAGTATAGTTCCATGGTGATTTTTCCCCCTAATTTCCTGCCTAGCTTGCCACCTAGCTGAAGTGGGGCTGTAATGTGAATCAAGGCCTCCTGGACTCCCATACATGTGTAAGAGAGATGGAGGAGAAGTACAGACAGGGGAGATCTCTAAGTGGACAAGTCCTGTGGCTAAAACAAAATCCTGGAAGGTGACTACCCTCCACACCCCACCCCACCCAAGCCAGAAAGGAAAAGATTATCCAAAGATAATTAATTTTTTAAATAGATACTTTTTTGCAAATTTAACAGAATTGTGATCTATCCATGCAGTTTTAAACTGTCAAATGATTTAGCCATAAATTTCGAAATGAGAATATATAGCGTATAACCACATCAACTTTTTATGAAACATATTGAAATTTATTAGTTATCAATGCAGTGTGTTTCAGCATATCTTTTTGGGAAATCAAATATATCATTTTAATATTTTCTTCCACATGCAGTATACATTAACTCACAGGATGCTGAGGCTGCCTCTGAGAATTTCTGTCATTTCCTTCTTGTCCTTTTTTCCTTCTCTCCTTCATCTGCTGTGCGTTTATCTTTATGTGCTCCCTTCCATTTGACTGTACAGAAAAGCTCTATGAAGGGAATCTGGTTATAAACCTCAGCCCTGCCTCCTATTGTGTGACCTCAGGCAAGTCCTTAATCTGTTTCTTCTCCAGTTTCCTTCTCTGAAAAATGGGCATAATAAAATTAGTACCTTTCTCATATGGATAGGAAATTAAATGTAAAATATGATAAACTGCACATTAGCTGTTTTATTTTTTATTTTATGGTGCCTTGTACATAGTAGGTGCTCAATAAATTCTGTTAAGTTAATGCATTATAAAATATTTCAGTTTATCTCATTATAAATAATAACCAAGGATAAGTAATTTTAAAACTAACCTTATAAATTGAAGTTAATATACATCTTGACAATTGCATAATTTCTAAGTGTACAGCTGGATAAATTATCACATATTAAATGCACCCATGTAATGACCACTCAGATCAAGAAATAAACCGTTACTAGCTTTCCAGTAGCCCTGACTTTTGTTTCCCCCAGTTCACTACAATTTTGACTTCTACTTCATTCATCAATTTTGCTTGTTTTTGGACTTAATATAAATGGACCCATACAGTGTATATTCTTTCATGTCAAGCTTTTTAAAAAGGTAACATCATTTTTTGAAACTTATTTATATAATTTATTATAGCAGTAATTCATTCCTTTTTATTGCTGTATGGAATTCTATTTGATGATACACCACAATTTACTCATTCATTCTATTGATGGACATTTGGGTTGTTTAAAGGGCTTTTTTTCTACCAGAATATGCGACTATGAACATTTTTGTTTCTTGCTAAACAATCCCATCAAAAAGTGAGCTAATGACCTGAATAGACAACTCTTAAAAGAAGATATACAAATGAACAACAAACATATGAAAAAATGCTCAACATCACTAATGATCAGGGACGTGCAGGTTAAAAACCACAATGTGATACCACCTTATTCCCACAAGAATGGCCATCATCAAAAAATCAAAAAATAATAGATGGTGTGGATGCAGTGAAAAGGGAACACTTCTACACTGCTGGTAGGAGTGTAAGCTAGTACAACCACTATGGAAAACAGTGTGGAGATTCCTTAAACTAAAAGTAGGACTACCATTTGATCCAGCAATTCCACTACTGGGTATCTACCCAGAGGAAAAGAAGTCATTATAAGAAAAAGATACTTGCTCACACATGTTTATAGCAGCACAATTCACGATTGCAAAAATGTGGATCTAGCCCAAATATCAATGAGTGTATAAAGAAACTGTGATGTATATATATACCACATTATATATATACATATATATACACCACATTTTTATATATATATATATATATACACATATATATATGTATATATATATATAATGGAATATTACTTACCCATAAAAAGGAATGAATTAATGGCATTTGCAGCACCTGGATGGGATTGGAGACTATTATTCCAAGTCCAAGTGGAGTTAACTCAGAAATGGAAAACCAAACATCATATGTTCTTACTTATAAGTGGGGGCTAGTCTATAAGGAGGCAGAGGCATAAGGATGATACAATGGACCTTGGGGACCCAGAGGGAAAGGGTGGGTAGTGAGTGAGGGATAAAAGACTAGAAAGTGGGTTCAGTGTATAGTACTCAGGTGATGGGTGCACCAAAATCTCACAAATCACCACTAAAGAACTTACTCATGTAACCAAATACCACCTGTTTCCCAAAAACCTACGGAAATAAAAAATTTAAAGAAAAAGAACATTTTTATACATGTTTATTGGGATACATAGGCATGCGTTTTTTGGGCTTATGTCTAGGAGTAGAATTTTTGGTTCACTGGCCATGCACATTTTCAATGTGGGTAGATATTGCCAAATAGTTTTTGAAGTAGTTATGCCAATTCATATTGTCAATGCTCCACATTGGAAGACCACTAGGAATACATTTGTAGTGGAAAATGAACAAATTTAGGTTCATTAATTCATTTCAACAAGGGAGAGCACACACGAAGGGGATGGTGAGACGTCTCAAGAAAAGGGTGTTGGGAAGAATTAGGAGATTTGGGCTTCTGTTAGGTGGTTTTGGGAGGGTTCAAGGAAACTGGACTTTGATCTTACTTGGATACTCTCAGGAAGCCAGGTTAATTCTGTGACTGGATGGCTTAATCATTTTTATCCAGAAAGCAGGAAGAATGGAATGAGGCTAAACTGGAATTTGAAGAGAAGTAGCATTGACTTACATAAGCCAACATATTAATTTCCTGTGGCTGCTGTAGCAAAGTACTGCAAACTGGGTGGCTTAAAAGAGCAGAAATTTAGTTTATTTTCTCGCAGTTCTGCAGACTAAAAGTCTGAAATTAAGGTGTTGGTAGGGCTAATTCCATTTTGGAAGCACTGAAGGAGAATTAATTCCATGCCCTTCTCCTAGCTTCTAGTGATGGCTGGCAATCCTTGGCTCTCCCTGGCTTGTAGGTGCATTGCTCCAATCTCTTCCCCTATTGTCCTATGATGTGCTCTCTGTGTCTGTATCTCTAGTCAATTTCTTATAAGGACAATAGCCGTACTGGATTAGGTCCCACACTAATGACCTCCTCTTAACTTGATTGCATCTGCAAAAACACCCTATTTTCAAATAAGGGCACATGAACAGGCACTGGTGATTAAGACATTGACTTATTTCTTGAAGGGATAGGATTCAACCCATAATAGCTGAAATACAGTGTGTTTGGTTGCTTTTGTAGCTTGAACACTGTTCTTAATTTTGTCTGTGTTCAGATGTGATTATGGAGGGGTCTCATTGTGTGGTGTAACAGGAAATATGTTCAATGGGAGAATACTATAGCCTAGCTTCCCGTTTTTGGGGTGACTTTTCTCTTTCTCAGTAGCCTCCACTCTTGGTATTGTCAAGCTTGTTAATTTCAGTCATTCTGGTCAGTGTGAATTGACATCTTATTGTAGCTGTAATTTGCATTTCCTTGATGACATTGAGATTGAGCACCTTTTAGGATTCTGGGGGCTGTTTGGATATGCTTTTTTACAAAGTGTTTGTTCAAGTCTATTGCCATTTCTTTATTAGGCTGCCTGCCCTTTTCTTATTGAATTTCTAGAGCTTTTAATATATTCCGAATACAAGTTGTTAGGTATATCGTATTGGTAATATCTTCTGCTAAACCATGCCTTGTCTTTCTATCTGTTTACGTGAACCAGAGGGATGAGAACATTCCATCAATGGTATGTTTTTACTTTCTTTCATCCATGTATCAGGTATTGTATAGACACAGGCATAGGCCATGAGTTCAGCTTACCATGAACTCCCTGACCTCAACTCCTGCTTCTCTCCCCATGTCCACCCTGCTCCAGCCGTGCTTACTGCTGCCTTTGCCTGGAATGTTCTTTCCTTAGATAATCTCATAGCTTGCACACCTCCCTAACTCTTCTTTTTTTTTTTTTTTTTTTTTTTTTCTGAGACGGAGTTTCGCTCTGTCGCCCAGGCTGGAGTGCAGTGGCGCGATCTCGACTCACTGCAAGCTCCGCCTCCCGGGTTCACGCCATTCTCCTGCCTCAGCCTCCCGTGTAGCTGGGACTACAGGCGCGCGCCACCATGCCCGGCTAATTTTTTTTTTTTTTGTATTTTTAGTAGAGACGGGGTTTCACCGTGTTAGCCAGGATGGTCTCGATCTCCTGACCTCGTGATCCGCCCGTCTCGGCCTCCCAAAGTGCTGGGATTACAGGCGTGAGCCACCGCGCCCGGCCCCTAACTCTTCTTAATGAGGACTTCCAGTGCCACATTTTAATAATTGCATGCTCCATGCCTTACTTATTCCTAGAAATCTGTCTATCTTCCCTGCCTTTCCTCATATCATTCCTTGCCATCTGACATATGACAAGTATTTGTGTACTATCTATCTCCTCCAGAGAGAATGTGAGCTCTGTTAGGACAGGTTTTGTTTGTTTGGTTGGTTGGTTTCCTGCTGTATGTCTAGTACTTAGAACAATGCCTGCATATAGGAGCCGACCAGTGAATATCTATTGAATAAACAAATGAATGAAGGAAGGAATGAATGATTGAAATGAACAGGTAGGGGTGGAACCATGCTGCTCATATGTTGCTGATCTAATGTGGGACTCACAGTCCAATAGAGAGTTTATAGAAACTAGTTGGTGGCTCTTGTGTGATATTCACCATGCGTCCGGTGACAATAGGATTATACTCTGAGATTTAAGTTTTAAAATTAACATATAATGGATCTTAACAACTGTAAGAGAAGAGATAGCTCCCAGGCTGCAAATCACCTCAGCAAACTGAGATCAAATGAATAAGCATATCTAATGAAAAACATGTTGGTCAAAGGAATTTTAATCTGTTCATGAAAGCAAAGTGAAAGGAGAATCTTGGAGGCAATTTTTGGCAATATCCACCCAGACTCTGTCCAGGAGAAAGGGGCATTGCCAGCCAACTTGGAGGATTCTGGACCCATTGGCAAGGGCATCCCTCCTGGAGCTGGTTGAAGGCAGTAAGGTCAGTTGGCTTTGGTCCCTTGGTGAAGCCATCTTCAGAGTGTGTTTGCTGCATTAGGTTATCTTGTGCGATGCTCCTACAAGTCCAATGCCTTGTAATTCCACTAAGCTTTCAGGTAAAATAGGTTTGGGCCTCCTTATAAGTCAGGGTCTGGGAAGAGAGTCAACTCATTGGGAGAACTTCCAAAAGTTTCTATGCCAGTCATTTATCATTTTATGTTAATAAAATTGATATTGAAGTTTTATAACAAGTCTCATGAGGTCGGGTAATGTGATTCCACAACTAAGAAAAGGAGTAGATCTTGGTGTGCTGGAAAAGTCAGCTTTCAGAACCTCTAAGATTGAGGGCTCAGCCCCTGGGGCTAGTAAAACCATCAGAGGAATGAATTCCACTTCATGAGAACTTTTGACACATAGACTACCAGTTTCTTGGTGGTTGACCTGCACTTGCACTGCGGAGCCTATGGCCATGTTTCCAGAAATTTCCTTTGTATGGAACATCTGATTTTTACCTGTACTCTCATAAGACTTCCTTGCTGGTGAGCTGACGTTAATTTAAGAATTTTAGCTCTTTCAGTCTTAGGTATCATCAGGCATGTCACACTTTCTGTACATTTGCCTTTTGTAGCTAGGGAAGCTGTAAAATGTTTAGGCCTTAGGTCTACTGAAGACTAACCAATGACCCAATGTAATATTTTTAATTTGTCCCTTGACAACTTTATGTTGAGATTTCTAATTTCCTTATCAGATACAAGGCCACAGTAAAAACATCACCTGTTAGGTCAAGTCTAAACTGGAATCTATGTCATCAAGCTGCCGTATTTAATTACCAATGTCCATAGGCGTTGTGGTTCCTGATTCTATTCCTCTTACACCCTCTTGAAATCAGCTCCATGCTGGGGGTTTCTCATACTACACAGCTGGGAATTCTAGGATTTTTTTTTTCTTGCCTTCTGTATATTTCTACATAGCAAGCTGTGGTCAAGACATCTTGCTATGTGGCCAAGATGGGGAAAAGGGACTGAGATAGACAAGTACTGCAATATTTGGGTAGTGAGAACCATCACATACTGCAATTTTTGGGTGATGAGAACCCAGCAATGCACTTAATAGACTGCTGAGGGGAGGTAAAGGCCTTGCTCAATCAACTTAATGGGAGAACTGAACATCCAAAGATTGTAACTACCATTTGGGGACTTCTTAACACTTGACTTCATTAAAATTGTTCAGTAAGAAGACTGATGTTGCCACCATGTTTATACATACAGTTTTTAAGGCAGGCATAGAGAGGGTTACATTTTGTTTAATAGTCTCTTTAGAAAACAAAGAGGTAGTGTATCATTTAGAATGCATGCAGCTGCCAGTAACAAAATACCCAAGTAATAGTGGGTTAAATAATAAAGGTAGTTAAATATATACCATAACAAGAAGTTGGTTTCACAGTTCAGGGAGGTAGGAGGGGAATTCATCATCTCTAAGATTATTTTTTGGCCTTTACTTCATGGGGATCAATGGTTGTCACAGCTTCAAGCATCGAGTCCTGCATCCCAAGCAGAAAGGCAGGAAAACAAAAAGACTTTCTTTCTGAGGCACTATTGTTTCCTTATCATGAGGAAGCTTCCCAGCAGGCTTCTCCCCGTGTCTCAGTGGACAGAGTTTGGTTGCGTGCCCACTTCTAGGCCAATTGATGGGAAAGTAGGAAGGAGTTACTGCAGTGGTTTAGGTCATCTTGAAGCTGTGAAGAGGTCTGATGCCTTCCCTGGGATGACATGATACCTGCTCTCTACTTCAGCAATATGGGGTATATACTAGCTGGGGGAGTGAAAATAAAAATGTCTTCCACATGTATATTTTAATCAATTGTATGAACAGTTTTTTTAAAATTAGCTTTAAATGTGTAGAGATAAGTGTTAAATAAATTCCTCACTGGAAGGAGAGGGAGGAGTGGGTGAGTTTGATGCTGGGATGGGCAGGTATGCAGGTATCCAGGTAGAAGCTTGGCATCAATTTACCTGTCTCTAGGAAGTTCCTATCCTGTTTCCTCCGGTTAGCCTGTATCTGGGATATAAAAATCTGCTGAAACATCAGCCTCCGTGAACCACACAGCATGACTTGTTACATGTCACAGATGACTGCCCCTTGCTGGCCACCAAACTTGAACCATTCCGTGCAGCCGCTGCCTGTTGTTTCCTGTTATGTTGTTGAGGTAGCACTGCCAAGTTCTAAACACATGCCCTGACTCCACCCAGAGTGGCACCTGCACACAAAAGCAATGCCCAGGGAGTGCCAGGCCGAAATAATTTCTGCAGAGTTAAACTGGAGCATTAAGTGGCAAGTGGAATTTGACAGAGGGGAGGAGCAACCCCACTTTCTGTAAGAACATGAAAAAAAAAACCCACAGTTATTAAATAAGCTGGGGAAAGAACAAAATTACACAGGGATGAAGAAAAGTCTTTGCTTAGCGTGGCTGAAAAATACCGACCTCACAGATGGGGTAGGGTTGCGCTGGAGGTAGAGCAATGTCAGCAATAAAGAGAGAGAATAAAGGAAGGAAGTCACGGCCAGCTTGCAAAAAGTTGTCTCTGTTGTCTGTTCTGTGAAACCGCTTGCCAACAACACCGTTAAAATGTAGGTGTTGGTGTGAAGATCCAACAAGGTACATTCTCTGAGTCTGGAGCCACTTCTAAAGGAGCTAAATAAAAATGAAGCAATTAATTGAGACACATTGTATAAAAGAAATCAGTGTAATACCAGATGGAAGGAGTCATGTCTGCAATCTTAGTGGAAAGAGCATTATTTATCGAGCATTGACCTTCTAGTGTGAGCACAATGCATTCATTATCTCATTTAATTCTTACGATTACCAGCTGAGGCAGGTGCTTTCATTATCTCCATTTGACAGATCAGGAGGATTGTAGCTTAAAAGGCTTAACTCGTAAGTGGAAAGGTCAATATGTAGACCGAAGCTTTCTGAATCCAAAATCTGTGTTCCTAACCTCTATTCTGTACTGCTGGCCAAAATTAAAAATACTGAAGTGTGATACAAGGAAATTATAACTCTGATTGGATGAACTGAATACTAGGGTTTGTCTGTTCTTCAGAAGTAAGATGATGGTGTGGATTTAGGAATACGTATTATGGACTCTATTGTAAGTGACAGATTCCCGCCCTAACGTGGCTCTAAAAAAAAAAGGAGGACATGGACTCCTGTGGTCAGCTGAATAAAGGCACCCCAAAATGTCCACATCCTAATCCCCAGAACCCATGAATATCCACATCCTCATCCCCAGAATCCATGAATATCCACATCCTAATACCTGAAACCCATGAATACGTTGCCTTTTATGGCAGAAGGGGCTTTGTAGATCTGATTAAGTCAAAGATCCTGAAATGGCAGAGATGATCCTGGAATATCTGGGTGGTCTCAACATAAAGAAAAGGATCCTTATAAAGGAAACAGAGAGGTTTGGTTACAGAAGTAGGAGACAGGAGGATGGAAGCAAGAGTTTGGAGCAGTGTTAGGAAGGGCCCCGAGCCGAAGAATGTAGGTGGCCTCTAGAAGCTGGAAAAGGCAAAGCAACAGCTTTTGCCCTAGAGCTTTCAGAAGGAACACAGCCCTGCCAACATCTTGATTTTGGACTTCTGACCTCCAGAACTGTAAGAGGATACATTTGTGTTGTTTTAGGCTATCCTTACCGTTATCGTGGTAATTTTTTACGCCAGCAAAAGAGAACTAATACAACTCCTGTACCTGAAAAGCCTAGGGCAGCAATGGCTTCAGGCTTGGCTGGGTCTAGGAGCTCTAATGGGGTGGCCTTGATGCTGTCCCTCCTCATGCCTTAACTGCTTTCTTTTGCAATGGCCGTATTCACTGATGGGCTTTCGCTGGGTTGTGGCCAAGCTGAAAACAGTAGCCTCAGGCTTTTGCCTCACCACTGGAGCAATCCCAGTAGCGCAAACTGCACCCCTTTCCTAGTAATGTCTGCAAATGTCCCAGGGCTGACCTGCATGGGCCGAGCTTGTGCCCTGAATGATCACCATGATTCTGATTGGCCAGGTCTCATCATTGTGTCTCAAGGTAAGCGGGGGATCAGCCCTACCTGAACCTCAGTGACTCTTAAGGTAGAATGGTGCTTTGCAAAGGAAAATCCAGCTGGGCATGCAAAAACAGCAGATGCCTACCAGAGGGTGTGAGGCAGGAGCACTGAGACTTGGATTCTTGCAGGTTCTAAGGGAAGCCAGAGAGACAGAATAGAGGTTTCTGTCTCACCAGCAGAGACAGTGAACAAAACCAAAAAACCGTTCCCCTCCATCCTTTTGTGGTTCCTAAGTGTGATGATTGGGTTTTCATACTCATGTGTGAAATGTACCTCCCTCAAGCCTTGTTATGATGTGGCGGGCACATTACCCTTACCCATCTGATGAAAAGAAAAGGAAAAACAAAAACTTGGAAATCAGTTATAGGCAGCGGTTATGGGGTGAATTCAAGGTCTTGTTGCGATCTGATGGAGAAAGACAGGTGTGAAAAGGACAGGAAAATAAAAAGGAAGGATCCCTTGCTTGCTGGATGGGAGAAACAAGAGGACCATGAGAATGATCCCTTTGGATAAATGTGACCTGATGACACCTCCAGACCCTGAGCTCCTTCCTGGGGTAGGCCTGGCTGTTTGCCGAGAACAGACTCTGCAGAGCAGTCTTTGCACCCCAGCGGAGCTCAGTCTGCTCTGTGAGTCTCTGCATACTACTGGAAACCCCGACGGAGAGTCCCAGCCTTTGGAATTCCCTCACTGAGGCCGAGATTGAGCAGTGCTCACCTTCTAGGCCACCACCCTTCACCCTTGACATTCACCTTCAAAAGTGAGCTAAGAGGCAGATGATATGGCGGCACTGTGGCAGGTACACCCCAGAGCCAGTCCATCTAGAGTATTGTTCCATGTAGCTCACAGAGGGAGCCTCAAGTTTCTACTTCTTTTATTCTTGCCCCCAAGTAAGGGCATCTCTGTTTTGGTGCTTATAACTGAACAGGATGGACACTTTGGCCCCCGGTTCTAAAACCCAGTCGCGTTTTCCTGATCCTTTAGAAGTATGAGTCAGATCATGCCATCCTGTGTTCACAGATATCTGATAGTTCTTTAGTCCTCTGAGTCAAGGCCAAGTCCTAATAAGGTTTACTTCATCTCACATCAGGGTGCCCTCTGTTGACTGACACCCTCACCTGTTAGTCTTACCTTCAGGTGATACACAACAGCCACCCTGGTCTTATTTATTTAATTTATTGTCTGTCTGTTCCTGCTTCCTACTATCAGACAACCTTTGTGAGGCCAGGAATTTTTGTCTGTCTTTCTTATTGCCATGTTCTAAGCATCTAGAGGAATACCTGCATGTGTTAGGTGCTCAGTAAGCATAGACTGAGTTGAGGTGATGAATTAACTCAGGCATGTGTGCATGCATGCATTTCACCATCACTTACCAAGTGTGTGCAAAGCACCAGCTAATGAACTAGAAGCTGCATTCAGCAAGACAAACTCCACATGGTCTCTGCTCTTGAATAGCTCCTGCTCTAGAGGAGAGAATGGCAATCCCATGTGATAATTACTAAAAGGTTGGATAAGCCCAGGGTACTCAGGGGACATGGGGAAGACAGGAGCGCACCAGGGCCAAGATTCCTTCCTGCTTCTGTATACATAATTGCATCTCAAGCCTCTCTCAAGCCTTGTTTTGATGTGGCAGGCACATTACCCTTACCCATCTGATGAAAAGAAAAGGAAAAACAAAAACTTGGAAATCAATTACAGGCAGCGGTTATGGGGAATCTAACACGTAATTGCGATTTTATTGTTTATGTCCCGTTAGAACCATCTCTAGGTGTACACGCTCCCTTTCTGAGCAAATGCATTCTAAATCCAATAGGTTTCCCTGCTGCCATGTTGAGTTCTAACTCATGGGTAGTTAAATCCCAGAATACTGATGTTTGCTGGTGGAAAATTGCCGTTTCCTCTCCTTGCTGAGAGGAGGTGGAAAACCAGAGAGCATTAATATTAAGTAAAAGGTGATATTGAGTAAACGGTGGAGAGGCATACTAGGTGCTTCTAAGCCCAATCCCCACAGGTAGCTCGTGCTGGGTGGCAGAGAGCGAGTGTGCTCCCCACTCTGGAACTGACACTTACTCTCGTCTGTGCCAGGCTCGTCCCACAGCTATTTGGATGGCCACTTTCTTCTGATTATTCAAGCCTCAATTTTAACATAAGCTCCTTAGAGAGGCAGTCCCTGACCACCTTATCTAAAATTGTTGCCCTCCACATCATCCTTGTCATTTTCCTCATATCACTAACTATAATCTGAATACATCCTGCTTCCTGTCTTTCTCTTTTATTTAAAGCTAAGTTCTATATGGACAGCAGCTATTTCTGTCTTCCTCACTGTTGTGTCCTCAATACACATAGTAGGTGTTCAAAAAATATTCATGAATAAACAGACAGCAAATAGAGGGGATACTTGAGATACAGTATCTAAACTGTTGGAATTTGTAGAACTAGAAGACGCCACTTTTGGCTGTTTTTTTTTTTTTTCTTTTCTTTTCTTCTTTTTTTTTTTTGCACCTGAGGAAGGAAGCAGCTTAATTGAAGCCACCCCAGCAGAAGAATCCACACCACAGTCCCACCTCAGGTGGACACACCATCTACTACTCTTGCTGGGGAGAGCTCCAAGCTCCTGGGTCGCGGTGGAGGTGGGTGGCATGCCTTGAGAGCCACTTGGAGCCACCGCCTCCTGACTGAGGCAGTGCCCTCTTGTGGCAGCTCTGTGATATACACACAGTCCTTCCAGGCTCCCCAGAGTTTCCTGATAGTTTATGAGACACACCCTTCTCTTTGCACCATTCAGCTCCTTCTAGAGGCTTATTACAGATTCCACTGGGACCAAAATTGACAAACGCCAAAACCACTATGAATTCCAGGAATGACCTTAAGCAGTGTTTGATAGTTCTGTTAGAGCCAGCAACTCATTTTGAATACTAAATTACCACTACAGCCTTGCAGTTCCAGTGCATACCAGAATTTCCAGCCCTTCTCATGTGTATTGCTTCCAAGAACTGCTCCAAGATTTTAGCCCTGTGTTCTTTTATAAAGTTTACTTTTTTATTGAGCTATAACCTTCACAAAGTAAAATGCATACATGTTCAGTGTACAGCTTAATGACATTTTTTTTTGCTATTAGTTTTGCCTGTTCTTGTACTTCATGTAAATATCATCATTCAGAACTTTTCTTGTGTGTCTATCTAAACATTTCAAGTCAATATTTTGTCTATGATATTCAGTGGCTTATTCTTTTCCATTGCTGTGCACTTACTAGGTGACAATTTCAGACAATAGTATGAGCACACTGCAATTTATTCATTCTACATTTAAGACATTATTTAGCTTGTTACCAGTTTTTGTGAATAACTGAACATTTTCATACATATATTTTTGTAGACTATTCATATAACCAGGAGAGGAATTGCTAACATATTTTAGCCTTGATAAATACTACCAAACATTTTTCCAAAGTAGTGTATCAATTTACACTCCCACCTGCGTTGAATGAGTTCCTCCACGTCTTCATCAATACTTGGTATCATTGGTCCTTTAAAATTTAGCCATTCTAGTATGTCATTGTGCTTTTACTTTGCATTTCCCTGATGACTAATGAATTTGGCACATTTTCTTATGTTTATCGAACCTTGCATTTTGAATAACTACACATTTATTGACCAGAGCATGTACTCCCCTGAAGTTTGTAGACTGCCTTTGGACCTGTCCTTTTTTTAATGAAACTTTCTCTATGTTTCCCATGGGTTGTAGTCATCACTATCCATATATGAATGTAGACTAGAAACCTTAAATCTGTCTTTCCTTCGCCACTGTGCTCAAGAAGTCACAAAGTCCTATGGACCCAGAAATATCTCCTGAATGTGTTTGCTTCTCTTCATTCCCATTGTGATCACCTTAGTTCAATTTTATCATCTCTTGTCCTTACTAGCAGGAGAATGTCACTCTCCACATTCCCTTACTTGAAGAATGGGTTCCATTTTTCTGAGAATGTTTTCTTCTTTGAATCCACAGGCAACACAACTAGAGAGAGAAATAAGAATCATGACTACTAACATCTTTAGAATGTTTAGTGTCTTTCACGACTTTTACAAGTTTATTATATGCATTATCTTTGAAGTAGGTACTCTTTTTTTTTTTATACCCCCATGCCATCAGCCACTGCCTCGCTACCTGCTGATGGCAGCTGTAGGCACCCAGCTCTCTGCATTCTAGGGGTGCACACACCAGGAAGCTAATGTGGGCCCTGGATTTCTTTTTTTTTAAATATACTCTAAGTTCTAGGGTACATGTGCACAATGTGCAGGTTTGTTACATATGTATACATGCGCCATGTTGGTGTGCTGCACCCATTAAATCATCATTTACGAAGTAGGTACTCCTATCATCCCCCTTCCCCAGTTTCAGATAAGGACATTGAACTATAGAGGTTAAGAAACCACAACAAGTAAGCTACATGGTTGAGCTGGAGTTCAAAACCAGAGTCTGTCTTCAGAACCAACTGCTTTACCACTCTATGATATTTGCCGGTGGTACTTGATTGAAAGTTACAAGCTCATATTTAATTAACAGATTTCATTTTTCTACATAATTGTGGTTTGGAGATTTATAGTTATGCCGCTGGGAATGAGGCGGATTTGACAGCTGCCATCTTGGCTAGAGAAATAATCTCTGCATTTGGAAACATGGCGGTATCAAGGCCAGTATTGCAGGTTTGAGCCTCTTCCTAGCCAGTTAGCTTCCACGGAGGAAAACAATTAGTGAGGACTATGAATCACAGGAGAAACTGGACAAAGAGTGAGGGTGGATCCCTATAAACCATCTTCACCACTGCAGGTGCTGCTGACGATAGGGCTTCTGTGGTTTATAACCAAGGGGGACAGGTCCTGCTGGAGCCAGCAGCCTCAAGAGCAGGTGAAGCAGTAACAAGCACTGTTCCTCTGTTGCAAGTTTCAAGTGGGTCTTGAGGAAGTCAAAACCGTGACAGCCCCCAGGATTAATCCCACCAGGGATACAATGCAAAAACTAAGATCCACTGGGCAATTACAGTGTGCCAAGCACTAGGCTGAGTGTTTTATGGCCACAAGCTTATTTAAAAATCACAATAACCTTATGAGAGAGCTACTGTTGTTATACAGTAGCCAGCCGTTATCCAGGGGAGATTCATTCCAAGACCCTTAGTGGATGCCTGAAACCAAGGATAGAACCGAACCCTATACATACATATTTCTTTCTATACATACACACATATAATAAAGTTTAATTTACAAATTAGGCACAGTAAGAGATTAACAACAACCCATACTAAAATGGAATAATTATAACAATATGCTGTAATGAAAGTTTTGTGAATGTGGCCTCTCTCTCTCAACATCTATTTTACTGTATTCCTGCTTCTACTTATAATCTGTCCGTTTCATAATCAGTGTGACTACTAAGTGACTAATGGCCAACAACATGGACAGTGCGGCTACGCTGGACACAGGGGAGATTCACATCCTGGGCAGGATGGAGTGGGATGGCAGGAGATTTCACCATGTTATTCAGAATGGTGCGTAACTTAAAACTTACGAATTACTTGTTTCTGGAATTTTTATTTAATCATTTTGCACTGTGGTTGACTGCATGTAACTGAAACTGCAGAAAGTGAAACCACAAATAAAGGGAGACTGCTGCACCCATTTTGCAGATGGGACCTCGGAGACCTAGAGAGGTTAAGTAACAAGTGCTAGGCCAGTGCTTCTCAAATATTAAGGAGTTTATAAATCCCCTGGGGACCTGGTGGAAATGCGGATACTGACCTGGCAGGGCTGAACTGAGATTCTGCGTTTCTAATAAACTCCCAGGGGATGCTACTGCTGCTCGTTGAGGTGCCACACCAGTAACAAGGCCCCGCTCCTACAGCTGATAAGTGGTAGAGCTGAGATTCTCTTACAGGCGCTAGGGGTCCCGGGCTTTCTCTCTCCATCACCCTGCTCTATTGTTTCCTGTAGCAGCTGTGACAACCTCATTTAGATCACGTTCACAGGTCAGGCCCTGGTAAGCGTTCTTGTGACCTTGCATTAAGGCTCCACAGTGCTCCCCCTCCCTCTCTTTGCTCCAGACCCACCAGTCACCTTGCCATTCCACTTGCCACCTGCCCTTGCCCTTGCTGTTCCCTCCTGCTGCAATGTTCTTCCCCATGCATGACAAGGCTTGTCCCCCAATGCCTTTCTGGTCTCTCCTCCAGTGTCTCCTCCTTGGAGAGGATGCTATCTGCAGTAGCTTCCACTGCCTCTGCAGACTGGCCCTTTTCCCCTCTTACCCTTTTCCTGTTCTAAGTTTTTTACAGCATTTATCACAATAAGATTATACATTTAATATACATATAGTTTATTGTTAATTATTTGGTTTCATCACTAGAATGTGAGCTCCATGAAAGCAGAACTTTGTCCATTTTTCTCACTTTTTTATCTTTAGCATCTTGAACAGTGTCTGCAACATAGTGAGGCTTAATTATTATGTATGAAATGAATAAATGAGATTGTAAATGAACGAATGACTGAATAGAATAAATGTTCTAACTTCCTAATATCTAATAACAACAGAAGCACCTAACATTTACTGAACACGTACAGTTCCAGAAAACACACCAATTACTTTACCCAGATGATCCCATTTATTCTTACAAAAACTCTTAGACCTGTTATTACTAATTCCAATTTTCAGATGAGGAAACTAAGACTCAGAGAGGTACACTAATGTTCCCAAGGTCACACAGCAAGTAAGTGACAGAATTAGATTTTTCAGCCAGATCTAATTCCCCTAAAGTCAACAGAAAGTCTCCTGTGCTGGGCACCACAAGAGATAGCGCCATTGTTTCCATGGCAACAGGTCATGTCAGTAACTCTGATGCAGGATCAAGTGTAGGAAAACACTGAGCTTGGAGAGGAGGCCCTCATGCCGCAATCACAAATATTTAACCAAGGTAGAAAAAGAACAAAGGAAAATGACTGGCTTGGTAAATTAATTCTTACTTTCTCTACCACTTTTCGTTTTCATCCAATAAGCCTACTCCTGGTCAGGAAAAGTAATTCCACTTGACGTTTGCTTTTAGTTTTACAAAAATGACCTTGCATATGTGAAAGGACATATTTTGTCGTCAAGAATATGCATGTTTAACCCCAGCACTGGGGGGTCACGCTATTTCTTTATAGGAGGCGTGTTATCTTAGAGCAGAAGGAGAAAACAGGGAGCCAGGATTGCATTTTGCACCCAGTGCCCTCAGCAATTTCTGGTGCATTGTGAACAGTTAAATAGGAATAACCTCTGCTTAATCTTGGAAGCAGGTTAGTGGGTTTATTTAATCACTGACAAAAGAGTATATTTTCTAGGTGGAAAGGAGAGTAGAGAGGGTTTGTGACGGACTGGAACAGCAGAGACTAGGATTTAAGCTTTGGGTAGCTCCAATTACACAATTTGTGATGCTTTCACATGGGTCAACAATGATCCTGAAAGTCCTGTATATCTGGGGAGAGAGCTGCATGCTCTTCCTTGCCAGTAATCAGAGACATCTCCTTGTACCTAAACCTCCCATGTTCTCTGAGCTGCTAAGTTAGTTCTGAGTCCCCCAGAGTTCTACTGGTGTTACTACTTGGCCCAAGAAACTGGGGATCACTGAGGTTTTTCAGAGTATTTTTCTCAAAGGCAAAGAATCCAGATTAAGGACTGTTGAGGCTCCTATAAGGAGCTGAAGGGGAGAAGCACAGGGTAAAGCCACAGTGATATTCATGGCTATATTCTTGGAGGCCTGTTTGCATTTGATTTGTGTGGGTCATGGAGGCTGACTCCAGTCTAACATTCAGTTGTTGAGAGGGGTAGAAGTTCTGAACAATGAATGATGTTTATGATACTATTAATAATAAAACTACCACAACAATAACAACATAGAAAACACATTGAGCCTCCCACCCTCGAATCACCTCCCTACCTCCACAGGGGTACCCACCAGGTAGAGAGCCCAGGAGCCTCCTGTTTTTAGAGTCTTTAACTCCATTCCCTGGCCAAATGGGTTGTTCCTCATTGCAGCAGGAAATGAATGGGCACGTTTAAATCAATGGAGGATGTTTAATAAAGGGGCAATTTACAAGTGTGTGGGCAGGGTGTAGGGAAACCATAAGGGATAGTTAGGTGACTGAGGGTCAGCAACATCAGGGCTATTTCACATCCCTTGGTCCTCAGGGATAAGCAGTTTATTGAAACCTGAGAGTCTTGCAGACAGGGTCTCCTTGAATCAAACTTGGCCTTGGGGAAGAGCATCATGAGCAGACTCTGCTGGTGAGAGAGTCCTGACCTCATCCTCTTCCTCTCCTTTAGTACCCTGCCCGGGCTCTCCACTGCAGACCCAAAACAGAAGCCAAAGGCGAGGAACAGGGCAGGGATTAGGTGGCAAGGGATGGAGAGTGGTTCTGCAGGGGCCAGTGGCAGAGTCGGCACACTAAGGGAGACGGGGCCAGCAGGGGACTCCTGCCCTGAAATAGGTTTATGAAGTCTGTCTCTCAGAAATTCAGAGCTAGGCCTGAGAATCAACCAGGGAGTGATTCTGGGTGACTGGGAATTATTATGGTTGTACAGTATTCAGAAGCCATATGAGGTGGTCACAGTCCACTATGTGGATAGTCAGAGAAAGCCAGTGCTCAGAGAAGTACGAAAATGTACAGAAAGAAACAGAACCATTGCTGGATGCGGTGGCTCACGCCTGTAATCCCAGTATTTTGGGAGGCCAAGGCAGGCAGATCACGAGGTCAGGAATTTGAGACCAGCCTGGCCAGCATGGTGAAACCCCATCTCTACTAAAAAGACAAAATTAGCCAGGCATAGTGGCAGGCACCTGTAATCACAGCTACTTGGGAAGCTGAGGCAGGAGAATTGCTTGAACCCTGGAGGCAGAGGTTGCAGTGAGCCGAGTCCAGCCTGGGCAACAGAGCGAGACTCCATCTCAAAAAAAAAAAAAAAAAAAAAAAAAAAAGAAGCAGAACCATGCAACAGAGAATGGACACCCAGGTCCTGCCCATGACTTCTTTCTGCAGATGGTGCATGCCCTGCCTCTGAGTTCTACCAGATATCCCTCACCCTTATGATACACTTCCCTTCCTGCTTAAACAGCTTCAGTGGAATTCTGATTTCTTAATTTTTATAAATAACTGCCATCTTGGAGCATTTCCTATAAACCAAGAAATGGGCTGAGTTCTTTACAAACATTATCCAATTTCATATAATCCTATATGATGCCACTTTTCCAGGAGCGCAAACTGAGCCTTGGGGAGGTTAGTAGCTCACCCAAGGGGAGACAGCCAGTATGAGGCTGAGCCAGGACTTGATCCCAGATCTGCATGACTGTAAATCCCAAGCTTGTGGCCATTTCTCCCTTCCGCAATGGGAAGAGTCTTCTTCATTGTCTCTCATGCTGGTATCAGGACATCGGTAGGACGTCCATATGATGCTGCGACTGCACCTCGTAGCTTTGTATTGTGTACCAGCCATTCAGGCCTTCCCTCACCTCTTCTTTTGCATGCTGAGCCCTCGAGTTGTGTGGGGGCTGGTTCTCTGCGTGCCCAGATCTATTTTTTGCCCTCGTCTACTGTGCCCTCCATGTCCCAGGAAGCTGAGCCCTTGGACTCCTCTGGCCTCCACTGGGATTCGGCCCTTGGAGAGGCACTGGCAGGGGCCAGGCAGGAGGGGAGAGTGGTGCACTTCTTTGCATGTGCCCTTGTGTGCCAGTGCCAGCAGGCTCTTACAGCATGGTTTGCTCCCCATGCCCTTTCTGTCCTAGAGACAAAATGGCTTCCTCTGGTTCCTGTGAGGCTGCTCCCTGGGTGCCTCATTATCCCTTGTTAGTTCCTTTAACCCTGCCCTCACCTGTAAACAGGCCCTTCCTTCAATTCCTTTCAGGATCTAATGGAGTGTGTCTGTTTCCTGCAAGGACCCTGTCCTATAAACTGTTCCTGCCCATCTGCGAATGTCCAATCATGTCTTTAGGACCGCAGATCCTGAAACAGGAAGCTGAGTTTACTAGGGTCAGTCCACTAAACACACTGACCTCATGGTTGCAGACCCACCGAATACTTCCCTTCCAGTTTATGACAGCCCAGGCCCAAGTCCAGGGCCCCGAGCACCAGGCCCAGCAGGGCTGTCAGTGATTCCGGCTCAGGACATGCAGGGAACAGTTTTCTTTTCAGAGTGCTCCTTAATAATGCACATGACAGCCATCACAACGTCTCGCAAAGCCCAGTGACAACTCCCTGGATCGCTCTGTCATTACAGTAATCATTTGAATCAATAGTGTAGTAAAACTGCCATACGTTTACTTCACCCGGGAGATTAAGCAAACAATTATATGAAACATTCTGCAGAAAACCCAGCGCTCCAGATGCAGAGGGAGACTGTGCGCTCGTCCCCAACCAAATGCTCTTCCTTTAGTGCGTTTGTTTTTGCGGCTTTATCAACAGACTCTAAATTCTCACATTGAGAAAGAATAAACCTATACATTTGCCAGCTTTTTTATTCCAGCCTGGGGAACTCACCCTGTGTGAGTGAGGGAGTGAGTGAGAGGGTATGTGTTGTGTTTCTCAAACATCCCAGAATGTACAGTGCCTACATCACCACTCTAAACATAGCAGAAACTCAATAAAAGCCCACGGGCGGTGGCCGTGGCAGTCATGGTTTAAAATAATGACTATGGCGTGATTTCTGAGCATGACGGGTTTCTCCCGGTAATGAGGCTTTACATCTTTTGGCCTTCTCTTTTCTGCACATTGAGCCACACCACCAATTTAATGGATTTGAAACATCCATTGTGATGGTTTTATTTTCATCTTGGTCAGATGGACATGCAGCTGAGAGCATCTCAAGCACTGGAGGCAGCATTAACTTCTGGGGGCCAAGATTTCCTCTCTCTCCTTGTTATCTGGATGGTTTTCTAATGTACACTCGCCCAGTAGTTTGAACTTGGCCATAATTACAGTCTTATTATCCTCACCAGCTTTACTTATCTCATTATCTCCTCCCTCCTGTATTAGAGGTCAGTAGAACATCCCTTTTATTAGCCACTTAATCCTTCTATCTAGTAGTTCAACCCTGATTGATCCACTTAAGGTCCTTCTTTGTAGTTAACTTCACTGACATTTGAGATTCCCACCCCTTAAGTCCTTTCATTGCACACAAGCAGTCAGCTCTCTAGCTCAGGAGTTCATTATCATTAATTTTATTAGAAGGAAGTCAAGTTTCATCATTACTCAATGAGCACCACTTTTTTTTTATACTCCTCCCTCTCTACTTTTCTGGAGGTTGGCTCTTCTATCTTTGCATACTTTTTTGTACTCTTCTTTGGAAAATTTTAGTAGCAGCTTGTGGATATCTAAAAATGCCCATCTTCATAGGAAAGGACATGACCTAATGCCCAGGCGTAGACAGATTGACAGAACGTTGTTAACGTGTGTGCGTGACGAGACACGGGTGTGTACTGTAAGTGACCCATTTTATTGATTCACTCAGCAAATATTTATTATCACTCCTGTATTCACTGATAAAATGACTAAATCATCTCAAACCATCATTTTCTTCTACATCTAACCCTATGCAGCTTTTCCCTGGAGAATATGCTCACAGTTTGTCTTTGTTTTTAACGTCTAGACTGATGATGAATTTACAAGGTATATACCATTGTAGAACACATTCCATACTATTTATTTTTATCTATGTTATTATCTACAAAGATGCTTTTATAGCATTTTGATAGTTCTCTCATATTTTTTAACAATCACCACTGGAATTTCCCTGCCTAAGAATGCTGGGGTCTGGGCAAGGATAAGACAGATGTTTCCACCCTGGGCTACTTTTCAGTCTCAAGGGTTATTATAGACATCTGTGTAGCATGCCTTGGTTGGAGAGTGGAGGCACTGAGAGAATCTGAGAGATTAAGATCACTGTGTTTGAGCAATGAGGCATTCTGGAGTTATGGTCAAATACTGTCCTACTGAGAGAAATTCACAAGAGCCATCCCTGCCACCTTAGTCAAGCCCAGTCTACCCCATCAGCTAGAGTCAGTGTATTAGTCCGTTCTCACACTGCTAATAAAGACATACCCAGGCCAGGTGCAGTGGCTGACACCTGTAATCCCAGCACTTTGGGAGGCTGAGGCAGGTGGATCACGAGGTCAAGAGATTGAGACCATCCTGGCCAACGTGGTAGTAGAGACCCCGTCTCTACTAAAAATACAAAAATTAGCTGAGTGTGGTGGCACATGCCTGTAATCCCAGCTGCCCGGGAGACTGAGGCAGCAGAATCGCTTGAATCCGGGAGGCGGAGGTTGCAGTGAGTGGAGACTGCACCACTGCACTCCAGCCTGGCAGCAGAGTGAGACGGTCAAAAAAAAAAAAAAAAAAAAAAAAGAAAGAAAGAAAGAAAAGAAAAGAAAGACATATCCAAGACTAAGTAATATATAAAAAGGAGAGGTTTAATTGACTCACAGTTCTGCATGGCTGGGGAGGCCTCACAATCATGGGGGAAGGCAAAGGAGGAGCAAAGTCACAGCTTACATGGCAGCAGGCAAGATAGTGTGTGCAGGGGATCTCCCCTTTATGAAACCATCAGATCTCATGAGACTTATTCACTATCAAGATGACAGCACAGGAAAGACTCACCCCACGATTCAAGTACCTCTCACTTGGCCCCGACCATGACACATGGGAATTATGGGAGCTACAATCAAGATGAGATTTGGGTGGGGACATAGAGCCAAACCATATCAGTCGGGAAGAGTGAGATTGTAGTTTCTGGACGTTCTGCTAAACTAATTATCCCAGCTACTCCTATGAAGGTAGTAGGTCATGTGTGGCATTATAGGATTATTAGGGAGAGTGGATTCTCCAGCAATGCCAATAAAGATGCCCCAGCCATGGCAGTACCAATATCAGAGGCATTCAGGGATATAGAATTACTTTGAGACCTCAAGCCACATGGTTCTTCATTTGGATGCTGGCCTCTATTAGTGTATTAGAGTTCCCTGGAGTGTTTGTTAAAACACAAGACTGCGGAGCCTCAGCCCAGGAGCTCCTTGGGGTGGGGCCTGAGAATTCAATTTCCTAACAAGTTCCCAGGTGATGTTGATGCTGCTGAACCCAGGACCATACTCTGAGAATCACTGGCCTGTACTTACCCTGTCCTCTGTTTCTTTGGAGATCTTACAAATTTCCTTGTGAGTTGGGGACATAACCAGAAGAATATGCCTTTTGTGGGGGAAAATGTTTTCTCTTTAACTTCAGTTATTTCAAACATAAAAAATTATAAACTAAACACTGCTGGCCATCCCTCTTTTTTAAAAACAAAACAAAACAAAAAAAACAGGTGTCTAGCTCTGTCACCCAGGCTGGAGTGCAGTGGCGTGATCTCAGCTCATTGCAGCCTCTACTTACCAGGCTCAAGTGATCCTCCCACCTCAGCCTCCCAAGTAGCTGGGACTATAGGTGTGTGCCACCATGCCTGGCTAATTTTTTTTATTTTTTATTTTTGTAGAGATGGGGGGCCACTATGTTGCCCAGGCTGGTCTCCAACTCTTGGGCTCAAGCAATTCACCTGCCTGATCCTCCCAAAATGCTGGGAATACTGTAGTGAGTCACTGTGCTGGGCCCCAACCCTCATATTTAACAAATGTTAGCAGTTTGTCATATTTCCATAATAATAGCTATTGTTTATGTAAGTGATTTATGTGGTATAATTTATTTACCTCTCACATAACTGCATGAGAGAGGTGCTCTTATTATCCCCATTTTACAGGCTCAGAGATACTTAAAGTCACTTGCCCAAGGCCTGGCAGCTAGCAAGCAGGAGCCCAGATGTGAGCCCAAGAAGTCTGGCTTTGGGGAATCTGTGCTCCTCACTACCAAAGCACACTGCCTCCAGATTTTAGTTCATTCTTTTCTTCTTTATAAAAGGTAAAAACATTCAGATTCAGACAAAGTTTTATCTGTATCCTACCCATGACCCCACTTTCACTTATACAGGTGCCAATTCTCCCGAAGTCGGTTGAATTTTGAGGGGAAGGTTTTGGGGATCATCTTTGGGTTCTTTAATACTAGAAGTTACCATTTTCTGTATGAGCTTGGCCATTTTGGCTATGGAGAAAGGCAAAAAGGACTTCAGTGGGAAGATTGATGCCTTCAACAGCTCCCTCCTTGTAACCGCCCAGTGGGTTCTCTTTACCCGCTTCCTAGACAGAGCCAATTTATCAAGACAAGGGGATTGCAGTGGAGAAAGGGTAACTCATGTACAGCCGGCTGTGCATGAGATCAGGTTTCATTATTACTCAAATTAGACTCCCTGAGCATTTGGGGATCAGAATTTTTAACGATCATTTGGTGGGTAGGGTCTTGGGAAGTGGGGAGTGCTGATTGGTCAGGTTGGAGATGGCATCATAGGGGATCGAAGTGAGTTTTTCTTGCTGTCTACTGTTCCTGCCTGGGATGGCAGAACAGTTGAGCCATACTACTACGGGTCTGGCTGGTGTCAGCTGATCCATCCAGTGCAGGGTCTGCAAAATATCTCAAGCACTGATCTCAGATTTTACAAGAGTGATGTTATCCCCAGGAGCAATTTGGGGAGGTTCAGACTCTTGGAGCCAGAGGCTGAATGACCCCTAAACTGAAATTTCTAATCTTGTAGCTAATTTGTTAGTCCTGCAAAGGCACACTGGTCCCCAGGCAAGAAGGGGTTCTTTTCAGGAAAGGGCTGTTATCAATTTTGTTTCAGAGTCAAACCATGAACTGAATTGTCCCCCAAAGTTAGTTTGGCCTACACCCAGGAATGAACAAGGACAGCTTAAAGGTTAGAAGCAAGATGGAGTCGATTAGGTCTAATCTCTTTCACTGTCATAATTTCCTCAGTTATAATTTTTGCAAAGATGGTTTCATTCACACCCAGAGACAAAGCTGAGTGTCCTACAGAATGTGGCAGCCCCGCTCTGCCAGTCTCTGTTCCAGGGCTTCAGGCGGTCTCTCCAAGCTCTGATTTATTCCTCCTCACTGGCTGGCTCCACTTAACTCTCAGGCTACTGACCTTGGCCTCAACACTGGCATCTCCCTTGATCTCTGGATACCTCACTTATTCATTTACTAACAAACATTTATTGAGCATCTACTATATGTCAGGTGCTCTCTTAGGCCCTGACAATGTAGCAGTGAGTGAATCAGAAACAAAAATCCCTACCCTCAGGGTACTTGCACTCCAGCTTCCTTCTAGTTCTCTCTCCCTTGCTGTTTCTCAGACTTTTCTAAGCTCCATGTTCTGCAGTCTAATGAGTAGGCTGCTGTCCTCTTAAGCCCAGCCCTGGTTCTTTTATCCTGGCCTCCACTTCTCCAGAAAGAGCCAGAGTATAAACACTTATCTAAGCATGAAGGCAGGCATGAGCCTCAGACTTTATAAAAAGCTGAGGGTTTTCGCAACATTGGTGTGAAAGGAAAATATCCTGGGTCCTTTCAAGTTGGGAACTGCTCAGGGCAAATCAGACTCCCATCCTATTCAAAGTCATCCCTCTGCTCACAGAGATAGATGCATATTCTGACTGCTTCCTTTGGAAAGACTTATCAGAAACTCAGTGCAACCATTTGTCTCTCACCTACCTGTGACCTGGAAGGCCTCAGCGGGGGGCCTTGCTTTGAGTTGTCTCTGCCTTTCTGGACTGAACTAATGTACTTCTTACATATATTGATTGATGTCTCATGTCTCCCTAAAATGTATAAAACCAAGCTGTGCCCGACCACCTTGGGCATGTCCTCAGGACTTCTTGAGGCTGTGTCACAGGCGCGTCCTTAACCTTGGCAAAATAAACTTTCTAAATTAACTGAGGCCTGTCTCAGATTTTCTGGGTTCACACTGGGTAGAAGCAGAATCACAGGTGGAAGTCCGAAAGATAGGAGAGGAGCTGCCCAGGCACAGGCGGGGCAGGAGAGTGAGGAGCCCCTTGCTCTCTTTTGGCTCATCATGGTCTGTGGTACTTCCCAAGACTCCTGCACAGCATCCCCAGATGTCACATGGTTTTGCAACTGTCACTGCGCATGGCGCATGCTACTGAGATGGGCACTTTGGGTTGGAGCTCTGCCTATTGAAGTGCCAAAGCACTGGGGACTGGGAAAAACTGCTTGCTAATTGCCCCTCAGTCCCAGGTCTCAGTTCTCATGCTTCTGAGGGCTGAGGTAGAGCCTGCATTTAGTTATTTGTTTTTTCCTCCGTTTGCCCGACTTCTGGGCTGCTCATTTTGTCACGGTGTTCTTTTGTTGTTATATTTGTCAGGACTTATTTTCTTTGAAGGAAAAGGGCTTCAACCCACATATTATGAGAAATTGGCTCTGACATGTATTTCTATTTCTTTTCCAAAGAAATTTCCCTATACATTTTCTCAAAGTGTCATTAAACTCTAATAGGCTTCCCCCAATACCCCCGCCCCCGAACCAAGCCTGATTTAACCGAGCATTTTCTGAAACAAGGTGACTCTTATTTAAGGATTCTAAATGTATTCCAGTTCTTGGCAGTCTTAAGCACACAGCTGAATGCATGTTAAGTCTAGCATGGATAATTACACCAGCTGTGACCTTTTAGAAACATGTATTTGGACTAAAGTGGTGTTTAGTCACTTTTGATTGACTTAGGTTTTACTTGGTTTATGTTTGGTAAACTTCAAATATTTGCTTCCGTATAAGCTGGTTAAACTCCCAAAGAGCACTGTGTGTGGTCTGCTGCGTTGAAGGCCCCCTCTGTGATGTCAGTGACACAATGACACTACATGTGCTTGTATGCATGTGCGTGCACACACACACACACACACACACGTGCATACACAATTAGAGGCAGGCGGAGTGGCTGATGACATTTGGAAGTAATGTAGCATGACACTGCCACTCATGGGTGTGAAGTCCAAAAGGGCACTGACTGTCAGGAGACAAACAGGAGCTGTGATTGCTTTAAGATCATTCCCATGCAGTTGTCGAAGCGGCGGGAGAGAGCACTTGGGAAAGAGCTGCTCACCCATTATTCTCAGCAGCCTAAGGTGACCTTGGACAGCCTCTTAACCTCTGAGCAGTGAGCGTGTGGGCATGGCCTGTCTTCCAGGGCCTTGCAGTTCCGTGCAGCCTTGGTGATAAAACAACCCCTCAGATGTGGTGCAAACACAAAGACAAGGGGACAAGTGCCCCTCCTCCTCCCCTTCCCCTTCTGTTTCTCCTTCTCCTTTCCCTCTTCTCCCTCACTTCCCCTACCCCTGCTTCTCTCCTTCTGTTTCT
This sequence comes from Homo sapiens, assembly GCF_000001405.40. NCBI lineage: Eukaryota > Metazoa > Chordata > Mammalia > Primates > Hominidae > Homo > Homo sapiens. The sequence continues at coordinate 82,471,406 of NC_000016.10, forward strand.
CCTTCTCCTCTCCCCCGCCTCCTGGATTTCCCCTTTTTGTGTGGTTCTCAAGCATTGGAAATTCCAAAGTAGCCAGAAAAGGGGCCACTAGACTGCCTTTTTCTGCTAGCTCTGTGAGCCTAACCCCGTTTCAACAAAGCCTCCATAGCTCTTATTTCTGAATAACTGAAAGATTGAGAAGCTTATTCTAGATGAGGTTGAAGGCAGCCATGCAACAAAGTACATCTGGACAGTCCCACTTAAGAGCCATTTCTCGCCATGCAGGAACTGACCTGCTGTGGTCTCAGCACTAACAGAAGCCTGGGGTTGCAAAGCGGACCATGCAGCTGAAGGTCTCTGAGCCATTGACCTCAGCTTTGTCACATGGCTTGAGTTAAGGTGAAGAAGGTCTGCTCTCTGGGGTTCGGCTATCAGCCTTAATGACAATCTTTAAGTCAGCAATTCCTGGTAGCAAGAGTCACCCAGGCAAACCTTCCTGGCATCCAACATCAGCCTCCGCTTGCCTCTGCTTGACCTTGATTCCAGCTCTGGTGTTTTATGCTGGCCCTGCTTAGGTTTTCGTTTTGTAACTTGTTTGGCCTATATTTACCCTATGTTCTATGTTTCTTTGGAGGTATGAAAAATAATCACATACCATACAATTTAAGCATTTAAAGAGCATAACTCAATAGTTTGTTTAGTGTGTACTCGGAATTGTGTAACAATCCCTACGACCAATTTAGAATCTTTTCATAACCCTCAAGAGAAATCTCTTACCGTTAACTACCACCCCATAATACCCTCATCCTTTTCCCCCAGCCCTGGGGAATAACTAATCTGCTTTCTGTCTCGATAGATTTGCCTTTTCTGGATATGTCATATAAATAGGATCATATAATATGTGGCCTTTTGCGACTGGCTTCTTTCACTTAGTGTAATGCTTTTCTGGTTCATCCATGTCGTAGCATGTACCAGTACTTTATTCTTTTTTGCAGCTGAATAATATTCCATTTTCTAAATACATCAGATTGTTTTTTTTTAAAAAAAAATCCATTATTTTAGGGTCAGGGGTACACGTACAAGTTTGTTATATAGGTAAACTCGTGTCAGTGGGGTTTGTTGTAAAGATTATTTTGTCATTCAGGTACTAAGCCCAGTACCCAACAGTTATTTTTTCTGATCCTCTCCCTTTTCCCACCCTCAAGTAGGTCTCAGTGCCTGTTGGTCCCTTCTTTGTACCTATGCGTTCTCATCATAGTTCCCATGTATAAGTGACAACACGCAGGATATACCAGATTTTATTTATCTATTCATTTGTTGATGGACAATTAGGTTGTTGTTACTTTTCAACTATTATAAACGGTGCTGCTATGAACATTTGTGTATATATTTTTGTGTGGCTGTGTTTTCATTTCTCTTGGGTACAGACCTAATAGTGCAGTTGCTGGGCCATAGGGTAACTCTATGTTTAACTTTTTGAGGAGCTGCCACAGTATTTTCTAAAGTGGCTGAACCGTTTGACAATCCCATCAGCAATGTGAGGGGTCCATTTTTTCCACATCCTTGCTAATACTTCTCATTGTCTGTCTTAATCACAGCCATCTTAGTGGCCGTGGAGTGGTGTCTCATTGGGACATGATTGGAATTTGAGCATCCCTTGAAATTTGAATTTTCATGTGGACAGCGCCCAGGCCTCCTTTGTCTGGCACCCCATCTCTCTACATCTTGCCCAGTGCCCAGCTCATAGTAGTAAATGCTCAAGTCCTGTGTGGATTAGATGAAGGATGTGGTTTTCCATATTTGCTGTTCCCAGTGACACTCTATCTGGGCTCCTGCCTCAGAAGTAGGATTTTTTGCTTTCTATCCCTGATCTCCTTTTACCATCTGAATACCCACCCTAACTTTTGGCTTCACATTTCTGCGTAAAGATGACCATTCCTTCCTTGAAGTCCAAGTGAGCTCAGTTATTTAGGAGAGAGTATGCTTCAAATGTCCCTAATGCTCCACAAAAGCCCAGTAAAGCTCTCACATGAGTTCTTCTAGCTCAGTGCCTGGCCCACAGATGTTGCCAAGAAATGCTGCCTTCCTTCTTCTCTATTGCTTGTGTATTGTTTCCTGTAGCTGCAGTAACATTACCACAGGCTGTTGGTGGCTTAAAACAGCCTAAATGTATTACCTTACAGGTATCTAGGTCAGAAATCCAAAATGAGTCTCACTGGACTAAAATCAAGATGTTGGCAGGGCTTTGTTCCTTCTGGAGGCTCTAGGAGAGAGTCTGTTTCCTTTCCTTCTTCCCCTTCAAGAAGCTACTGAGATTCCTTGGCTTGTGGCCCCTTCCTCCATCTTGAAAGCCAGCAGCATTATGTCTCATAGATCCTGCTTTTGTAGTCACATCTCCTCTGATGCTCTTTCTCTTCCACTTTTAAGGACCCTTGTGATTACATTAGGTTCACCCAGACAACCCAAGATAATCTCTTAGTTTAAGATCTGCTGATTAGCAACCTTAATTCCATTTGCAGCCTTAATTCTCCTCTGCCATATAACATCATATATTCACAGGTTCTTAGGATTCATATGTGAACATCTTTAGGAGGTATTTTCTGTATGGCACCTAACTTTCCTTTTTTCTTCCTCACTCTCCTTCCTTCCCTCCCTTTCTTCCTTCCCACCTGCACCACTACATTTTAATAGGGGAAGAAACTGAACAGACTGTCACTTTACCAAGCATGCAGGCAGGTCAGTGGCAGTTCCAGGGTAATTACTGAAATGCCAAAGGCAGTAGAAGCTGTCTGTCAAAATCGGCCTTGTAACTTGTAGGTCTTTCAGGGTATATATTTTAATGGGACTTTAACTTCACAAGGTTTATTTCTTTGAGAATATTATGAATTTGCAAATTATAGAATGCAATTCCTTCATCCTTTAATCAGAACCATTCAAAAGGCATGTTATTCAGGCATCATACACAAAGAGGATAAATTACTGGGTGGCAGAATTGCATCCTGGAATTGGGAAGAAAGCAGAGGGAAGAGCCCGAGGCAGAGAGTCCTTTAGTACTGTGAACTTCACTCCAGCCCCTGAGTGGAGGCTGACGGGATCCTCAGGGAAAGGGCTTAGGACTGGGATAAACCTGGAGAAACAAAATCTGGAAGGTGAATGGGAGAAGGGAATGGGAAGATAATGGAGTCACAAAGCAATCTAAACTTTTTAAAATTTTTCCATAAACACATTTGAATGATGACAGATGAAAGTAATTTTATTCATTCAACTACTCTTTACTTGGGATGTGCAGTTTGCATATGTGATGGGTGTGGGGCAAGAAGATTGTGAAGGCAAAAAACACAAGACAATACCCTTATTTTAAATGAGTGAATACTAACATGATCGCACCCTCGTGCGCCACAGTGCCTGCAAGGGCATGATGATGTCATGCGTCGTGTGTGCTTCTACTTTCCTGGCCATCCAGTACCCAATTCCTCCTCCAGGTTTTGAGTATTGGTGGCACTTGGTACCCTGCCTTCTAATATAGAAGCTACAGTAGGGAGATTCTCTGGAAGCAGAGTGCCCTAGGCTTGGTCATTCAGGATTGAATGGGGCCTGCAAAAAGCGACAGTGAGGATTCATTGATGCCAGCTGCAGCAGAACCTGGTAGCAAAGTAGTGACATCTTGGTCGGGCCTGTGTGTCAGAAGATGCTGCCTCTTGGTCCTCTGAGACTCTCTTCGTTCTTGACCATTTTCTAAGTTGGGTTCTCCATCTTCTCATCCATCTTGTGAACCCCAATTCCTCCTTTAAATGATGTCTCTGCTTAACATAGCAAAATCTGTTTTCTGTTGCTTGCAACTTAGAACGCTGGCAGGTATCACTGTTTATTAATCAGGAGAAAACAAACTTAGTGGTAGCTGATAATGCAGCCACTATCCTGGAACTCCAGGCATTAGGGCTTAGGGACCAGCATTTCCCTCTGCCAGGAAGGGGCTTCTTATCTCCCTTTCTTTCTTCCCTAACACTTCTCCAGTTCACTGATAGAACATCCAGCACATTAACCCATAATTTTAGTAAATATTAAATATATCAAGGGCCTGTTTTGGGTCAGGTGACTGCTGCAGGTAAAACAGTGTGCATACCTTTGTTTTGGTCCCCACCACCCCCTTACCTCCCATCGGCTGCTGACACCTTAGTCATAGACCCCTGCCAGCCTCTGCATCCTCAGCAGCCTCAGCTTCCCTTTCACATCAGAAAACTCAGCTGGGGGCCTGAAAAAGAATAACCACAAGCCTCAGGTAGACCCAGGCTGGTTTCCTTCCCAACGCCACCCTCAGATTCATTATTAAATGATGCTGTGGACTCCAGGGAGCCCATGTCTCTAAACGCCACCTGATTTCCTCAGAAATGCACCTGGCCACCTAGGAGTAGGTAGGTGGAACTAGAAATCAGAAAATGATTGTTTCCCTAGTCTGAAGAAAGCACCCCACAGTGTGATTTTCTCAAGAGAAAGTGCTTGCTATGTGCCCTGAGTGTTTTAAGGCAGGCTGGCTGTTTTTGGAAGCCACCCACTTTCCTTCATTTTTGTCTTCACTACCCTAATCTGAACAACCACCCTCTTGCATGACATTCTGCAATTATCCCTACCTGAAAGCCCCCTCTCCACATCCCATCAACAGCCAGAATGTTTCCAAAGTGGAAACCAGCTATGAGGAATCCCTGTCCCCACTCTGGTAAATGTTCCCCATGACTCCTAGATGGAGCTACAAGGAGCATCAGTACCTTTCACCTGCAGGGCATGAGGGTCAGGTACTTACCCACTAGTCTGGTCTGAGTCCTACTTTTCTCTGCTCTTGGGAAGTGCTTCCTTCTCCCTCCTCCCTCCTTCTCCTCCTCTGCAGTTATATCTCTGGTCAGTTCCCAAATCTCTTTACAACAGGCTCTCATCCCACTTACCCTAGTGTTGATTTTATTTGTGTGGATGTGGTTCTTCCATTAACTTGCATCTCCCCTGTGAGCCGCATGAGGACAGGGAGGTTCTGTCTCATTTTTCTGCCCTTCTAACAGAAAATTCGAACTATGGGCCTACATTTACCCTTCCTCCTACTCTAATAACTGAGCCATGAATTTTCTCAGAGCAGCAACATGCTCAGCTTTCTGAGAGACCACATTTCTTAGCGTCTTTTGCAGCTAAATGGGACCAGGTGAGGAAGTTCAGGATGTAAATTACAGCCTGGAGCACATGGCAAGTCCACCTGACGGGAAATGACTCCAGTGGAAGAAGGCCCTTTTGTCTTTTTCACTGCTTGGGCTGTCGACATGATGGCTAAAACTTGAGCACCCATCATTATGATATAGGAGTTAAGAAGAAATTACTTAGGCAGATAGTGGGGGTATGAGAATCCTCAGTAAGGTTTTCCTTTTAAGGAAAAGCAGCCCCAACTCATTTTCATTTCTAGCAAAGAGCAGCCTGTAGAATAGAGCTGCAGACATAGATGCCAGCAATTGTGCCAGTCATGTTCAAAATGGCAGCACCATCTTCCCTTCTCTTTCTCATCCACGTGTACAGTAAGGAACAGACAAGATGGCACTGGTCAACGGGAGAGTTCATTTGCATAATAAGTTTAGGGTGGGGCAGCCAGCCTTCCTCAAGTGCTATGTAAATGTCATACCTGATCGAACCAACCTGTGAACCCTATGTAAATCAGACATTGCCTCCTCAAACCTGACTGTAAAATCTGGCGCATCCGCCACCCACCAGTCCTTTCTGCTTGGAGACTCCTCTCTCTCCATAGAGAGAACTGTTTCTCTTTCTCTTCTCTTCTGCCTATTAAACCTCCACTCCTAAACTCCTCATGTGTGTCTGTGTCCTAAGTTTTTCCGGTGTGAGGCAACGAACCCCAGGGTATATACCTCAGACAATGTAGCCACTTTAATTAAACCATGAAGTGAAGCTGTAGGTTGATGGAGCATCAAGATACAAGGAAGCTGAGTCCCTGATGACCATGGAGTTCCCCATCAAATCTGGACGGCTTGACTTGAGGCTTTTTAAAAAATCATTTTCATTGTTTCTTCACCATACAAAATGTATTCAAATCACATCCATTTGAAGTGGTAAGATCATAGCTAGAGAAAAAGTTACCTTGTAAGAAATTTATTTATAAAACACTTCATGAGAGTTTTTTCTTTTATATTTCATTATCTTCCCTGATTAAAGGAGCATACAACACAAAGCTAAACTTATTAGTATTTTGCCTACTCTTAGTTTAGAGAGAAATAATTTTCTTATTTAAAATTATGCACCCAATAGGGGAAAAAAAATCTCATAACGTGACAATTGTCCTCTGAATTCCTCTCTGTATGAGTCTGTTTTTATACGGCTATAAAGAATTGCCCAAGGCTGGGTAATTTAAAAAGGAAAGAGGTTTAATTGACTCACAGTTCAGCATGGCTAGAGAGGCCTCAGGAAACTTACAATCATGGCAGAAGGCAATGGGGAAGCAAGCACCTTTTTCACAAGGTGGCAGGAGGGTGAAGCGCCGAGCAAAGGGGGAAGAGCCCCTTATAAAATCATCAGATCTCATGAGAACTCACTCACTATCTTAAGTCAATTAAACTACTGTGAGAACAGCATGGGGGTAACCACCCTCATGACCCAATCACCTCCCACCCAGTCTTTCCTTTGCATGTGGGGATTATGGGAATTACAATTCTAGGTGAGATTCAGGTGCAGACACAAAACCTAGCCATATCACTCTTTAAGCATCTTTCTTCAAATTTCTCCTCTTATACGTGCCAGTTGTCATGTACAAACTTAGTTCGTACTTCCTTTTCCCAGAAAGGCAAGGTTTTAAATACTCCAGCTTCATGTACAGATCTACTTTATGTACATTCATACTTAAAATAGAAGTAAAAAAAGAGAACTGCAACCAATCATAAAAACAAAATACAATCTCAAAAAAAAAAAAAAAAAATACAAACCCACTAGAAAATAGCCTGGCAGTGTTTAAACACTAATTGCTATTTTTGTAGAAAATTGTTAGATAATAAAATGTGAGTAGACTACATACCAATGTAAATAAATCCATTGCTCTGCACAGCTGGTAGGAGTAAACACACATCTCACACTGTTTGACAGCTCACGTGTTATAATTTACATGGTTTATACTCTCAGGGTCATTCTATCATAATTCCCAACTACTAACTTTTAGCCATTTCATATGTGATCTGTAAGAGCAACAACTCCACAGTATGGACACTTACTGCACATTTAGTACTTAAAGTAATACAAATACTGTAGTACTACCCACTTTGCATGCCAGACGATATGATAAAAATAAAATGACAAATGCAAGCAGAATCTGGAATGGAGCATCTAACTAATGGGCATTTGTTAAGCATATTTGCTGGGAATATCTTTTGCATAAAGGAACTTTTGAGACTTACTAGGCTTCCTCTGATTTTCAAAACAATACATTGGGAATTTCATTACCAAAAGATTTAATGAGACATTAAATAAAACACACAACAGCTGATCCAGGTGAACTCATTCATTAAACTTTGGAAAAAGTCTGTTTTGTGCAGCTGGCAAAGAGAATGACACAAAGCTGGAAGAAGAAACAGCTAACCAGATGAGGTCAATATGGAAAATGAGGAAAAGCTGGGCATAAAATGTTTCCAATACAGGGAAGAAAACCCCACAGTGCATTTTCAGGGGGCACTTAATACAAAAGTCTCCCTCCCTTCCCACTCTGGTGTTTCATCTCAGACCACCCCAATATTTTGTACAAGTCTAGTGTGTGTGAGCGGAGGTAGGTGAGGATGGAGGCTGAAGCAAAAGGAAGATAATCCTATGTTTGGGTTTTTTCCCAAACATCTGCCCAGGCATACCTGCCCAAATTGTTTAAAGTGCTGGTACTATTGTTTTGATCCCACCAGCCCTTGGCCTGTTGTGTGAATCTATCTGTAGCAAACTGCTGGGGCTGCTTCTCTTTTGTTGTTGCTGTTGTTGTTTTCCCTTAATAGATATTTTCAATTCCATTAACCACACATTAATCTGGTGTCTACTATGTGCCTAGCATGGTTTCTGACACAAAATATTTCAGTCTAACAATTCCTTTTGTGTTTTCTTTTTATGAAATTCCTCCTACCATTCCCACAGGGAATGGATCATCTGGGGAATGGATCTTGAGGTGCTACAGAGCAAAACTAGACAGATTTCCAGTGACAGACATCCATTATCACCTCCCAGTGGGAAGGTTATTCTTGGGATGTTACTTGTAGGATTTTCAGCTGACATGAAACCTCCCAGTTGGGAGACTTTCCTGAACAGTAAATCAGGGGACACCCTGGCATGACATTAATTCATTTTCTAGGCTCTGACTTCCCTTGGTTCCACATACTCCACAGATGAAGAAGAAACTGTCCTGGCCAGGACTATTGCAGCTATCAAGACAGTTGTAGCCCCTCTTCCTACTAGCTTAAGTGAATGCTATTACAGTCTCATGGACTTGGGACACGTTTATCCTTAGAAGATTCTCATTTGCCCCCATCCTGAGACTTTCCCCAGAGTACAGTATAGAAGGATCCTTTCTGCTGTCATAGGGGCCTGAGAAGTTCAAGGATAAAGGGATCCCTACCTGCTGCTCCGTGGTACTGCTCTCTCATCTGACATCATTCTCTTTTCAAATGGGTCCTTCTAATGAGGGAACTCTAGAACTCCCCTCCAGAGAAAGGAGCGAGATGGGACAAAACTTCTCTCAAAGGCTGCTAAAACCTAGATCACTGAGGCTTCACTCTGTGCCTAGCACGGGGGCAGAGGTGGGAAGAGTAAGCAGGGCGTGGACCCCATGGAGCTCAGGGTTAAAGGGAATTTAGATGGAAAAAAAGAGAGACTGATGTTGGAGGGGGGGGCCGTGGGATACCTGGGGGAACCAGAGGTTTATTTTAGATAGTCTGGTGGGGAGAAGTTCTCTCACCTCACCCTGGACTCAGCTTGACTAATTTGAACTAGCAAAAACTGTTGAAATAAACAAATTAATGGTAATGGGTACCATATAAATGCTTAAACGCTGGCTTTTAAAAAAAGGAAGAAAGAAAGGAAAAGTAACGTTTAAACCATCTACAAAGAGCTCCTAAGTAGGCATTTGCTACAAAAACAATTTAAACCTAGCAATACATTGGAAGCAGGGAGTGGGTGGTTTATGGAGACACAAAAATCCACAACAGCTTAAAGTGAGAATACTCCATTATATTTCTTCTGTATTTGCAACAAATATTTGAAAATAATTTCCTCAAATAGAAATCTCTGGAGATTCTCTTGACCTAGTGTGAGACAATACATAGCTTAAACTGAAGCATATATGTAACTTAAATATAAATAAAAATAATTAGATTAGGTATAAATTAAATCTTCATTTTTTTATAGTTTCCAAATTTGCAAATTTGTCTCCTTGCTATAATTTGTTTGTAATCTCAAAAGCAATACTTGTGGCTTTTCATGGCCATTGGTGGACATGCACAAGGCCGTGACAAATTTGAGTACTCTGACACACATGTTCCCAGCTGAGGTTGCACAGGGCCATGTTCTGCCTTCTTGTTTCAGCTCTCAAACTTGCAAACAAGTTTCTTTTTTGCCATCTATTTCCTCCCGTGTTTTTCATATTTTTGTGTTTTTAGTTGGTGATTTAAAATTAAACCCACGTGTAGCACTAAAGCACTATGTAGTGTTCCTAAGCACAGAAGGCTGTGATGTGCCCTGTGGAGAAAATACATGTGAGATAAGCTTCCTTCAGCCATGAGTTAGAGCACTGTAGGCTGTGAGTTCAATGTTAATGAGTCCAAAACATATACTAAATAAGGTATCTCTGAACAACAGCAGACACAAAACAAGGCTATAAATTGGTGGGTTGACAAAAGTGCTGCGAGCAGAGGTTTGCAGGAAACCCTCTATTTTTTCCAAGAGCAATGGCTCAGTATTCCCTAATTCAATTCAGCGTTGTTGTGATGCCATAGATCATAGCTACAGCAGGTAGCGAGAACCAACTGTGTTCCTAGGGAGAACTAGAGAAAAGGATTTCATGCTTTTGCAGGAGTCCAAATTGGTCTTTCCTGTAGTTCTATCTCATATTAACAGACCCCAAAGATGGGTTTCTCTGGAGCAGATGTGGCTGGAACTGTCATTAGGAAGTTTAGCCCTATTGTACAGCCCATCCCTCAGACACAGCAAGCCCCCCCAGGATGGAGGTAAAGCACACGTGTGAGATGCCTGATTGCTCATCTTTGACTTGCTGAGTCATCCATGAGATCTTTGAGCGTGGGACAAAGTAAGGCTTTCCCAAGGGAGCCTGCAACTGTGCATTTAGACAGTGTTTGGTTTGTTTGTTTTGTCTTTATGAAGAAAACCATTCATTAAAATGTCCGAGTTGTTCTCAAGTTTGTAGTTTACTTCATGATAATATCTTGGAGGAAGAAGGGACAACATTGCCTTACAGATGTTCTGGCTCCATGATTTACAAAATACCAGTTTATGAGGAGAATTCACACAAAGCCTAATCAACTGCACATGGCTTCCACCAATGAGAGCATGTCTAGAAAATAAGCATCAAATCTCAGGAACATGGGGCTCTTTATGCTCCATGAACCATCCAAAGGATCTAAATGAGAACAGAGCTGGAGCAGAGAACAAAGCTTTAATCTGGAGATGGCAAACACCTCCCATCTTGTGGGCCAACTGGGATTGATTGGTACTTATTACAGGGAAAGGGTGTTGAGAAGGAGTCTGATGCCAAATCCACGTTCACTGGTGGCGTGCCATGCCGCATGCCATGATTGATTAGTGCTGTCGGCTGAGGGTGAGGAGCAGGGAGCATATAGACTGTGCATTCACCTTCCACAAAGTTAAAGCAGTCAAGTTTCAGCAGAAGAATCCCTCTCTCCCTATACCTAATAAGATCATGTCTGATTTGGTGATCTCTCTCAAAGCCATGCTGAACACATTGCCGCATATGGAGTAACAGCTCAATAAATCATTGCCCAATATAGATATGTAGATATGCATCAGGGAATATGTAAGGGGAATGAGGGGAAGAAGGCAAGTCTTTCAGTCCTCTGAAGTAGGGTTGGAAGAATAGTTTGAGGCCACAAAGTCTTCCAATTTGGCTTGAAGTCCAACTCCATAGGTAGCAGCCTCCCTTGCCTTCACCTAAAGCCAATTAAAGATGCAAAATGTTGCAGCTGTCACCAGCACCACTCTTGAGGAACAAGGTGAGCTGTTAGAAGCCAGAGACTCAGCAAGATCCAAGCTTGAGAATGAATTTTATGATATTTTTGAGTTTTAAATACTATAGCTACACATGGGGCACTACATAGAAAGAGTCACCAAATAAAAGGCTTCTCTAAGTGATCTGTGTCCATTTCAGGATCTTATGAATCAACAGAACTGACTGGTCTCCTTGGGACTGTGTTAAACCTGAATAGGATCAGGTCATCCATCCCTCCTTAGGTCCCCTGCAGGGCTGAAGGTCACACCAGGGCTTCTTTCCATGATCTGCTCAGGAGCCACACAGAAGGGATACATGCCTAAACAGCATGGAGACAGGACCCCCAGGGGTGTTGGGGAACACAGCAGAACTCAAGGACTTATAGCAGGAGGGAAACCCTCTCTCTCTGCCCTTTGAATGGAGTCCAAGCAGTGTTTTCCAGTGTGGTGCACAGATGATTCTTAGAATTTTGTTTTAAATTACTTAAAATAATTTCATCCTTTTAAAATGTTTTGCATGTTTTTAATATGCAAGGCATATTACCATAGTGGTAGAATAAAGAAGTGAGGAGCCCTACCCCCACCAGCCAGTGTGATATCAATGGAGGCCTTAGTGGGGGATGTGAAGTTCCACCCTCCAGTTGTAATGAGGTTCTCCTGCCCTCTCAAATGAAGGCAGAGTGGGGAACTCGGACTTTCACCCCCATTTGGCAGTAATGAGTTGGGGTGGTGTCAGAATGTTGTGGTGCCTGCTAAAACAGAAGATTTAAATAAGAACCAGAGTCTCATGATATAATAGAAACATTTTCAAGATACAATTGAAAATCACCCATCATATCAGGAACTAGGAACATCCTGACTTGAATGAGAAAAGAAAATTGACAGATGCCAACACCTGCGTGACACATACGTTGGGATTATGTGACAAGAATCTTAAAGCAGCCACTATGAAAATGCTTCAGTGGACAATTATGAACATTTTTGAAACAAATGAAAGAATAGAAACTACAGCAAAAAAAAAATTAAATGTCTCAGGGGAAAGAAAACAGAAGTTACAAAGAAGAACCAAATGGAATATTCAGAAGTAAATTTCCAGTTTATACAAAACCTGAAATTAAAAGAAAATCTCAGTGGGTGAGCTCAACAGCAGAATGGAGGGAATGGAGGGAAGAATTAGTGAAGTGAAAGATGGAACAATAAAAATTAGTTAATTGGAAAGGAGTGAAAATAGACTGAAGCAAAATGAATGCAGTCCCAGAGACTTGTGGGATTACAACTAAGAGCATGTTGAAGTCACAGCAGGACTAGAGGAAAAGAGTGGCACTGGAAAAATATTTGAAGAAATAAAAGCTGAAAATTTCTCAAATCTTGCAGAAGACATAAACATCAGATTCCAGAAATGAGCAAACCCCAAGAAATAGAATCCCAAGGAAATCCATGCCAAGACACATCATAGCCAAACTTCTGAAAACGGAGTCAAAGAAGACTTCTTGAACAGAGCCAGGGAGAAATCATATCTTACCTGCAGGGGAAAAACAATTTGGATGACAGCAGATTTCTTTTCAGGAACCATGGAGGCCAAAAAGAAATGCACAGTATTTTTCAAATGGTTAAAGAAGAGATCTGTCAATCCAGAAATTATGTCCCGTGCAAATATCCTTCAGGACTGAAGGAGAAATCAAGACATTCTAACAGACTTTGTCACTAGCACACCTACCCTAAAAGAATGGTTGAAAGAAATTCCCCAAACAGAAAAGAAATGATAAAAGAAGGAATCATGGAACTTCAGTTAGGAAGAAAGAAAACTTAAAGAGTAGAAATGTGAGTAAGTACAGTGGACTTTCCTTTTCCTGTTGATTTTTTTTCTTTTCTTTTTCTTTTTTTTTTTTTTTTTTTTTTGAGACTGACTCTCGCTCTTGTTGTCCTGGCAAGAGTGGAGTGGCATGATCTCAGCTCACTGCAACCTCCACCTCCTGGGTTCAAGCGATTCTCGTACCTCAGCCTCCCAAGTAGCTGAGATTACAGACACCCGCCACCACGCCCAGCTAATTTTTGTATTTTTAGTAGAAATGGAGTTTCACCATGTTGGCCAGGCTGGTCTTGAACTCCTGACCTCAAGTGATCCGCCAGGCTTGGCTTCTCAAAATGCTGGGATTACAGGCTTGAGCCACTGCACCTGGCTCCCGTTCAGTTTTCTAGATTACATCTGATAGCTGAAGCAAAAATTATAACACTGCCTGTTGTGCTTTTCAATGTATATAGAAGTAATATGTAATGTTATATGTGTGCGAGGGTAAAGGGACTTAAAGGGAGGTAAGGTTTTCACATGTCACTTGAACTGGTGCATGCAATACTAGGAGACTGTGATAAATTATGTGTGTACAGTTGTTCCTCAGTATCTGTGGGGGGCTTGGTTCCAGGACCCCCTGTGGATACCAGAAATCTTGATGCTGAAGTCCCTGCTATAAAATAATGTGGTATTGGCATATAACTTATGCTCCTCCTCTGCTATGTTTTTAAATTGCCTCTAGATTACTTATAATACCTAATAAAATGTAAATGCTATGTAAATAGTTGTTACACTGTATTATTTAGGGAATCATGATAAAAAAAAGTCTGTACGTGTTCATTACAAGCATAATATTTTTTTCCAAATACTTTTTATCCAGTTTGGTTGAATCCACAGATTCAAATCCATGGATATGAAAGGCCTACTGTATAGTGGCCTTTAGTGGTTAGAGCAACCACTAAAAAACCTATACAAAACGATCACGGAAAAACACTACAGGTAAATCAAAGTGGATTTAAAAATGTTCAGGTAACCCACATGAAGGAAAGAGAAAATAGAAATGAAAAATATTAACTTCTTTTTTTTTTTCAAAAACAAAACAAACAAAAAAGCCAGCAATTTTTTTATTTTTACATGTTATTTATTTATTTTTTAATTGACAGGTAGTAATTTTGTGTATTCATGGGGTACATAGTGATGTTTTAATACGTATACTGTATAGTGATCAGATCAGAGTAATTATCATATCCAATCAAACGTTTATTATTTGTGTAATTTAAATGGCCTAAATGTACCAGTTAAAATACAGAGGTTGACAGCAGGCAGAAAACATAATACAACTACATGCTGTAGGTAAGAACTTATTTCCAATGGAGTAGTATAAGTAAATTGAAAGTGAAAGGATGGCAAATGATACATCATTAATCAAAAGAAAGTGGAGCAGGAGTGGCTATATTAAAATCAGATAAAATAGACTTCAAAACAAAGAAAATTACCAGGGACAGAGAGAAATATTACATAATAATAAAAGGGCCAGTTCACCAAGAAGATAAGACAACCCTAAATGTGTACGTACCTCACAACCGAGCTGCAAAAGATTCAAAACAAAAACTGATAGAGCTGAGCAGGGAAACAGACAAACCCATGATTGTACCTGGAGACTTCAAAATCCCTTTCTTTAACATTGATAGAACAATTAAAAAATCAGCAAGAATATAGAAGAATCATCAATCAACAGGGTCCAAATGGCTTTTATGGAACACTCCACCCAACAACAGCAGAATCCACATTCTTTTAAAGTACCCAAGTAACACTTACCAAGAGAGTTCATAACCTGGGCCATAAAAAAAGACCTCAACATATTTATAAGGGCTGAACTCATACAGATGACATCCTCTGACTCTATGGAATCAAACCAGAAATCAATGTAGAAAGATAATAGGAAAATCTCCAAACACATAAAAATTAACAACAGTTTTAAGTAACTAAGGGTCAAAGAGAAGTCTCAAGGGAAATAAAAAATGAATGAAAATAAGTAAATAAAAGGGCAGGCAAATGTCATGTATAATTACAGTGTAAAACTTAGTCAAAAGACCATGGACACTATCTCTAAATGTAAAGTGTTTCCTTCCCGGAAGAGAACAAAACAAAACAAAACAAAACAAAACAAAAGAACCTGGGAAGGAGGGGATGGAGAAAATACTGTGTACCAAATTCCAGTTCATATTCTTCTTTCCGGGGCACACGGAATACCATAATTCCCAGCTCCTTTTCAAGAGTTGTGAGTAAAAAAAAAATGATATATTCAAATTAGTATTATCCAAAGAAGTTTAGTTAAAGGGTGTAGGGAGATCACAACGGATATTACAAAATAACAGGGTTGTTACTAATCCGAGGCTTGAAGGGGCAAGTGAAAGACTTGGTTAAAGACTGTGGAGAGGTGGGGAATGTGTAGAGAGAACCACCTGGAGAGGAGCTGTGACCTTCAGTCCAGTGTCCCAGCTTTGGCAAGGTGACCCAACAGCGGGGAGCCTGGAGAAATCCACCTTCCTCTCCTTCCTCCTCCCCTGATCTCCTGCCTGAATCCCAGTGCCCAAACTCAATGGAAGCCAGAACGTTGACTGTATGGCAAAGTGTCCCTTTGCTCTGTAATCCATACAGATCAGCCTAGCAGAGCAGAAGGCAAGGTGGGGAAAGGTTGATCAGAAATTAGCGGGTAGGGAAGGGGGATGTGGAAATAAATGGAAAGCTATTTGAGTAGCAGAGAGACCCAGCGACTGGGTGACAATCTCAGAGACATGTTTAAAATGGCAACATCACTAGATGGGCTACTTGGAGAAGAGTTGCCAAAAGATGCTGCCCAAGCTCCCATTGACCACGATGTGAGTGAGAAATAAACCTTCATTATATTAAGACTCTGAGAACTGGGGTTGTTTGTTAAAGCAGCTAGTGGTAATTACCCTTACCAATACACTCAATAAAGTCAGGGTCTCAAATTCTATTAATATGTGAAGTGGAATATTAAATGCACAGTCCAGTACTCCGGAGTAATTAAAAAGTGATTCCAATATTTACTTGTGTCTCCTGAAAAATGCCAATGGGGATATGACTCATAATTTTAGTGACTCCTCTCAAAAGCTGTTTATCACCAATGCAATCCTGTTTTGCCCAGATACTGGCATCCATCAAGCTTCGAAAACTCCCCCCAACTTTCAGTCTGTACAGGACTTTTTCATCTCCTCTTTCCTTTCAGCCCTTTATAAGTGGGTTGTTTAGCCTCTCTTTTTGTTTTCCCCATCCTCCCTTTAGTCTTTTTTTTTTTTTTTTAATCACAGAAGATCCCCGAATCTGGCCAAATACAGAGGGATGTGTAGGGCTTATAATTAAGAGACGAAAACGGGAGGGACCCAGGGATAGGGCTAAAACACAGGACATGTGCCTGTCGCAGGCCGTCCTCCTTGGGAAGCAGTCTGAGACAGAGTTGACACGTAGCATGCTGATTGGCAAGGATGTTTTGGATGGACACTCATGGAAGGGAGAGGGAGGAAGAAGGATGGGCAGAGGGCAAGCCCAGCTGTGATGCAGGAGCTCTGGAGCCCGTATGTCCCATCAGTCTTGTCTTTCTTTGGGACAAAATGGCTTGGCCTTTATCCCTCTGCCTCCATCTGTTGTTGATGGGGGTCGCCCAGGGAAGCAGGTGACCTCGAGTGAGGAGAATCCTGAAAGGGCTGACAGCTGAGGACTGAGGGCTGACAGCTTTCATCGCAGTTGGGACAACAAATCCTGCCTTGCAGAGAGACCTGGGCAACTGGTCTCTGCCCATCACCATGCAGAGGGACTGCGAGTGTGCTCGGGTGGGCTGCAGCTCTGGTTCTGAGCTGTCTGCAGTTTGTGTGGTCAGCGTTGCTGTGAAGATTGCTGTTGCTTCGTCCACGTTCTTCATTCTTTCTGTGCAATGCTTTGAGGCCCTTATACTGTGCCACATTTGCCACTCCCTTGAAGAACCCCATCAGTATTTTTACTTTCAACAGGCCTGGCTGTCTGACCCTCAGCCTCTCTTTCCCTCCTACTTCAACACTGCCGGGTCCTTTCCTTGGGAACTGCATGCAGCCCCTGAAGTTTCTCCCTAGGCTCTCTGGGCCGCAGGGTTATAGAGAAGTGTGCTGCTGGCCTTGCTGTAATTCATTGATTTCTTATTTTTACTGAAGGGCAGGATAATGACTGTAGTCACTGCAAGGACTTATTTATGGCTCTGTCCCTCCTGATTGTTAGCCTTAGGAGGCACTCTGGGGCTGTGGATAACTCGCCGGCCTCCTGATTGTATGTAATTAGGGCCTGGGTAGGAATAGCCTTTTAATTTCTCTTTTCCCAATGAGCCTGATTTTTCAATTCTTGCAGTGACCCAGACCAGCCTTGTGTAAACTCCACTGGAGTCAAGCCCTTATGAGCCCCGAGAACAGGGGAATAAAGGCGGTGGAGCCCTGAAGCCTGCCTCTGCTTGGGTTTGAAACACAGATCAACCATCACTATGTATAGGGGCTGGGGAAATTTTATTAATCCATATACACTTCAGTTTCCTCACTTATTAGACATGGATAATAACGCCTCCCAGTTATAGCTGCTGTGGGGAAAAATTTCCTTACCATGTGCTTAGCTCTGTACCTGACAATTAATAGGCATCCAAGCTGTGTCTATCGTGTCATTGTCATTATTGCTATTTCCACTATTTTTTTCCTTCAGCTTTTAAGTTCAGGGGTACACGTGCAGGATATTTCCACTTTTCCTGAGAGAAAAGTGAAGCTCAGACTGCAGTGATTCTGACTGCTTTTAGCAGCTTCTGAGAATGTATTTCTTTTTTTTTTTTTTTTTTTTTTTTTTGAGATAAAGTCTACCTCTGTCGCCGAGGGTGGAGTGCAGTGGTGTGATCTCGGCTCGCAGCAACCTCTGCAGCCCGGGTTCAATTGATTCTCCTGCCTTAGCCTCCTGAGTAGCTGGGATTACAGGCGTGTGTGACCACGACCAGCTGATTTTTTTTTTTTTTTTTGTATCTTTAGTACAGACAGGGTTTCACCATCTTGGCCAGGCTGGTCTTGAACTCCTGACCTCGTGATCCACCTGCCTCGGCCTCCCAGATCCACCAGCTGGGATTACGGGAGTGAGTCACTGCACCCGGCCGAGAATGTATTTTTTCACCAACTTTGTTTTTGGTACTGTTTTCCCCAACCTGCCTCTAGTTGTAATGCCCTAGTAAAATCCTACAACCATTCTAATGCCAACTTCAATTGCAGTGCCCCCAGAGAGCTCCTTTTGAACCCTTGGTTCAGTTTTGTTCTCACTGGTCGTGACCAGTGCTCATTGGCTATGGCCCTCCTGGTTACGGAGCTCCCTGACTCTACCGAATACCTAATCTCCGAGGGGAACAAAGTAGGCTAAGGCAAGAAGTGTGAAACTATTCAAGGGAGTAGTTTCTGGATAGTTGTCAATATTTAATGGCCCTCTCCACATCTTTAGCCTCAGTTCTTGTGATGGTTAATACTGTCAACTTGATTGGATGGAAGGTTGCAGAGTATCGATCCTAGATGTGTCTGTGAAAGTGTTCCCAAAAGAGATTAACATTTGAGTCAGTGGACTGGGAAAGGCAGACCTATCCTTTATCTGGGTGGGCCCCATGTAATCAGCTGCCAGCATGGCCAGAATAAAAAGCAGGCAGAAGGGTGTGAAGAGACTAGACTGGCTTAGCCTGCCAGCCTACATCTTTCTCCCATGCTGAATGCTTCCTGACCTTGAATGTTGGACTCCAAGTTCTTCAGCTTTGGGACTCAGATTGGCTTCCTTGCAAAATGCAGTCAGTCTCATATGATCAAGATTCCATAGAAAAACAAAACAGCTTTTCTGATGGCGAGAGTGGGGAAGGAGTTCTTGGTAGAGAATGTGGCACTTTAGTTTGACCTGGAAGAATGGGTGAAATTTCAACTGGTAGCAGTGGAGACAGGTCCTTCCAGGCTAAGGAAGGAGCAGGAACAATGGCAACAGGAGTGATTGTAAGGTGTAATGTCGGGACATTTCATGCATCCACGTGCAGCTTGAAATAGTGGGAAGTGAGGCTGCATAGCTAGTTATCACAACGAAGGCCAAAGCTAGATAAAAAGTGTGAACTACTTTTGGTAGAAGATCTGAAACTATGAGACATTCTGAGTGTCTGAGTGACATCAGCAGAGCTGTGCTTTTGGCAGATTTATTTGGTAATGTTGTGCAGAAGTTTTTTTCCAGGTAGAGACCAAAAGTAGATTAAAGACTCTCGAGAGTAAGGTGAGATATCTGGCTGGCCCAGCCCATTGGAAATGGGACTGCACACGGGAAGAGTGTGAGGGTATTTAAGAAGCTGGATGTGTACAACTTGGATGGTCAGGTAGAGAGAGGTTTTGAATCCAAGTAAATGGTGAAGCCTTTACTGAACAGAAAAATTATGGAGGAAGACAATGAGTTTTACTTTAGCAAAAGAAATTAAAAGCAAGAGCACCTGGAAGGAGGAGTGGACAGCAGTAGGAATGCAGAGCTGGAGCACAACGGTTCATCAGGGTTGGTGCCAGAGGTTGGATTAATTGCCTTTGGAGCTTGTAGGGAAGAATAGCAGAAAGATGGAAAGCTGGTGGTTCTGTTGTTTAGTGTATAGACTTCTTTTATCTTATGAGGGCCCCATTAGCTGACAGCTTTCCTGGCCTGAAGACAAAGTGAAACCAATTACCTTGATTGACTGAGGCACCCAAAAACATTTAGAGAGGACTAGCTTCCTTCCACCCCCAAGGCTAGAATGTGGATGCAGGGTATTTGCTTTACTAATCATGGTTACTTCTTTCCATCACCCAGGTAGGGTGTCCAGGAGACAGCGTTCTTCCTGCCCTTGCTCCTGTCAGATAGACAATGAAGGACCAGAGTGTTGTTTCAAAGTACATTTCTTTCTGGAGTCCCAGAAGGAAACAAACACTCCCTAGTTGTGTGACAACCCAGAAGGCAGGAACGTTAGTCGAGGGTGAGACCAAGTCCTGAGGCACACAGGAGCCATAGATCACCTCATCTTCTCGGGAGACTAGCTGAGACCATTGTCCCAGAGTCCTTGGGAGTTTACAGTTTTGTATTAAATTTAAGCATTTCCTTTTGATGAAGTATTTTATGATGGGCATTGTAAATTACTCTAAGGAAACTTTTTAGTCACCAAGAATTAATGGCAATGATAAATTTGGGCAACATCATTTTTAGTGTCTCTGTGAATGAACACTTTCAAAATTTCCCCAGGTTCTAGTCAAAGGTAGAGACTCCTGGTGATTATTTTTATATTTCCATGTCTCAAAGTGGCTTCTTTTATTAAGATTCCCAAGAATAAGACTTATGATTTATCTTCATGACATATTAACAGCCAGTCATACCAAATACATTTTTCTTTCTTATGTACCCGAAAGTATATTCTTGCTGTCAGCCTTTGGGGTACCATGAATTTCAAAAAGTTCTCTGGCGTTTTTGCTAAACATGGAACATTTTTTAGCTTTGTGAGTTATCAAAATAGTTAGAGGTTCTGGAGAGAAAAAGAAACAGAAATGAAGTCAGAATGGTGTCTTATCAGTAAGAAATAAGAAAATGTGCAATTCATCCTGTGACCTTCATTTATAAAATGACTGAAATGGACTAATGTTTATGGGGAATCCTGTGAATGAGCTAACACAATTTGTAGTTGACCAAAATTGGACTCAGTGGCCATACCTGCTATTTCGAATATAAAAGAGAGTTCATGTTTCACATTAAAAATTATTTTCAAGGCAGTGTCATTTTGGAAAGAAATGAAATTATTTGAATTTCACAGGGTCCTTTAGTGTTTATCTCTTGGACTTCACTTCTTGGATATGTTTGCAGCAGAAAAAGTAATCAAATCACTAGCCACTTCGGATTTTCCCAAAAGTAGATGAGTCATTCCTAACTCATTGGAGGAGGGAAGCATCTTTCATCTTTGCAAAAAAACCCACCTTTCTTATTTTATATAACATAATTTGTCTCATCTTCTGTATGTAAGCTCTCATATTTGAATTCAGAGGTCCTAATAGCAAGTTAAAACTATGCAACATGTCCCTTGGGTATTTCATAGGCATCATCTCCACACAACTAGTTAAGAATTTTTATGTCTCTCTGTCACATTTCATTTTGACCTTCAATTTTTAATTTGAATTCTTATAAATAGAAGCAAAAATGCATGACAGGAAAGGGAGAAACAGAGAAGCAAGGGGATTTATGCATGTGGGTAGTCGCCTCTTGGTGTTTCTGTTCTGAAGAGGAGATTTCCCTGTTTTTTTTTTTTTAAATGGGAAAAAGAGGACAGAATGTGGAGATTCAAGAGTGTGCAGTGGAGTTTGGATTTACTCTCACGTGTCCTGATGTGCCGTCACCATGCTTTTGCGCTCCGTGGAAGAAATTGCCTGGATTTCTGCACAGAACAGAAGTTCTGGCACAAGTTCTTGACATAAAATTACTGCTCTATCGATATTTGTTGAATAAATCAGCTCATCAAAATGAGTTGGAGTTTAAATTGTAATTGCATCCTGAATAGAGTACATAAATAAATAAATAGATAAATGAAAAAGGCTATTCTTCCTGGATGTTGTTGCGGCCAGGACATGGAAACTGACTTAGCTTTGCCAAGGAACCTGGTGGATGCTATTGCATCTCCAAAGTCACTAGAATTGGCTCGAGGTTCTGGAACTCACTTGAATGAACCAGAACAGGTTTGAAAGCTATAGAGCTCAGTTTTTAAAAAGCGTACCCTGTTTGTTATTCATTGATTGTTCATTTATTTATCCTTCACTTACTAGTTCTACACATTCATGAATTTTGGTACTGAGCAGGTGCTTCTTTGATGTGTTGCTTCAGTAAGTTATTCTATTTTATGTACTTTTATTATAAGTATACTAAGGATTTCCTGGCCAGTTATTGCCCATCTGGTACCTTCCAATGTCTATTCTTTCTTCCTCACAACCTAGAATTCCTCACCCACTTCAGACTGGTGGTGAGCAAGTGTGTATGTGTGTAGAGTGGGCTGGGCCCTCAGTAACAATGACTGGATGTGGGGCACTGATATGAGCCAGTAGGTTTGGTGAAAGCACTGAAATACATCCAGGGCTAGATGGCCTTGGGAAATGAAACAGACTGTGGGGCCAAATCAAACCCCACCTTAGGGTCTAAAATCAGAGCACAAAATAGATATCACATGGAGTCCAAATGACCCTTGACAATCCTTTGAACTGTTCACAGAGTTCTGAATATGTCACCTCCTCTGAGCACATTGGGAAACTACATGACACTTCCCAATGAGCCGTCCCCAACCAGTGTTCCTCCAGGGTCTCTGTCTCCCCCAAGACTCCCTGTCCCCCATTCCTGCAATTTTCCAACCCCTCTTCCCCATTCCTGCAACCCTCCAACCCCTCTTCTCTCCTTCCTCTTTGGTCGGGTGCATATATTTGAATTTGTGTAAATTAACTATAACGTTAGACCTTGGAATCTAGACTTATAAAGTTCAAAAGTACTGGGGAAAGTACAAGGAACAGTTCATAGGCCGGACATGGTGGCTCACGCCTGTAATCCCAGCACTTGGGGAGGCTGAGGTGGGCGGATCACGAGGTCAAGAGATCAAGACCATCCTGGCAAACATGGTGAAACCCCATCTCTAATAAAAATACAAAAATTAGCTGGGCATGGTGCTGCATGCCTGTAATCTCAGCTACTCAGGAGACTGAGGCAGGAGAATGGCTTGAACCCGGGAGGCGGAGGTTGCTCTGAGCCGAGATCGTGCCACAGCACTCCAGCCTGGTGACAGAACAAGGCTCTGTCTGAGAAAACAAACAAACAAACAAACAAACAAACAAAGAAGAGAAGAGAAGAGGAGTTCATAAGTAACAGGCCGGCAAAACGGGATTAGGAAGATGGATCACCTGTTGGACTTGAAGTCCTAGAGCATGGAGGGAAGGCCGGCCAGGCAGAGCTCTTTCTAACATTTCTGCTCACTGGCTCAGGAGTGTCCTCATCCACAGTTCCAAGTTGATTGGACAACAAGAATGAGGAGTAAAAAGAGAAGGGAGGAAATATACCAGAGCCCATACACAGTCATCCATAACCCCTCTCCCTGTGTTTATTATCAATGTGGAATTGAACGTTGTAGGATTTCTTGACTTACATTTTTATAAAACTGCGTATTGCAAGGGTATACTGTACTTAACGTGTTTGTTTACAATTCTCAATGACACACTGAAATTGAGTCCCCAGTTTGAACACAAAAAATATTTTCAAGGCTGGGTGCGGTGGCTCATGCCTGTAATCCCAGCACTTTGGGAGGCTGGAATCTGAGGTCCAGAGTTTGAGATGAGCCTGGCCAACATGGCAAAACCCAAACTCCACTAAAAATACAAAAATCAGTGGGGCATGGTGGCATGTGCCTGTAGTCCCAGCTACTTGGGTGGCTGAGGCAGGAGAATCACTTGAACACAGGAGGTGGAGGTTGCAGTGAGCTGCGAATGTGCCACTACACTCTAGCCTGCGTGACAGAGAAAGACTTTGTTTCTCAAAAAAAAAAAAAAAAAAAAAAAATTCAAGACATACCACCTAAAAATGCAAATAATTTGTGATATAGATGTTTTGAAATTAAATTGCAATATGATTTAATAATAGTGTAAAGTATTATAGAGAAAAATAAAATTCTGTCATCCTGATGTAACAGTTCTTTTTTATTATTATTCTCCTTCCCTCTTTTCTTCCTTCCTTCTTTCCCTTACTTTCCCTTCTTCCCCTTCCCTTCCTTTTGTTCCCTTCCTTCCTTTCTTCTCTTCCATATTTATGCTGTGTCTACTCTCTCCAGATGCTGTTCTAGGGCCTGAGGATACAGCATGACAAAACAAAGATTTCTGCCCTTCTGGGGATTACAGATATTAAGTAACAAACATAAAAATAAGTAAATAGTATGTGAAGCTTTACATTTTATTAGACAAAAGAGTCACCTAGGGGAATATGGTGTGAGAGTGCCAGGGGGAGGGTGGCAGGTAATGTTATTAAGGACAGTGGTCAGGACAGGTGACCTAGTAGTCAAAACTTCAAAGAAATGAGGGAGGTTGCTGCACGGATGTATGAAAAAAGAGCAGAGAGAACTGAAACCACAAAAGCCTTGAAGAAGGAGCTTTTCTGGAAAGTTCCAGGAATAGCAAAGAGGCCCATGTAGCTGGAGCAAAATGAGTGATGGGATAAGGGTATAGGAGAAGAAATAAGAAAGATGAGATGGAGCCCCATCATGTAGACCTTGAGGGTGTTGCCTGTGTGAGTGGAGTTAAGCTGAGAAGCTGAAAGAAGGCGCATGTTTAAGGCATCCTTCTGGCTGCTGTATGGAGAAAGGGTGGAGGAAGGGTAAGGAGGGCAGCAGAGGGAGCAGTAGGGAGCCACTGCAGAAATCCAAGCAGTGGGTAATTATCCAATGGATAAGTCAATCCATTATCCAAAAGATGGTGGTGGCTGGGCCAAGGCAAAGCACTGGTTCAAACATACCTGTTGTGCCTGGCTCTAAATGCAATGCCCTTGACTTCATGACTTCGTGACTCAGCCAGTGTGCATAATACTGAAAAACAGTATATAGGTCAGTAACCCTAGCAACTTAGCTGTCAGTCTTCTCCTTAGCACTCCTTTCAAAGGGCCTGTAATTTTGGGAAGGGGCATGTCTTAGAGAGTTTTGCTAATTCATTGCCTGAGTGATGTCTGGCAGAGAATATCCATGCATTTATCAAAGTCCTGCTAATGAACATATTAATGAAACATTAATATTATTGTTTGCTGCTTCAAGAATCACATGCTACGTCCATTTACCTTCATGAAATCTGGTAAGCTAAATGTATTTGAGATTATGAGATTGTTTTATGCCTAATTTATTTTATAAACTACATATGTAAATCATATCACTCTCACATGCAATTTCAGTTGAGAGGGTAACAACGATGTTGCCATAATTGAGACATTCTAACTTGGGGGGTGCCCACAGAACTGCTGAGTTGCATGCCATTTCTATTTTTTAGTTGTTTTTAGTTTTAAAAATAACTTCCAGAGTGTCATTTTTGTAATTCTAATTTCAATTTATAGTCTAAACATTGCAATGAGCTTTGGGGGGTATTGCAGCTTTCTTTGGGTCT
The DNA here is from genome assembly GCF_000001405.40 of Homo sapiens. Taxonomy (NCBI): domain Eukaryota; kingdom Metazoa; phylum Chordata; class Mammalia; order Primates; family Hominidae; genus Homo; species Homo sapiens. Next base: position 82,496,618 of record NC_000016.10, read on the forward strand.
TTGTCTGCTAATGTTTCTATTACTGCATCTATAGTGAAACAAGAACATTTTTTTAAAAACTTCTGACATAAGCATTTTTCTAAATGTGCTCTATTGTGGGGCACCAAACACCACAGGGAAGCTTAGCACTGTTGTTGTTTTGGGTAGTGATGTTATTATGGTGGTGGGAGCTTTACATCTTTTCCACTTTTTTCCAAGGCAAGTGGAATAAGATAGGGATCTGTGTACCCTGATCGTATAATTCCAGTATTGGAGAGAATCTTAAAGATGATCTAGCCCAAGCCTTGTATTTTACAGATGGGAAAACTGAGGCTCAGTCTGGTGAATTAACTTAATGAAGAATCAGTACTTACAACGTGTTTTCCTGATATTATTAAAACATCGACAGTGTCACACCCAGCTATAGTCTGGGTCTGGCCTCGAAAGAGGAATGGCATTTAGGTCGACAGGGAATTCTTGTGAGGTTTTATTCCTTTCCCCTTATCTTTGCTGTAGTAATCTGTCAAAAGAACCATTATTCAGGTTTGAAAGGACACCTTCAGCTTGTAAAAGGCAAAAGAGAAGGGGTTTAAGGTAACTATTCTTTCCTTAGAGTTAGGTTGCCAAATGATGCAGAAACCATTCTTCCAAAGCTGAAGTAAGATGTCGTGTCTTGCTATGCATTGTCATTCTTTAGAGATTGAGCAACCCTCCCTGCTAGGGAACCACAGACTTACAATTCATGGCTCGCAGGGAAAGTCGTGCCCTCTATAATAGACAATAATGACTGTAATAAAATAAGGCCACAGCTCAGACAGCAGAGAAGCAACACTGTTGGCAATGCGGGTGTAAGCATGGCCTAACTGATGATCATGCTATCTGGGTCCTGGATAGGGTGCAAATTCTGGTGCTGCTTACTCTAGCTGATCTTGGACAAGACTTTGGGCCTCTGTTTTCTCATTTGTAAAGTGGGAATGATAGTGCATACCTCATCAGGCAAGAAGGCAGTCAAGTGACAGAGTGGGAGAGAAGAGTTCCATGTGATATCTGGCAGCATGTGGTGCCTACTCACAGTTCTTCCTTGGCCTAATGTCCCGAAACCTCTGATAAACAGTGCAGCACGGTCAGCTGAGAACCCTGCTGGGGGCAATGAGAGTCTGGTCAGTGAGGAGATTGAGAGGTCTGCTCTTTCAGTGACTATTTTTGAGAAATATTGAGTTTTATCAGCCACAGATTTGTCAGTGTAGCTGTAGTGGCAGTGAACATGGGAGTTCTGGATTAATGTAAATTTAGGGTTTCCCAAGACAAGGCTGTCTCCTGTTGTACATAACTACCGTGTTGATTAGAGTATTAGGCATTGTGCAATGTGGCCTGTGCCTTTTCTTTCCTTTGTTTCCCCTTTGTTTTTGGGCTGAGTTGGCAGCTTGTGAGTACAAGCCTTTGGGTCTCTCTGTTATTATGGCCTCTTGCTGATTTCTGCCTCTGAGCTCTGGGCATGATCTGGTAGCAGCATCTTGAAGGTGTGATGATCTGTGTGTCTTTTCATTCAGGGAAGGGGGCATTGCCCCCAGTGAGCTACTAGTGTAGCAGGTGCTTCAGCATGCTGGAAGGACTGCTGACACCAGCCGTGGACGTCAGCAGGCTTCGGGAATTGCCTGGGCTGAAGAGCACCATGTCACCCAGGACAGTTCACATCCAATAACTGGTTGATGCACGAGCTAGAAAGGCCTGGCCTCTCACACTGTCTTGGGACAATGCTGAAGAGCCATCCTGGGTTCACAGCTCCCTGTGGGGTCCACTGAGGCTTTGTTGAGACCCTCTCAGCTCAGTTTCCTTCACGCCTGATCCTGCATTCATGCCTTTCCTCACAGGCGGCAATCCCAGAAGCACTAGCTAAGAAGCTTCCCAGATGCTCATCTCCGGCTCAGAGTCTGTTTCTCAGGGGCCCTGATGTAAGACAAAGGGGGTGTCTGTGTAAACATGTGTGTGTGTGTGCAGGTGCATCAAGAATATTTTCTGTCTCTTTAAGTCTGCTCCTGAAAGTGCCCACCCTCCAGTGTCCCACCTTGCCCTGCATATTCTCCTCATTCCATAGTTTCTCCTCATGTTCTGGCCTTGTCAGCCTTTACTGGCTGCTGAATTTTAAATTCCATCACCTTCCTTAGGAAGTGGTCTGTGTCCAGGTTTGGGGGGAAGGGAGTAGGGGAGTGGGGCTGGTGACTTAACTGGACATCTCAACAACTTGTGAGTTAGAAATTTGCAGTGCCAGTGAACAGGCTCAAAAATGAAAGTGTTTTCTTTCCATCTTCATTTTCGTCCAATGATAAAGCATTCATTTTAAGCATTCCAGAGCCCAACTGAGTCAAAAGCACATTTTAATTTTGAAACAACAATCTGAATTCACTTCAACATGTTGGCTGTGTTTTGCTTTAGATGGCGGGGCTATAGGCTGTCTTTCTCTGGTTTTTACTGCTCCTGTGGTCATTTTTTTCAAAACTTTCATATGCAGAACATACATTATTTTTATAAATGAAAAAGTGACATTTTATTAAGAATCCTCCCCTCCCCCTCCCCCCCACCCCCCCGACACACACACACACACACACACACACACACACACACACACTATATCCTGTTCATGTGCCTGGCAGCGACGGTAAGAAAACCCTAAATGTTTCTGACCTCTCTGAAATGAACACCTCGACAGGGCTCAGCAGGTGGACTTAAGGTGCTTTGGTCAAGGCAGAAAGAACCATTAGGGAATAGGGCATATTTCAGGTTACATCTCATAATCTCAGAACATTGACTTTTTTTAGTGCAAATGATAGAAAAGAAGGTGTGAGCATCACAGACTGGGTTGGGAAATTTCATCTGCCTTTTTACAGATGTTCATTAACATAACAAAACATGAGTGAATGTTTAGCCTGCACCCTTGTCTGTTCTAAGCAGAGACGGAGTAAAAATATGTCAGAAATAAGTCAACTAGACTAGGAAAGACATTTTCGTTTAGAAAAAAAAAATTGACGTGAAATAGGCGGTCACCAAAGAAGGGCCACCATGTTTTATTTTGTAATTATGAAAATTTGTCTCTTTTGACAAGTGAAATGAATTTAGGCACTCAGGCATGGGGAGAAAGTTGAATTGTCTGAAAATTAAATCGAAATAAAAATGAAAAATACAAATGGGTGTTTCATATTCACTAACATGGGAGTCATCTTTTAGATCTGACATTTTGAAGCAATGCCTGAGAAACCTGAAAGCTCATACCTCTGAGTAAGTTATGGCCCCAAACAGTATAGAAATAATTGAGAATGTTTGCTGTTTTTAAATAAATGCAATAAATCTGGAATGGTGTCAGCACTCTGGAGTGTGGAGAGCACTGTTCTATACCTTGAGATGTACAATGTGCTGAGATCTTGTCGCAGGGAGACACGCATATATAAGATGGCTTGTCTGTGACAGGGCATGCTTGCTCAGACACATTCACCTGCGGAGAACAGCCTGGAGTTGGCCAAAGAGGGAAGGTGTTCAACAGAAATGGACTCACATCTGGCTCCACTGGGTCCTAGAGGTGTGGCCCAGGTAAGGTGCTTCCCTTTAAAAAGTGAATGTTGGCACATATACACCATGGAATGCTATGCAGCCATAAAAAATGATGAGTTCATGTCCTTTGTAGGGACATGGATGAAACTGGAAATCATCATTCTCAGTAAACTATCGCAAGAACAAAAAACCAAACACCGCATCTTCTCACTCATAGGTGGGAATTGAACAGTGAGATCACATGGACACAGGAAGGGGAACATCACACTCTGGGGACTGTTGTGGGGTGCGGGGAGGGGGGAGAGATAGCATCGAGAGATATATCTAATGCTAGATGACGACTTAGTGGGTGCAGCGCACCAGCATGGCACATGTATACATATGTAACTAACCTGCACAATGTGCACATGTACCCTAAAACTTAAAGTATAATGAAAAAAAAAAAAGTAGTAAAAATAAGACAAAAAAAAAAGTGAATGTTGGATGGGTGTGGTGGCTTATGCCTATAATCCCAGCACTTTGGAAGGCTGAGGCCAGTGGATCACGAGGTCAGGAGTTCAGGACCAGCCTGGCCAAGATGGTGAAACCCCGTCTCTATTAAAAATACAAAAAAATTAGCCGGGTGTGGTGGTGGGTGCCTGTAATCCCAGCTACTCAGGAGGCTGAGGCAGAGAATTGCTGGAACCTGGGAGGCAGAGGTTGCATGAGCTGAGAGCACGCTACTGCACTCCAACCTGGGCGACAGAGCAAGACTCCATCTCAAAAAAAAGGGAATGTTGGTGAGACCATGCCTCCTAGGGGTGCTAGGAAAATTGATAAGCACTCATTAAATTGTTGCTACTATGGCAGGTGTGAACACACCTTGAATGGTACCTGGGGACTTTTTAATAATCTCTCTGCATATGTGTGCATGTATGTGGTATGTGGGTACTTTGTGTGTGTTTATGTGCATGTGTGTAATTTGTCCACACATATAGTTGGCCCTTGGCATCTGTGGGTTCTGCATTCGTGGATTCAACCAACTGCAGATTGAAAATATACAGAAAAAAAATTACACCTGTTCTGAATGTGTACAGACCTTTATTCTTGTCATTATTCCCTAAATAATACAGTGTAACAACTATTTCCACAGCATTTACATTGTATTAGGCATTACAAGTAATCTGGAGGTGATTTAAAGTTTATGGGTAGATGTGCATAGGTGATATGCAAATCCTACGTCATTTCATATCAGGGACTTGAGCATCTGTGAATTTTGGTATCTGCAGGAGGTCCCAGAACCAATCCCACCCGGATATTGAGGAATGACCATACATACTTCGTGTATGTTTACTTTGTGTGTACTCTGTGTGTGTATGTATGTACTTTCTCTGTGGAACTGTGTGTGTGCTTGGGTATAATTTGTGTGTCTGTGTGCTTTGTATATGTGTACTTTGTGAGTGTGTGAGGCTCCTTCTAGGACCAGCAGTGAGCCATTCTGTGTGCCCTTACAGAGCTGCACCCACTGAGAAGAGCTCAAGAGAGGACCTGGTGCATTGGTTTTAAACTGAGAAACTGAAATGACTGCCTTAGTTCCTATGTATCCTCAGGTACACTAAATACTATATATATATATGTGTGTGTGTATATATATATACACACATATACACATGGCTGTGTTTAAAAAATAAACTGTGCATACATTTTATTCTATATTTTAGAATACTAGAAGCTATGTTTTTAAGCGCAATTGCTTTTTAGCAATAACCCAGTAACATTGTGGGTATCCCAGTCATTCCACAAAACTGTCTTGCGAACAACTAATAAGGCTGAGAGTCTTTAATTTTTTTTAATTCGTTCCATAGTCAAGGGTGGTTTAGTTCAAGACAAAAAAAAAAGACCCTTTGACCTAACTTGAGTAAAGGGGATTTGTGGCAAAACATATTGGGAGAATCACATGAGACTAAAAGGAGAAGTTGAGCTGTAAGCCCTTTTCCTCCCTGTCTGTCTCCTCTCTCCTTCCTTCTCTTTCTCTCTGAGGAAATGTGATCTCTTAGTTCTGCACATTCACCCCCTGTCTAATCCTTAACTTTGATCTGGTTCTTTCTGAATGGATCCTGGGCTGAGTTCTTTCTTGTTGGCCAGAGCAGGCCTGAGCTCCCAGATTGGAGGGAGGGAAGCCAGATATGGTTCAGCAAGGTGACTGAAATCTCTCTTCTGATTCTGGTGTGTGTGTGTGTGTGTGCACGTGTGCGTGCGCATATGCACACACAGGTGTGCACGTGTGAGAATAAGAAAGAGGGACAGAATTGGAGACAGAGGCACAGGGAGATAGAGATAGCACAGACAAACAGCACGAGAAGGTAGAAAGAGAGAGACCGAGAGACAGAGAAAGAGACGCCCACACACAGAGATAGATATAGACGGAGAGGGACTGCAGATCTGTATACAGAAAGGATGGAGGAACAATTGGCGTGGGTGTTAAAGCTGAGGCCTCTGCTTGCTGGTAGAAGAGCTAGAATAATTAATGGTCAGGCCAAGAAGGGGCACAAGGGCGCTGCTGCAGTGCCCAGGGTCCTCAGCTGGGCATGCTCTACTTGTCTGAGAAGGGCCTGGTGGGCCAAGAGCAGGCAACTTAGGCTACTGTAGCCAGCCATACCAGTGGGGGAAGTGCACGGGGCTACGTGGAAGCTGGGCCCGGTGGGTCCTGACCATTGGCCACCTTTACCCTGGCACCCCGGGAGTCTGTGTCACATTGAAATGAATGGCATGTGTTGAGTAACCACTATCTAAGAGGGCATTTTAGGTGGATGAACTCATTCTATCTCATTTAATTTAAAGGCAGAATATAATAGTTGTTGCAGGCTGAAACAGACAGACCTGGATTTGTGCACTGACGGCTACTTAGTAACCCTGTGACCTTGGATGATTGATTTATGGCTCCCTAAGCTTCAATTTCTCCATCGGAAAGATGACAATAACAGTTCAGCTGCCTTACGGACTAAATGCGGTAGAGCCTGTGACCTGTGATGTGCTTGGCACAGAGTCTGCACAGGATCCGTGCTGGATAAATGTGAGCCCATCCCCAGCCCATTGTGAGTGGGGGCAGTGTGATCCCTGCTTTCACTAGTGAGGAAACAAGATGTGGGGGCTTTGATATGACTCTTCTGGCGATCTCACAGCTGCTGGAGGCATCACCAGAATCCAGAGCTTCCTAGGCTGACTCCAAAGCCCTCACCATGATGGTTAATTGATTTTTCTTTTCTTTTAATAACACTGGCTTCTCGTAAACAGTGGCTTGAGAGTTTGTAAGTTAGGGAGTGGCCAGAGAGTCTGCAGCCTGCTGGCCTGCTCCTGGCTAGAGTTGCTGTTTTCTTGGGGTCTTGGGAAAGGTGATTCAGGCTAACAGCAATGGCATTATACCTCCCCACCCACCCACACACAAGGACTCCGGTTTTGGGGTGTACTGTTGTTAGACCTAGAGCCACAGGTTCTCCTTTAAAATTAAGAAATTTTTAATTTCTTATTTTTTAATTAATTAAACTGACAAAATCTGCACATTGTTAAAAAAATCAAGCAGAACAAGAGAGTATAAAGTCAAAAAGTAGTGTCCTGTCTAGTTCAGACCGTCAGGTACCTGTTCCAGGGACAACCATAGTTGTGAGTTTCCTGTTTGTAGAATATCCAGATTTTCTACCCATTTTTCAAGTATTTGCATGTGTGTGTGTGTGTCCGTCATTTATACCAATGGGCACTGACTATGTACACACACACACGTACATCATGCCTTTCTGTTCTGCTTAATGACTTATCTTAGAGAATATTCTATACAGCCTCCATTCGAGCTAGTGCATTTTTTATTCACCTCAGGAGATGGATTAGGTCTAGTTTATTCTTTTTTATGGTGGTATAGTATTTCATCATATGAACACAGCAGAAATTATTTATATCTTCTTTATTGTTGGATAACTTCCCCCCTCACCCAAGTCTTTGCTACTGTAAACAATTCCACAATGAATATATTTAGATGACATTGAACACATTTGAAAACATGTCTATAGGATAAATTCCTAGAAGTGGATCCCAATGTCAGAAAGTAGGTGCATTCACAGCTCTGGAAGATATTAGCAAATTATTTGCCACAGAGGCTGCACCAATTTTACTCCCATTGCTAAGTGTGAATTCTTCATCTCTACTTCTTGGCATTCACCTCCTATACATTAACAAACTTGTTGCTGTCTGTCAACCAAACAAGTGAAAAATAGAATCTCATTTTAATTTTAATTTGCATTTCTTTGACATTGAATGAGGCTGTGTTGGGCTTTCAGTAAGCAGCATACTCATTAGCTAATTTTTAAATTGTTTTGTTATTGGTACAATTATGTATATACAATTAGTTAAACGCCTGTGCTGAGTCTCAGCCCAGATAGACTAAAGAGGGTATTTTTGTTCCGTAACTTAACTAATCGACCAGACCGGTGAAAAGGCTAAGCTGGATTTCTTTTTGTTTTTGAGACAGAGTTTCACTCCTGTTGCCCAGGCTGGGGTGCAATGGTGTGATCTCAGCTCACTGCAACCTCTGCCTCCTGGGTTCAAGCGATTCTCCTGCCTCACCCTCCCAAGTAGCTGATATTACAGGCACGTGCCATCACACCTGGCTAATTTTTGTATTTTTAGTAAAGACAGGGATTCACCATGTTGGCCAGGCTGGTCTTGAACTCTTGACCTCAGGTGATCCGCCCACCTCGGCCTCGCAAAGTGCTGGGATTAGAGGCATAAGCCACAACGCCCAGCTGGATTTCATCTAAGCCAGGCTGAATAATGTCTGTTTTTTGGACCAGGACTTTGCAAACTTATTTCTTAAAGGGCCAGATAGTAAATATTCTGGGCTTTGTGGGCCAGATGGTCTCTCTCAAAATGACGCAACTCTGCCCCTGTAGTGCAAAAGTAGCCAGAGACAATCAATAAATAAATGGTCATGGCTGTGTTCCAGTAAAACTCTCTACAGACAGGCGCTAGGCTGCATTTGGCCCCTGGGCTCGGTTCTCAAACCCCTGTTCTACACTATCTGCATTAGTGGGTGTCTGGAGACAACACTGACACTTCATTTCGCAGATTCCAAATGGCCTGTCTTACATACCTGTGACTCTCCGGTTACAGGCAGAAAGATATGCAAACTAGCTGATCAAATGGATAAATAAGAGTCTGTGTAAATAAGAGTCTGTGTAGGTGTTTGGACATTTAGGATGTTAGGCCTTAGAATCATGTCACCCCTGAGAGTGAATGAGAGGCTGGAAGGTCTAAAATTTTCCCACTTGCATGCATAGCTTGCCCTTTGAATTGTTAATATAATGTCTTTATACCCCGACTACCTACTAACATATTGAATCTACCCTGCTGCACACCGTAGTGGCATGGAGATGCCTAAAACTATTGTTTAGAGAATGAAAAGAGCCATCCTGCCACTCCCCAAGGTCAAGCAGCACTGCTTTGAGACCCCTGTCAAGAAGAAACTCGGGGCCAAGGGAAGCAGCTCTTAGCTCCAGAAGGGAGTGGGCCTTGCTGGCCAGGAAACGAGTACCCGTGTTCCCATGAGGGTGAGCATTGTGGAAGGGTCGGGGGTGAAGGAGGGACTCAGAAGAGGCAGGAGGCAAAGGCAGGCTCTGAGCGGAGAGTGGCAGCTGGTATGCAGAGCTGGGTGGGGCCCTGGCAGGTACAGGAGCTGGGTGGGGTCCTGAGGGTGCACAGGAGAAACCAGAGGTGATGGGACTTTGGTGGATTTGGGTTATAAACATCACAGTGGGGATTTGAATGAAGGCTCTGATATGTCTGCTTTGTTATCCATGTCTCGAACAGTGAGGAATGAATGGGTAAGTGAATGAATGGAGGTAATGAGTACTAAAAATATGGACTTTTTACAATCACAACATTATCCATTTACCCTATGAAGTCACATGAACAGTGCCTGGCACATAACAAGTGTACAGAGTGCAGTGCATAGTAGTGTTACCAGCTAGTGTCACAGCTGATGGGAAGTATAAAGGCAGATAATAAAGGTGATGGCAACAAAAGTTTATTGATGCTGTATACATGCAAGTTGCAGTTCTAAACATTTTAGCTGAATTCCCTCATTTTATCCTCACAATAAATTAAGAAGAGGGTGAGTCTTACCATTAATCCATTTTATAGATGAGGACACCAAGTCATGGGGCGGTTAACTAACTTGCGTAAAGCTATGCAAGAGCTATGTGTAAAGTATACCTCTGGGGTTTGTTTGGAGAGGTGGCTCCGAAATTCCACGGAACATCAGACTCCCCTGGAGATGTGTTAAACCCAGACCACTGGGTCCCACCCCTGGAGATTTGGATTCAGTGGGTCTGGCGCAGTGCCTGAGAATCTGCATTTCTTACAAATTCTGTTTGGGTTCTGATGGCCTGGGAGCCACACGTCGAGAACCACTGGTTTAGAGAATTTTGTGCAGGCCAGTTTAGTTCATTTCTGGCTGTTCTTGAACCCAAAGAACCTTTCCATTGTTTTAGTGTTACCGTCCCTCCTCCTTCGCCCCTCCCCATCTCCAGGGCCCCTGCCAATTCAACCAGCACAGTCACAAACTGAACCCCTAGGAAAAGACATCGAGTCGCTTGCAGAAGCAGTGTGTTTTCTCTCTGGGAGGTATTGAAGCGTTGAATTCAAGGGCCGGGCTCCTTTTCAGAAATGATACTCCATAGTTTTACCGCAGGCGGCTGGAGTGTGCTTGGGCTCTGCCTGGAACGCAAGCTCGACTCTTCTCCAATTTCAGTGTCTTACCCTCGCAAGTGCTAAATTGCCCCATAAACAAAACACATCTGGTGTTTGACTCATGGAAAATATTTCTCTATGGTTGAAAAGAGTGTGGATAGTCTGACTCCATTAATTTCCACTGGAGTGACTCCGGACCATCTGCTTCCGACTCTGTCATGGGGGAGGTCTGGAGGCCCGGGAAGTGCAGTGTGGGCTCCATGGAGCTGTGGGTAGGTGTCCATGTCAGCTGTGCCCCTGTCGGTCTGAGAGATGCTTCCCAATGCAAGTCTGCACACCCTGGACGTTTCTGAGGCTCCTCAGACCTACAGGAGCACTCTGTTCCCAGTGGAAACGGCTTGGGGCCCCAGTTGCCTTGTTCTCCCTCACTGGGATCTGGTAGATGGGCTGCTGTGGCTGTGATGCTGTTTCCAGGATCCCTGTGATATCTGTGTGGCCCTACACGGTGGACACTTCCCAGTCCCTTCAAATGGCCCTTCTTTCTCAATCCTGGGATATCCATCCAAGGCTTACAGGAAGTCAGAGGGGCTCCCTCTAGGGGCCTCTGGGACCCAGCTGTTCGGAGAGAGGAAGACCTTCTGGCAGGTACATAGATAATAAGCTTTACTACAGCAGAAATAAAGGGCAGGGTGGGCTTTGCATGGCACAGACTTGGGTTCAAATCTAACTTCTCCTTGCCGGGTCCGTGTGTCCTTTGCCAAGCTATTAGCTCCTTGACCTCTGTATCATCATTTTAAGAAGGAGTACTTTTTACAGTAAAATGTGACAATTTGCCAGTTGCATATTAAGTCACTTGAATAATGCCTGGCACATAGAAGATGCGGCTGTTAATATTATCAGTTACTGTTCTTAGAATTCTGGCAGGCATAACTCAAAGATGGACCCAAGATGACCACCCCCTGGTGTGCACACCTTGTATAATCCCCTGCCCTTGAGTAAGGGCAGAACCAATGAATGTGATAGCATAGGACTTTGAATTAACCAAGGAGATTAACTGGGTGGTCCTGACTTAATCAAGAGAGGCCTTAAATGGGACTGGCCCCTTCCTGAAACTGGAGAGCCTGGAACTATGAGAGGGCTGATGGGAGGAACCACATGGCAAGGACCTGAGAGTGACATCTGCTTGCCAAGAGTGGTCCACAGCCAACAGCCATCAAGACCACAGGGACCCCAGTATTACGGCCACAAAGAAGTGAATTCAGCATATAACTTGGGTAGCTTGGAAGCAGTCTGCCCCAGTCAAGCCTCCAGATGAGAACACAGCCCAGCTCACATCTTGCTTTTAGCTTTGTGAAACCCTGAACAGAAAACCCAGCTAAAGTGCACCCCAGTCTTGACCCATGGAAACTGTGAGATAATACATTTATGTTGTTTTAAGCCACTAAGTTTGTAGTAATTGCGATCACATTAGAAAATGAATGCAGAGAAAATATCATCCACTTCAGAGACAGGTAATGAGAAATAAATGTGATAATCTGTGCAGAGCATGCCAGACAGTTGCATAGTAAGTACGGGGTCATAGTAGCCCTGGGTTTCAGCATCTGTTTCAGTCTCCCTCCTAGTTACAGATCATGTTCCCAGCTAAGTAGCCTAGTTCTTCCCCACCAGGAACAGACTCCTACCTCGAAACCCCAGCCTATTACCTGGAACCCTGCTGGATTCCTCCTGCTTATCCTCTTCTCAGCGGGGCACATGGCTCAGCTGTGGGCATCAGGATTCAGCCATGGCAAGACAGAGGCAGGGAAGTGGCTTAGAGAGGAACAAGAGAGAAGACTCCCCTCTGCAGTGGAGATGAGAAGTACCCAGCTGCCCGGGTATGAGGCAATCCCATGAGAAGATTCCTCGGAATCTGCTCGTGTGCTCAGGCAAGCCTAGAAGGGCTTTCCCTGGGTATCTCACCCTCCTGAAGGTGGTCTCTATGGCCTACACCATTTATCCAAGGAGTTATGGAGAAGGGGAAGAGATGGGGCAGGGGAGACTGACTCCTGGCCCTTCTTGCATTGCCTGAGGTCCCTGTCCTCACTACTCTGAGCACATCAGTGGATTCTGAGGAATCTTCTCATGGGATTGCCCAGTACCCAGGCAGCTGGGTATTTCTCAGCCCCACTACAGAGGGGATTCTTCATCCTAGTTCATCTCTGAGTCACTTCCTTACCTCTGTGGCTGCAGACACTGCACCCAGACTTCCACCACTCCTCTCCCCAAATCCCGTGTTTTAGCCTGAACAGAGTCAAATGCTTATGTACATTTCATGAGGACACTGGTCTAGAGGGAATCCTGGTGACCTGGTATGATGGAGAGGAAAGAACATAGGCTTTGGTGTTATACAGAGAAGCTATTCAAATCTAAGCTCTGCTAATTGCTAGTTTTCTGAAATTGGCAGGCAGTAGTTTCTCTAAGCCCCAGTTTCCTCCTCTCCCGTAAATTGGGATTGTTACATCCCTATGAAAGGGTAGCTGTGAGGGTGAGATGAGAGAATGTGGCTCAGGTCTGGTACATGAAGATGTTCTGGGCGTGTGCGTATTCTCCCCATCTACCCCTTTCTAGCTCTGAATTTAGAAACTTTCTATGGCAAGAAAAGCCCAAACACAGTGTAGTGTGAGCGATAGATGGAGAGAGAAATCAGATCGTGGGTCCAGCCTATGAAGTCCCAGGTTGGGGTCCCAAGAAGTCCTCGGCTGTGGGGCAGGCCGGGTTTACATTTCTTTGCCCTTTCTCAGGCAGGATTCTCCTTCCCATGGAGCATGTTATCACCAATGGGACTATTTCTGTATTCATCCAAAGCTTCTGATTAGAGGCTCATGAATATTCAAATACCTGCCTCCCCTTATTTGCCTGACTATTAGCATTCTGTCTCTAGGCTTATTTTGTGTTTTTTTCTGTTGCACATTTGTTCAGTGATTCACGCTTCATCATCCAATGTGACCAGTTTCGAGACAATTCTGGCTATTCCCAGTCCCGGGCAAGGCTGGGTCCTCACCGTGCCCCGGCTGCCAGCTTCTCCTTGCTCTTTCTGCTCCCAAAGATGGGTGGGTGGTGGAACAGCCTGCAGAGTGCTACTTTGGAAACTCATTTCTGGGATTTTAAAATTCATATTGATAATAATAATCCACTACATGTGTCTCTCACTTCAAATTTTACAAAGATATTTCATATCATCCTGTTTTACAGTCTGGCTTTCTGAAAATGCAAAATGCTGACATTCTTTTCTGAATGAGGCCATGTCTCTTTTCCTTCTGAATATTTAACAACAAGCTTTGAACAAAACAGAATCTGTTTTAAAGCCCAGCTGTACCATGATGTCTCACAATGGCACAAAGTAGAAGGGAATTTGTCTTTCTCTCTCCCTATTGGGAGAAAGGTTGGAGGTTGCTTTGAAGTCCATTTAGCTCTGTGGGGAACACAGTATGAATTAGTTTTCTATGACTGCTGTAAGAAATTACCACAAATCTAGTGGCTTAGAATAACATACCTTGATTCTTTTACAGTTCTGGCAGTCAGAAGTAAGAAATGGGTTGCTGGGCTATGTTCCTTCTGGAAGATCCAGGGGAAAATCCATTTTCTTGTCCTTTCCAGCTTCTAAAAGCCACTTGCATCTTTTGGTTCATGACTCATATGTTAGGGTTCTCTAGAGGGACAGAACAAATAGGATATATGTATATATGAAAGGAGTTGATTAAGGGGAGTTGACTCACACGATCACAAGGTAAAGTCCCATGATAGGCCGTCTGCAGGTCGAGGAGCAGGGAAGCCAGTGGTGGATCCATTTGAGTCCCCAAACCTCAAAAGGAGAGAAACTCACAGTGCAGCCTTCGGTCTCTGGCCAAAGGCCCGAGAGCCCCTGGCAAACCACTGGTGTAAGTCCAAGAGTCCAAAAACTGAAGAACTTTGAGTCTGATGTTTGAGGGCATGAAGCATCCAGCACAGGAAAAAGATGAAGACCAGAAGACTCAGCAAGCCTTCTCTTTCCACTTTCTTCTGCCTGCTTTATTCTAGCTGTGCTGGCAGCTAATTAGATGGTATCCACCCAGATTGAGGGCGGGTCTGTCTGTCCCAGTCCACTGACTCAAATGTTAATCTCCTTTGGCAACACTGTCACAGACATGCCCAGGAACAATACTTTGCATCCTTCAATCCAATCAAGTTGACACTCATTGTTAACTATCACAGCCCCTTTCTCTATCTTCAAAGCTGACCATGAAGCATCTTGAAATCTCTTTCTCTCTGACTTCTGCTTCTGCCATCACATCTCCTTTCCTCTCTAATCTTCCTGCCCCTTACAAGCACCCTGTGCTTACATTGGGTTCACCCAGATAATCCAGGAAAATCTCCCTGTGATGGTTAATACTGACTGTCAGCTTGATTGGGTGGAAGGATGCAACGTATTGATCCTGGGTGTGTCTGTGAGCATGTTGCCAAAGGAGATTAACATTTGAGTCAGAGAGCTGGGAAAGGCAGAGCCACTCTTAATCTGGGTGGGCCCAATCTAATCAGCTGCCAGCACAGCCAGGATAAAAAGCAGGCAGAAAAATGTGAAAAGACTAGACTGGCTTAGCCTCCCAGCCTACATCTTCCTCTTGTGCTGGATGCTTCCTGCCCTCGGACATTGGACTCCACGTTCTTCAGCTTTGGAACTCATACTGGCTTCCTTGCTCCTCAGCTTGAAGACAGCCTATTGTGGGACTTTGTGATCACGTGAGTTAATACTCCTTAAGACATGGATGAAGTTGGAAATCATCATTCTCAGTAAACTATCGCAAGAACAAAAAACCAAACACCGCATATTCTCACTCATAGGTGGGAATTGAACAATGAGATCACATGGACACAGGAAGGGGAACATCACACTCTGGGGACTGCTGTGGGGTGGGGGGAGGAGGGAGGGATAGCATTGGGAGATATACCTAATGCTAGATGATGAGTTAGTGGGTGCAGCGCACCAGCGTGCCACATGTATACATATGTAACTAACCTGCACAATGTGCACTTATACCCTAAAACTTAAAGTATAATAATAAAAGAAAAAAAAAAGAAACTCCCATTTATATATGTATCTATCCTATTAGTTCTGTCCCCCTAGAGAACCCTGACTAATACACTCCCCAACTCAAGGTCCTTAAATGAATCACATCTGCAAAGTCCCCTTTGCCATGTAATATGTCATCACAGGGACATCACATGGATATCTTTGGGGACCCATTCTACTGACCACACTGTACTGGGTTAGTAAGAAAACTGCTTTCTCTGGCCCGAGGCCTACCTGTGTGTCTAGGATGTGGCTTTCCTGGCATTGCTTCTTCCTCTCTGCACAGTGGACTTGTAATAGATACTGTGAGTTTCTCAGCTGCAGGGTAACAGTATCCTCAGTGGGCCCATGGAGGGCAGGTTGTGGTGCATTCAGCAACAGATACCCAACTTCCTAGCCAGAGCTCTGTGCGCCCAAAGCATCTTCCTTAAATGTGACACACCCAGTTCAATTCTTTCAAGTCCCTCTGAATCAGGAAATATCATGTTCAGTTAAAGCTGAGATGCAGAGATGTTAAATAATGCGCTACGTGTCTCCTGTATAATATGATTCATGAACTCTGGTGCCAGACAGGCCTGGATTCAAATCCAGATCTGATGCGTTGTGACTTTGTGCATGTTATTCCACCCCTCTGGGCCTCCATTTCCCCATCTGTAAGATGAAAATACAGTACCCATGTCACAGTTGTTGTGAGCATTAAATGAGGGAAGGCTTGTAAAGTGCTTACTATAGGGTCTGGATCAATACATGTTGGCTGTTTCATCATAATTATTGTTACCATTAAGGTTAGCATTATTTGCCAGGCGTGGTAGCTCAAGCCTGTAATCCCAGCACTTTGGGAGACCAAGGCAGGCAGATCTCTAGGTCAGGAGATCAAGACCATCCAGGCTAACACAGTGAAACCCCATCTATACTAAAAATACAAAAAATTAGCCGGGTGTGGTGGTGGGTGCCTGTAGTCCCAGCTACTCGGGAGGCTGAGGCAGAAGAATGGCGTGAACCAGAGAGGCAGAGCTTGCAGTAAGCCAAGATCACACCACTGCACTCTAGCCTGGGTGACAGAGCAAGACTCCATCTCAAAAAAAAAAAAAAAAAAAATAGCATTATTTTGGCCAGGCATGGTGGGTCACACCTGTAATCCCAGTACTACTTTGGGAGCCCGAGGCAGGTGGATTACTTGAGGTCAGGAGTTCAAGACCAGCCTGGCCAACATGGTGAAACCCCGTCTCTACTAAAAATACAAAAATTAGCCAGGTGTGGTGGTGCGTGCCTGTAGTCCTAGCTACTTGGGAGGCTGAGGCAGGAGAATCCCTTGAACCTAGGAGGTGGAGGTTGCAGTGACCCGAGATCATGCCATTGCACTCCGACCTGGGTGACAGATCAAGACTCCATTTAAAAAAAAATTTAAAAAGATTGGCATTATTTTTAAGAAATGCATTGTTTTTGCTCCTGCTAGAAGTTGTTACAATAATAACCATTGAAAATTCTGTTATTATTGCTCCCAACTGGAGACATGAACAAAGGTGATTCCCTGAGATTTGTGGACCCTGGAATACCTGTTTTGGTTGAACATGGCCCATACAACATGCACAGTGAAAACTGCCTTGTGTACAGTCACACTTGGTTCCTAAGCCAAGTTAGGATGTAGGTGCAGCTACTTTTCTCATGTTGTATATGAAGGAAATGAGGGAAGTTAAGTGATTTTCCAATGACAATACTAATATTAATGGGTGAAATTTGAACCTCCTGGGGTCTGTCAGAGCTTGGGATCCTAATCCTACACACTCTGCTTTATGGAGTAGGTCCTGATAGATAGACAGCATAGCCTGTGTTTTCCTGCCCACCTCTGATGCTAAATGCACCCTGAGGCCTGAGAACCAGGTGCCAATTAAAGCTCATTAGGATACCATTGTCTCAGGCAGAAATCGGTACTTCTGATTCAGTCCCCATTTCACTGGGCTCCTGTCCCACAGAATGATGGGAGCAGTGGGCTCTTTGGGGCGTTTCCTTAACCTGCCCAGAGCTCCTTCCTCATATATGTCCTTCTAGATCACCATAAAAGTCAACATTTACATTGAAGCTGGTATTAATGCCAAAGCACGGGGAGTTTTCTCTAAAACAGAAAATGTCCAATTTCTAAAGATCAGGTTCCAGCACAGATAAGTGTTGACTTCAGCCCTTCTGGGAGCTGCTGCCATGCATACCAACAGGGTCCCGGCGCTGTGCTGAGACAACCCACGCTTCTAACAGGGTGTTTGTCAACAAAAGGATCTATGTGGGGCTCGAGGAGGTCTTGAATAATGTATAAAATCCACACGTTAAGGTTGATTAAAATCCTAAGTGCATTATCCAACTGGAGCAATAAAGCTCTTGAGATCTCTGATGGCTGAAATTCATTGATCTTCAAGGACTTTTGTCCTTACAGCACTGTGAGACAATGAATACCAGGGACATCAAATCCATGGCGAGTCCAGCACTAAGGTATAACGCATAGGGACATCTCCAAGTGAATTCATATACAATGGGAATATTGCATCATATATTTGATCCTCATATAGCCAGAAATAAAAAAATGCCAGGAGTTTATCTCTTTTGCTACCTTTTCATAGACACAAAATAAAAGAAAGGAAAGTGTGAGAAGCCAGTTACTAGGGTTTTGAGGAGCACGTTCCATGCCTCATCATATGCCACGTGCTTGATTCTCAAGATTTCTACTGCCATCAGGGAAGCTTTGACCTCTGATCTGGCTCGGGAGAAACAGACCCATAAACTGGTGATTCCTGGGAGAGTCTTGTTTCATGGTGCACCAAATAGGGGTGTGGTTTCCCATTAGAAAACCACTCACAGGAAGGCCCTGAGAAAGGCAGATTCTGGGATAGCCAGACTCCAGGGTAAAAACTTGACCTTTGCCTTGGACACTATGTATGTCCTCTGCCTGTCCCACCAGTGCACTTTGAAAGCAGATAACTTTTTGTCTGATTTCACAGGTTCACAGATGGAGAGGAATTTTGCTCCAGGATGATTCATAGCCCAAGTATCACTCATACATGGTTTAGACGATTTTAGATGCAATTTTGGATTTAGAGTTGAAGCTGAAATGGGTTAGGAAATTTAGGGATGCAGGGATGAGGTGAATATATTTTACACATGAGAAGGACATGAGTTTTGGAGAGTAAAAGGGCAGCATGTTATGAATTAGATTGTGTCCCCTACAACCAAATTTATGTGTTGAAATCCCAAACTCCAGTTCCTCAGAGTATGACCTGATTTAGACATAAGGTCTTTACAGAGTGAATCAAGTTAAAGCGAGGTCATTAGTGGACCCTAATCCAAATGACTGGCGTTCTTATAACAAGAGGAAATTTGGATAGAGACATGAACATGGGGAAACATCAAATGAAGATGAAATAAGAGATCAGGGTGATGTTTCTTCAAATCAAAGAAACTCCCAACCTTCTCTCCCAACCTCTGAACAACAAGCCACCAGATGTTGGGAGAGGGGCATGGAACCAATTCATCCCGGCAGCTCTCAGAAGGAATCAACACTGCTAATATTGTGATCTCAGATCAACAAAACTCCAGAGCTATGAGACAGTACATCTGCGTTGTTTAAGCCACTCATTTTGTGGTACTTTTATGGCAGCCTTAGCAAACAAATATATATTTTGGTATGTTAGCTGAGGGATTACTTTGTTCATATGAAATTTGATAAGTCCATCATGGAAAGCAGATAAAATCTCTGGGTGAAGTGGACTTTGAGAACATAGAGACTTTCCTCCCCTGTTCCCGTCTCCCTAAAGTGGTTCTGGGGAGGCTCCTGAGGAGCCCTGAGACTACAGTTTGAAAATTGCTGACTGCTCTAAGGATAGTAAACAACGCTGACATAATTTGACAGCAACAGCCAACTAGTAGGGCTGCAGCAGCTCCTGGAAGCACTGTGTGAAGGAGGATTTGGAGGCTTCACTCAGGCTCAAGAGTAAAGTGTGCAGTGACTTATTAGTGATGTCTGCCACAGGCATGGGAATTGTGAGGGGAATAATCATGGAACAAACTAACTATTTTCCATTCCTGGACCAGTGCACTCATGTGGCAGAAAGGTCAAGTGACTGACTTAAAGCTACATGGCTCTTTTGGAATCAGATGTACTGGGTGGTGTTTCAAGACCAGATGTGTGTGAGATTTATTCCTCTGTCTATAGATCCACACTGAGTCACTGACAAAGGCCTGGTCATTCATTCAGTGGAGCCCAGCTTTCCACAGTCGTTTGACTCTAGGGCCAAGGTGTGCACCTGCTTTTATTCTTCTCATATTGCTGGTTGTACTGTCAGAATTTCCTTTATTTTTCTCTCTCTCAAATTTCTGTATTGGGCTTTTTCTGTACTTGAGGGTACTCCTTCCCCTCCGGGAAGCATTGGCACTAGAACAATGATTTTCAACTGGGGATGATTTTGTCAACCAGGGGCAATAATTGGACACACGTTTGGCTGGTGCAACTTGGGAGAAGTGCTACTGGCACCTCCTGAATGGAGATTAGGGATGCTGCTCGACAGCTGCAGTCCCCCCAGCAAGGAGTGGCCCTGCCCTGAATATCAGCAGAGCCGAAGTTGAGAAGCCCTGCTCTATCGTTAGCCTCCCTGCTGCCCATGCTTCCAGAAGTTGCCTTATTTTTCCACTTTCTCTTTCCCAGAGCCCCAGTTCCCAGAGTGTCCTCTCCAGGCACCTTCCCATAAACTCGCCAGCGCACACTGGGCAGGAGCAGGGGGCCATTCTGGAGATGCCTGAGAAGGGTGTGTCTTGCCAGTGTTTTGACCACACCTCTCTGAGGAGAACCACTAAAGCCTGGGTCCCTTGAAGGAACATATTCTGATGAAGGGGCATCACAAGGACTGTAAGGACAAGCTGTTCTCCTGAAAGTCATCCTACAGACTCCAGTTCTCTCCCAGTGGGGCGTCACTGCCGTCTATCAACCCCTGGATATTGGTTTAAGAATCTCCCCCACCGGAGGAGATTGTCTAATTTGGGACTTGGGTAATGGAGGGAGGCTTTGGTTAGCCATCTTGGCTTATTCCACAGAGCTTCTTGTCTCTATTTCTGGAAAGGAAAAATTACTTTTTAGAGAATCACAGAATTTTAGAAACAAAGGTTTTTAGAAGCTCCTGTTAGGGGCTGTGACAAATCCGAAGGTTGATGGTATCTGACATGGTTCATTTACACGTCTGTTGTCTGTTGTCTGTCTCCACTACTGGATGTGAGTTCCTGAAAGTCACGGGCCACGTCTTTTTCACTAAAGTATAGTCAATGTCCAGCAGTGCACTGGCATGCAGGACGCACATATACAAGTTTGCTGAATTAATGAATGAAGGCACTGATTAAGTGGGAGCTGGAACTAAAACTCTACTTGCGTATGTGTGTGTGTGTGTGTGTGTGTGTCTGTGTATCTGTGTGTGTGTTCAGACATAAGAATAGTACCTAAATAGATATTTAGTAGGGTTTCCATAAATACTTGTTAAACTAATTGTTGGTTGCTGCGGCTGCTTCCATCTCTGTGCTGAGCATTTGACATATGTAACTCATTTCATTGTCACCCTAACCTTACAAGGTGGGTACTAGTCTCTCCATTCTAAAAGTGAAGACACTGTGCTCAGAGAGGTTTAGTAACTTGTTCAAATCACAGTGCCAAGGAGCAACAGAGCTAAGATTTGAGTCTTGCTCTGGCAGTAAAATCCAAGCTTGTGTGTGCTACTCCCCGACTTTGGAGTTCAAGCAAGGACATTTGGGGCCCATCTTGTACTCCGTGGGACCATTGGGATCTTTGCACAGAGACAGGCCTGGTGAAACCAGCATTTGGGAAGGAGTATTGGGGAGCAAGGGTGGATGCAGGAAACTGCTGTCTTACCCTGGGCAGAGTTATCCAGACAGGAGCAAGGGGAAGGCAACGAGATGGGTGGGCGACTTGAAAGAAAGAAAGATTTGCAGAATGTGCAGGGCCTGGGGGCTTGGAATGTGGAAAATAAAGCTATCCTGGGAAAAGAGAGCAAAGTTAGGAGACATGGGCATAGGGACAGCAAGATGCTGAGTTGATTTTGGAGTATGTTGAGCTTGAGGCTCGTGAAACATCTACTAGAGGGAGACACAACGAAGGTAATAGGATACTTTTGCTATCATACGGTAGAACCCGTTAAAAATAACTCATGCTTAAAGGAGCATATGTTGGATTGTATAACTGAGAAAGATGTAGTGCTGCCTTTAGCCATTTGTGGATCTAGGGGTTCAACGAAGACTCCAGGTCTCCAGTTTTCTCCAGGAGATATAAGCTTGAGGCAACTGATGGCCATGATATCTGCTCAGGATATCATGGCCACCAGTTACCCCAAACTTACATCCTAGCAGCCTAGAAACTTGTAGAGGCAGGGGGAGAGAAAGAGACAGAAAGTGAACAAAAGAAATAGAAAGAGATAGGGAGAGAGAAAAATAGAGATTGATGGATTACTTGGGTGGCTCTAATGACAGCTTCCAGAATCCCAGGTCTCTGGCAGTCAATACCCCTCCAAGTGTGGGAGATAGGGATCTCTCTACTGGCAGCCCCTCTAGAATCACATACACTGGTCAGTTAGCACGTCCCCAGTGAGAGGCATGAGAGATAGGCAGAAACATAACCAGCATCCACTCTAATGCGTGGAGTGGTGTTCATCGTTCATTCTGCAAGGTGAACATCCTAGAAAGGGGATCATCCAGAAGGCAGGATCAGAGGAGAGGCTCTGAGTTCATGACTTTACCTCTCCCCGGCCTGATTTTAATTTTAAGAAGCACCATCTCTCAGCCTTTTCTTGTTTCCCTTCTTGACTTTGTGTGTCTCCTGGTCACAGGGCCTGCTTGGCAAGGAAGGAATCTAAGAAGAAGAGCCTAGGCTATTAACACAGGTAACTGAGAGTCGATGTATATGAAAAGGCAGCAGCCCCTTTGCAGTTTTATTGCTTATTTTATTCACAGTTACCTGCAATATGGCATGGCTGCAGATGGATAGAAATATGCTTCAGTGTAACACATTTACAGCAGGGGGAGAAACGGCCCCCAAAACACAACAGCTCAATGCCAAAAGCAGACTTTGCATTTCCTAGACTGTGCTGCTTTCTGAATACAAAGAGACAGATGATTATTGCAGTAATGGACAATTAAGCTGTGGTCAGACACTCAAGAAGTACTTTAAACAGTTGGTTATAAATATAACATCAAAGTATTATGATTCACAGGAGAGGAAGTTTACAGCAGATCCCAGTAATGGTGTCTGAGATGGCACGTAGAGCTAGGATTCAAAGCTGGGCAAATGTAGGTCTTTGGGGCAAATGGTGGGATAGTCTGGGTTGGATTAAACCTGAACTTTCTGAGGGCGTGTGATGGACATGGAGTTGCTCACCAATGCCTGCTTTGGGAAGGATTGGTGGCCCCAGCTGTGTGGTCAAAAGAGCCTTCAGGTGATCAGCGTTCTTCGGGGGTTGCCTCAGCAGGAGGGCCCTCAGACAAGAGTGATTGAGAGGGGTGTGTGGCAGGCTGAGCCATGGTGCCCCCAAGATAGCCACACCCTGATCCCTAGAACCTGTGAATATCTTGCTTTATATGACAAAAGGCTCTTTGCAGTTGTAATGAAGTTAAGGACTTTGAGATGTGAAGATTATCATGGATTAACTTTGTGGGCCCAAGGTAACCACAAGGGTCCTTGTAAGGAGGAAGCAGGAGAGGCAGAGACAGAAAAGGAGACGTGGTGATGCAAGTGGAGGCTGCAGTGTTGTGCTCTGAAGATGGAGGAAGGGAAATGTAGGCAGCCTCTAGAAGCTGGAAAGGATGGATCTCCCCAGAGCCTCCCGAGGGAGTGCAGCCCTGCAGACACCTTGGTTTTAGCCCAGTGAGCCCCGTTTTGTATTTCTGGCCTACAGAGCTGGACGAAAATAAATTCATGTTGTTTTAAGTCACTGGGTTTGTGATAATTTGTTATAGCAGCCA
The DNA here is from genome assembly GCF_000001405.40 of Homo sapiens. Classification (NCBI taxonomy): domain Eukaryota; kingdom Metazoa; phylum Chordata; class Mammalia; order Primates; family Hominidae; genus Homo; species Homo sapiens. The sequence goes on from NC_000016.10 coordinate 82,519,941, forward strand.
TGGGAGATGGATTTAAAGGCCCAGCCATTCTAGCCCAAGGCAGGATGATCGAAAAGGCAGACCATTCTGGCTCCAGGGTACCCTGTGGAGTGAGCCGGGGCAGTTATTGGGTCTTTTTCCAAGCTCAACTTCTCCCTCTGCCCACTTCTTTCCATGCTTCCACAGGTTTTGATCCCAAGGGCACCCTCTAATAGACATGCCAACCTACAAACACTATATCTGAGTTGGCTTCCACGGGAACCCATGCTGTGATATTGTATACCTGATAGGTAGTATCCTACAGTGATTCGGAACATGAGTGTTGGGCCAGTCTGTTCTGGCTCCCCAACATGATAAACTTGGGCATGTTTGCTTGTCTTTTTAAGCCTTAGTCTCCTCTCCTGTACAATGGGCATGAAAACCACACCTGCAAAGAAGCTTGTAATGAGGATCAACTGACAGCCACCTGGAAAGCACATGGTTCAGGCCTGCCTTGAGATAAGCTGTTGATAAATGTTACTGATGAGACTGATGATGGTGGAATTGACACTGATGGAGGTTGATGGTGGGGATGCTGATGAAGGTGAAGAGAGTGATGTGAGAACTCCCAGGGCTTGTGGACACGTATCTGATTTACAGAAGATAATCTAAGGAGAAAGCTCATAGGTTCTCCTATTGGTGCCCAAGAGGGCAAGGGAGAGAAACACTGAGGAAAGAACCTTATCAGGCTGATCTTCTACCTTCCTCCTGCCTATTCTTAATCCAGAGATAGACTGCTGAGTTCTGGGCTGGATCCTAGTCTCTGAGCTGGAATCCAGATATTAAATACCAGGTTCCAGACTGGACATCAGCCAACCTGGGAGCTGTTCTTTGGGATTCCTTCTAAGTTTAATTTCTAGGACTTTTCTGTGCCAAGATCTTGACTCGGATTCTACTCCCAAAGACAGAGATTAGCTGTGTTGGGTCTAAGGGCATTGAAGATCATGCTCTACCTTCCCCAGGAGGACCCAGAGCCTGTACCTGAGGCTGGGAACAGGGGTCATGTGAGGATCATGTAGACAGAGAGAAGACAGGAGGCACCTTTTAAAGGATTATCTGAGTTTACATGACACTTTTTCTTTTAACTCGAAAAGAAGCATAAACTACGTTCATGGATCTCAACTGCAGATTCTCCCTTCTGCCCCCCAAAAATAGCCCTTTGAAGGGTATGAAAAATGACTCTCCTGCTTTTGTTCCTGGCCTCAGAGAGTTCAGCCTGTCAGAAACGCACACTTTGCCAGTGAGCTACCAGGGATGCTTGGAACAAGAACTGCCCCCAAAATGCCAGGGGACCCAAACTTGGACTTAATTCACAGTTCGCAAGTCCTCAACATGGGGCTAGCTGAACAATTTCAACTAAATGAAACCCTGCATGGTTCTCCTGGGCTGGGCCTGTGGGTGCCATGCCCCAGCTGTCAGCCCCGCTTCACAGCTGAAGATAAATCACAGCAGAAAATGGAGTGTAATGAAAACACTGACAGACCCTTCAAAGTAATGGAGCTCGGGGGTCTCCCTTTTGTTGCATTCCGTATATTATGCAATTACTGCCTTGGAAATGGCCTTTTCTTCATTCCTGAGAGGTGTGTGTCCGGCTATAGAATGGAAAGATGCTTTCATGCTTGGGACTGTGTGCAGGTTGGATTCAGCCTGGGCCAGATCTATCCTTCACAATTGGCAGCAATTTTCCATTTCACGGAGGCTGAAATCAGCCACGTCTAATCACTAGAATCACTACACCAGGGGCTGGGCAGCGCAAACAGGTCAGACATCCCTTTAATCTGCAATTGAGTTGTTCACACCCCAGGAAATAGATTTTATGCTGCTTTCCTGCTCTGTACAATGGGGTGTGGTTGAGGAAAGAACGACTTCGCAAGGATGCCTGTTGAGTTGACCGTGTCAAAAGTCATGGGTGGGCGGCATTTAGTACCTTTAGGGGAGGGTCTGGGCACAGTGGACACTGTTTCATGGTACAGCTGGGGTGTTCCATTAGGACATGAAATCTTTAGGAAACTCTGGGCTATTGCCTCTCTGTGACCTGCCTCCGGCTTTCTTAACTCCCCCTGCCTCTGGAAGCCTCTAACTCTACAACAAGGGGGCTTCCTGTTGGCAGCAAGTGAAAATGTGTCCCCGAGGAAGTGCTGGGGTTCTTTCAAAAGGGAAACACCCTTCAGGCTGACTTCAGTTCAAAAACGAAATATATCGCATAAATGTAAAGTTCATTCATATTCACGTACAGCTGGATCCAGAAAGCGAACTGATGGCTTCTTCATGCTGGCTTCATGCCCAGGAAAGCCCTTTCCCCTGGGCCCTGGAAAATTTCAGGCTCCCATGCTCTCAATCCCAGAACTAATGGGATAAAAAGAGATGATGTATTCCCAATAGTTCTAACATGTTTCGGAACTGAGACCCATGAACTGACTGGGTAATATGATCTACCCTAAACCAATTGCTGTGGCCAGGGAGATGCAATCTACTGATTGGCCAGGGTTAGAGCTGTGCCCATCCCTGAGCCAATTGGGTGGTGAGGAAATTCTGGCTCTGACTGACCAGGTTCAGGCCATGCCTCCTTCTGAAGTAAATGGTGGTGGAGGGAGTGGAGTCAGACCATTTCAGGACATAGATGGGGTTTGGTAGGGTGGTTTCCTAAGACAGTAGGATGCAGTTACCCAGAGAACTGAAAATTAGATGCTAGGCATGCAAAGATGAAAATTGGTCCCTGGAGATGACACCAGGTCTGTAGAAGGAGCTGGCAAGTGTTTGGATGATTTTCTTCCCAAGCAGGTGGTCGCCCTCGGTGTTGGATGTAACCTTGACCCCTCTCAGATTCTTTTTTGACTACCTCTGCTTTGTTTTCTCCCCTATGGTCACACCTCACCCACACTTCTTGTTCTTCCATGTCTAGATGAGCAGGAGGAGCACACTGTGGGTCCTGGGATATGGATTCCCGAGGGGCTGCCAAGGGGCTGGAGGGTGAAAATTGGAAGGGTGAGGAGTTAGCTCCCTTTGAGGGAAGGGGAATGGGAGGCATTTGGAGGCAATTGGAGACGTAGATGTTCCTGCTCCTTCCCCCTCTCCATGAGCTCCCTTTATAACCTCCTTCCAGAGAAGTGTTGGATTCCCAGTGAACGTGCCTGCTAAGAGCTGTTCTATTAGACTCCTCTTGTGGCAATAATAAATTACCGCAAACTTAGTGACTTAAAGCAATACAAGTTTATTCTTGTATAGAATATACAAGAAAGTATAAAATGGAAGTCAGAAGTATAAAATGAGTTGGCAGGGTTGCATTCCTTTTGGAGGCTTAAGAATCCATTTCTTTGCCTTTTCTAGCTTCTAGAAGCCATCTGCATTCCTTGGCTTATGGCCCCTTTTTTGCATCACTCCAAACTCTTGCTTTTGTCATCACATCTCCCCTGACTCTGACCCTCCTCCCTCCCTTTTATAAGAGGCCTTGTGCCTCCACTGGGCCCGCCTGGCTAATCTATGGCACGAGTCTTCCCATTGCAAAAGCCTTAATCACAGGCAAAAATCCCTTTTGCCACATAAGGTAACATCTTCACAGATTCTGGGGATTAGGATGTGGGCATCTCTGGAAGACCATCATTCAGCTGACCACAGCTTGTGATGGCTTTCTGAGCCTCACTGTGAAGCTCTGGACAGTGCAGGACTGCATTGCATTGTACTGTGTTGCTTTTGTTTGTGTTTGCCTCACTTCCCCCTTTCTTTTTCAACCTGACCACCTGGGGTGGCGCATTCTAAACAATCTGCTTCTCTTTGATCTTTGCCCCAGGCTTCATTTTCTGAAGCAACAGGGTAAAGGAAACCTCCGTGGGTTCACAGGGTGCCTTGCATGTCCTTCTCTTGCAGCACATCACCCTCTGCATGACCACTTGTTCATTGACATGTCTGGACAATGATCCACGTGCAAAAAGGAGTCCTGTCTTTCTCATCTGTGTCTTCAGCCCAGGGATAATCAAGTAGGTGTTCATTCTTGAATAAGGGAATGAATGAATCAGCCTTTAAGCTGCCCTGGAATTTTTGGTTCAAAGCTTACTTGCTCTGGAAACACTTCCATTAGCTAAACTTCTACCCTTTAGTCACAGCTTTCTTGACATCAGTGCTTGGTATGTGTGCACACATTTTCATGCTTCAGTGAGTAATAATGCACATACCCATGCTCAAGTGCAGAGTCAAGGAAAAGGAGGACTTTGCCCCTCCTACCTATATATAACCTTGGACTAGTTATTTTACCACTCTCCACCTCAGTTTCTTTGTGAAATGGGGCTAATAATTACATTTATTCCATAGAACTGGTGAAATGATTAATTTTGATGATACAATAGAAAGTACTGAAGGCAATATAACCCGTCTGTAGTTTCCCAAAATGCCAATTTCAAGAACTTCTTGTGTATTTGTAGCACCTAAATTTAGTTGGTCACTGCAGGATAAATCTTGTATGACTTCTTTATAAATATGTTTCTTCAGTGACATTTTCCAAATGGACTGCTTTCTAGACTGTTTGTCTTGGCTAGACTGACCCTCCTCCTCCACAATTCTTTCTTTTATGCCACCTTCTGGTTAGAGGTAGCCATGTGTCAGAGTCCTGGACAACTCAGTATAAACCAAAACCTGTGGGCAGTGCCTTCCAGAAAGCTTTTTTATTCTTTATTGAAAGGGTCAGATTCAGTCAGAATATATCATCAGCCTTTGCCTCCCCATTTTCTTCCTGTATCCTGTAGACATGATGCCTGGAGCTCCTGCAGCCATTTTGTAACATGAGGCCCTGAGCACCAGAAAAAAGAGTAAGAATCTTAGAGGATCCTGTCCTTGACTGACAGTGACCCATGAGCCAACATCGCCAGTGGTCTACCTCAAGACTTCTTCTTTGTGCCTTTTCAAGGATAATACCAGAAATTTGGAGGAGAGGATAGGAAATATAAATGCAACCAAAAAGAAAGATATCATCAAAGAGGTCTGAATCTCTCTTTGGATTTTAAAGAATTAAAGAAAGAAAGGGGGACTCAAAACAAAAACAAACCTCTACCCATCTCCCACAGTGGAGTGGAGCCAACTTGAAAGCAGTGAATGTATCTATCTGGTGGTTGGTGTCTTCTGTACTTGGCGTTTTGCCTGGGATGGTAGTGTTTGCTGAACAAACAAAGGAATCTTTTTTTTTTTTTTCCTCACCTCTTTTAACTTTGGCCAAGTCTGTCTGGCCCACCAGAGCAGCTGTGATGACAGTTGTTTGGTGAATTTCCAAACACTGTACTATTTAAGTATGGCACACAGTCTTAGGGGGCCAGGCAAGCAATTGGAAAGCTGAACCTGGCTGGCCAGACCTGTGTTACCAAAACTCATATGTTTCATTTGGATCTTTAAGCAGAAAAACTTTCCAAACCCTTGCTCCAATATGTAATTCTCCGTGGCTGATTTCTAGCGAGGAACCAAATTTAAGGTGGATAGAAGAAGCATATTCATTGAAGGATTGGTCTGTGTTCCAAGGATTGTATGATCTAATAGGGGTCATATACACGTCAGTAATTTTCAGGATTCTACCTGACTTTTTATCCTGGACACCAGGTACAGCTGCCAGCATCTCTTCACAGAGCCCCTGTTTACTGTGACTTTTCAAAGGGCAGGGATAGTTTCCTAGTGGCCTTGGAATGCCTTCTTTCACAGCACCAACCCCATACCTTATTCACAATGGGGGTGCACAGCCACTCTATAAGAGAGAAGATCAACCTTAGAACGTTTATTAATATCTTTATAATTTCTTATAGTTGGGGGGAAGCAAAGGCGAAAGAACATATTCTTGAGTAATTTATTCTGTTCCCTGGCATTGATGAAAGGGATAAAATTAAATCAGTGTTTCTACTCAAGTTGTTTGAAGGACAAGCCAAAATCACACCATTAAAAGTTAACATCTAAAACAGATTGTACATTACTAGGGATGAGTTCAGACCCAAAGTAGAAGAATTGGCCAAATGAATCTATAGAATGTTGGTTGTGAGGAATTTACTACCCTCATTTCCAGTGGTTAAAAAATAAAAGACAGATTATCTTCATTTCAGGCCAGGAAGGTTTGCAGAAAGAGCCAAGGATATCTTATCCAAGTTTAACAGGGAATGAGGTAAATGGCTAAGGAAGGTCAGAGCTGCGAGGTTTTTCTGGAGCACCAAATTCATCACAAGTCATAGACCTGTGAAATTCATGTCAAAATTACCAGATTGTTTCCCTTCTTGAAGGTACTTAAACTCTAGCGGAAAATAGGAACATCTGTTTAATTTCTGATGGCCTAAACAACTTACTCAGTACCTATTGTGTACATCTATTGATGGTATCTTTGAGTGTGAGATCCATTTATCTGTCCATTCATCTATTCATCCATTCATCCAACCATCCATCCATCCATCCATCCACCCATCCATCCATCCATCCATCCATCCATCCATCCATCCATCCATCTGTCCATCCTTATATCCATTCATCCATCTATCCCATTCATCCATCCATCCATCCATCCATATCCATCCATTCATCCAATCATCCATCCAGCATTTCTGGAGTACATGTCTGTGCTTGGCCCTGTGCTGAGGCAGAAGATACAGTGTTGGATTTGATAGAGACTTTGCTGTTCAAGAAATTACTTCAGTGCATAGCTGGAGAGCAGGGATTTTCAACCTCCAGTTTGTTTATATTTTGGGCTGGATAATCTTTTGTTGTGAGGGCTGTCATGTGCATTGTAGGATGCCTAGCAGCATGCCTGGATTCTACCTGCTAGATTCAAATAGCACCTGCCCCACCTCAGTCATGATTATCAAAAATATCTACAGATATTGGCAAATGTCTCCTGATGGGAAAGGGCAAAATTGCCTTCCTGGTTAAGAACCATTGCTTTAGAGTCAGAAACCTAAATTCTATTCCTGCCTTACCTCTGACTGGTTGTTTATTTGACTAATGGTTATTTAACTTTTTCTTATTCCCAGCACCCAACACAGTTTCTGGCAGAAAGTAGGTATGTGTCAGTGCTTACAGATTAAGTGAACAAATGAGTAAATTAATGAATAAGAGTCTATATTTCTAAGACCAGCCTTTTCCTAAGCAGTTGGCAGGCTGTTAGGAAGACCTTGAGCCTTGACCATGCACAGTGTCAAGAAAGCAACATATTCACTCAAAATGTGCCTCAAGTAGGAAAAAAAATCCACTTTGGGGGTATTTAGCTGTGTAAGCCCGACAGATAATTGAGCGGCTGGATTTTTCAGTTTCGACAGATTGGTTTGCCATTCTGTAGCCACAATAACAGAGCAAAGTAACAATCGTGTCTATGTTTAATTTTCTGAAGAGAGCTGCATCGCCGAGGCTAACAATCTGGCCAATTAAATGTGGCCGATTGGCACTCCCACACAAGTTTGGGGGTATTTAAAATAGCTCTCTGCACAAGAAAAAAAACATCCAAGCTGCAAAGAAAGTTGTAACTCTACCAAGATTTCATATTTCAAAAGCAGGCTTACAATGGTAAAATTGTTCTGGGTGACAGATAATAGACAAGCCATCTAGTTTGAGTGTATTAGTGTCAAATTGAGAGTTGTCTCTGTTGCCAGTGATGGTGTCTATTTGTTAAATTGGATAATTTTTCATGTTCAATGAAATCATCAAGATTCCACTCCTTGTGGACTGAGTTTATGGGACTTTTAACCATGTTAATCATTCAGAAGGACCAAGAGGACCAAGAGTGTCCCTCACTAAGCTTTTTTTTTTTTTTTTTTTTTTTTTTTTTTTTTTGAGACAGAGTCTCACTCTGTCACCCAGGTTGGAGTGCAATGGTGCCATCTCGGCTCACTGCAACCTCTGCCTCCCAGGTTCAAGAGATTCTCCTGCCTCAGCCTCCCAGTAGCTGGGACTACAGGCACCCACCACCATGCCTGGCTAATTTTTGTATTTTTCGTAGAGACAGGGTTTCACCATATTGGGCAGTCTTGTCTTGAACTCCTGATCTTGTGATCTGCCTGCCTTGGCCTCCCAAAGTGTTGGGGTTACAGGCGTGAGCCACTGCGACTGGCCTCACCTAGCTTTCTTTACTACCTTAAAGCTTAAGTGAGGAGTAGCTGATAAGAATGGAATTAGGTTCCCTACCTGTTTCACTCTCAAATCTTCTAAACACAATTCTTGTAGGCTCGTGTTGGGGAGGCTGTATTAGTTACCTACTGCTACAATAAAACTGAGTAACAAGCAACCATAAAGCATCATTAGCATAGGGCATTAACATTTGTTTAGCCTGGAAATCTGCAGGGATTAGCTGATCTTGACTGGACTTAGCTGATTTTGAGTGTTCCATGTATCTGGGGTTGGCTGCAGGTTGGTTAATCGGCTCTGCTGATCTTGGCTGGGTTTGTTCACCTGTCTGGGGGTTGAATGGCTGTTGGTTGATCTAAGATAGTCTTGGCCAGGTTGGCCAAGTTTATTGGGATGCCCTTCATCCTCCTGGGGGATAGCTGGGAAATGTACATGTGGTACTTGCAGGTACAATAACTTGCATTATCCCATTCGCCAAAGCACATCACATGGCTGAGCTCAGAATTAAGAGGTCAGGCAGATTGCTCTGCCCAGATAGAGAGGACCCTGTAAAGTTACATGGCCAAGGGTGTGGGTATCCAGAGGTATGACTAATTGTAATTGATTAACACATTTGTTAATTACAATTTGTACTATTACCAAGGCTATACTCCAGAAGGTGCTGGGCCCTGACAATAAAGTTAAATCTAAATAAGAAAGGTCTTTATAGCAATGTTGAGAGATAGAGGAAGAGGGAAGAGAGAGATGTGTAACTTGGGGAAGGCTCAGCCACCCAGCTGTTATTTGAGTTCTATTTTCTCCAGCTTGGAAGACTGCCTTCACGCTGGAAAAGGGAGAGTACTACAAAAATGAATAAGAGATAACTTAGGGCCTTCCAGTGCCTTCACACCAGAAAAGAGAGTACTACAACTATGGATAAAATGTAACTTAGGGCCAAGTGGATGGGGAAATCATAGCTAGTTCTTTATAGAGTCCGAATTTGCAGTCCCATGGGAATTCAAACCCAGGCCATTGAAAGACTTGACCATGGAACTGTGGTTATGAGGCATCATGAAAAATGGTAGGGGCTCCTAAAGAATGTAGGTTGGTTTTTATTTTTTTAATTTATTTTGTATTTTTTTAAGTTCTGGGGTACATGTGCAGAATGTGCAGGTTTGTTACATAGGTAAATGTGTGCCATGGTGGTTTGCTGCACCTATCAACCCATCACATAGGTATTAAGCCCAGCATGCATTAGCTTTTTTCCCTAATGCTCTCTCTCACTCCCCCCAGTCCTCCCCCAACAAGCATCAGTGAGTGATGTTCCCCTCCCTGTGTCCACGTGTTCTCATTGTTCAGCTCCCCCTTATAAGTGAGAACGTGTAGTGTTTGGTTTTCTGTTTCTGCATTAGTTTGCTGAGGATAATGGCTTCCAGTTTCATCCATGTCCTGCCAAGGACATGATCTCCTTTTTATGGCTGCGTAGTATTCCATGGTGTTTATGTACCACAATATTTTAATTCACTCTATTATTGATTGGCATTTGGGTTGATTCCATGTCTTTGTTATTGTGAATAGTGCTGCAGTAAACATACATGTGTATGTATCTTTATAACAGAATGATTTATATTCCTTTGGGCATACACCCAATAATGAGATTGCTGGGTCAAATGTTATTTCTAGTTCTAAATGTTTGAGGAATCACCACACTGTCTTCCACAATGGTTGAACTAATTTGAATGTAGTTGGTTTTAAATGGTCGACCCTTGATACTGGAAAGGAGACATTTGTCTCACTGTGACATCTGCAAATTAGTCAATTCTCAAGTACACTGGAGAATACAATACCCCCTAAAGTGCAGTTAAACTATCTAAAAATTCAGAATATCAATTGTTTTATACACATAGCCCCAAAGTCATTTCTAAAGTGATTAAAATAAACACCTCTCAAATTGTGATTCCATCAAGTGTCTTCTTATTCATGTCCTCTCATGATAATATTTATGTATTCAACATAATAATAATGTGAACTAATATTTATTTCCTTCTTTGTGTCGGCCATTGTGCTAAGCCATTTACATGCATAGTCTCATTTTTATTCTCACCATGATTTCATGACATGGGTATTGTTATTATTATCATTTTACAGTTGAGAAAACAGAAGCTCATAGAATCATATCCAAAGCTTATACCACATCTGCCTGATGACTGCTTGTGCTCTTAATCCCCTCATGTTGGCTACCTCTTGAAAAGATGAATTGTAATAGGGTGAAATAGAATTCTGGAATTCCAACTCAAAATATCAGAAGTGCAAATTCAAGATTTGGAAACCCTGGCTTGCCAGTAATTGATGTGATTAAATACCTTAGGGCTTTTTTTTTTTTTTTTGGATCACAAGTTCAATAGGAGTCAACAGAGTGAGGATGCTGCCCAGAACACCCAAGTAAGCCTCCATTCCTTTGCAAGGATGCATGCGATTCTGTACTGGGACAGCGCCATTTGGGGCACCTGATTCATTCAGTGGTATGTTGGTGCAAAAGTAATTGCGGTTTTTGCAATTTTTTTTTTTTTTTTTTTTTTTTTTTGGTGGCCAAAAAAAAATCTAAATTATTTTGAGATTGATTGATTGATTAACGACACCTGTAGCTTTTGTTTTGCAGTGACAGAATTGTAAGGTTATTGACAGTTTGGAGGGAAATTGACATTGACAGTTTGGAGGGGAGTTCCCACTGAAGGGGAATTAGGTGAAAAGGAGTTTTGGAAACCATCATTTGTGAGAAAAAATTTAAACAATGGAATATTTGTAACCTACAACCCAGAAGACTTCAGGGTGATACGGATAACTTTCTTCGGCCACTGAATGTATTCCATATGGAAGATGGGACACTCTTGCTTAGATTCAGAAATTATAGATAAAACTTACATGATCTGTTGGGACAGTGGTTGCAACCTGGGTAGTGAATTGGTATGAGATGTGGTGAGCTCCGTGACTTTAGCCATCAGACAGGGATGTTTTAGAGAGGGCTGCTGCCCTGAGGAGGTTCTTTTCTGTGTGCTGAGTCTTGAAATGCTGATTTCAGCACTTTATTTAGTTTGCCTGTGTGCTCAGCCATCATACTTAACATATAGTTAGGGAAGTGGTACTTCTGCTCAACAAAATCACAAATGAAAATAGCATTTTAGAGGACAGATGTTGACTCCTCACTCTTGATGTTTCGCTTCATGGAGGGAGCTATGGTAGTTTGACACCCCTGGGCTCTCTCTCCCCCTCTACTCACGCTCTACCATTGAAGGAAGAGGGAGGCTAGATTTTTGCACTATACAAATTTAGGAGTCTGTAGAGTGCAGTGACACACGCCTGTAATCCCAGAACTTTGGGAGGCCCAGGTGGGCGGATCACGAAATCAGGAGTTTAAGATCAGCCTGACCAACATGATGAAACCCCGTCTCTACTAAAAATACAACAATTAGCTGGGAATGGTGGTGCATGCCTGTAATCCCAGCTACTAAGGAGGCTGAGGCAGGAGAATCGCTTGAACCTGGGAGGTGGAGGTTGCAGTGAGCGGAGATCACGCCACTGCACTCCAGCCTGGGCAACAGAGCAAGACTCCATCTTAAAAAAAAAAAAAATTAGGAGTCATAAACATAACATTCTTCGTTCAGAAACTTCCTATTGTTTTCTCAGGAGTGCATGAGCTGCAAAAAGAATAATTCCTCTATTCTTTTCCAGGCTGGAACATCCTGTGCCCTCATTTTGGGTGGCTGGGTGCCCAAGTTCAGTGTTGCCATTAGTACATGGATAAATCTGTCAAATTTAGAGGTTTTGCACTAAAAATCAGCTTTGCTTTCACCTCAACAATGCCCTCCAGTTTAGGCTTATTTGGGAATGAGAGCGATGTGCTGCCTTCCATCTGCCTCTCCCTCATCTTATGTCTCAATTTGTTCAGAATTCAGGAGGAGAAGAGGATGCTGCTTAGCAGCTCCTGAATAACCCAATCAACAGGAGATGGAATAGAAGTTACTGAGGTGCTACACATTGAACGCTGACTCTATGAGTCTCGGGGCTTTCCCTGCGCTCCTTCCTCTAAGTGTGCCAACAATATCGCTGCTTTTACCATCCCCAGTTCACAGACTAGAATGATGAGGCTTGTCCAAGTTAGCAAGTAATAAAGCAAATGTCAGCCCATGTCTGCCTGAACCCCTGGTCAAGGCTTTCAAATGGTGTACAATGAAGTGTCTTGAGCCAGAGAGGATATTGGCTGTCAGAAAACGGAATGCCTACTAGAGCTCTGAGGAGATAAGAATGACAATGGGCCTTAGCTGGTCAAAGTGATTAATGGAGGAAGAGAAAAAGAGTGTGGTCAAGAAGTAGTATTCTCTCCCAGGAGTGACAACAGCAGGAATATCGTCATTGTCATCATGGTCAGATTTTTCATCCTCATCTGCACCCTAACAGCCACCATTTGTTGATCTTTTTTTTTTTTTTTTTTTTTAGATGGAGTCTTGCTCTGTTGCCAGGCTGGAGTGCAGTGGCATGATCTCGGCTCGCTGCAACCTCCGCCTCCCTGGTTCAAGAGATTCTCCTGCCTCAGCCTCCCGAGTAGCTGGGATTATAGGCATGCGCCAGCATGCCCAGATAATTTTTCTATTTTTGGTAGAGACGGTGTTTCACCATGTTGGCCAGGATGGTCTCAATCTCCTGACCTTATGATCCGCCCGCCTCGGCCTCCCAAAGTGCTGGGATTACAGGCGTGAGCCACAGTGCCACACTACAGAGTAGTGCCTACTCTGTAAACTTTTTAACTGCTTTATTGTAGTATAATTGCTATTTAATAAACTGTACATATTTAGAGTATACAATTTAATGTATCGACATACAAATCACCCATGAAACCATGATCACAATCAAGATAATGAACACATGTATCACCCTGAAAGGTTTCTTTATACCTCTTTCTACTCCCTTCTTTTTTCCAGTCTCCCCTACTCCCCAGTTCTGTCCCCAGGTAACCACTAATCTGCTTTCTGTCACTATAGTTACATTTTCTGGAACATTATACAGATAAAATTTTGGTTTGGCTGCTTTTACCCAACATAATTATGTTGAAATTTGTCATGTGATGGTGCATATCAACAGTTTATTCCTCTTTGTTGCTGAGTAGTATTCCATTATATGAATGTACCACAATTTGTCTATCCATTCACACGTTGGTGGACAGCTGGATTGTTTTCAGCATTTGACTATTTACACATAAAGCTATTGCAAAGACCCATGCACACGTCTTTGTGTGTACATAGGCTTTCATTTCACAGCCTGTGTTTAGTCTTCACAACAAGTGAAAGGCACAATGCAATTACAATCCCAGTTACATAGATGAAGAAGCTGAGGTCCACCAAGGTCAACTACGCTGCCCAAGGCCACCAGCTAATCGACAGCAGGGTTAATGTTTGAGGGCAGAGCCTTCTGACAACTCCAGGCTCAAAGCCCCTGCACAATACTACACCCCACACTGAGAGGAATGCTTTCATTTGAAAAAATAAAGATGTTTATTTTTTCTCTGTAGGAATGTAATTCTCAGCCTATCTCTACTCCCTGTCATGGTTACCTATATCGGCTGCAGCACACAGACCCTCAGAGGTCAAGACGTACCTTCCCACTGAGTTTTTTTCAGTCTACCCATCAACTAGAGATAAGATAAATCCTAATAGGGGCCAGGATCTTTTGCTGTCAAGAATATGAGATTGTATCTTCATTTATGGAGTAACTTTTACACCCTGAAAATGAGGATGATAAAAACAAGGCAGGTAAAGAAACAAAGACAGTGTACACATCCTTGTGCATATTCACAATGCAGGAGCTGAAAATTCGGTTGATGCAATGAATGTATAAAGAATTCAAGCTCAGCTACAGAATTCTGGTTGAAAGTTCAATTGCTGCCAATCCCCTTGGGTCCCAAGCAAGCATTTTGAGGGAAGCTGGCCCACATTTCCCTGTTCAAATCTGGTCTCTGGACCTCTGTCATATGCACCTTCCTCATTCTGATTACCCAGTTGATTGATGGATTCATGTACCAGGCAGCTACTCTGGGTGAGGTGGCCCTGTGAGAGAAAAGACTGGACACAGTCTCTACTCCGAGGGCAAATGCAACAGACGAAGAGCTACATAATGATGCTGCAGGAGTACCGAGCACAGAGAACTGAAGGAACCAGGAAAAGCTTCTCAGAGGAGATGCCATTTAATTATTTAAGATTTTCCTTTTATTTATATATTTTTTAAGTGCACATGCTTATAATGATAAGTGATACAAGCAGTGGTGAGCTGGTAAATTTTTGACAACCAGTTCTCTGAGAAAAATAGATATTTACAGACATCGCTTATTATAAGTGGGGATGTATATAGCATGTGCTTTATAAATAAAAATAAAATACGAATATTCTTTACTATAAATCCCATGTGTATAGACAGTTGAATTCTCACAGAATGCTTTTGCTGACTTTTACCAAACTCTTGCATCCATAGCCAAATGATAGTTGCAATTAACAAGCAAGTATATGTTGGACATGAATGTTGGTTGATATTTTCATTTAGGTTAACAAAGGTATAAGATAATGCTATAATATTATGTAAGACAAAAGTGAAACAATGGAAACATGTCAGAACATTACTTATTCATCAGTGACATTAGGCACAGCTTTGCTGAATTGGGTAGTAAATTTTAATAACCTGAAAAATACTTTCTCAACATTTTAGGCTATTCACAATATAACCGCTACAGACACACCCATTTTTAATTTTAATCTGCATTATGAACATCTTCTCTATCACCTTCTTAACTCTAGGCAGTGATCCAAACAATAAGCTGATCCCTGGCTTGTAGTCCTTGCCAATTTCTGTGGTGTAAATACTCCCACCATGGCTGGTTTCAAAATAGCAGTGTGACATTATGGAACACGGAGCTGGAAAAAGATGTGCAGTCCCACCCCATTGTTTAGTATTCTCAAGAGCACAGATAATAGTAAAAATAGTAAAATAATGAAGAAATCATAAGTATTACCTATTTACGACTCATGTTTTAATATAATTTATTATAAGTTTATATAATTTAATTTTTAATAATGGCTAGGTTTTTGTTTTGTTTTCTGAGATGGAATTTGGTTGTTCTTGCCCAGGTTGGAGTGCAGTGGCATGATCTCAGCTTACCAAAACCTCTGCCTCTCAGGTTCAAGTGATTCTCTTGCCTCAGCCTCACAAGTAGCTGGGATTACAGGTGCACACCACCACACCTGGCTATTCTTTTGTATTTTTAGTAGAGATGGAGTTTCACCACACTGGTCACGTTAGTCTTGAGCTCCTGACCTCTGGCGATCCAGCTGCCTCAGCCTCCCAAAGTGCTGGGATTACAGGTGTGAGCCATCGAGCCCAGCCTATAATGGCTAGCTAGGTTTAACAGCTGTCTGGCAAAATTCCTGAGTGTTTAACAATGGACTCTTATGAGTCAGTAGGAGCTCACCACTAGATATATTCATAAAGGGTAATCATCTCCCCCAACCAATACCCCCTTTCCTATATCCTTCTGTCTCATCCCACTTGAGGTTTATACAGATTTCCGCACCCTTTTCTTTATACCAACATGTGAATGCAGGCTCTTGCACACCATACACAAGAGTACAGAAGGGTCAGTTGGTTTCTAGGTTGGCTGAATAATATCATAACATACGTGTTACCCTGCGAGGCAGGGATGAAGCTGTAAGAAGTAAATTAGATCAAGTGCTGTCTCTGTTTTCCAACACACATACACAAACACTTTTACAAAAATGGAGTCATATCATACCCATTGGTTTGTTGATGTTTTTGTTAGCACAGTCTTTTTTTCTTTGGGGCTTGCTTTGCTCTGCCATCTCTCTGCTCAGCTCCACCTTAATCAGTGCTGCAACTCCATGTGAACTGACCCTCTCAACCACACCATAAACCCATGCTATAATCGGTTGCATATTTTCTGTTCTTTTTCCATTCTTACATAATTATTTTTTATCTATGCACACCCACACACACACACCCACACACACATACAAACACGCATAGGATTTTTAAAAAATGTTTTGTTAAAACATGGTATTATAATGTGCATACATCTTTGCATCTGGAGCTTTACAATAGTTCTAATCTCAACAATTGTTCTAATTCTTATTTATTTATTTGGCTGCATCATATAATATAATATTTCTTAGTGTGAATGTACTATAACTTAATGAATATGCCACTACTAATGGACGTTTACTATTTTCCATATTTTTTCCTTGTTGAGAAATGCTAATAATAAACATCTCTGAATATTTCTATAGAGCAAAACTGCAAGAATGCTGTTTCTGGGTTGAAGGGCATGTGTATTTTTGGCTTTAATACATTTATCCATATGGTTTCCAGAAATGCTTCATATTTCTGCCAGTGATAAAAGAACTTTCCCACCATCCCCACCAGCAATAGGTCTTAACTCTCTTTTTAATTTTTGCCTGGGACATGAGTGCAAAATAATAATTCGTTACTTTAATTTGCATTTCTTGACTACCAACAAGTCTGAATATATTTTCATATCTTTATTGGGAGTTGGGTTTGCTATTCTGTGAATTGCATATTCATATTCTTTGTTTTTGTTTCTGTGGGATTGTTTCTCTTTGTCAATTTGTAAGAGCTCTTTGTACAGCATAGATATTAACCTGTGATCTGCCACCTGCATTGTAAATGTTTCCCAATTCTTTGATTTCTCTGTTAACTTGGAAAGTGTTACCTTTAGCTATGTTTATATAGTTATGGTTGATAGTTACATAATATATAGTTTGTGGTTGATGTTTACATAGACATGTGCATTGTGTTTCCCCTTTAAAATTTAGTGATCCCCTCTTGGTTATGAAGGCCTTTCACCCCTAGAGTGTAAGTAAATATAAGTTTTTTGCAATTTTTTGTATAACTTTTTATAGAGAGAGCTTTGTTTAATCCATGTGAATTTATTTTTTATGTGGTATGAGAGAGTCCACCTCCTTATTCTTTTAATCCAATAGCCATTTGGGCATGGTTATTTACTAAATAAACTACATTTTCCTCATTGGATGAAGATATCTCTGTTGCCATATTTAGAAACTTTATATTCATTAGGATCTATTTCTGGATCTTCTTTTCCACTGATTAATTTTTTGATTCTTATGCTATTATTATATTGATTTGTTTAGAGAGGTTTCATAGTGAGTTTTAGTGTCTGGTAAGGCAAATCCTTCATCTTAACTTTTATATATGTGTACGCAAATTTTAGTATTCTTGAGCAATTTTCAAATCTATGTGAACTGAAGTTAATTTTACCTTCAAAGCAAAGAAAAATGCTATTCATGTTTTAATAGGAGTATCATTAAATTTTATATATTTATATGTATAATTTTGACACTTTTATGATACTACATTTCCCTAATGAAGAACCTAATTTTTCTTTCCATTTGTTCAAAATCTGTTTTATGTCCTCCAATAAGCTTTTATAGTTTTATTCATATAGGTTCTATGGCTTTCTTGTTAAATTTTACCTTTTTGGCCAGGTGCGGTGGCTTATGCCTGTAATCCCAGCACTTTGGGAGGCTGAGGCGGGTGGATCACGAGGTCAGGAGTTCAAAACCAGCCTGGCCAAGATGATGAAACCCCGTCTCTACTGAAACTACAAAAATTAGCCAGGTGTGGTGGCAGGTGCCTGTAATCCCAGCTACTTGGGAGGCTTAGGCAAGAGAATCACTTGAACCAAGGTGGCAGAGGTTGCAGTGAGCTGAGATCAGGCCACTGCACTCCAGCCTGGGCGACAGAGGGAGACTCCATCTCAATAATTAATAAATACATCAATTTACCTTTGTATCATTTTTTCACTGTTGTAAATTTTAAAATTATTTCCATTTTTAGGTACTTATTGCTAGTTAGAGAATCTATTTTCCTCTTAGATTCTTCTTATATCATTAAACCTTATCAAATACTCTCACTAATTATAGGATTTTAAAAGTTAGCTTGTATGGGCATTCTACATATGCAATCAAATCATCAGCCAAAAAAGTAGAATTTTTTCTCCTCTTTTCCAGTTTTGGGCTCCTTATTTAATTTTTCTTATCTTATTACCTTGGCTGGAACCATTTAGACCATGCTAATATGTTAGTGATAGTGGGCATCGCTGTCTAGTTTCTGATTTTAATGAAAAGTTATTCTTATTTTAATATTTGTTGTTACTTTTTGTTAAAAAGTATTTATCATATTTAAACATTTCCGTTTGATTCCTACTTTTTTTGTGTTTTTTACTTAAAGTACATATGGCCATAAAAGTTTATCAAATGCCGTTTTAGCCTTTGCTAATGTGATCATAGTTTTTCTCATTTATTGTTGAAGTAAAAAATTGTGGGAATAAAGTTTCTTACATTATAAATTGTATCTCCAAGGATAAAGAGGAGTCCCCTTAGACGGAAGGAGAAGAGTATATCAGGCAAAAAGGGGCTAGGGGAACTATTAATTAAGAAAAAGCAAAGAAGCCAGGGTTAAAGCTAGACATAAACACAGCTCTCTAGGGTCTGAAGGGTAGGGAATCTGCCGCGCAAAATGAGCAAATGAGGACGCTTGGGCTGTGATGGCTGGAAGTTCATGGGACTCAAGGTGGCTCATTGCATATGTGAGGTTGTGGTTCTGAAAGCATCAGTGGTTCTGATGTTTTCTGATGGAGGCAGGACAGCTTGCGGCATTTTCAGGAGCTGGTTAAGAGCTCATTAGCGATGAAAAAGCATGAAGAGTGACAGGTTTGAAAAAAAAAAACCCACTTATCTAGTTGGAAAAAGGCTTTATGGGGAGAAACAGTGTGGACCATTCTTTGGCAAGTGAGGACTGAAAAATATACCTACTGTTTAGACTTCAGGAGATGGGAGGTTAGAAACCAAAGATGTAGTCAGAAAAAAGGAAGGAGTTGTTTCTTTTGAGCGAAGCTTTTAAACTGTGAGATCTTTGTGGAGCAGGCACTGCTTTTTGCTGTTCCCAGTAACAACACACAGGACATTCGGCATAGGAGATGTTATATAAATGCCTGATGAAGGCAGGTGGGCTCAACTTAGCCTACAGGGAGAAGGAAAAGGAACTGGAAAGAGATGGCCACTGATCATAAATCTTTAGAGTTTGAAGAAACTGGAAATGTATTCAGTCATTCTTTCTTTTACTTATTTGTTAAATCATTCATATTTATTTGGCACCTACCATGTGTCAGTTACTCTGCTATGCAGTGGAAATACAATGATAAACAGGACAAATTCCCTGCCTTCATAGAACTTTCCTTTTGGTGGAAAGTGAGATAGGTGACTATTAAATAAATTAGATAACGATAGACTGTGAGAAGTGCTCTAATTGTTTCTAAGCTTTCATATGCATACTGGTGGTCTGGGGAACCCTGTTAAAATGCAAATTCTGGCTTACTCAGTTTGGGGTTAAGCTGAGGTTTTGCAGTTCTAACAAGTTCTCAGGTGATACTACTGCTCGTAGTCTAAGGACCAGCTTTTGAGGATTAGCAGGATTATGAAGGCTACAGCTAATGATGGGAAGGGGACTGCTTTGCAGATGGGGTAGTCAGCAGATACTGCTAAAGACATGCTTTTGAGGTAAGTTCGGAGAGAGATATTGGGTACTCGAGCAAGGCTAAAAATCAGGACTGCAAATGTCTGGAGAGCATGTTGTGAGTGTAACTGCTGGGACCCACTGTTGTCTTGATGGAGAGCCTGAAAACAGAGTGAGAAGAGATGATAAATTGAGGATAATGATACTGAGAGGATTTAGGCTTGTTTCTGGGAAGATGGGTTCCAATGAGTGAGATTCTCATTAACTAATTTATAATGACACACACACACACACACACACACACACACTGCCTGCAATATGCCTATATGATGCAACAAAGGGAAGGTTTTGCAAGTGGGAGACTTAGCCCTGGAAAGGGAGAAACAGCCTCTGTCAGGAGAGGGCATTAGACATGTGACCTAAAAGAGGAAAGGGAGGTGAACAGATGCCGGAGAGGGGAAAGAGTGTCCAGACAAAAGGCCCTCAAAGAACTGGAGGTGCTAGTGTGACTGTAGCCCTGAGAAGGGAGGGGAGCAACAGGGCCAGGGACCAGTCCATGCAGAGCCCGTGAGGCCTGTCCGAGGTTCTGTGTATAACGACGGTGTTGGTAAGGGGCTGGTGTCCACTTATGCACCTACCTTTATTGCCGTCAGCTCTATAGCATGCAACTGGCTGCCCTTTGGGAAATGTGGCTCAACATATTGGATGTGCCAATCCATGTAGCCTGCCTAGAGTGGGAGCCCCTGTAGGAATCAGACTCAGCACTGGGCCTTACTTACTTGGGTGATGAGAAAACGGTTTTCCTTGGGGAACAGGGATGGAGGTAGGAAGGGATCGCCATCTATAGTTAGCTGTAACCAAGATGCACGCAACTTCTGGCATGGCTATTCCTGTAGTTTGAATGACCACAGGCTAGAGTAAGTCACCCTTGTTATAATTTGTACCATCTGTCTTCTCAGCTTTTTCTGCCTGACGTCTGAGGGTCCCACCCACTGGTTCAGCCCTGCTCCCAGTTCCTTCTTGTGCCAGTAGCACCAAACCGGGCCTTGCTCTCTGCCACTATCTTCATTCAGTTTCTCCTTGAGCACCACAATGAGGATAGCATTGCTACCCATGCTCACTTTACAGAGGTTAAACTTGTCCAGTCATAATGTCAGCCAATAATTGTTAAGTATGTATCCTGTGCCAGGTGCAGCACATACGCTTTTCATCAGGAATTAGCTCCTTTAGCTCAGCAGGTGATGAGATAGAAAAAAGAAAAAGAGGGAGAAACTTGTATAGCTTTACTCCACAAAAAGACATTCATTCAACAAATCTTTGTTTATTAAGTCCCCACCACGTGCCAGGTAAAGTTGGCAATGCTAGGGAGATAGCAGTGGAGATACAGACCAAATGCCCTGTCCTCATTGCGCTTACGTTCTAGTTAGGAGAGAGAGATTGTGAAAGTAAGAAGCAGAATATGAGTTATATTAGATGGTGGTCAGTGCCAAGAAAGACAAACCCAGGAAAGGGAGAGTCAGGAGGAGGGAGGGTTTGCAGTTAGTCTGCATGAACAGAGAAAGGCTCTAAAAGACCAAGACATTTGAGCCGAGACTGAAAGAGGAGAGAGAGAAATGAGCAAAGAGCTGAGATGAGAGCCCTGGGGGTGGGTTTATGGATCTGCAAAGAGCAGAATAGGCTAGACAGAGCCAGGAAGGAGGGTGGGGCTGAAGTCAGAGGGCCAGTCTTAGCTGGAGGGAAAGGAGGGTAGCCTTTATTCTGAGGAAGGGGAAAGCCACTGAGAGCTTTGAGCCGAGGCGCAGTGACATTTGACGTCATTTTTAACGCATCTCTGGGGCTGCCTTATCAGGGTGAACATAGTGTCAGAAAGGTATTGAGAAGAGACATTATGGGAAACACCTAATTTACACTTTCGTCCACTCCCAAAGATGGCTGAGCTCCATCTGCCAGGCTTCTCTGGAGCTCAAGAGAGACAGCAGTCTTATAAATAAAATCAGATATAAGACCCTGAGCAGGCAGGGGCTGCCCCTCCTCCCCTCCTGGCACCCACTCAGGCTCCCAGTGAGCGCACACCTGGGGTGTGTCCATAATGCTTTTGATTATCTTTGTTCTCCCAGCCTCCTCCACGTTTGTGGAGTTTTCTATTTGCATACCTTTCCCTGAGCTTTTAATGATTATTTCCCCATCTTAACCGTTTGCCCCATTATTTAAATGAGTCTTAGGTACATGCAGAAATGCCAGGTGGGTGAGCGTGCTGAATAGGTGCTATAAGGACGGCGGGGCGGAGTGAGGAGTCACGGGCCTGCCAGTTGGCCCTGTCCACCGGTATGGCTGTGTTCCCATGCGCTTCACAGCTTTTTTTTTGTCCTCCATGTGCAAGCCCCACAACCCTTCTTCAGGTACATGGATGCATGGGGACTTTAATGAGAACATTAAACCAGTGGCCACAACTGTCTACATGACCTTTGATTGGAGACTATTTTGTAGAGGTACTGGGCTTTTTTTTTTTTTTTTTTTTTCCGCTTTGTCTTAGAAACGTCTTAGTGAAATATCTGGATTTCACTCTCCTCTCTTGTTTCCAAATTTGTCCTCTGCCAGAGTTGTTTGTTTTGTTTTAAATTCACATAGATCACACAGTTCTCAAGTGCCTGCCATGGGACTGGGTACTTTTTGTCACTGCGTTGAGTCCACACAATACTTCTAGAGGTACTAAGTTTATCTCTATGTATCAGATGAAGGAAACTGAAATGCAAGAAGCAAAGGGAATTAACAGCATTTACAAAGCGAATAAGTGAAGAATGGGGGATTCAAACCTTGGTCTAGCCTGTTCCCAAGCCCATAGTGTATTTTGTGCCTCCTCCTTTTGGAGAGTGGGGTAGCAAAAGGGCGGTATGTAGAGGAGGGGGCCAGGGCTAAACCCTGAGTTTTACAACTTGATCAGCAATGAGACAAAGGAAGCAGGAAGAGGGTTGTCTGCAGGAACAGACAGCCCTTGTCTGCTATTGTCGTCACTGGCTTGGAAAAGATGTGGCAGCAGCTTTATGAAGTTTCCATAGACAGCCAGGGATGGTGATATGCTGAATGACAGAAGCAGGATCTCAAAGATTTGAGTGGACAGGAATGATGAGTTGAATCTAACACAATAATATTTAATAATAGTAAATGTAAGATCTGGCCCTTGGGTGCAAAATATTAACCAACCAATGGAATCTTGGCTTAGCTGGATTTATATCCAGCAAATATTTACTGAGCATCTGTTCTTTGCCAGGCATTGAGGTTGTAGCAGTTAACAAACCAGGCAGGATTCTTGTTTTGTGGGGATGATACTCACCTGGGCAGAGAGAAGCAAAAGCAAATAAACAAAAATAGCTAATAAACCACCAGAGCTGATGCATGCTGGGATGGTTGGGGAACAAACAGGACTGTTCAGTTAGGACCAAAAGTCCTGGGGAGCTTCTGTAGCCACGAAGCTCAATGCATGTTAGTGGCTTCCTTCAAAAGGGGGATGAGAGCTCTCAGCAATTTGTCTGATAGTTTTGGAAGAGGTTGTTGTTCAATCTTTCATTGAATATGTATTTATTGTGCACTTAGTATGTGGCAGGCACTATTCTAGGTTCCGGGCATAGATTGTCCTCTTGGAGTTTATATTCTAATATGAGAGAGAAACAATAAACTCTTAAGTAAATTTATAATGTGATTTTGGGAGGTAAGTGCTATGAAGAAATATTAATTAGGATAAAGAGCTAGAAAGCAATGGGGCTTCTTTAGGGAACTTGGTCAGGGAGGGGCTCGCTGGAGACATAATATTTGAGTAGAGACCTGAATGAGGAGATGGAACAATTATAAGATATATGGGGAATAATATGTTGGCAACAAGTGCAAAGACTCTTGGGTAGAAAATGGGTTAGAGGTCCAGAGCCATTGGCACTGGAGTGAAATGAGCAAGACAGAGTTCGGAAAAGTTTGGGAAGGAAGCAGGGTAGACGCTGTGGAGCAAATGGGTGTGGAAAGAAATGTGAATTTCACCATAAGTAAGAAGGAAAGCCACTGGAAGTTTTTTGAGCAGGGCAGTGCTGCGGTCTAATTGGAGTTTCAAAAGGCTTACTCTGCTGCTGTGTGAAGCATATGCTCTTGGCGCAAGAAGACCAGTTAAGAGGTAGTGGAGAAAGGGGCCTGGACTAAGTGGCAGCCCCAAGTGGACAAAGGGGCTTAGACTACGCGGTAACCCCATAGCAACAATCCAAAAGTCCCCCCTGGAGTCTCAAGTGGCCTAAGCGAAGCCTCACTGGTGACAGGAGGCACCAGATCAGGCTCCTTGACACCCCCAGGGCTAGGGGTCATGATTCCAGCACAACCTCCTTGGCCGAGAGAGATTTCAGGGGCTTGGTCCTAGTGACATGTTGGTCTCAGCCTGTGTAGTGCTGATTATTTACAGTACTGCTTGCCTCACAGATAGTTTTACAGGCAAACATATTCAAAGCAGGCTTTCCTCCTATGTGTTTTCTGCTTAGTTACCTTCGTTTTGCCCATCCACTAGTATCATAGAGCATTCCCCCAGCTCCCAAGCTCAGAATGAAGGTATCTGCTGACAGATCCCTAAAAGACAAGCCAAATATGTCCAGCAATCCCCAAAGGGGACACACAGGATCCACACATGTACAGTCTCATGCTGCTTTCCTGGCAGCACCCTGGTCATATCCTTGCCACATACTGAGATCCTGTTTTCTCTGCTGAAAAATCAAGGTCTGCCTCGAAGCCTGCTTCTGCTCCATGGCAAACGACAAGAGCTTCACCTTCTCTGCACCCTCCACAAGTCCCTGCTGGTCTCGCCATTGTTCACCACTCAGAGAGAGGAGGTGACCCTTTCCTCTTACCCTCTGTCTCACCCCCTTTGCTTCTGACTGTGCCTCCTCCACCCCCACCATCTCTTACACAGGGACACAGCTGATTGCTGTGTCCAAGGAGGAGACAGGCATCATTCCAGCTTTTTCTGTCACATGACTCTCGGCTGGGTGCTTTCCTCCTTCATTCAGGAGACTAACAGCCCCGTGCACATCAATTCATGAGAAAAAATGCCGAGGGACTGATTGCATTGCTGGGTCTCTATGTCCAATGTTTACTTGGTTTCCTGTGAAACCCCCCAGCTTGGTGTCTCTCTTTGATGTCATTCATTTGGACTTAAGCTCAGGCCGTGCAGGATTATTGATTATGTCTTTATAGGTCCCTAACTAGACTACAAACAGCTAGAAGTCAGGATCTACATCTTATCCATCTTTGTATCCCCTGGAGAGCGTAGCGTGGTGACTTATTTATGGTGGGTGTCCTGTATGTATATGCTGACGGACTGACTGTTTCACTGGCCCCAGGGGCTAAAGGGCTTCCATGAGGGTCTAAGCAGGGACCGTGTATTTGTCTCTGCTTATTCGGTTGTAACAATAGATCAAGGCAAGACTTCAATTATCCTTTACTTTCATTCCCAAACTCTCTTCTCTGTTCGTTGTATTGAAAATGCCTAGTGACAGACAGCCAGAGGCTGAAAGAGACAGAATGCTTTCAGAATCTTAGCAAAGCTGTGTGGCAGGAAGGACATATTTCAATGAAGTTATTTTCCTCCAAGGCTAATATTGTGCTTCCATACTTCAAGCTCTAGTGAGCTCATCAACAATGTTTGCCTTTAATTTTACCATTTGTACCCAGTCATATGTTACTTGCTGTGTTTCTGTGTAGCTTCGTTTCATCAAAGGGATGTTAGGGCTTCCATTGTCTTTGAAAAGTTGCTTCAAGATGGATGTGCATGGATATCCATCCTGTTTCATTATCTTCTTTGTCACATTCTCTCAGTCATCTGTGAAAGAATACGTTGCTCATAGACTCATTAAAAAAAAATAAAATTCTTGTGGTTAAATGGAGGAAGGACATTGCATATTGGTTTGGGGCATGGGGAACCTTCTTGATTTCTCCCCACAGGAAGGACCCCTGGCCTTTCCCTAGAAGAGCATGTGGCTTCGAGTCTTAGACACAGCTGGGGAACCCATGGGATTGTAGCTTTCCAGAGAGGAGAACCTATGTTCTCTCAGAAAGGATTCCTTCCTTCTTTTGTGAAAGGCTGTCCATTCTGCAATGTGTATTGGAATCACCTTGGGATAACTGTTGATGCCCCACCCATCCCTGGCCAATAAAATACCAGCTTCCTGGTTGGAGCTTGAAGCCTGCCATTGACGTAGTTATAAAAGCCCCCCAGGTCAGTCTACTGTGCAGCCAGAGGAGAAACTACTGTGCTAGGCCAGTGGCTCTCAACTGGGGGCAATTTTTCCTTGAGCAGGTATTTGGTAATCAATGTCTGGGAGACATGTTTGATGGTCATAACTGTTGAGGGGTGTGGTGCTACCAGCATTGAGTGGGTGGAGGCCAAGGCAGAAGCCAGCCCCTCCTAACAAAGAATGATCCAATACAAAATGTCAAAGTGCCAAGGTTCAGAACCTCTCTCTAGAGCATTAGAAAAGCAAGCACACACATACACTCAGGTGCATACATAGATATTTTTACAAGTATATTACCTCCTATTTGCATAATGCCTTCTAGTTCTCAAAGACTTTTTACACACTTCATCGGTTTGATCTTTACCATGACACCGTAATGGAAATATTATCACCATCTTGATTTTACAGATCAGGAAACCAAGGCTGAGGAAAGGGAATGACTTCCTCAGGACCGCAAGATGTTCAGTTTCTCAGTGAGGGCTCTTTCCATTCGCAGACAGGTCCAATGGGTGCACATGCGTTTTCCTGCTCCGTGCCCCTTTGTGACAAACATAATAACTGAACACTGTCTTTGTTCCCGCTGAGCCCAAGTGCAGCCTCAGAATCCTTCTCAACACAGCACTCCAGCCAACCCCAGGTGTGAGATGAAACTTGTCACATAGCCTCTCCACCCTAAACACCATACCCTTCCCTGAATTATGATGATCTTGTTGAAAGAGACACCAAGGAGAGTTCTTGAGAGTAGGAGGGCTCTTGAACATCTGCAGGTGTTCAGACAATCTGTTTGGGAAATTGCAACGTTAACAGCATGCGCTCTTGCCGGCACCTATGAGGAAGCATCTGTCTCCCTAACCCCTATATTTCTTTATAACTTTATTAGTGTGTTTGGCTCTCACCATATGCTGCTAATTGACATACAAAGGAAGTATGCACAGTTGTGTTCCTCATTTGGTGCAGACTAAAAACTTCACCTTCTTCTTGAGCTTGCTAGGATCTCCCTCTTGAGCCCAAAACATGAGATAATTATGAGAACATGAACTATGATTCATGAAGCCGATGGGACAGGAATGAGAGCACGCTCAGCCTGTAGCGTGAAGAAGCTAGGGCCAGCAGCCCCTGCTTGAGCTCTGGGCACGACGAATAGTGGCATGTACAATTAAATGCCCAGTGCCTGTAAGAAAGCTGCCATGGGAGGGAGGCAAGCAGAAGGAGAAAAATCAAGTGCAGTTAGAGACTAACTTCTCCATCTTCCAGGCAGGCAGGTAATAGAGAAGATACAGGCAGCTCGGTGGATCATTTGGCTCCATCATTGGGAGACAAGTACAAAACAGCATAGAGCATCTGCTCATCGAGGTGTGGGTTGCCGTTTCAAAAAGTTGCAGGAGCCTCTTCGTAATAAACGGGGCTCTAGCCTCCTGGTCTGGCTTTATCATCTGCAAGTATCTGTGGGATCAGTCTCTAGCAGCAAACGTGGAGATTTCATTACAATTGATGAATTTGACCGGAAATGATCTCCTTGTGTCTTTGGTCCTCACTATGGGGCTGGCTGGCGTGTGTGTCCAAAGACACTGTAGTGTGAGGCTGCACAGCTGTTCTGCTGTTCTGAGCCCCCATCATACTGGGGAGCGGGAGGGATCAAGGCATGCTCTGCCACTAATTAGGCTATAGCGACAGTGCACAGGCAGCATTCAGGCGGGTCTTGGCAACAGGACAATTCATAGCTTTCCTTTCACCAGGAACTTGGCCAGAGACTTCCCATGTTGCCCTAGAGTTCTGGTGTCCACCCTGGCTGCACTTTGGGGACTAGCTGGGGAGTCCTGTCCACCTCTGTCTACCTTTCTATCTATCACTGCTGGGCTAGTATCTCCCAAGGGCAGGGGACTTCAGTCTGTTTTGTTTATAGCTGCATCCAGAGTGTCCATTGTGCCTGATACTCCATGAATGAATTATTACCTCCTCTGTGCCAGGCCTTGCCATACCCTGTCAAAGATATCACTGACCATGATGACTATGGCATCTGTCTACTGTGCTGTCATTGTTCTTATTTTTATGGATGAGAAAACTAAAGCTAAGAAGTAATTAATTTGTAGGATATTATACAATTTGTTAAGTGGGAAAGCTGTAATTTGTACTAAGTCAAGCTCATATCAAAGCCCAATCTCTCTGGATTCTTGTGCTTCTGTTCTTAAGAGGAGTGGGTGTGAAGTGTGAATAACTGCACACCTCCCTTAATTATGGTAGAACAGTTATTTAAGCAAACTAAGTGGTTTGGAAAATGCAAAAAGCTTCATGGTTTGGTATTCGGGAAAACAGCATTTTCTAAGCCATGCTCTGGGAACAATAACCTCAGAATTGCTAAATGGTGTCCCATGAAAAACACCTAACATAGGGTTCTGCCAATAAACAACTTGGAGAACTACATCTTCTGACACCCTCTCTTTGTGGAATCATAATTTCACATTAATACAACAAAGGCTCTGAGCAATCCTGCACTGAATAATTCTTTGTTTAATGTAAAATTTGCCAAATCTATGTATCTTCAAAACCTCTCTTCTTTCCTCATTGACAATCTATTAATAGCTCATAAGATGCTGCTGTTGCATTTATAGTTTCTTGATCTGGACATGGCCTGGCATGTACTAGTATGTCAGGCTTGTAAAAATAGAAAGCTCAATAAAATATAAACACACTCATGTTAGCAAAGCAGATGCTCTAATGACAACTCTGACCTTGATAAGTTGGAATTGATCCAACACTTAAAAACGGAGCTAACAAAAACTTAGAAATTGAACTAATATAGAATTTTCACTAAAGACATGAAGAGCATTGAAAACTCTAATTCATTTGAAGCTAAATAATGCTGGCATTCATCTTGCAAAAGCAGCCATGTATTCCACAACAAATTTTTGAGCACTGTTCGGAGCCAGAGACTGTTGGGTATTGGAAATACAAGTTTAAATGAAGTAGGTTTGATATTGACCATCATAGGGTTGGCAGGTTTGTGTCTTGTTTCTTAGGCGCTTCCCATGGCTGCTGAGGAAATAGCTATTATCCTGCCTCTGTTTGTCTCCAGTTTGTATCTCTGCTTTGTCTTCATCCAGCCCTGAGTTTATTTATCCATTTATTTATTCATTCAAGAAATCTTCGTTGAGCACCTACTATGTACCAAGCATGGTAGATACAGCAGTGAATGGTACAGATAAAAATTCCTCCCCTAGAGAAGCTTCTTCCTAGTGGAGCTTATATTCTGATTATTCTAGGTTTGTTTCAAGGGTTTCATCTCCCCGAGATCACATGTGACACATCCTTAAATGGAAGCCTGGGAGCTTCTCACTTGTTCAGCATTTAGATCTCAATAACTGATCCAAACCTTCCTGGTATGACGTTCCATTATGTCCTTGGGCCCTGTCCTTGATCCCTGCTATATTATTTACTCTGCATTCCCTGGCCCTTTAGGCTTAACTCTGCCTTCCAACCCTGAATAATTCCTTGGTTTGGTCCTAAAAACTTGATGGAGATCCCAGGCTTGTGCTCCAGGCATTGTGCAGGACTACAAAGATGAGTAGGACAGGAACACGGGTTTTCAAGGAGCACAGCATGTCATGAGGGTGAGAGATGCACGAATGATACAATGAACTTGGTGAGGGAAGTGAGGAAAGAGGCAGCTCAGACTTCCCAAGGGAGGGCTCACCTTATCTGAATCTTGTGGGATGGAGAAGATGTGGTGAAGGACAGGTGGGCCGTTGAGAGGGAGGTGAAAGACCGTACAGTTTGGAGGAGAAGCAAGAACAGATGCTGGAAGATAAGATGGGAATGAGCAGGAAGCAGGGGGTAAGATCATGGTTTCATTGTTCCTTTCTGTTCAACAATATGTGTGGGCTGCCGCTGTCTCCCAAGCCCTGAGCTCAACCCCAGGACAAGGCTAGTGAATAGAACAGACCCAGCTCTTTCCGGTCAATGATGGGGACAGGCAAGAAGCAAGCTGCAAACCTCAGCTTTGTGATGAGTGCTCAGAGACATATGAGCACTCATCACAGTAGAGGAGCAAAAATGGCAGCTAGGGTCCTGCGTGGACAGTCAGGAAAGGCCCCTCTGCCAAGGTGACCTAGAGCTGAGGCCTGAAGGTTGAGAAGGAGCTGGCTCTGGGGAGAACAGGGAAAGGAGCCAGCCAGGTGGAGTGCTGAGCAGGGAGGGACTGAGGAAGTTATTTCAGGGACTCCAGAAGGAATGTGCCCAGAGCGTGGAGGAAAAAGCAGGGGTTTGGGGGTGGGGGCGGAAGGAGCAGGTGGTATTACATTTTGCCTCTGTGTAGAGAGTGGGTATGGTTGTGAAGGAGAGAAGATGGGGTACACCTGGAGGAATCTGATCATACTTGCATTTTCAAAATATAATAATAATAATTGCACAGTGATGACATTAAGATAATTAGTGTGTGTGTTACAATGCATAATGTAACATTAAGATAATTTTAGTGTGAAAATGGGAAGGTGGTTAAACAAAAGTCTTTATCAGTTAGCGCTCTATGCAGAGCTCTTTACAGGGGAAAGGATCTAAGATTTACTTTAAAATAGTTTGGAAAAATAAGTGCGGGAAGAGATAAAACAACATTGGCAAAATGATGTTGATTGCTGAAGCTGGGTTTGGGGTACATGAGGGTCATTAAATGATTCTATATTTTGGATGTTTGAAATTTTTCATAACAAAAGTGTTTTAAGATTTGTAAAAAAATTATATGCAGTAAATGCCCAATAAATAGGAAATTGTTAATAACAGTTGCTGTTTATTGAGAAGCTACTGCATGGCAGATTTCGAGTTAATTAGTATATTATATACATAAGCTTAGGTGTCCCTACACTTTTAAAATTGTACACCCATCTACAAAAGTGATTTGAAGCATATGCCACTGATAGAATTACATTTGATTAGCCACTTACACAATGTCAAACGGTGTGTTTTGAGTATCTTATGAAGCATACACAATTTTTAAGCAATTTTTAAAGGAAGAAATTAAGTTACAATAAACAATATTTGATGTGTTGCTAATTGTGGTGGCCATGTACTATCATTAGATGGTATCTCCAGGTACAAGTTAGACATAGAGAAAAAATTTTGATTAATAAGAATGGGTATAAATCCATATTCCAAACCATTTTATGATAATTTCCTTTGAATGGGTGGTGGGCAGTGTTTTGTCAGCATGGATCATATCATCATTTATTTTGCCTTTTAAGGTGGTGCATGAAGAAACCAAACAGAAGTGGAAGAAGGGTGAGTTCCATCATTTTTCGGCTGCTCACTTATATTTATCTATTAGTACTTTAATAAATAGATTCTTAGCAAGAATGTCTTTTAAGTCATAAAACTTGGTATTATAACCCTTAAACTTACCCAGGCACATATAAATTGCCATACGAGGCAATTCACTAAAAACGAGTGAATGAATGAGGGGGTGTCAGCAGCTACTTTGCATTGTAAAATAAAGAAAAAAGTTGACATACAGATCAAATATAAGCCTGGGCACAGTGGCTCATGCCTGGAATCCCAGCGCTTTGGGAGGCTGAGGTGGGCAGATCCCTTGAGCTCAGGAGTTTGAGACCAGCCTGGGCAACATGACAAAACCCTGTCTCTATAAAAAATACAAAATTTAACTAGGTGTGGTGATACATGCCTGTAGTCCCAGCTACTTAGGGGACTGGGGTAGGAGGATCACTTGAGCCAGGGAGATAGAGGCTGCAGTGAGCCATGATTGCATCACTGCAATCAAGCCTGGGTGACAGAGTGAGACCCTATGTCAAAAAAAAAAAAAAAAAAAAAGTGGGTGGCAAGTGTCTGTATATACATAAATATTATGAAAGCTTAATTTTCTTTGGAGACAAATCAATTACAAGTAGAAATTCTAATTCTTTCTGTACCGCAGTGGAGCATCACGAGCCCCACCTTGGAGTGTGTGCGCTCCACTTTGGAGAGCTTTTTATTGATTTCTGAGTACTCTTGGTAACCCTGTAAGGCGGACATTTTGCACATAAGAAAAATGAGCCCGGGTAGGTTAAATGATTTGCCCTAGGGGCATGGTTGTTAAGAAGCAGATCAGGATTGGAACTCAGGGATGACAGACTGAAAGTTCCTTACTTATTAATAATAGTGCTAACTGCCAGTCCTTAGTATTGGCTATAGACGGGACAGTCATGTGGGTACCATGATCTCTGTGACATAGAAGACAGAAAGTCGGCAAGGCAAAGTAACTTTTTTATGCTCATACTGGTCTGTCTGACCCTAGAGTCCAACTGTCTGCACGTGAACCCTAATTCACCACTAAACTAGAGTACATGATTTACCTTCCCCAGTTCTCAGTTTTCTCATCTTTAAAATGGGCCAATAAGAACACCTAACTCATAGAGCTTTTGCAAGTTCTAAATGAGACCATGAATGTGAATGTGAATAGTATCTATAATTATTATTGTTCTCTATTCTGGAGGTAAGAGTGTGGAAGAAGCTTAAATGCCAAAGCATCAGAAGTACTCTAAAATATCAATGTATATTATTGGGATGAAGGAATGAGTTGCCCGATAGGCTCCTCCATTTTCTC
The DNA here is from genome assembly GCF_000001405.40 of Homo sapiens. Classification (NCBI taxonomy): domain Eukaryota; kingdom Metazoa; phylum Chordata; class Mammalia; order Primates; family Hominidae; genus Homo; species Homo sapiens. The sequence continues at coordinate 82,552,461 of NC_000016.10, forward strand.
AAACAGGCTCTATGCCTGGACTCTGGTCTTGCATTTCACCCACGGTGAAGCTGCCCGAGGCCTCATGCTCTCTTGGGCAGAAGCCTGGCAATTTCCCTTGCCTGGTTTGAATCTTGTCCAACTATATCTGCAGTAGGCTATAACCCTACCATTTTCCTCCTGGCACTAGGAATAAAAATTGGGCTCATCAATTTTTACTATTGAATCAGGAAACCTGGAGAGAAAAAGGCCAGCGTGGACAGGGCTCCCATATTTATGTGGCAGGGACACAAATAATGTCTTGCCGTCTGACAGCAGATATAGGCCTGGAATTTCTGCAAAGGCTTTCCAACTCACAACATATTTTAATGCCATATTTGAGCTCTATGGCAGAAAGGCTCTCTCTGGACACTGGAGCACAGCTGTGAAAAAAAAAATTGATCTACTCCTAAGATTTAAGTATGCTGCAAATTAAAAAAGAAATTTTCAGGTGGTTCACGTAAAGGGAGGACCATCTGTCAAGAGGACCCAGAGTCACAGCAATGCCCAAAGTGGACCTGTGAGAAGACTATGATTTACCGGGCATTTACAACAGGCCTCTCTCTGTGCCAAACGTTTCTATCTATTATCTCATTGAAAGCTTGTAACAGCCATATGAGGTTGGTACTGATACCACTCAGAATCCTACATGGAAACAGATGATACAGTAAAATTATGATAACTAGAGGAGGGTTACTTTGAAAGGGTACTATGTTTTACAAAAAAGAAATGGTTGGCTTAGGGGTGGTAACAGCTCTGTTGCTACCTTCTTTACAAAGGAAAAGAATGGGGATTTGGAAATGGAGCTCTTGGAAATTCTGTGGGAGTTGGCATGTCAGCATTTTAGGGCACTTAGTCACATTCTGTATCCAGGGTGCACAGTAGCCCATGTTGCAGACCTCCCAGAAGGAGGCCATCAGGACTTTGGGCATCTTGGAAGCAGCCTTTCAAAACCATTAATGCTGCTAAGGGAGGGCAAGAAGGGTGGAGCCTGGGTGGATCAGATCTCTATTCATTGTGGGTCCAGGTGGTCACTGCATCTCAGGGTTTCAGCATTGGGGTGGACCGTTAGTTGCTGTCCAGAACATCACGTTTTCACTTTTTACCTTCTTTACAAAGGTAGCAACAGAGATGTTACCACCCCTAAGCCAAAAACATGAGGAGAGGTAGCAGTTGCCAGAACCCAGAAGGAGAAGAGCCTGCCTCGGGTAGAGTAGGGGTCTTTGATGGGGGTACACAGGCAGCTTAAGGTAACACCTTGGAGTGGGAGCAGTGGGAATCAATAGCTTAACCTTCCTCTCCTTCCTCTGCTGATTCCTGCTAGGCTTACCCACTGGCTGAAGTCAACCAGAATCCAGAGGGCAAGAAAACCTGCTGGGGTAGTCCAGGGTTTATCAACCTCTGAACTGTTGACGTTTAAGATTGAATAATTCTTTATTGTAGAGAACTATCCTATGCATTGCAGCATGTTTAACAGCATCCCTAGCCCCTACCCATCAGACACTGAAAACCTTTGACTCCATGTCTCACATCCAGGCCACATTGATGCAAGGGGTAGGCTCCCAAAGCCTTGGTCTGCTCTGCTCTTGTGGCTTTGCAGGGTACATTTTTTTTTTTTTTGCATTTTGTGATATGCAAAAATGTCTCTAGATATTTCCAAATGTCCATGGGGAGGTGAGTGGGAACTGTCCTGGATGGGAACCACTGGTATGGTTCATGTAGGTTACTCTCCCTGGAAGAGAGCAGGATGTCGATGTGTAGAGAGTAGATCTGGAGAAAAGAACCAAGAGAGAACTTACATTATTCTCATTTCATTGCCAAGGAAACTGAGGCTCAAGCAAATCAATTAACTTCCTCAAACACACACAGATTGTGAAGGCAGAAGCCAGTTTGCAAACCTAGGTCTGTTTGATCTCAACACCAGAACTTATAATCACAAGCCTCATTCCATATTCACAGATTGGAAATATCCCAGAGGAAAAGAATGGGGATTTGGAAATGGAGCTCTTGGAAATTCTGTGGGAGTTGGCATGTCTGCATTTTAGGGCACTTACTCACGTTCTGAATCCAGAGTGCACAAAAGCCCATGTTGCAGACCTCTCAGCAAAAGGAGGCCATCAGACACATAGGACTTTGGGCATCTTGGAAGCAGCCTTTCAAAACCATTATTGCCCCTAAGGGACGAGCAAGAAGGATGAAGCTTGCGTGGATCAGTTCTCTATTCATTGTGGGTCTAGGGGGCCACTGCATCTCAGAGTTTCACCACTTGGGTAGGTTGTTAGTTGCTGTCTAGAACATCACCTTTTTACCTTTCACTCTCTTTCAGTTTCCTTCCTTCCTTCCATCTATCTGTCCTTCCTTTCTTTCCTCCCTTCCTTCCTTCCTTTTCTCTCTCAACCCTTTAAAGTGGTATTATAGTAAGTATATTTCAAGAGGTAGAAGCCACTCAAATACCTGTGAACAGGTGAATAAACAAAACAATAATGGCAAATGCTTATCTAGGAGTTACTACATGCCAAATATATTAGGCCATTCTCACATTGCTATAAAGAACTTCCTGAAACTGGGTAATTTATAAAGAAAAAATGTTTAATTGGCTCACAGTTCTGCAGGATGTATAGGTAGCATAGTTGGGGAGGGCTCAGGAAACTTTCAGTCATGGCAGAAGGCAAAAGGGGAAGCAGGCATGTCTTCACATGGTAGAGCAGGAGGGAGAGAGTGAATGGAGAGGTGCTATACACTTTTAAATAACCAGATCTCATCAGAACTCACTCAGTGTCATGAAAATAGCAAGGGGGAAATCTGCTCCCATGATGTAATCTCCTCCCACCCTGCCCCTCCTCTAATATTGGGGAATACAATTCAACATGAGATTTGAGCAGGGACACAAATCCAAACCATATCTTTCTACCCCCGGCCCCTCCCAAGTCTCATGTCCTTCTCACATTGCAAAATACAATTATCCCTTCTCAATAGTCTCCAGTCTTAACTCATTTCAGCATTAACTCAAAAGTCCAAGTCCAAAGTTTCATCTGAGACAAAGTGAGTCCCTTCCACCTATGAGCCTGTAAAATAAAAAACAAGTTAGTTGATTCCAAGTTATAATGGGGGTATAGGCATTGGGTAAATATTCCCTTTCCAAAAAACAGAAATCAAATGAAACAAAGGGGCTACAGGCCCCATGCAAGTCAGACACCCAGCAGGGCGGTCATTAAATCTTAAAACTCCAAAACAATCTCCTTTGACTCCATGTGTCACATCCAGGTCACACTGGCACAAGGGGTAGGCTCCCAAGGCCTTGGGCAGCCCTGCTCCTGTGGCTTTGCAGGGTATAGCTTCTGCGGCTGTCTTCATAGCTGGTGTTGAGTGCCTGCTGCTTTTTCCAAGCACATAGTGCAAGCTGTCAGTGGATCTACCATTCTAGGGTCTGGAGGATGGTGGCCCTCTTCTCACAGCTCCACTAGGCAGTGCCCCAGTGGGAACTCTGTGTGGGGCCTCCAACCCCACGTTTTCTCTCCAGATTGCTCCAGTAGAGGATTTCCATGTCTCCTGCATGGACATTCCCATGTCTTCTGCCTGGACATCCAGGTGTTTCCCTACATCCTCTGAAATCTAGGTACAGGCTCCTAAGCCTCAAATATTGCCCCCTGTGCACCCACAGGCTTAATACCACATGGAAGCCACCAAACCTTATGGTTTATACTTTCTGGAGCAGTGGCTTGAGACGTATTTGGGACCCTTTTAGCTACAGCTGGAGCTGGAGTGGCTGCAACACAGGGAGCAGTGTCCTGAGATTGTGGAGGGCAGCAGATCCCCGAGTTTGGCCCAGGAAGCCATTCTCTCTTCCTAGGCCTCCAGGCCTATGATGAGAGGGGCTGCCATGAAGGTGTCTGAAATGTCTTTGAGGCATTTTCCCTGTTGTCTTGGCTATTGACATTTGGCTTCTCTTTACTTATGCAAATTTTTGCAGCTAGCTTGAATTCCTCCCCCAAAAATGGGTTTTTCTTTTCTGCTACATGGCCAGGATGCAAATTTTCTGAGCTTTTATGCTCTGCTTCCCTTTTAAATATAATTTCCAGTTTCAGGTCATGTCTTTGCTGAAGTATATGACTACACACTGTTAGAAGCAGCCAGGCCATATATTGAACGTTTTTGCTACTTAGAAATTTCTTCTGCCGGGTACCCTAAATCATCTCTTTCAAGTTCCAAGTTCCCCACGTCTCTAGGGCAGCAGCAGAATGCCACCAACTCTTTACTAATGCATAACAGAAGTGACCTTTACTCCAGTTCCCAATAAATTTCTCATCTCCTTCTGAGACAACCTCAGCCTGGACTTCATTGTCCACATCACTATCAGCATTTTGGTTACGACAATTTAAAGGTCTCCAGGAAGTTCTGAATATTCTCTCTTTTTCCTGTTTTCTTCTGAGCCCTCCAAACTGTTTCAACCTCTGCCCATTACCCGGTTCTAAAGCTATTTCCACATTTTCAGTTATCTTTATGGCAATGCTCCACCTCCCAGTACCAATTTTCTGTATTAGTCCATTCTCACATTGCTATAAGTAACTACCTGAGGCTGGCAATTGATTTGGTTTGCTGTGCCCGCACTGAAATCTAATCTTGAATTGCAGTTTCCATAATCCCCATGTGTCATGGGAGGGACCCAGTGGGAGTGTAACTGAATCATGGTGGCAGTTTCTCCCATGCTATTCTCATGATAGTGAGTGAGTTCTCATGAGATCTGATGGTTTTATAAGGGGCTTACCCCTTCGCTCAATTTTCATTCTTTTCTCTCCTTCTACGTTTTGAAGGATGCGTTTGCTTCCCCTTCTGCCATGAGCGTAAGTTTCCTGAGGTCTTCCCAGCCCTGTGGAACTGTGAGTCAATTAAACCTCTTTTCTTTTAATATTATAAATTACTTAGTCTTGGGCATGTCTTTATTAGTAATGTGAGAATGGACTAATATGGTAAATTGGTATTGCAGAGAATGGGGCACTGCTATAAAGATACTTGAAAATGTGGAAGTGGCTTTGGAACTGAGTAACAGGCAGAGGTTGGAACCATTTCGAGGGCTCAGAAGATGACAGGAAAATGTGGGAAATTTGGGAACTTCCTAGAGTCTTGGAGGGCTCAGAAGACAGGAATATGTGGGAAAGTTTGGAACTTCCTAGAGACTTGTTGAATGGCTTTGGCCAAAATGCTTATAGTGATACGGACAACGAAGTCCAGGCTGAGGTGGTCTCAGATAAAGATAAAGAACTTGTTGGGAACTGGAGTAAAGGTCACTCTTGTTATGCAAAGAGACTGGCAGCATTCTGCCCCTGCCTTAGAGACCTGTGGAACTTTGAACTTGAGAGAGATGATTTAGGGTACCTGGTGGAAGAAATTTCTAAGCAGCAAACCATTCAAGAGGAAGCAGATCATAAAAATTTGGAAAGTTTGCAGACTGAAGATGCAATAGAAAAGAAAACCCCATTTTCTGGGGAGAAATTCAAGCTTGCTGCAGAAATTTGCATAAGTAACAAGGATCCAAATATTAATAGCCAAGACGATGGGGAAAATGTCCCCAGGGTATGTCACAGACTCTCACAGCAGCCCCTCACATCACAGACCCACAGGCTTAGGAGTGAAAAATGGTTCTGTAGGCCAGGCCCAGGGCCCCCCTGCTCTATGTAGCCTTGGGACATGGTGCCCTGAGTCCTAGCTGTGTTAGCTCCAGCTGTGGCTGAAAGGGGCAACGTACATGTCAGGCCATTGCTTCAGAAGGTGCAAGCCCCAAGCCTTGGTGGTTTAGACGTGGTGTTAGGCCTGTGGGTGCACAGAAGTCAAGAACTGAAGTTTGGGAACCTCCACCTAGATTTCAGAAGATGTATGGCAATGCCTGGATGTACAGGCAGAAGTCTCCTGCAGAGGCAGAGCCGTCATGGAGAACCTCTGCTAGGGCAGTGTGGAAAGGAGATGTAGGGTTGGGGCCCCCACACAGAGTCCCCACTGGGGCACTGCCTAGTGGAGCTGTGAGAAAAAAGCCACTGTCCTCCAGGCCCCAGAATGGTAGATCCACCAACAACTTGCACTGCACACTTGGAAAAGCTGCAGACAATGCCAGCTGTGACAGCAGCCAGGAGGGGGGCTACACCCTGCAAAGCCTCAGGGGCAGAACTGCCCAAGGCCATGGGAGCCCACCTCTTGCGTCAGCGTGACCTGTATATGAGACATGGACTCAAAGGAGATCATTTTGGAACTTCAAGGTTTAAGGACTCCCGTATTGAATTTTAGACTTACCTGGGGTCTGTAGCCCCTTTGTTTTGGCCAGTTTCTCCCATTTGGGTGTATTTACCCAATGTCTGTACCTCCATTGTATCTAGTAAGTAACTAACTTGCTTCTGATTTTACAGGCTCATAAGCAGATGAGGCTTGCCTTGTCCCAAATGAGACTTTGGACTTGGACTTCTGAGTTAATGATGGAATGAGTTAAGAATTTAGGGGATTGTTGGAAAGGCATGATTGTGTTTTGAAATGTGAGGACATCAGATTTGGGAGGAGCCAAGGGCAGAATGATATGGTTTGGCTGTGTTCCCACCCAAATCTCATCTTGAATTGTAATTCCCATAATCCCTACATGTCATGGGAGAGACCCAGTGGGCATGTAATTCAATCATGGGGGCAATTTCTCCTATGCTATTCATGGGATAGTGAGTAAGTTCTCATGAGATCTGGTGGTTTTATAAAGGGCTTCCCCCTTCATTTGATTCTTCTTCTTCTCTCTCCTGTCACCTTGTGGAAAAGGATGTGTTTGCTTCCCCTTCTGCCATGATTGTAAGTTTCCTGAGGCCTCCCTAGTCCTGTGGAACTGAGTCGATTAAACCTCTTTCCTTTATAAATTACCTCATCTCAAGTATGTCCTTATTAGGAACCTGAGAACAGACTAATACAGTAATTTATAAAGAAAAGAGGTTTAATTTGCTCACAGTACTGCAGGCTGTAGAGGTGCATGGCTAGGGAGGCCTCAGGAAACTTTCAATTATGGTGGAAGGCAAATTGGGAAGCAGGCATGTCTTCACATGGTTGAGCAGGAGAGAGAGAAAGTGAAGGTGAAGGTGCTACATACGTTTAATCAACCAGATGTCATGCGAACTTAATATCACAAGAATAGCAAGGGGGCAATCTGCCTCCATGAACCAATGACCTGCCACCAGGCCCCTCTTCTGCAAATCTACATGAGATTTGGGTGGAGACACAAAGCCAACCCATATCACTAGGTGCCATGCTAAGTGCCCTACATCAAATAACTCATATAATATAAAACAAAACAAAAAAATCCCCAATAGGCTCTAATAATCCAATTTTACAAATGAGGTGATAGAAGTTCATAGAGATTAAGTGACTTTTCCAAGTCCATACAGCTGGTGAGTGAGGGACCCTAAATTTGAACCTAGGCTGTTGGCTCCAGGGTCTGTCCTTTTATTACAAAACTAGAGCACTTCCCACACAAATGAATATTTTTATTTTCTTCAATCAAGTACTTGAATATGACATAGAAATATGTACTTGCTTTTATCAGAGTAATTAAGAAAGAATAAGCTAGACAAATGTGCATAAGTCAAATAACTCCAAAAATAACGAAGCAGATTATGTTGAAAGTTCAGGCAGGACAGGTCAGCACTGATGGTCATGTGTAAATGACCAAGTAGAAGGAGATGTTCCAAAATGATTAATTAGCCAAAAGTCCTCGAGACTCACACTAAGTACACAGACCCAATTGCTCATCTACTAGGAGATGAAACCTCTGGAAAGCTGTACAGATTATAATAAAATTTGAATAGAAATTTGTGGATTTTTAATAATGCTAGCCTACCAGAGCAATAAATTAAAATGACAGCATAAGCGGCAAAGAGGTGTAATACCGGCCCAACAAGATGTTCAAAGCACACAGTTTGTCGTGAGATCCCAAAGCTGCCAAGAAGAAAACCTATGTGAAAAGTTGTACCTAGGAAGTTGTATCATAAGGGTGTATTGTTTGGGGTTTACTCAGCCTAATGGCCAGGCTTGCATTACCTTAGGGGATTTTTAACCTCAGCTGGTCTGAGAAGTTATTCTTATACTTTGGGTATGCTTATGATACATGCAATCAAGGAAACTGTCAAAATATTATAATGAAAACTCTAGGAAGTAATACAAACTGCATTGCAATAACTCTAGATAACTAAAAGTTCGTTCAAGTATACATATAATGAAACAATGAATGAAATGCTATTTTAGAACCGGTTTTAGTGTGTTTTAGTACATTTGCAAGCATTATTTGTATGTTTTGTCTGCTCTTGAAGGTGCCTAAAATTTTCAAAAGACTCAGATGTAGCGTGCATAGCAGCTCCTGCTGGTGCTGATGTTCTAGCCTTGTGCCTTCACATCCCTATTTTTGTGCATTCCAGTTGACTCCCTGAGGCTGAACTGCATCTTTGTCCGTGGGCCACCCACAGGCTTCCAGGACACACCCACATATGAGCACAGGGTGGGCTGGAAGTGCCCTGGAATTGACTGCCCTCGTTACCAACCCGGGACAGCAGCCCTACCCAATGACTCACAGGTGTAGGGGTATAGAAACCCCACCTCCCTTGCCTTCTTGGCCAGGATAATTCTGAGGCATGGCTTTCCATCTGTTCCTCACAGGACTGTCAGTCACCTACTGGCTTGATAACAGATCCCGTAGGGGCTGACTCTCTTTCCTCAAATTGATTGCCCATTCCTTTGCCGATGGCCCTACAACTTCCAAATATATTTTATATTCTCAAACTCCTATCAGAGAATGCTTCTGGAGAAACCCCAGCTAAGAGATTATATTTGTATCCGTGGCATAATTAGTATTTAAGGGTTGATAGTAAAATTTGTAAGCAACATTTAAATTATCAAGAAAATATTGTCTTTAAAAAATTGCATATGATCTAACAGATAATTTTATTAACTGGAACGCTAAGCAAAGCACAGGAATTCACAGTTGTTTGTCACCAGGCACAAACATTTCTTATACACTGGATAATACATTAATGTCTGATAGTCAAACTCCTAATCCACTTCCTAAAAACAGCCCAAATATTAGGGTTTCATGGACCCCTAGTGAATTAGCTGTTTCATCCTCTCTATTCTCGCAACATTTGATTAGTATTTCTGAAACAGCTTGCACCATGCTGCACTGTAATTTATCGGTTTACATAGGTGTGTGTGTTTCCTAGACTATTTCCTGAGTTCCTGAAAAGTACAGATCAAGTCTCATTTGCCTTTGTCATTTCCACACCACATTCTGGACTTGCCACATTATTGGCTGTAATATTGATTTGCTGGGAAAAGAAAAAGAATAAATGAATGAAATAAAAGGCACCAGTCCTGTCCAATAGACCATATTATGTGTCCTCAAGGACTAAGGCTGTTTTATGTATCATCAAAATCACTCCAGCACTATGCAGAGATCATACTAAACAATTAAGGCTTAGTGTTGAAAACTAAGTGACTGAGTGAATGAATAAATGAATTAGTGAATGAATAATTAGTGAAGCATATTGCCAACACCAGGTTGTTTTTGAGCAATTATTGCTAAATCCAACTTACTCTTTACTTTTTTGGTAGAATGTAGCTTAGCTTGGTTGTGATAATGTTTTGTTAATCAAATAACAATATAAGTTAATTTAGACTAATAGTTTTGGCTCCTCAGCATGATTTTAAAACTTGACTTTGTCATCCATCATACTGGATATTTCTTCTAGCTTTGTATCAGTCATAAACGTAGCCAATCTTCCCTCATATCACTGTAATGGAGACTTTTGCCGGCTCAGTCCATGGCTTACTTAGGGGTACAATCAGCCATGTAGGCCAGGAATTGGAAAACCATGGCCTATGAGTCAAATCAGGCCTGCAGCTTGTTTTTGTAAATAAAGTTTTATTGGAACACAGCCACATTTATGTGGTACATACTGTCTGTGGCTGCTTTCACACCTCATTGTGTGAAATTCTATAATGACAGAATCGAGTCATAGTTGTGACAGAGACCATATGGCCTGTAAAGTTTAAAATATTTACTATCTGGTCCTTTACAGAAAAATTTTGCTGATGCTTGTATTAGTCTGTTCTCACACTGCTATAAAGAACTACCTGAAACTGGGTAATTTACGAAGAAAAGAAGTTTAATTGACTCATACATAGTTCTACAGGCTATACAGGAAGCATGGCTGAGGAGGCCTCAGGAAATGTACAATTGTGGCAGGAGGCAAAGGGGAATTAAAATTCAACATGAGATTTGGGTGGGGTCACAGACCCAAACCATATCAATCCTTGATTTAGATGATAAATCTAACAGTGAACTACATGCCACCGTCTTGTGCATAAGGCCTCCCCTGAGCCTTGTTATGTGCCCTGTTGAAATCAAGATACATTGTGCTCTTACCTCTGTCATTGAAGTAACATTATCAAGGAGGCAAGTGCAATTTTATAGTACAAATGCCTCTAGTGAACCCAACGGATTTCTAGTGATCAATACATTAGGAAACAAAATGTTCACTGAACATATATGTGATCCTTGTTTTGGGAATTCTATCCCTGTGATAGTGAGCCTGGGGTTAACCATTCTGTGCTGGAAAAGACTTGGAAAAAATGAGGAGTGAACCTCTTTTTCACTTCTCTAGCATTCTTCTCTATCCCATTCCCACAAATGGAGACCCTTTGGTGCTAGATTAAGCTAATGGTTGGCTTTATCTCCCTGGATCACAGTTTTGTCATCTATAAGATATTAGTTTTCAGAGTTAATATGAGGATCAGATGAGATAATTAGTCGCTGTAAAAATAACTATAATTACCAACATTTAGTGAATGCTTTTTGCAGACACTGTGCCAAGAAATTTTAACTTTCATTATCTCATTTAATTCTCATAAAACATAGTGAAAATTGCCCCCAGTTTACAGGCAACATACAGATATATTCATTTGTCCCTTAAGCAAGTATTCATTTTATTTATTATTCATTTTTTAACTCACAAACAAAAATTGTATATATTCATGGTGTACAACATAATGTTTTGAAATATGTATACATTGTTGAATAGCTAAATCAAGTGAATTAACATATGAATTACGTCACATATTTATTTTGGTGAGAATGCTTAAAATCTATTTGCTGATTTTTAAATATACAATGCGTTGTTATATGATAGATCTCTTGAATTCTTGAATGTATTCCTCTTGTCTAACTGAAATTTTGTATGTTTTTACCAACGTCTCTGCAGTCCATTACCCCCTCACCCCCAGCCCCTGGTAACCACTCTTCTATTCTCTGCTTCTATTAATTCAGCTTTTTTAGATTCCACATACCAGTGAGATCATGTAGCCTCTGTCTTTTTGTACCTGGTTTAATTCACTTAGCATAATGTCCTGCAGGTCCATCCATGTTGTTACAAATGGCAGGGTTTCTTTCTTTTTTAAGGCCGAATAGTATTCCATTGTGTATATATACCACATTGTCTTTATCCACTTATCCATTGATGGACATGTAGATTGGTTTTATAGCTTGGCTGTTGTGAACAATGCTGCAATGAACATGGAAGTGCAGATAGATCTTCGACATTCTGGTTTCATTTGCTTTCGATGTATACCCATTAGTGCACTGCTGGATCATATGGTAGTTCTATTTTTATTTTTTTTAGGAAACCCCATACTGTGTTCTATAAATGGCTTTATTTATATTCCCACCAACAGAGTTTCACTTTTTTCCATATTCTTGCCAACACTTAGCTTTCATCTTTTTGGTAGTAACCAATCTAACAGGTGTGAGGTGATATCTCACTGTGGTTTTACTTTGCATTTCCATGATAATTAGTGATATTGAGCTTTTTTTTCATACATGTGTTGGTCATTTTATGTCTTCTTTTGAGAAATGTCTATCCAACATAGTAGTGGAAGTCCTAGCCAGGGTAATTAGGCAAGAAAAAGAAATAAAAAGCAGCTAAATCAGAAAGAAAGAACTTAAATTATTTATGTTTAGAGATGACATTATCTTATATATAGAAGACTCCTAAAGACTCCACAAATAAAACTGTTGGAGGTAATATAAAAATTCAGCAAAGTGGCATGATACAATATCAACAAAAAAATCAGTACTATTTCTATACATTAACAATGAGCTGTCTAAAAAAGAAAGCAAGAAAACACTCTCACAATAGCTACAAAAAATAAAATACTTAGAGATAAATTTAACAAGGAGGTAAAAGATCTCTACACTGAAAACTATAAAACACTGATGCAAGAAATTGGACTAGACACAAATAAATGGAAAGATATCTTGTGTTCACGGACTGAACTAATTTATATTGTTAAAATGTCCATACTACCTAAACTGATCTCCTGATTCAGTGCAATCTCTATTAAAATTCCAATGACTCTTTTCACAGAAGTAGAAAAAAAATTCTAAAATTTATATGGAATCACAAAAGATCCTGAAGAGCCAAAGAAATTTTGAAGCATCACATTACCTGACCTTAAAATATACTACAAAGCTATAGTAATGAAAACAGCATGGTACTGGCATGAAAACATACACACATAGACCAATGGAACAGAATAGAAAGTCCAGAAATAAATCTACACATTAATGGTCAATTGATTTTTTGACAAAGATGCCAAGAACACATACTAGGGAAAAGACAGTCTCTTCAATAAAAGTTGTTAGAAAAAGTGGATATCCAGCTGGGTGCAGTGGCTCATGCCTGTAACCCCAGCAAATTGGGAGGCCAAGGCCGGAGGATCACCTGAGGTTGGGAGTTTGAGACCAGCCTGACCAACATGGAGAAAACCCCATCTCTACTGAAAATACAAAATTAACTAGGCATGGTGGTGCATGTTTGTAATCCCAGCTACTTGGGAGGCTGAGGCAGGAGAATCACTTGAACCTGGGAGGTAAAGTTTGCGGTGAGCTGAGATTGTGCCATTGCACTCTAGCCTGGGTCTCAAAAAAATAAAAAAAAATAAAAATAAAAGAAAAAGAAAAACTGGATATCAAAAAGAATAAAATTGGACCCTTGCCTTACACCATATAAAAAATAATCTCAACGTACATTAAAAAGTTAATCTTGGCCGGGCGCGGTGGCTCATGCCTGTAATCCCAGCACTTTGGGAGGCTAAGGTGGGTGGATCACGAGGTCAGGAGTTCAAGAGCAGCCTGGCCAAGATGGTGAAACACCATCTGTACTAAAAAACCCTGTCTCTAGTAAAACTACTAGAAGAAAACATGGAGAAAAAGCTCCATGATGGTAGTTTGGGCATTAGTTCTTTTGGATCTAACCCCCATAAAACACAGGCAGCAAAAGCAAAAATAGACAAATGGGATTACATCAAAGTAGAAACTTCTGCATAACCAAGAAAAAGTCAACAGAGTGAAGAGATAGCCTATGGAATGGGAGAAATTATTTGCAAATCATGCATCTAATAAAAGGTTAATATGCAAAATATATAAGAAATTCAACTCAGTAGCAGAAAACAATCAATTCAAAGAAGGGGAAATCTGAGCAAGTATTTATTAGGCACTACTATAAGCCAGGTACTATATCCCAAGTACTATTCTAGCACTTGGGATACATCTTTGAACAAAACCAACAAATGTCCCTACCCTCATATATGTGGAGAGTGGAGGCAAACAATAAACAACACATACAATAATAACAAATGTATTTAATATATTAGAAGATAATTACTGCTATGGAAAAATGAAAGTAGAACAGGGAAAGGGAGACTGAAAGTGCTGGAGATAGGTTGGGGGAGGGAAGAAGTGATCAGGGTTGGCCTCATTGAGAAGGTGATGATATCAATGAAATCTTGAAAGAAACAAGGAAGTCAGCCCCATAGACATCTGAGAGAAGAGCCTTCCAGTGTCACTAGCTTTGGTTGTGGCACAACCAGGATTCCAAGTCAGCTCTGTCAGACTGCAGAACCCAAACTCACAATAACCAAGGTCAACAAATGTTAGTTCCCTGCTCAGTCCTCTCCAAGAAATGTGCTGTGAATTCCTGTTTTTTTTTTTTTTTTTTTTTTCCCTTGGCTGTTGCCTACATTCATTCTGGGCTTGCCTTGCCTCAAGCCATTCCTATAGGTCAACATGGATGTCCCATCTTTGTCTCTGATCACATGCTCTGCCTTTATTATGGGACCTTTTCAGACCTGATGGCTTCTGAGGGCCATGGTGCTGCCTTTCTGGCTTCAATTCTTGTGTTTTCCCTGGAGTAGTTTGTGATTTCATCTCAGCAATCCTCCTTCAGAATCTTCTGGCCCTTCTAAGTCGTGTAACTATTTAGCCTACCAAACATCATGCCCATACTTTCTCTGTGTAGACAGCTGTACTTTTATCTTCTCTGTTGTTGTTTGCTCAAGAAGCCAGAGTCACTTTCTGTCACTTACAACCATAGGACTCTGATACCACGGTTTTAAAAGAATCTAATTTCTTAGGAAAGTAGTTTTTTTGGTTGTTGTAGCTTTCCAGTGCTGGTGTTTTTTCTTCCCTTATTATTAAAAATCTCAGGAAAGTAGAGTTACCTTTTTATGGCCTACTGCCCCTCTGTCACTACTAACGCCTTTCTTTTCAAACCCAGGCTTAGTCCTCAGTCACAGGTTGCTTTATTGGTTCATCGGCACCAAGAGGTTGAAACAGTCTTCAACGTAGCAACTCTCCAGACCCTCTATTTTTAGCTGAATTAGATTCCTAGCAGATGTCTGGATAGTAGACGTCTCTCTTAATTACCATAACTTGTCTGGGTGCCATTTTTGAGATCCCCAAAATAGAGATTGAAAATAGAACCCACCTCATAGGGCTGTAGTGAAGATCAAATGCAAAAAGTGCATACAAGGACAGTTATCACAGTACTTGGCCTTGGCATGTAGTGAGGATTTCTGCGCGTCAGCTATTCCAGTTAGAGGGAGGCACTTTATTTGTGTTGGAGAGAGAGAGACAGACTGTTTCAGCTCAGCTCCACTACTCATCAGCTTCGTGATTCTGAGTGATCGCTCATACTCCCTAGGCTGTAAAGCTGGAGTGATAATAGCAATTTGAGTAGTACATGTAATAAAAAGTATAAAATAATATGTATAAAAATCCTAGAATAATAACAATTTTAGTATTAAATGAGATAAAAAGCATAAAAATGCATAAAATTATGTGAATAAAAATGTTGAAATAATATCAACTAAGTATTGAGTCCAATAAAATGTACAAAACACAAACCCTATAATAATAAAAGCAATTTGAGTATTGAATGGGATGAGTATAAAATGAATATTAATGCTATCAATCAAATATTAAGTAAAATAATATGTGTAAAGGGCTGAGTATGGTGTCAGACACTTTGTATAAGCACTTGAAAAATACACTCCAATGTTATTGTTGTTAATATTATTGACATTGTATTACCACACATCTCCTCACTGTTAGAACGTGTTGCTGTCAAGGTTGTCCTATGCGATAAAGCTCCTCTTTTGGGAGATACCAAGTGAGCACTTAATAATAACAATTCTGATCATGCACCATTACTCTTTAGGCATATATTTACCGTGTTAGATTGTCTTTTCTTCAACAATCTCATGAGCTCTCACATGAAAGTGGCTCCAAACAGAAATTGGCAGTCAAATTGGGATTTTACAAATTTTATCTCTAACAATATTTTTATACCAAAAGGCTAAATAGGATCTTTTAGGAATTTGAGAGTTCTCAAAGGGACTAATTTTCTCCAAAGAACTAGGTCACATAAAGGGAGAAGGGGAATGAGCATTACCCTCCAAGAAGCTATGTATATAGGAAGACAAAAATTAGTTCTATCTATTAGAGCAGATTATTTGGTTTAGAATTAAGTGAGAGAAAAATTATATACAAGTGACACCATAAGAGTATCCTGGAGCCTGTATGGCTAGAGGGGAGTAGTTTGCTGAGAAAATAGTTATTCATCATCACCGGGTCATGGCTGTGTGCCATTATCTTTCATTGCCCTGGAGATTCACTCTGCTCCCTTCTTGCTGCTCAGTGCCTTGGAGGCTACAGACTGCCTCACCGGGGCTCCTGGGCCCCCTGCTTCTAGTTAGGTGGCTAATGGAGAACGCTAGATGGAGCAAAGAGGGTGAGGGTACCTTGGGCTGACTGTGTCCTTTGACTTAATGTCACATGTCCGGTCGGGAGCAACTTTTCTCTATGATGCTGTCTTGCTGGACCATGAGTTTTTTGAATGAAGCTAGACTCTAAGCTCTGTGAGGAGACATTCACCAGTGTCTACTCTGTTCACCACTGTACCCCAGCACAGTGTCTGGCCCAAAAGAGGTGCTTGATAAATATATTTCTATCAAAGGAATACACTGGGGATGCCTCACTAAATTGCATTCTAAGAAGAACCACCACCTAAACCTGCCTTGTGCACTAGCTATAAAAAGAAGCCACACTCTCTCTGAGCAGGAGTTCTTAGAAATAAAGGCTCTTAAAATTCCCATCCACAAGCTGTGACTGCATCATATTAGTGATTTCCACTGGATTGTGCATGAGGTCCCAGATGTTTGAATCTTTTATTTTACAGCATTTGCTTTTCTGTGAGGTTCCAATTAATTGAATTGGGAAAAGCTGTAAGCCCCGTGACAGTGGAACTATCTCTTTGACAAAACCACATGCTGTAAAGTCAAAGATTCTTCAATATCCTTTTTGTTTAGGTCCATAAGGCTGAATGACTGACTTGACTGATTTTCTTTTTTAATATGTTTGCTTTAGCAGCTAGAAATTTTGATGTCACACATATAAAGGCCACAGGGTCATTTGGGGAAACCCACTTAGGTGGCATGTCTTCCTAGAGCATCATAGGATAATCTGGAGGAGAATCTGAAGAATTCCTTTTGTTACATTCTAGGCTATTTCTTCCTGAGATTTGAAGATGCATTTTCTCTCTGTCATTTTCTCTCATCAAAGCCTCAATAAATGTTGTCTTTAGCAACAACCGCTCAATTCTACTGTTCTTGTGCATACTAACTCCCCCCACCCCTCACCTCTCAAACATCAGTGATATTGCATGACATAGTGCATTCCCTACCACTGATAGCCTATTTCTTTTTTTGTTTGCTTGCTTTTGTTTTCATTTTGTTTTTGAGACAGAGTCTCATTCTGTTGCCCAGGCTGGAGTGCGGTGGCATGATCTCGGCTCACTGCAACCTCCACCTCCAGGGCTCAAGTGATTCTCGTGCTTCAGCCTCCCCAGGAGCTAGGATTATAGGCGCTCATCACCATGCCTGGCTAATTTTTGTATTTTTAGTGGAGATGGGGTTTCACCATGTTTGCCAGACTGGTCTCGAACTCCTGACCTTAGATGATCTGCCCGCCTCGGCCTCCCGAAGTGCTGGGATTATAGGCGTGAGCTACCGCACCTGGTGGTAGCCTGTTTCAACTCACCATATGTGAAAGTCTGCAATTGCATTTTCCTCACCCATCAGGGTGATCAGTATTCCACATCGTTCTAATCATGTGAATCCTTGTTGTCCATCAGCTGGCAATGACTCAACAGTAGACTCTCGTTTATTTTTCCCAGGACCGCTTCTGTTTGCTAACTGCCCTAATTTTGGTTTCCCAGAGGTCAAGTCTGATCAGGGATTGAAGTACATGCAATTTGTTGAGAGAATGCCCTTAAGAAATAACTGAGGGAAAAGGGGAATGAAGATAGGGAAGGGAAATGCTGAGTAAAGATGTAATCACAGGTAAAGTCTAGTCTTGGCCTGATCCATGGGGGTATTCCTGCCTTAATTTGCCCCATGAAGTTGTCTTTGCTACTTGAAGCAAGGAGATTGCCAGTCATGAACTGTGGGCTGCCTCTGGTCAATGGCGTTTCCTTTGGATGAAACAGTTCTTGTCCTCCTAGGGCATATGATGGAAATGGAGAGCACCTGTGAGCTGTTAGCAGCCAGAGTTCATAGCAACTTCACTTGACTAGTAAAGGGGCCTGGGTGGGGTGCTCAGAGCATCTGCTACATTAACTTGTATGATCTCATAACAATCCTATGAGGAAGAAGTCATTATAATTATCATTTTACAGATGAGGCAACATCTTGGGTTGTGTGTCTCAGAGACAGATCCTGAGACTAGATTTATGTGGTTTATTTAAAAAAAGTGTTACCAATACTTTAGAACTTCTTACAGAAAATTCAAGCAGGTGTAAATGAAATCCTCTCTAACACATTCTATGAGAATAGCACTACCTTAATACCAAAACAAGATAAAGACATTACAAGAAAACTACAGACCCAGTATCTCTCATGAACAAAAACCCTCAACAGAATATTAGGAAATAAAATATAAAAATCTATAAAAAAAATACCACAACCAAGTAGAATTTATTGTAAGTATGCAAGGCTGGTTCAACATTCAAAAATCAATCATTGTAATCCATTATATCAATCGGTTAAAGAAGCAAAATTATATAATATCAACTGATACACAAAAAGCAGTTGACAAAATTCAACACCCATTTATAATAAAAAATTAAGCAAACTAGGAATAGAGGGGAACTTGTTCAACTAATAAAACATATATACAAATTATTTACAGCTGATATCATACTTAATGGTAAGAAATTGGACATTGTCCTTCAACAGAATAAGGCAAGAACGCCGTTGTTTACCACTCTTATTCAGCATTGTACTGAAAGTTATAGCTACTGCAATAAGACGAGAAAATGAAATAAAAGATATGCATGTTGAAAGGGAAAAATAAAGCTCTTTATTCACAGATGATCTGATTGTCTGAAAATCCCAAAGAATCCACGAAAAAGAAAAATCAGTCATGGGACTAATCAGTGACTATAGTAACGTTGTGAGATATAAGATTCATTTACAATAGCATTAAATTTTTTTAAATGAAGTGTTTAAATGTAAGTAAAATAAGTACAAGCTGTATACATGGAAAACTGTAAAACACTGATAAAAGAAATCAAAGAAGATCTAAATAGATTGAGATATATTGTGCGTTCACAGATTGGAAGACTATTTTTAAAATGTCAGTTCTTCCCAACATAACATGTATATTCAATGCAATCTCAATCAAATTCAAGCAACATATTTTGTAGACATTGACAAAGAATTCTAAAGTTTATTAGGAAAGGCAAAAGACCTAGAATAACCAATAGAATACTGAAAAAGAAATCAACAATTGCCAGGGGTTTGAGGGAAGGAGAAAGGGTTGTGTAAGTCAAGTTTGAAAGGTTTTTTACAGTAGTGAATCTATTCTATATGGTACATTAATGGTTGATATATGACGCTATGCATTCATTAAAATTCATAAGTTTATAGTATAAAGAATGATCTTTGGTGCACGCAAATGGAAATATTTAGGAAGTTGTAAGATTCCAAGATGAAATGTAGAATGTAACAAAAGAATCTAACTGTTTTACAAATGTATAAACCAACTTTACTGAAGGGGCTGAGAGAAAAAAGAGAGAAAAAGTTGCTGATCTAAGTAACTTTGAAACGAGTGGAGTCTGTAAGATTAAGTATATAAGCACTGTCCCCTAGTTGATAAAATTGTTTCCTATAGGAGTATGGGTTAACAACTCTGAAATCTCTATTCATAGATAGTGAAAATGTAAATCAGTGACAGATAGCAGAAGCCATCATTTCTCACTGTTGGTGCTGGAGGTTATAGACAAGCAAGGAAAGATGGCTAGAATGATTTATTAGATAGTGAATTAGAGTCAGAGACATTAGGGTGAACATACTTGGCTTAATATATAGATATGTGTATATATGTGTATACAGAGATTAGTGTATATACATACATGTACACATATGTATGCATACATATGTATGCAAGTATGTACACATGTATGCATGTATGTACATATATATGTATGCATATACATACGTACATACTGATATATATTTTTTAAAAATATGTTTTGGATGATCAGTTTTGAGGTATACTGCTCCATTATCTGGTAGAATGCTTCTCAGGTGGGGTTTGATAATCCAATATAACCTGTCAATATTGATCTGTCACTTGAGGGGTAATGACACCCCAGTAGCCATCTAACACGCAGATCTTGGCTTCTAATACAATTTTCAAATAAAAGTAACTAGGGCTCCTTGAAGAAATTGCTGATTCTAGGACTTGGATAGCATTACACAAATGAGCTTCACAGCTTCTTGTGCCAGAAAATAAGAAAGTGATGGAAATAAAAATGTAAAAACTGCACAATGATGGTGGTATGTTGAGGGGCACAGGATCCAGCTGAAAGAGTTCTCAATGGCCCCAGCTAGAACAATTTGTGCAAAAACTGGTGTACATTGTAGTATAGCCTGAAGTATATAGTAAATATGTATGAGTTTATGTTGATATAAACAAATGATTGAACAAATTAATAAATAGGAGACAAATCTCCCATGCAGAAGAATTCCAAATAATGTACATAGATACTTCACTTGCAAGGACGTGGATTATAATTCCCTACTCCCTAGGTGTGGGCTACAAGTAGTGACTTCCTTAAGAAGAGTACAGTATGGAGAGTGGGGAGGAGAGTAACTTTAGAGAGTGTATAGTCTTTACATATTGTAATGAAAATGACACTTTATTTCTGTGGTCTTCTTTTCTCAATTCCACACCTTTAGTTTAATTATGAGAAACATATTAGACAAATCTCAACTGAGGAGCATCCTACCGGATAATGGACCAGTATACCTCAAAACTGGTTATCCCTAATGAAGAAAGCCTGGGAAAATGTCATAGCGAAGAGGAGCCTAGGGAGGCTTGATAACTAAATGTCATGTGGGATCCTGGATGGACTCCTGTAGCAAAAAATGAACATTAGGTGAAAATTAAGGATATCAGAATAAAGTATGGCCTTTACTTAATAATTATCTATCAATATTGAGTCCATTATTGTGACAAATGTATCCTATTAATGAAATATGTGAATAATAGAGAAAACTGGATGTGGAGTATATGGAAATCTTGTAGTATCTTTGCAAATTTTTCTGTACATAAAACTACTCTAAAATGAAAACTTTATTATTATATTAAAAAAAAGAGAAAGTGTTTCCCGAGGAAATTGGTATGGGAGTGAAAGAAACAGAGTAGGGCAGGACAACAGGGTGAGATTTTGAGTGAAGACCCAGCCTCAGCCTGAACCTGTGCAGGAGCTCTGGAGGTAAATTGCACAGCAGACTTTATCCTGTCCATAGTTGAGGCTGTTGGACATTGATATTCCTGCACGAGTCACTGATCACAGATGCCGCTGGGGTCATAAACTCCTAGACTCTGTTTGTTTGAGCAAAGTGGCTCCAGAAGTCCATGGGTGATCTTCAGAAGAGAATAAGGTGAAAGCATGCTGAAGTGGGTGCACCATGGACACACCCAACTGATTAAGGGGATTATTCAAGGAGGTTTAGGCAGCACCTTCAGTATTCACTACCCTGAGCCACAGAGAAAATAACTCACTTACCAACAGTCACAGCACTGGCAGGTCACACAGCCAGAATTCACAGCTGGGCTACGTGGCCTAGAGCTGGCACCCAACACTACATGGTAGTATGCTGTCCTGAAGGCTCTGCAACTCTCACAAGGCTTGCAACTCTCAATGACATTGAGAATTACAATTCATGATTTCCTGCACTATTGAGGGTCTGGGAGATAACAGTGGATATGCGGATTATGTTCTGACCCAAGAAGTTCCCACAGAGAAATCTCTGAATACCATGCAAATCTAGGAGAAAAGATATTCTGTAAATATGTATTGAATGAATGCACATTTTTAGCAAAAAATTCAGTGGATCTTAACTAACGGTGACAAACTGGGCACTGACTTTTCAGGCTGGGGAAGAGAGAGAACTGATGGGGCTTAGCAGAATCATCATCACCATCAGAAATTGCCTCCAGCAAAAAAAGAGTCCTGTCTGACAAGCTGTGGCCATAAATGTCTATTTCCCGCATTGCCCCCAATACCAAAGGTCCACATATGTCCCATTAAACAATTTCCAAGTGACAGATCCCAGGACACCAGGCTGCCAGAAGAATCATTGCTAATGCAGGTTTTATAATCTCCACTCATGTAACATAATTGGATTAAGGCTGTTTCCCAAGGAAAGAAGCAAAATGGTGCTTAGTGTGGACAACTTTTCTTTACAAGCAAGCTGTGTGATAACAGAACAGAGATTACCATTCCTAACCACCTGCCACCATGAACCTGGAGGATGCTTATTGTAAAAATGCCTCTTTCCTCCACCAGGGTAAGGCAAAAAAGTCAGTGCTACTGTTAGTGGAATTTATTTATGGCTCACCTTGCTCTGTTGCTTTTGGTTTCTCGCCCCTCTGATTTCTGCTTCTGCTGCTGCTTTCTTGCTCTTATTTTGTCAAGAATCCAAAGTGTTCTGTTAGTTACCATGTGTTAGTCAGCCTATACAACAGGCTGCTGCTGTAACAATTAACTCTGACATCTCAGTGGATTAAGTAAAACAAGGCTTATCTCCCACATGAAGTGCCTTCTCACATCTTTCTAGTTATGTTGTCTGGAACACATGGTCTGCAAGAGAGGAGAAGGGTGTTAAGGCACACTAAGTCTTCATTACCTCAGCCTGAGAGATCCACATGTCACTTCCACTCCGAGTTCTTTGGCCCTATGTAGTTGCATGGCCCCCACCTGACTGCAAAGGAGTATTCAGTTCTTTGGTGAGTGTGCCAAATTTCTAGAAGCTTGAGATTACGTTTTTGTTCCTGATCGATTGTGTTTTGAAGATAATAAGGAAGTATGAGATAGAGGCTGGTATAATAAAGTCAACTCATAATTTGTAAAAATGTGTTGTCCATTATAATAGTAGCCATGTCTGGCTATTTCATCTTAAATGTACATGTAAATTACATTTTCAGTTTCTCAATTACATTAGCCATATTTCTATTGTTCAACAGCCCATGTGCCTAGTGACTATCATATTGGATAGTGCAACATGGGACATTTCCATAAGTACAGAGTTTTCTCAAGCATTCGAAAATATTTCAGAACATTCTAGAATGTTCTAGAGCAAGTGACTACTATATTATGACTCTAACAGAGGCTTTTAAGGAGTTTATCCAGGCTTCTGGCTTAAGGTTTTCTTTGGTGAAAATCAGCCTGATGTGCTTTAGTGATTCTGAAGCTGTGTTAGGAAGAGATCCATTCTGATTTTAACTGGTTTGCATGCTTTTATGTAAGATTTAGCTGAAACAATGGACTTCATGGGTGAGAAAAATTTGAAAATCACTAGAGGAATGTAAAGAGGCTAAGGGGGCATAAACATCTGAATTTAAATCCTTTTCCTTCCACTTATGAGCTATGAGATCTTGGAGAAGTTAACTGATGAGCAGATCCACAGATTTACCATCTCTAGAGACTGAGATGGAATGTCCACCTCACAGTGTTGTTACAAAGGTGACAGGATCCAATGTGTGAATGAACTGCGTGGATCCAGTGCTTTTTAGTAACAACTCAGGAAATGATAGATATCCTCATAATCATCACTGTAATTCTACAACGCTCATCAATAATTTAGAAGAAACTAATTGTGGGTGACATAAATCTAAGAATGATAGGAAACATGTAATTCGGCAAAACCAGATTCACAAAGATTATAAAAAGGATAAAATATTGTGCTTAGTTTAAGAAGAGGAAGTTTGGTAAGTATAAGCATAACATTTTACCCTGGAGTCCAGGAATGTAAGTACATAAGAATAAAATTGGAGACAATGTAGTCTAATGGCACCATATTGGAAGATAGTAATGTCACTGTTGTTCAATCCTGTAATACGGCTGTATCATGAAATATGAATGTCCTCACCTCTTTGCCTTAGCAAACCATACATGGATGAGGCTTTAAGTCTTGTTATTTTAGGAGAAGCCAAGAAAGCTGGAGCAGTTTTTCTTCTTTCAGAAAATATTTAACATCTCCTATGGTCCAAGATAGTCTATAGTACCAAACATCAAAAGATTGGCCATTACTCTCTGAGAGCCCACAGACTGCAGGAGAGATATATTGATCAAATAACCACCCAAATAAATATAAAATTAAAAATGTGATATGTGCCAGGACAGAAAGGTCCATGGTGTTCAAAGAACCTTTACTAGGAGAACTTTTTTTTCTATTCAGGGAGACCAGGGGAACTTTCCTTTGAAACTGAATATTCAGCTCAGACCCAGGTAGAATAGAGGTGACTTGGCAGAAGAGGAGGAGTTTCCAAGTCACAAGGACCACACTTGTAAACATGAGGTGAGAGAGAATGAGACGCATTGAGTGTAGAGGGAAAGGCTCCTGTTGAAGGAGAACACATCTTGGAACATAAGGTTCAGGGGAGGCAGGGGCCAGACCACAGGGGGCCATGTAGGCTATGCTATGATTTGGATCTTTATTCTAGAAGCAATGGTAAGCATTGATGGGATTTGTATAAGAAAGTAGTATGGTCCTATTTGCCCTTTCACAAGTTTACAAGACTACAAGATAATTACAAGTATATCTACTGACATGATGCATTGTATCGTTGATTTCCTATGGTTAATCCACCCTTGCTCTGAAAGAGTAAACCATATTTGGTTATAACAAATTTTTCTTTCCTTCTTTATTCATGCATCCATGTAACAAATACTCATTAAGTGCCTCCTACATCCCCAGCATTCTAGGTGCTAATTCACCCATGGGCAGATAAGGACCTTGCCCCTGTGGAACTTCCAGTCAGGGAGACAGACAACAAATATGTGCAAATAAATGTGAAGCAAAGCACAGCGTATTAAGTAAACAGGGAGCAAAAGAGAGGCTCTATTTCACATAGTCAGGGAAGGCATCTCCAAGGAAGTGACATTTGCACGTAGACATCTGAGTGATGGGAGGTAGGGCACCCCCAGGAACAGGCCCAGCTTCTTCGTCCCTCTAGGAGCTCCTCCATTCTCACAGACACATACTAATTGAATTTTCACATTTTCCGCTCTGTTCTTCCCTGCCTCCAAGGAGAACCTTAATTATGCTATTGAATATCTGGATTCCCATTGAGCTTCAGTAGTGAACTCAGCATTGTATCTTTCTCATCCTTTCCACCTGTCCTTCACTGCAGCTCCCTGACCTGGCTCTGCAAAACCCATGCTCTGCTCATTTCTTAAAGAATACAATTTTGAAAGGTGTGTTTTTCTTTGTCCCTATGCCCGTTATCCTTTTAAGTGTGTTCATTTTGTCATTCATTCATTTGGTCATTCTCTTATTCATTTGCTCAACACGTTATTTTGTTAGTGACCCCTTTGCTCTGGGTATTGTATTGGTGTGATCGTACTGGTCTTTCCTTAGAGGGTAAGGGATGTCTTCTCAAGGGACTGGGAAGAACACCCTACAGGTGTTGACTTCTTCGTCTCCAATGAGATCTTAGTGATGTGTCCATACACAAACACACTTTTCATGCTCAGCAGGCAGGTAGCTCTACTACAGCCCTCCTGCAGTGAGGAGGAAGCTTCTTCCTTCAACTTGGTTTCTCAGACTCTTTGCAGTTTTTCATTGTACAATGTGGGCATGAGAAACCACATTGCTACCAAAAGGACCTTTCCTCAGGTAGTGAAGTATCTTAAAATGAAACCTAATTATCATCACAGCACATGCCAGTGTTATTTTCTTAAAATGAATGGAGATAAGGAAGAGCAATTGATGGGGAAGGAGAAAGGGACCGCCCTGACCCTAGTTCTGGGTATCTCAGAAGGGTGTTCCTGGAGGTTGGCTTCCATTTCTTTCCTGAGAAGTGCAGGAATAAGGGCATGAAGTAAAATTTAACAGACTGAGGGGCTGGTGTGTTGCCTACCTTTGTGTGTGTTGGAGGGCATTTATGCTGTTATGAATGAAAGGGTAGTACATATGGTGTGTATTTCAAAAATTGTGCCTTTCCATCCATGCCTTTCATCAGTGCAGTTAGTAAAAATTTCCCCAGGATTTTTGTCATTTTTTTTTTCTGCAAGGGCCAGCTGCAGTCTGTTGTTTGTATCTTCAGGATTATTTCATAAAAATTTGGGAAGAGGCAGTCACAGCAGGCCCAGGTGTGTTGTCTCTATGTTCACCCAGAAGTGTCCGTAAAGGAAAAAACTCTAACAGAGTTCTTAAAATGGAATATGCTGTCTCCATGAGATCATATTTCCCATCTACGAAGGTGGTCAGGCATGAGCTGGGTCATCATTTGGCTGTGTGCTGAAGTAGTGATTCCAGATGTCTTGAGTCAGGCATAATAAGTTGGTTTTACCTTGTGTGCCCAGCCTGATGGATTGTTCCTGGCTGTTTGGGCTCAGTAGGATGAATGTCATGATCCATTAACAAGGTCTGTCCTGGATATGGAGAGTGGGGAGGATGGGGGCACACACACCATGTATTTGTCATCCCTAGGAAGGGAACTGAACTAGAGAATTGCAATGCACTGTGAACAATGAGAGTACCAAGATGAGTGGTCTCTGTATCTTCATCTAAATACTTCATGGGAACGTGATTAGCGATATTAGCCCGAGCAGTGCTTCAGGAAGGTCCAGAAATTAGGTGTAGTAGGAGCTCCAAAATAGACTATTTTAGAGGTGGGAGGATTGTAAGTTCACATTGGTGATATCTCTAGAAAGTCGATCACCTAGGAAGTCTGTTTCTTTCATTGGTGCCACTTGCTTGTCATTGAGTTTGTTGGTTTGTTGGTTGATTAATGTGTATTTTCATCATTTATTGAGCATTTACTATGTGCCATGTTCTGTGCTAGATTTTCAAGATAGAGATGGATCAAATGATGAACAACTCCTAACTTTATGCCTTCCAGAGTAATTGGGCCACTTGAAGGTATCTGCCTTGGACCTTAATTGATTTCGCTTGTCTAACATTTAGCCTTCTTCCTTTTCTTTTCTGGAAAAAAGCCCCTATATTTATTTCAGGAAATTTCTACCATTTTATGAAGCTCTTGTAGACAGCAGAATGCACACACTGTCCACCCTTTACTCCCACCCACTACAGGAGTGGGCACAGGGTCCAAGCTAGGCCGGTCACAGGACAAAGGCTGTGTCCAAAGGGATTGGCCATTATGGTGACGGTGTGGTCCTGGTTTCTGTACTTCTCTCAAGTCCCCTTTAGCTCAGTGAGTTACCAGTTTCCTCCAACTAAACCCCCTTGATTTTCTAAGCATGGCCTGACTTGGCTTCTGTGACTAGCAACCTCAAAACCCTGATTGGTTCCACACCTTTAGGTTGGTGTTAAGGTTAAAACTCTCGGGCCACAGTCAGATTTTCATAATCTGGAGGCTGTTTAACCTCTGACATAGCCATCTACTTCCTAACCCACAACTTTTGTCAAAACAAGTTGAGGAGCTGGCTAGTGGAGGAAGACAGATTACAGCAGGGTTTAAGTATCCTTGCCTTTCCTAACTTCTGAAGCACAGATGTAACAACACTGAATTCACTTCACCTTCCATTCCTGCTAGTGGTTAAGGAGGTGATGTTTTCTTCTCACGTTACGGAAAAGATATCTTTGGGGAGGTATAGCACAGAGTTTGCAAGCATGGACTTTGGCATCTGAAGTTGGCTTAGATTCCAGTTCTGCCACTTATGAGTTGGTAACTAGGGGCAAGGCACTTGACCTCTTTGGGTATCAGTTTTCTCAGTTATAAAATGGAGATAATAAACAGTCCCTACTCAGACAGAGTTGTAGATAAATAAGATAATGCATGCAAGGCATTTAGCCCCATGAAGTTGGACTGCAGTGATCTATTTAACGTGGATTTGTGTGTGTGTGTTCTTTAGATCCTAAAAACTTGAAGTTCCACTCAAGAGTCAGTTTTACCCTGTAGCCTTTTTTAAGATGCTTGTTAATATTTGAATTTGAGAACAAGAGAGACTGAAGGTGAAAACGATAATCCTATGACCTTCCCCACCCAAACGCCACACACAAGCCTATTCTAAACCCGTCTTTCTTCCTTAAGTGTGCCAATTACTTCAGAGTGTATTAATAGTGCCCTCTGCTGCCCAGAGCACCGCAGCTTAATGGGATCTCCTGGGGCAGATGAGCTGGGATGTAGGTCTGAGCTTTTGGTGCTTCCATCTCTGCCTGTCACCCTCAGACATATTCTCCTTCCAGTTCACAGCTCCATTTTCTCGCCTGCATTTCTAGCTAAGCTCTGAGTCATCGATCTCAACCTTTAATTCAAGTTTGTGCCTGGATCTGAACCAAACCATAGATAGATACTCATAAAGGTTGTGCAGATGAGAATGTGTGGTTGTTCTGCTTTTGATCAGCAGCAGGCTGAGATTGCTTCCAGGATAACGGGAGCCAAGTCTATTTTCTTAGGTTACAATGAAGGACTCAAGTCCTGCCTGGAGCTGGCTGAGTGATGAACTAAATTGGAGAAATGTGCCATGTGGCTCGCCGTGTTGATTAGTTGAGTTCACTTGAGTCCCCTTTTTGCAGCCAAGTGCATTCGTAACTTCCATAGCATGGTACTATAAATCTGCTGACTATTTCTGTGGTGGTTACTATTCCAGTTTGAAGAGAGGGGTGTGGAGAAACAGTAGTGAAAGCAGGAGTAAAGACTTCTGACAGATTGAGGCTCCACTTCAAACCATCTCATTTAGACCTCATACTTTTAGTGTCATTATAATAACTCCTCTAGCAAGACTGCAACATGGAGAAGTTGGTGATGAAATGATAAGTACCCAGAAAATCCTTGTACACCATGCCTGCAGAGTTCAGGCTAGACTCAGGGAGATGGTGAGATAATTCTTTGTCTTCTGCAATGGACTGTGTGCTTTGTGCATCCTGGCAAGTGGTTGGGATGGATTTGCCCCGAGCCAGTCACACTCTCTTTGCTTCCATTGTGACCACTGTCAGTTAGGTAGGTGCCTAGGATGGTATAATATGAGTCTCCTTAGTCAAAAGTCGAATTAATTTTTACCACATCAGAACTGGAGATCTTGGCATCCCAAAGTCATATATACCAAACACCTGAGCTAACCATCCAAGTTAAAAAGAAATGCCAAATCCATGATACTGTACATACTTTTCATTCCCATAATGTTATGTTTACTTCCACATAGCTACACGATATATTATAACACAGTAGGTATGAACATGAGCTCTGGAATCAGACAAACTGGATTTGAATCCCAGGTTTGAATCAGTTGCCTTCCCTTGCTTCCTCTTGATATTCTTATTGCCATAGCAGGAATACTCTGTCTATCCAACAGAGTTATTATAAGAATTCAAGCTGTGGCCAGGGACAGTGGCTCATGCCTGTAATTCCAGCACTTTGGGAGGCTGAGTCAGGTGGATCACTTGAGGTCAGGAGTTCGAGACCAGCCTAGCCAACGTAGTGAAACCCCATCTCTGCTAAAAAAATACAGACATTAGCCAGGTATAGTGGTGCATGCCTATAGTCCCAGTCATCGCAGCTACTTGGGAGGCTAAGATGGGAGAATCGCTTGAACCCGGGAGGTGGAGGGTGCAGTTTGAACCAAGATCATGCCACTGCACTCCAACCTGGGCAACAGAGTGAGACTCTGTCTCAATAATAATAATAATAATAATAATAAAAGTTGGTAACGCACACAGGCACTTTGCACAGGTAATGCACACAGGTCCTTTACACGATGCCTGGCAGAAACAATGTTAGCTGCTATATGTGATGCTGTCCTGGTAGAAAGGAGCTAGTTCACCCATTTCAGAAAAGGAAATAAGCAATGAGTCCGGAGAGCAGAGCTGAGTCACTCTCCTCTACTGCTGCCCCTCAAAAAGTTGTTCACCTGTACATTACTTGTTAGTCTTCAAGAATTTCCACATCTCATGTCATTATGCAAGTATCCAATCAGTATTTCCCAGACATGGAGATTTTTTAGCTCTATATATGTCTACATTGCAGATCAGTTTTAAGGATTAAATACAATATTGTGTGTGGGCACTTACACATATATAACTCTGGAGAACTTAAATAGAATTGTCAACTTATGCCAATTAAGGACATTCAAAGACAAACACCACACCACCATCTACTCTCTCCACTATTTCATAGAAGAATCTAAAATTACATGCAGTGTTGTGGATTTTTCATTTCTTTTTAACATGAGTGGTTAGCTCAGGTGTTTGAGATACATGCTTCCGGGATGCCAGGATCCTCAGTTCTATGTGAAAGAAGATAATTAGATTTTTTTCACTTAAGGGACACAGGCTGTGCCATCCGGGTACCTACCTAACTGACATTGGTTGCAATGATAATAGCATATCAAGAGTGTGTGACTGGAACACCAGAAAAAGATCAGCCTGCATGCTGAATAAATTTAGCTCTATGTCAGAACTAGAAATGTTGTCCATTTGCTGAGGATGGACAAAAATTTGATCTCTAACCAGATCTTGAGAATTGTTGGTATAGACCGTAGGAAACTGTCACCTTTCAGAACAATCCAAGGCTCCCAGCGACCTCCTCTGAGTGAATAGGATAGGAGGGTGAAGACAGACCCCTCAGGGCTCCTGTTCTGAAGATCATCCCAGACCAACAAGCTTTTCAGAGTGTTCAAGGATCAGGGAGCATGTGTGGTGGGATAGAGATGCATGAACTTGAGCCAAGCAATTCAAAGTGATTTGAAGAGAAATCCCGAGGCTTATGTGTCCTTCACTGTGGTGAGTAAGCAAGTGGCGCGCTGTCCCTGGAGACCAGCACCGATCAGTCATTGCACACCCTGAAGTGTGCTGAGGATCTCTCAGACTTGCCAAGGCTGACATGAGTCTGGTCTTAAGTGGAAAGGACATACCAGCCTCTGGGAAGAGGTGAGCTCTGGCAGAGAACGGTGAGGGAGGTGGGGGTCAGCTGCATCTCTAACCTTCTGTTTCTTTAGAGGGCGAGAGAGATAGGTGGCTTCCAAACAGAAAGGCCTGTGCACATCAGCGTGACAGCAGCCGGCTGGAGAGATGGGGTGCAGCCTGCCAGATTCAAAGGGGTGGCTCTCCCACCCCCCTTTGAATATAATTATCATTCCACTTGGAGATCTAGAAGGAATAAAACTAGGCCCTTGATCCACTGTCTAATGGATTGTGTGACTATCAAGAAACTGTGGCAGCCTGTGGAACGAGACAGACATGATCTGACTCCTGAAAGAACCACGTGTGAGTCATGTAGCCTGGGAGGGTTCACTTAATTACATAATGACCTGTCTCCATCCTCTTCATCTCTTACTGTCCTGTCCAGCACTGTCCAGCTTCTGACAGTTTCACCCGGGGAAATTTTGTGCAGTGTCTTCAGCATTCAGAAGCCATGAATATTAAGGAAGGTATGACTAGTTGAAGATATCAGTGAGGAGTGGGAAAGAAAACAAAAAGAATGACAATAGGGCCTTACTAATAAGGATCATAATTTTAAACCAGCCGCTATCCACATGTGGTGATGGAGCTGCTGAAATGAGGCCAGTGTGGCTGGTGTGTCCTGAGATGTGCTGCAAATGTAAAGTCCCCACTTGATTACAAACACTTAGGATGAAAAAAATGAATGTAACATATTTCATTAATAATTTCCTGCATGGATTACGTCTTGACATGTTGAAATAATAATATTTTGGATATATTGGGTTAGATAAAATTCATTTTTAAAGTTGATCTCCTCTGTTTGTTTTTATTTTCTTTTCATGTGACCATTAGAAAATTTAAGTTGTATGTGCAACACACATAATTGCAAGATGTTTATTATTCCATTAGGCAGTGCTGGTCTACAGACTTAGGAGTGGTAGAAGGGGATAAGGAGAAAAGGTCATGACAAGGAGAACCCTACTATTTGCCAGACGCTAGGCCCCTGCCCTGTGAGCCTCTTGGCAGCCCAAGTTGGGAACTACTGTATTTATTTTACTGTTTTACCGGTGAAGCTTCTGGAGAAGAAACTGTTTGCTCAGAGCCCAACATTGAATAAATGCTAAGTGATGATTCAAATTTGGGTGTTTGGACTCAGCAGTTCAATGTCTTAACTATTAATTATTGCCTTTGCCATAATTGGAGATGCTCAATAATGTATGCCTTGCCAAGTGATTTTGAGGATTAAATGCAATGTTGTAGGTGAACACTTAGCTTAATAAGAGCCTCGTAAGTAAGGATGGCTGCTATTAATGTAAAAATAATAATAATGAGGAGGAGAAAGTGGAGGAGATGGAGAAGAAGAAGAAGTAGGGAGGAAAAGAAGGGGAGGAGTAGAAGTGGGGAGGAGGAGAAAGAGGAGACAAGTTATTGCCATCACCAGCAATACGTGCCAGGTGCTATCTTGGGCACTTTACGTACATTATGTAATTTAATGCTCACAGCAAGCCTAGCCAATACTCACCCGCCCTTTCTGCCTCTAATTTTTTCTGGTATGAGCGTAGCAAAGTCCGCCTGACACTTGAATATTTACTTCCACTTCACGACTCTTCATCGTGGTCTGTTGGGTGCGTAGGAAGCTTCAGATGGCAAAGGGAGGTGCTGGCAGGGACTGGCAGCAAATGAGCAAACTACAGAGATGAGAGGGTGGGACAGAGCCTGCGTTTTGTAAGGGAAGAGTGGCTGCCCTAATTTTAGCTTCTGATTCACCCAAGGAAATTTTGAGCAGTGTCCCTAGCATCCAGAAACTGCGAATACTAAGGAAGGTCTGACCAGCGGCTGAAGATATCAGTGAGGAGTGGGAAAGAAAACAAGAAGAACGACAATGATACCTTACTAATAAGGATCATAATTTTAAACTAATTAAATGCCAATTGGAATGGAAGGTATTTTTCTTTAAGGAATTCTAGAAACTGATTTCATGCAATTGGCCTTGCCCCAAAAATAAGAGGAAGGAAAGCATACGTTAATTAGACTAAATAAAGAATGAAGCTCATGTGGGTTGTGGGGTACTTTAAATCACACAAAAGCCTTGAGAGATGTGAGGAAGGTGGTGTGTGTCTACCAGGGTCCTGGAAACTTCCAATAATAGAATTTATATCCGATCCTGGTCAAGACACACAAGGGCACAAAGTTAGTAAGTAAACCATCCCTACTACTCTATGCCACCTTTTATTAACCCAAAGCACAGAGCTTCTCACTCATGAAAGACCAAGACAGACTTCCCCATCCTCCAAAGGTGGTGGATAGCAAGGGACAACGTTTGCAGTCCGACTTCTTGCCAGGCCCAGGTCTAGCTGGATGTTTGCTATATGTCCTTGAATCTTCATGCTAACCCTCTGAAGTATTTATTTTTATCCCTCAATGTATAGGTGAGATTGAATTATTCTGCCAGGTCATTTAATTACAAGTTGGCAGAGTGCGAATCCTAAATTACGTTGATCTGACTCCCACATCCTTGCTGATTCTACCACGTCATGTGGCCTTCTCTTTCAATTCCACAGTCATGACTAGAGCTTTCTCCACCTACACCAATTGCATGAAGGGGGTCTGGCTGCTGGGACCTCCCAGGGTACAGAGCTGATTCACTTCAACCGGCATCCAGGGGCGTGCCTTGGAAAGCCAGGATGGAGGGGTAGTAGGAAATTGCTCTTTTGTTAAATGCAACTTGGGTTTATTTGGAAGCAGAAAAGAAAAAGAAAAAAAGAAAAAAAAAACGTTCTGAAAAAGAATCATGAGTTGCTCCATGTAATCTGTAAATTGAAATTAGATGGTTGTCAATAAATTCTTACTATATATATAAAATTCCATATATATGCATATATGTATTTGCTTATATAGATATATAGTTTGGGTTAATTTAATAATAATTTAATAATTTAACTTATATAATAATAATTTAATTTATTATATATAATATATACAATAATTTAATATATAACATATAATAATAATTTAATATGTTAATTTAATAATTACTTTAATAATAAATCATTATTAAATATAAAGTATCTATTATTTAGATAAAACCTAACTATCCTTGTACACAGCTTCTGTGATGTTTAATTTTGAGTGTCAACTTGATTGGATTGAAGGATGCAAAGTCTTGTTCCTGGGTGTGTCTGTAAGGGTATTGGCAAAGGAGATTAACATTTGAGTCAGTGGACTGGGAAAGGCAGACCCACTCTCAGTCTGGGTGGGCACCATCTAATCAGCCGCCCGTGAGGCCAGAATAAAAGCAGGCAGAAGAACGTGTAAAGACTAGGTTGGCTTAGTCTTCTGACCTACATCTTTCTCCTGTGCTGGATGCTTGCTACCCTCAAACGTTGGACTCCAAGTTCTTTAGCTTTGGGACTCAGACTGGCTTCTTTGTTCCTCAGTTTGCAGACGGCCTATTGTAGGACCTCACCTTGAGATCGTGTGAGGCAATACACCTTAATAAACTCCCCTTTATGTATACATTTATCCTGTTAGTTCTGTCCCTCTAGAGAACCCTGACTCATACAGCCTCTGGAAAGATTTATTGCTGCCTCTTGCCCTTTTTAAGAAATAAAATAATTAATTGATATGGTTATTTAAATTGTTCAAGAAGTAAGAGAATACATTCTAATCATCAAACATCTAAATAATTCCCCAAATGTGAAACTCTCCTTTCATTCATGCCCTGCTCCCACCTAGCCATCTGCTCTTCCCAGAGGTATTCACTGCTATCAGCTCAGTGTGAATATCTGTAGCTTTTTGCTTACCATTTCATTTATAGGAACATATAGAAACATATGGTTTCTTTTTTCTATCAAAAATAGGGTCTTATGCTACATATTGTTCTACAACTTCTCTTTTTACATAACGTGGCTTATTTTTCTTGGTGGCTGTATGCTACCCCAGAGGATGGAGGTGCCAGATTCATTTAACCATCTGTTATTGACAGACATTTAGGTGGTTTCTTGTTTTTCAGTATTATGAGGGTAATTCTTTAGTCTTTCATTCTAGGGAATGCTTGATATTTTACAGTCAACATATGGCTGAGTAAATATTTAAGATTTTATGTTGACATTTTGCTGTCAAGTCCGGAACTTTTATTATGCAATTCACCTTTTGGATTTTACGATAGTATGTGTTATCGCTTTCTCCGTCTTAGTTGGCAAGGCCACACCTATCAATGTTGACTATCTTTTCTAGATAACACAACTTCAGTTTTCATGGCTAAGAGCCCGTAAGCAGTAGTGGCCCTGCCTTGGCTATGAGAGCAATGCTTAAGGATGCATAAATCGGAGAAAATATGAAAATGACATTTTGGGCCGGGCACTGTAGCTCATGCCTGTGATCCCAGCACTCTGGAAGGCCAAGGCAGGCAGATCACTTGAGGTAAGGAGCTCAAGACCAGCCTGGCCAACATGGCAAAACACCATCTCTACTAAAAATACCAAAGAAATAACTGGGCATGGTGGCACATGCCTGTAATCCCAGCTACTTGGGAGGCTGAGGCCCAAGAATCACTTGAATCTGGGAGGCAGAGGTTGCAGTGAGCTGTGATTGTGCCATGGCACTAGCCTGGGCCACACAGTGAGACTCCGTCTCAAAAGAAAAGAAAAGAAGAGAAAAGTGGCATTTTGGAGATTTAAGAGTTCTACTCCTCCCTCTTCTCCCCTCTAAACTCTTATCCAGTTGAACACAGACTTGAAGAACCAGGGGACTGTCAAGTGAAACATCAGATGTATTATATTAATGAGCAAGGACAGTGTCCAATCCTTTCATATTTAGGGTCTCCTATTAGCTGTGCTGGAGAACACAGCTTAGGCCTGAGGTCAAAGCGAGTGTTTTTACAGGTAACCCTTAAATCTAGACTTTGAACCTATCTTCAGCAACTTGGTTTTCAGGAGTTAGTCCAAGCAAGTTCCCAGACAGCAGAGGGTCTCCAGCTACCCAGGGAGCCATCATCCGGGGGAGGAATGGTGTTACTCTGAATGCTCACCCATTCTTGGTCAGCAGCCCAGGGGATGTTGAACCTTCCCTACTCTTCCCAAACAGATTAGCCTGTGACCCTCCCATCAGAATGAGTGGGTAAGGGGGTACGCAGAGGACCAGAAGCACCCAGTCCTGCTCTCTTCTAGGGAATGGGATAGAAATCCCTTCATGGAAACATGCAAGCAGGAGAATTGGGTCTTCCTCAACATAGCACATAATCTGGCTTTCTAGATATTTTCCTTAAAATTAAGGATTTTTCCAAAAAATCAGGCTATTAATTTTTGTGTACTGTAATGAGTTACATTGTGGGCCCCCAAAAGATAGATGCATATCAGTATCTGAACCATGAGAATGGTATCTTATTTAGAACAAGGCTTTAGCAGATGCAATTAAATTAAAGGTCTCAAAATGAGATTACCCTAGATTACTCTGGTAGATCCTAAATCCCGTGACAAATGTCCTTATAAAAGACAGAAGATACAGAATACAATGGCATGTGTGGATGGAGGCTGAGCTTGGCGTGACACTGCCACGAGCTAAGGAACGCTTGGAGCCAGCGGAAGCTGGAAGAGGCAAGAATGGATTCCCTTTTAGAGCCTCCAGAGTGAACAGAGCCCTGCTGACGTCTTGATTTCAGACTTCAGGGCTCCAGAACTGTAAGAGAATAAATCTCTATTGTTTTAAGCCACCCAGTTTTGGGTTACTGCTGTAGCAGCCCTATGAAACTTACACGTTTACTGTAAGAATGAAAGAAGGGGCTGGGCACGGTGGCTCATGCCTGTAATCCCAGCACTTTGGGAGGCCGAGGCGGGCGGATCACGAGGTCAGAAGATCGAGACCATCCTGGCTAACACGGTGAAATCCCGTCTCTACTAAAAGTACAAAAAATTAGCCGGGCATGGTGGTGGGCACCTGTAGTCCCAGCTACTCTGGAGGCTGAGGCAGGAGAATGGCTTGAACCCAGGAGGTGGAGCTTGCACTGAGCTGAGACCGTGCCACTGCACTCCAGCCTGGGCAGCAGAGCGAGACTTCGTCTCAAAAAACAAAAAAGAAAGAAAGAAGAAAATGGCATTCTAGTCCAAATTAGAAAGACGAGACTATCGAGATTAGGCTGTTTACCTTTGCTCTAAATTCAGCTGTTTCCTATCCCTATTTAGAGCTGTAGTTATTTTCCCCCCGTTCATAACCCACTTGTAATTTTCTTTCATCCAGCCTTCACTGGGGCTTCACTGGAGCTTATTTATGAATCCCGCCGCTGATGGTTTGCTCTGGCTTGTGCCAGGAGGCAGCAGGCGCCTTGTGAGTGATGATGATCCAGCTCTCTTTTGCTTACCAGCTCTTCTAGGGCATCTGATTTTTCTTTTTGTCTTTTTTAGGTTCAGGGGTGCACGTGCGGGTTTGTTACATAAGGAAACTAGTGTCACGGGGGGTTGCTTGCACAGATTATTTTGTCACCCAGATACTAAGCCTACTACTCATTCATTATATTTTCTGTTTCTCTTTCTCCTTCCACCTTCCACCTCAGGTAGTCCCTAGTGTGTGTTGGTGTGTTGTTCCCCTCTTTGTGTCCAGGTGTTTTCATCATTTGGCTCCCACTTATAAGTGAGAACCTGCAGTGTTTGGATTTTTGTTCCTGTGTTAGTTTGCTAAGGATAATGGTCTCCAGATCCATCCTGCAAAGGACATGATCTCATTCTTTTTACGGCTGCATAGTATTCCGTGGTGTATATTCCATGGTGTATATTCCATGGTGTATGTACCACTTTTCTTTATCTAGTCTACCATTGACGGGCATTTAGGTTGATTTCATGTCTTTGCTATTGTGAATGGTGCTACAATGAACATACATGTGCATGTGTCTTTATGACAGAATGATTTATGTTCCTTTGGGTATATACCCAGTACTGAGATTGCTAGGTCAGATGGTAGTTCTGCTTTCAGCTCTTTGAGGAACTGCCACACCGTTTTCCACAATGGCTGAACAAATTTACATTCCGACCAACAGTAAATAGGTGTTCCCTTTTCTCCATGACCTCTCTAGCATTTGTTATTTATTTATTTGAGACTGAGTCTCACTGTGTCACCCAGGATGGACTGCAGTGGTGTGATCTCGGCTCACTGCAACCTCCACCTCCCATGTTCAAGCAATTCTCCTGGCTTAGCCTCCCAGGTAGCTGGGATTACATGCACATGCCACCACACCCTGCTGATTTTTGCATTTTTAGTAGAAACAGGGTTTCACCCTGTTGGCCAGGCTGGTCTTGAACTCCTGACCTCAAGTGATCCACCTGCCTCAGCCTCCCAAAGTGCTGGGATTATAGGCGTGAGCCACTATGCCTGGCCTCATGTTATTTTTTCGCTTTTTAGTAATAGTCATTCTAACTAGTGTGAGATGGTATCTCCTTGTGGATTGGATTTACGTTTCTCTAATGATCAACGGTACTGAGCTTTTTTTCATATGCTTGTCGGCCGTGTGTATGTCTTCTTTTGAAAAGTACCTATCTGTGTCCTTCGTCTGCTTTTTAGTGGGGTTCTTTCTTTCTTTCCTTTCTTTCTTTCTTTCTTTCTTTCTTTCTTTCTTTCTTTCTTTCTTTCTTTCTTTCTTTCTCTCTCTCTCTCTCTCTCTCTCTCTCTCTCTCTTTCTTTCTCTCTCTCTTGTTTGAGACAGAGTCTCGCTCTGTCGCCCAGGCTGGAGTGCAGTGGTGCAATCTCGGCTCACTGCAAGCTCTGCCTCCCGGGTTCATGGCATTCTCCCGCCTCAGCCTCTTGCGTAGCTGGGTCTACAGGCACTCGCCAACACGCCTGGCTAATTTTTTGTATTTTTAGTAGAGACGGGTTTCGCCGTGTTAGCCAGGATGGCCTCGATCTCCTGACCTCGTGATCCACCCGCCTTGGCCTCCCAAAGTGCTGGGATTACAGGTGTAGGCCACCAAGCCCGGCCCTTTTTTTCTTATAAATCAATTGAAGTTTCTTATGGACGCTGGATATTAGACCTTTGTCAGAGGCATAGTTTTCAAAACAGCATGGTACTGGTAGAGAAACAGACACATAGACCAGCAGAACAGAGTAGAGAGCCTAAAAACAAGTCTGCACACTTACAGCCATCTAATCTTTGACAAAGTT
Source organism: Homo sapiens (assembly GCF_000001405.40). Lineage (NCBI taxonomy): Eukaryota > Metazoa > Chordata > Mammalia > Primates > Hominidae > Homo > Homo sapiens. Next base: position 82,591,440 of record NC_000016.10, read on the forward strand.
GACAAAAACAAGTAATGGGGAAAGAACTCCCTATTCAATAAATGGTGCTGGGATAACTGGCTAGCCATATGCAAAAGATTGAAACTAGACTTCTTCCTTACACTGTATACGAAAACCAACTCAGAATGTATTAAAGACTTAAATGTAAACCCAAAACTATAAAATCCCTGGAAGACAATCTGGCAATACCATTTTGGACATAGGATCTAGCAAAGATTTCATGACGAAGATGCCAAAACCAGTTGCAACAAATGCAAAAATCAACCAATGGGATCTAATTAAACCAAAGAGCTTCTGCACAGCAAAAGAATCTATCAGCAGACTAAACAGACAACCTGTAGAATGGGAGAAAATATTTGCACCTGGCTTTTCTGCGTCCTTCTTTGGCTGCCCCTTAGTCTAAATCCTGGCTCTGATTTCCATACATCTTGGTTAAAGCAAAGTGAGAAGAGATAATGAAGGCTTTCTACTTATGCTGGTAGCCTGAGTTCTCCACGACAGTCTCCTTCTCTTTTTTTTCTTTAATTTAAGGCTCATGGGTACATGTGCAGAAAACAAATACTGCATGTTCTCACATATAAGTGGAAGCTAAACAATGAGAATACATGGAAAGTCTCCTCTTATTCAGGAGAAATTGACTTGGGAAACTTTTACCACAATATGTCAATGAATTCAATTCTCAGTTCACCCACACTGGCCCCTCTGTCATTGTATCAAATAGCTTTGCTAAGAGTGAGCATTTTCAGCATCTTTATAGCCTTCTTTGGCCCTTTCCTACCAATTGGGGCTTTTACAAAGGAGTCAAGTCCTCCACCTTCTTGGTGGGAAATATATTGAACCACAAATTGAACAAAACAGAATAGGTTTAAAACAGCTGCTCTTCTAATGTTCAGCTCATCAAACTTGCACCAGGCTACTGGTGATCTTAACACTACTGGGAGAGAGATTGCTTTGTGGGAGATCATCCCACCCAGCGGAGGTGATGAGTATGAATCCCTCCGTTGGCCTTCAGGATGGCCAGCAGGGCCAGTTTTATGAATGTGCCACCTATATATGTGTGACCTATATAGTCACACAGCGTTTGGTTTAATGCTCTGCTGTTGCTATCCTGAATTTCTTAATAATTTATGAATAAGAAGCCCCACAGTTTCATTTTGCACTGGGGCCCACAAATCAAGTAGTTGCTCCTCGTAGCCATCATGGGTCTGGGACACTGAAGTCCCTGGAGTGGTCATTTTCTGCAGCAAGCTACCTCCTCAGTTACCTGGTACATCATGGATGCTTTCTTTGTTGGTTTTCCTTTTCAATAGACACTATGGTCAGAAGACTTCAGGAAGTAACACTAGAAATTATGCATAGAGGTTTGAGAAGCCATTTCCCCCTTACCTCCCGCTTGGAGATATTTGGCAATACTTGGAGACATTTTTGGTTGTCACAACTGGAGGTGCTACTGGCATCCAGTGGGTTGAGGGCAGGAATGCTGCTAAACATCCTACGATACTCAGGACAGCCCCTAACACAGAGAATTATCTGGCCCCAAAGGCCAATAGTGCTAAGGTTGGGAAGCCATAAGCTAGAGGTATTCAAAGGTGATCCTTATACCTGCAGCCTCAGAGACACCTACAACCTTTTTGGAAATGCAGAATCCCAGGCTGCAGTCAGGCCTCCTTGAATCATAATTGGCATTTTGACAAGATTAACACAATCCCCAGGTGTCTCATGCACATTAAAGTTTGAGAAGCCCTGTGCTAGAACAAAACTTACTTTGCTTGTGCTTGAGTGTCTGCAACGTTGCTGATGGGCCTGCCCTGGAATGGGAAAGGCCAAGTTTGGAACAAACAGGACATATGGTGTGAGGAAGGAAAGCCCAAAAAGCGATTATGGAATTATGGCAAGAGAGGAAAGGTACAGCCACAAACTAGCTGAGTACAGAGCAACAGGTCTGGAAGACAAGGCAGGAGAGGACATAAGTGGCCAGTCCTGGGAGGAGCCAGGGGCACGGAAGACAGGACGGACTGTGATGTGAGGGATGGGATGGGGCTAGTGGTTCTAAGGAGAGCTTGAATCCCCATTGCATGTAGCTTGTTTTATGGAAATGGGTAGCGAAGCTTATAAAGGAAACACACTGGTGAATACAGGTATTGAAAACCATCAGAAACCACTCAGCGTCTGGACTGTGATGTGGGTGTTATAAGAGTCTGCCTGTGTTCGTTTGCTAGGGCTACCATAACAAAGTACTGGGTGGCTTAAACAACAGAAATTTATGTTCTCATGGTTCTGGAGGCCAGGAGTCCAAGATCAAAGTGTTGGTAGGGTTGATTTCTTCTTAGGCCTCTGTCTTTAGCCTGCAGATAGCTGGCCACTGCTCCTCATGTCATCGTGTGCTCTTCCTCTGTAGATGTCTGTGTCCAAATTTCCTCTTCTTATAAGGAGAGGCAGCAGTCATACTACAGTCATACTAAATTTGGACTTGCACATATGACTTAATTTTTTGTTGATTACCTCTCTCCTGCCCCTATTTCCAAATGCAGCCACACTCTGAGGTACTGGTGGTGAGGACATCAGCATGTGAATTTTGGGGAAATAGAATTCATTCCTCTGTTTTCTGCCCCCAGGCACCCGTCAACATCCAGATCTTCCATTCCTCTTTACTGGGCTCCCCTCAGCACCAATCCTGGCCCTTTTCCCTGTGACCTTCCCCATTGAGACATGAGGTTCACTAGCTCGTGGGGAGCCCAGCATCCTATTAAATATTAAACACATAGGCTCTGGGCTCTTGAAAGACAAAGCTGGGTTGTGAGCCAAGTCCTGCTCTTCCCTCCAGAAAGCACTTTCTTCCCTCTCTGGGTACACCACACGGAAGGCCCCCAGGTTAACCAGGGCAATTATTAGTAAACGGTTAGAGCACGGTTGTCTAAATGTTTTGATGGATAGGTTGAAGAAGTATGAATGCAAATGAATTTTTAAAACACACTGCAGCTATTGTTGGGTATAATGGAATGTCATTAAGCACATTAGCTGCTGATTTTATAATCAAGTGCTAACATTTTCTGGAAGGTAACCTAAGTAACAGGAGATATTGGCCATTTGCAAAACATGTTTAAACAAAAAAGATTCAGAGACAAGAAGTGCCTCTCATCTTAATTATTTTTTTGCATCATAAAAACCTCACAAACAATGCTTCTGCAAACGCATAATGGATGTGGAGCAGCTGTAGAAAACATCTCACTTCTTTTGTTGGGAAACGATGTTTTACATTTGGGAAAAAAAAATTCTGTCCAGCTGATTCTCTTCCAAGGAGAGGGCGAGTCTGAGAGAGAAATCTCTGCTGTCTGAGGAATATCTATCTGTGTCCATCAAACATTGGTAAAACTGTCGTGGGAATCGCTGAAATTGTGCTTGTTTTGCTGTAGATGTTGCTTCTTCAAGGTCATGTCTGGGTAGCAGCTGAGTCTTCAGGGGAGGGTGACTTAAGCATCACACCCTGCCATTGATTTCTAAGGAGCATCCTTCCTTATGGGTAGAGAGAGAACTTCTTTTTGTTCTGTTCTCTTTTCCTGAGCCTCTCACAGGCCGCCAGCATCAGCCCAGACTTGTTTTTCTAGATGCCTAAAATAATATGGCTGACCAGTCCGAACAGTGGGGGCAGAACTACCACAACAACTAAGCCAACCACCCTCAGGCAAGTGGCACATCCTGCCTTTTGAAGGTCTTAGATGTGAACCTGTGGCCAGGGAACTCTGTCCAGTGGGCCAGCAGTCAGCAACCTAGCCGTGGGACACAGTGGCAAATGAACTCTGGTGTATTGTTCCCCAATTGCACCAGAGTTCATTTGCCTGCCTTGGTTGACACTGACAAGTGGCCCTGGATGAACTGAAAAAAAGTGATTAACCAGCAAGCATATCTGAGCAAGAGACATGGGCCATGAGCGGAAGCTCTTTGGTTATTTGCCTTGAGGTGAAAGGGTTTTCAGCCTTCTTGGTTCGCAAATTCAATGTTTTTCTTTCATGGAGGGAGTATCAACCATGGGGAGGATTGATAAGTGTTTTGTTCACTTGCTCAATGTCTATTTATCCCTCACAATTTTGCCTAGCTTTTCCCTTCTTTATTAAGTCTTACTTTAAACAGTTATAATTAACCAAACCATACTTCTCTGTGTTGGCCCCTTCACAGGACAATCTGTCTGTCTTTACCCTGTATCAGGTGGCTATTGCTGTATAGCAAACCACTCCCAAATTTAGTGGCTTAAGCAACAACTGTTTACCATTTCTCATGAGTAACTGACAACCGGATAGTTCCGTTGATCTGGTTGAGGCTCCGATGATCTGGGCTGGGTACATTAATATATCTGTGGTCAGTTAGCAGAACTGCTTGGGGCAGTTGTTTAAGGATGGATGATCTTTATTGGGACACATTAGCTTTCCCTCATGTATTTCTTACCTCCTCCTATAGGCAAACCTGGGCATGGTCTCACAGCTGTGGCACCAGGTCCAAGAGAGAAACAGATTGCTCAGGTACTTTATCGAATCTCTGATCCAGTTGGCCAAGGCACGCCACAAGAATCAGTGTGAGGACACTACCAAAAAATCAGGAAGGCATGGAAAAGTAGGATCTTTAATGTAATCAATATAGACACAATCCCCCATTCTGTAGACTGTCCCGTTACCATATTCAGTTACCTTGTCTAACTTCGAACTGAAGTCCAGCTGGCTGAGCTTGCCCTCCCTTTCCAGGAGGAATGAGATCTTAACTCCCGTGACCCTCACCCTGGGCAGAGAACTAGCATGAAGAGGGTCACTAGACCATAGGCACCTCAGGGGAATGGCCAAAATTGCACTCTGGATATGTGGCACATTATAGGGACTTAAACAGTATGTGATTCAGTGGAAAATGACAGATTCTGCATTCCCAAGATGCAGCCTAGCTAAACTCCATTTTACCATTTCTCAAAATCTCCCACCAGAAAGGCCCTGGCGCCTCACTCAGTATGGATATTTTTCCCCAATTACACTTGAGTTCATTTGCCTGCCTTGGTTGGCACTGGCATGCAGCCCTGGGTGAACTGAAAAAAAACAGTTATTAACCAATGAACATCTGAGCAAGAGATGTGGCCCAAGAGAAGAAGCCCTTTGGTTCCTTTCCTTGAGGTAAAAGAGTTTTCAGGCTTCTTGGTCCACAAATTCAATGTTCTCCTTTCACCGAGGGAGTATCAACCCTGGGAGGGTTGATAAGTGTTTTGTTCACTTGCTGGATGTCTATTTATCCCTCAAAATTTTGCCTAGCTTTTCCCTTCTCTATTAAATCTTACTCTAAACAATTATAGTTAGCTAAACCCCTTGTATATAACCCACTGCACCTATAAAATTCTATTATTCTTTCATTTTTTTTTTCACTACATGTGTACTGAAGGCTTCCTGTGCACCAGGCACTGTTGAGGGGCTGTATGAAGAGCAGTGAACAAAAGCAAAGTCCCTGCTCTCACGGAGCTTACACATGGAAGAAAGAACTTAATAATAAATAAAGAATCAAACAAATAAATACTATATGAGCTGCAAAGAAGAAAAATAAGATTAGGTGAGGACAATGATGGGGTATGTGTTTGTGTGGTGTGTATGTTCATATATGGGGTATTTGTGGGGTATGTGTGCACATGCGTGTGTATATGTATGTGAGTGTGTGTGTGTTTGTGCATGTATGGTTGGGGATTCTATATTAGACAGTTGGTCAGGGAAGCCCTTTCCATAAGTTGCATTTAAGCAGAGACCTGGATTACATGAGGAAGTGTGAGTATTTTGGGAGAGCTTCCTAGCTACAGCAGATAGAGCAGGACTGACATGTTTGAGGCATGGTGAGAAAACCAGTTGGAGTTTGACTGGATAAGGGAGCGAGTCCAGGGCATGCAATTTGAGAGGTAGAAGGTCTCTGATTATGTTGGGTCTTATAGGCCAAGAAAACAACTTAATTTTGTCCTAAGTGAGATAGGAAATGTGATAGATGAAATAATGGTCCCCATTTAGGTCCCCATATCCTAATCCCCAAAACCTGTGAATATGTTATACGGCAAAAGGGACTTTGAAGATGTGATTGAGTTAAGGATCTTGAAACGTCCTTAGGCATAGGGTGATCCCTATGTCGTGGGAAATTTCCTTATAAGGGAGAGGTGGGAGAGTCAGAGTGAGGGAGAAGATAGGACAACAGAAGCGGAGGTTGGAGTGATATGGGGCCATGAGCCAAAGAATGCAGGCAGCCTCCAGAAGGTGGGAAAGGAAAGGAACTGATCCCCCAACTGGAGCTCCCAGGAAGGAGCCAGACCTCCTGATACCTTGGTTTTAGCTCAGAAGATGCATGTCAAACTTCTGACCTCCAGAGCTGTAAAATAATCAGCTTTTGTTGATTTAAGCCACTAAATCTGTGACTTTTTTTTTTTTTACAAGAGGAAGTCACTGGAAAGTTTTGAAGATAATTATGATAGAGACCGACTCACATTAAAAAAACACACACATAACTGGGTGACTATGGGGAGAATAAGAAGAGGAAGACCAAGTAGAAGAGTTTGTAAAAGCCCATTGAAGAGTTAATGGTGCTTGGCTGGAGTGGTGATGGTGGAGAAAAGTGAATGAACTCTACATGTGTTTTGAAAATAGACTCCATAGGACTCAGTATGTAAGACATTAGTTATCAGGGCTCAGAGGGGCATGGATGACTCCAGACTCTTGACTTAATCGCCTTAAAGGATAAAAATGTCATTTACTGAAAGTAGGGAAGTTTGGAAGAAAATCATATTTGGAGATGTGGTGTTTGTATGTGGGTGGAGAGAGTGGATTAAGAATTCCATTTGGATATAGTATGTTTGAAATGTCTATAAGTGATCAAAATGGAGATGTCAAGTATCCTGTTGTTTTTTGTGAATTTGGAGCTCAGGGGTGTGTTCTGGCTGGAGGTCGAACTATAAGCGAGCCATGGAAATTGATGAAATCACCTAGGAAAGGTATGTGGATTGGGGAGAGCACAGGCTGGAGAGGGGAAGTGGCAGCATTCCACGTAGATCTTCCCAACATTAACAATACTCCTTGTTTGGAACCCAGGCTAGAGAAGAGTTCTAGAATATTGGTGTGAAGAATAAACAACTAAGGAGATTTCAGAGTTACCCACTTCCCTCTGCAATGTAGAATATGACTGGACCCAAGGTGATATTCCCTAGCACATATTCATAATAGAAATATATGATGTTTTGTAAAATAGATCATAAATAAAACCACATATTTGAGCAAGGCAGCAATCATATTAACCCGTGTACTGTGATAACCTTTGTCTAAATATACCCATGAAACTGCTTTAATATGGTTCATCAGATAAATAATGATTGCAAGAAAAGGGTTAATACTTGGGGGAAGCAGAAGGAAGTGTACTATGTGGAGGGCAAGATGGCTTCCCAGATTGATTCATGTGCTCTTGTTGACTGTTTCCATGTCATAAATCTCCAATGAAGAGCCTTGCTGTTTCCAAATTGAGGGCGGGGAAACCCCAAACAAGAATACAATGGCTCACCAGGGAAGGCATTAACCAACCTAAATGCTGCTTTCCTTCCCTGAAGAAATCTCCTCCATCTGTGCTAGAGTCGTTATCTCTGCCTTCCTTGGAAAGGAGAAAATTTGCACTCTCAAAAACAGGATTTGTGTGGCCAACCTGACTTTGGAGATATAAAATAAAATGATAAACTTTCCAAATGAAGAACAGAATTAGCTCTGAGTTCTGACTTTGCTTGTCCGGCAAATGAAGACAGAGCCATATGCAAAACTGCCTGCTGGAAGGAAAACAAGTTCCTTGGTACCTGACCCACAGAACTGATCTGACAATAGAGAAGAGCTCATGTTCAAAGACACGGTCCAACCTTAGGGCTTTTAAGAAACTCACGATCATTGCCTTGATTATGTAAGTTGTCTTCTATTACAAAATGACCATGCTGCTATATTCTCGCCATATGCAGAATGTATCAGTTAGCCTTTTCCACCGTAATGCTGTATAACAAGCCATCCCCAAACTCAGCAGAATATAACAATAAGTATTTCTTGCTTATACAGCTGTGAGGTAGCTGGTGTTGGATCAGTGGCTCTGTTCTACACATTTTCATTACTGGGGCCACGGTGAAGGGGCAGCATTTATCTAGGGCAGAGGGAAGGCCTTCTTATGGTGGAGGTTGGAAGCCCTTACAGGGGTGAGTGGAATTACACAATGTTTCTCAGGACCTAGGATCAGAAGTGGTGTACTGTCACTTATATCCAGATTCCAATGGCCCAAGCAAGTTACATGGTCAAGTCTAATATTGCGTGACAGGGAAGTGCACTGCTCCCATAAAGTTTAGGGAAAGAGAGTGAATATTTATTAAATAATAAGCTAATCTGTATGGGGAGTAACATTAAATTTCTGTTTTTTAGATGTGCAAATTGAAACACATTGAGATCAATGCCATGTCTGTATAATAGTTCACAGTTGAAACTCAGAGAAAACATACTATATTAACAATGAAATTGTTATTCACAAGGCTATCTGTTGCATGTCCATGTACTTGGTCATCAAATATAGCTATTCTCATGAAAGAGCCAGAATGACTCTCCTATCATTCAGTGAATGCCTGGATGTCAGTGACCACATAGTGACCTGTTGAAAGTTGATTAAAATGACCATCAGATAATTGGATGATAGCTTGTGACTGGATTACATGACACAGTTTTGAATCTTTTCTCTTTCCAAAAATCAGTGAACTGTTCATTAAAACCCAAGCCTTGTTCTTGGGAGACCATACCATGACCATCTTCTGGCTTCAAGCTGTGACAATGTGGCAAACATAATCTGTTGTTCAAGGATTGACTCACATTTTCCCAGCTACCAAGATGACTGAGAGTCCAGTGTCAGTATAATCTCAGTGAGTCTGGTTTGGTCAGCTTGCCCAAAATAATGTGGACTTGCAATGGTTTGAATGTCCCCTCCAAAATTCACGTTGAAACTTAATTACCATTGTAACAGTATTAAGAGGTTGGGATTTTAAGAGGTGATTAGCTCTTGAGGGTTCTGCCCTCACCAGTGGATTAATGCTCTTACCTTGGAGTGGCTTAGTTATCACAGGAGTGATACAAGTTCCTCCCGTATCTTGTCTTGCATACTTGCGTCGGCCCTTCTGCCATGATATGACCCTCACCAGATGCCACTGCAATGCTCTTGAACTTCCCAGCACCCAGAACCATGAGCCAAATAAACTTCTATTATTTGCAAATTATGCAGTCTGTGGTCTTCTTTTATAGCAATGGAAAACCAACTAAGACTGGGCATGTGTCACCTCATGGACTCAAATGAAAGAATATGGTCTCTTGTATCAACTAGTTTCTTAAAGCTTGGTTTTCGGCACTGGGTCCCTCTTTTTCTTTTCATCCTCAAGAAAAACAGAGGTCAGCTTCTCTCACTTCTCTTTGATGTCATGTCTGTAATTGCTACTCTTTCAGGAGAGGACATGTCCCACATTTGTCCTGCCATGTGCATGGGCTCAGAATCCGAAGGGAGGTCAAAAAAGGAAAGGATCAACTAGGGGCCACATGACTCTGATAAATTTTAAGATATGGAGGCTCAGTAGTGCCTGCCCACACCGAATCCCTTACTAACCTGGATGACAAGGCTCCAGCAGTGGGCCTGGCCTCTTGAGAAGTGATACTCTAATTGTACATTTCTGTTCATCAAATGTGTCCATCAAACTCACTTCCTTTTTCTCCAAATGCTCCCTAAGATATTTCCCAGCCTCCCCTGCAGCTCAATGAGGTCATGTGACTGAGTTCTGACCAATGGAATGAGGGCTGATGGGATTCGCTCCATTCCCAGGCCTGGCTGATGCATACCTCCCACACTCTCTCCTCAACACTCTCTCCCTTTCTACCAGCTCATTGTCCTAACGAGCAGGGTGGGGCTGGGGCCATGGGTTAAAGATGAGCCAAGCTGCCTACCAACCGGGAACACCTGGTCGGTTACACGAGTAAAAAATAACTTATATTTTGTTAAGCCACTGGAATTTGGGGGTTGGTTTGTTCGAGCAGTTAGTGCTATGCTGATTAAAAGCACTTAATTATTTTTTTAGTCTCATAATAAAACTCTCTCACCTTCCCATGCCTCCAGGGCCTTTGCTTGGACATGGTGATGATTTGAGGACCCAAATATGTCTTTCTCGTCTTTAAGGCTGACCAGAGTATCCTTATGAGTGAGCCCTATATTCTGTCCATGATAAGGCTGATGACAGCTAATAGTTATCAAAGACTTATTATGTCCTGCACGCTTTATGCATGTGGATTATACCTTGTGAACCTCAAAAATCCAGTGATGTTTATTTTGTCTTTTTCACTGTTTAGGAAATTTGGGTTCAGAGTAGCCAAGTAATATGGCCAAAATCATACAGCTAGAAAACTAGGGAAGTCAGGAATGAAGCCCAGGTTACCGGACTCTGGAGTTTGTGTGCTAACGACTGTGCTGGGTTCCTGTTGATGGTTAGTCCTACCTGTGGCAGAACTTTCTCCAGGCAGCCTCTCATGGGTATCTCTGGAAACCAGTGCCTACTCTCTTGCCATCCAGAGTGACTGAGCTCTCCATGCACAGCCTATCCCTAGCCCATCCCTGATTCTGACAAAGTCTGAGCAGAAGGACACTGTCTGGGCTCCAGGCAGCTACACCATTCATCTTCACGCTGCCTCTGTTTGGAGACAGGCTTTCACAAGCCAGCCTTTTCATTTAAAAACCTCAGCCTGCCCTTTTGCTCACCCACACTGGGAGGCCATGTCCACAGGAGCATTTCTCCCATTCAGCCTAGTGACGGTGAGACTGATTACCCATTGCCCCGCTTTCTAGATTGCTGAAGCCAGGAGCAGCAGGAAAAACCACCTTCAAGGCTACTGCATCAAAGCAATGGACTTTGCGGAACAACGATGAATGGGCCAGAGGGGGGCCTGTGCGTACTCTCACAGCATAATAAGGTGCCTGCTGGCAGACTCCCTCCAAGAGAGTCAGAGACACTCCCTTGCTACAGTCAGGCCTCCTCTTTTTCCTTCTGGCCAAGGCTGAGCTCTTGTCCCTATCAGTCAACCTTGATGTCAATTTCCAGGAAACAGTCAGAGGCAGCTCAGAGAACCAGTGAGGCACTGGGAGGTGACTTGGGGTGAGTACGTGGGGATTGGTAGTGGGTGTGGAGCTGAGCTTGGAGCCCTGGGCAGTCCCGAGCAGCCACAGCCTGAGCCTAGAGCTGACCCTGCGATGTGGGCAGTGTGTGGAACAGCGGTCAGAAGCGCAACCACTTGCTTGGAATGTTTGCTCCCTCACTTCCTAATTGCAAGACTATGAATTCATTTCCTAATTTCTACACGACTCAGTTTCCTTATGTGTATAATGGGGCCTTTAGAAATAAAACTACTCCCCAAGGATGTGACAGGCAGAGAAGGTGCTTTGCAGAACAGCAGCTTTTATGATGCCCTTCCAGGCCTTACCTCCTAAGCAAGCCTTGTTTGGTTCACAATGTTTTTCAAGAAAATGTGAGGGCTCTGGAGGAAAATAATAGAGAACCCTGTTGATATCCCCTGTGGGGTCATACTTTAAGGCTTCAGAAGGGAGAGGCCAGATTGATCCTTTGAGCTTCTCTACCTTATTTCTCTCAGTGAGAGAAGGGCAAGGGAAGGGCAAAAAAGTAAGGTTGCTGTGTTTTTCCCAGTGAAGTGGGCTGTCACCTGGCCCCTTGGACCTCAATCCTGGTTTGCCTTTGCTTCCTATCTGCAGGTGGCACCTCCTGTCTAAGATGGGAAAGGCAGGAGAGTGGGTTGCTGGAGAAGGAGGTGGCAAAGAGAGAAGACTGAACACCAAGACAGTGAGGAGACCCTCAGGACCGCTCGGATGCTGAGAAGGTTGGAGGGCCAGAGCATGCAGGGGAGCCAGCAGACCCCGCCTCTGCTGTGAGGAGTCTCTCTTTCATTGTGTGGCACTGAGAAAGCCCTGGACCATGTGGTCTAATCCCATGGCGAGTGTGTATTTTTCAAAGTCTAGTACGGTGGCAATTCCAGTCTCTCTTCATGTTCTTAAGCAACTGAGGGGGGTTGTCTTGATTTGGTTTCCCCAGAAGCCAACCCCGAGACTAGGATTTGAGTGCAAAGAATTTGTTTGGGAAATAATCCCAGGAAGCTCCAGTAGGGAAGTAGGAGAGTGATGCAGATGTGGTAGGCTAAAAAATGGCACCAAAAGACGTCTCTGTCCTAATCTCTGCAACCTATGAGTGTTACATTTTATTGCAAAATCTTTGCAGATATAATAACATTAGGCTCTTAGGTTGGGGAGATGATCTGGATTATCTGGGAGAGCCCTAAATACAATCACATTTACCCTTCTAAGAAGGAGGAAAAGGGAGATGAGACACAGGAGAAAAGAAGGGCATGTGACGGGAGAGGCAGAGATTGCAGTGGTGTAGAAGCAAATCAAGAAATCCCCACAGCTGCCAGAGCTGGCAGGATTCTCCTCTCCAGCCTCCAGAGGGAGCACAGCCCTGCTGACATCCTGATCTCAGACTTCTGGCCACCAGTACTGCAAAGGAATACATTTCTGTTGCTTAAAGCCATCACATTTACGAGGATTTGTTACAGCAGCCACAGGAAATTAATACGACAGGGAAGGTAAGGAAGTTATCGAGGGTGTGTTAATAAACCAGCTACTTCTGTGGGCAACTGAGGGGCTCCTGGAGCCCTAAGTACTGCACTTCTGGTGGTCTCACCTGCAGGGCAAGAAAACTGGAGTTTGCCTGCACCGTATGTTTCAGTCAATGTTTGATGGCTACTTTTGGGGGCATCAAGTCTCTGGCTCCTCTGGCCTGCTCTGTGCACCCAAGGAATGAGCTCTCTGTGCCTGAGAATGCCATCAGGCAGAATATCTATTGCAGTTTTCTGCAGTAAGAAGCTGCCAGCATGCTCTGAATTGGTGTTAAGGGGTAGCTTCTGTTCTGAGGGTCCATGGTCAATTTGACGGTCTTTTCTTCTGGTGTCTGGATCTCTCACATGGCCTGTGGTCTCACACTCCTCCTAGCCCTGTCTCACCCAGGGCAGCCCTGTTCAATCATCTTTGGCACCTGAAAGCTCTGTCTGAGTTGGGGAAGGAGAAAGTTGGTGAATCCCTACAGATGATTAATTTTGTTTCTATTACAATTATAGTAAAAAAGCAAAAGGAGAAAGGGATTTCCACAGGATTGTGGAATTGAATTTCTTTCCCAAATCTGCCCCTCCAGTATATGGAGAGAAACATCATCTAGGTGTTCCAGTGGCCCACCATTTCCCCCTGCCATTGTGTCTCTTCAGCACATTTCTCTGGATTTCAAGTCTGTTTGGGCAGTGCACTGAGGACCCCAGGAATATTAACTACCTATGTAGGGTATTTTACAGTTTCCCCTCAGTTTTGGGACCAGTGTTTTAGTTACTTCTGGTGATGAGAGAGTGAGGATGGTATTGTTAGATGTGTTTGAACCATAGCAACTCCATCTTGAATAGGGACTAGGTAAAATAAGGCTGACACCTGCTGAGCTGCATTCCCAGTAAGTTAAGGGATTCTTAGTCACAGGATGACATAGGAGGTTGGTACAAGATACAGGTTATAGAGACATTGCTGATAAACAGGATGCAGTAAAGAAAGTGGCTAAAACCCACCAAAACCAAGATGGCAACGAGAGTGACCTCTGGTTGTCTTCACTGCTACACTCCCACCAGCGCCATGACAGTTTACGAATGCCATGGCAACATCAGGAAGTTACCGTATATAGTCTAAAATGGGGAGGCTTGAATAATCCACCCTTTGTTTAGCATACCATCAAGAAAGAACCATAAAAATGGACAACCAGCAGCCCTCGGGGCTTCTCTGCGTATGGAGTAGCCGTTCTTTTATTCCTTAACTTTCCTAATAAACTTGCTTTCACTTTACTGTATGGACTCACCTCGAATTCTTTCTTGAATGAGATTCAAGAACCCTCTCTTGGGGGTCTAGATTGGGACCCATTTCTGGTACCAGTATTATAAAAATATTAATCACTAACCATTACTAAACATTAGTCATTATTAATCAAATCTGTTTTACAGCAGGGAGAACAGAAGTTGATTGCCTTACTACTCAAAGTATGGTCCGTGGACCAGAAACATCAGCCTCACCTAGGAGCTTGTTAGGAATTCAGAATCTCAGGCCCCACTCTGGACCTGCTAAAGTAAAACCTGCATTTCACCCTGATTTCCAGGCTGTTCATTACACTTGGGGAAGCACTGACTTACTCATCCTAACTGAAACTCTGTTGAGACCTGGGTCTTCTTTGCAGACATGAAGAGAGGGAGTGGAATGAGCAGAAGTAGGCACCTTAGCATCAGAGGTCCTCTTCTATGGGTGCCCTGGGGACTGAGGACTCCTCCATCTTCCTACTGCTGCTTCCTCTGTGTTGTTAGAAGAGTCCTTTATACTGCTGGACCTGGTGAGTACTCTGCGATTGTGTGTTGAGATGTGAGAAGTTACCACTCCGTGTCATGGGAGCGGGAAGGACAAAACCACTTCACACCTTACTGGGGGATTATGAATTCAGGGCCACATTCAGGTGGTTGCTTCCTCTGGCAACCTCTCCTTAGCCCTCTTCCCCCTGGACCGGGCCTCTGGGGGTGAGGCGGCCGTGCTTCTGTCTGCCCAGTTCTGAAACCCTTTCTACCCTTTTAGGCCCCTCACCTGGGTTGAGTCTGTCATATTCTGCTCCCTAAAGCTACCAAGGTTCCAACTTATCCCACGTCTTTCCATAAGCTCTTTTGAATTTTCTCGCTCCTGTAACATCTCGGACAAGAGGCGCGTTGTTACGCTAAAGCCAGCTTCTCCCATGAGCCTTTCTTACACAAATAAAATAGATGTTTGCCTTTGTTCCTTCCACTTCACTTTTTTACACTCCCGGGCACAGGCTTTTAACAGAGTTTATTATAAATGGAAAAGAAAGCCGCTAGGGGCTATAAAGGGTGCCCCTGCATTCTTCCAATTCCAGCTCCTGCCCTTCCCTGCTGCCTGTGTTTTCAATAATGAGTGTCACAGGGGGATGGGGAGATGAATGAGGACTGATAAGAGCAAACCATTATCTCCCTCAGCTCTTGGGAGCAGGCGAGGGGTGCCACCACCTGAGCTTCTGCACCAAGACAGGCAAAGCACTTTCTC
The DNA here is from genome assembly GCF_000001405.40 of Homo sapiens. Taxonomy (NCBI): domain Eukaryota; kingdom Metazoa; phylum Chordata; class Mammalia; order Primates; family Hominidae; genus Homo; species Homo sapiens. The sequence goes on from NC_000016.10 coordinate 82,606,665, forward strand.
TGTGGTCCTCCTGTCTCCTCCGCCTCCCCATGAAGGAGTTTCTTTGGGGGGAAGAGCAGCAGACTCCAGTCCCAGGACCTGGGTTCCTTGTTTGGCCTTTGCCACCAACATACTGTGAGGCAGTGATCATGTGACTGAAGCTTTCTGGGCCTCAGTTTCCTTCTGGGTAGAGAAGCTTGTTCTTCCTGCTTCACAAGGTTGCATGAGTCCATGTGTTAAGATATTCTTCCTTGGATAAAGAAAGAAATACATAGTTCCCACTGTCTTCCTGAAAGTGCCTGCCATTGGTTGTGATTCTGTCCTGTGGGGCTCCAGAGGACAAGGCTAAGCTGCCTTACACCAATGATGGTGAGATAATAGATGTGCAAGCACTTGGTAAACTGTAAAGTGCTGTGCCTGTGTGCAGCATTGTCGTTGCTGTGACCCATGAGTCTGATGGTCCACCGTGGGGTACTGAGAAAAAAAAGAGGGTGAAACTAGGAAGCTTCCATAGGCCAGGGGAGAGGCTATGGGGAAGGGAATTTCAAGTGGGATAAAAGCTGGGTAAGAAGGGAAGGGAGGATGCAATGATTAAAAAGAAAGGGTCAGTGCATTGGACATGATAATGGGCATCCTTCATATATTTTGTTTTATTTTATTTTATTTTATTTTGGAGACAGTGTCTTGCTCTGTTGTTACCCAGGCTGGAGTGCAGTGGCATGATCTCGGCTCACTTCCACCTCCACCTCCCGGGTTCAAGAGATTATCCTGCCTCAGCCTCCTGAGTAGCTGGGATTACAGGTGCATACCACCACACCCAGCTAATTTTTTTGTATTTTTAGTAGAGATGAGGTTTTGCCATGTTGGCCAGGCTGGTCTCAAACTCCTGGGCTGAAGTGATCCACTCACCTCGGCCTCCCAAAGTGCTGAGATTACAGATGTGAGCCACTGTGCCCAGACCTTCATATGTTTTAAGTTTGGATTTCACCCCTTCTTCCTTACCTCTGAACTTAGGGTTGTCCAAGTCCCTCTTGATATGATAAAAGATTTAAGCTCAAGGTTCCAGTCGCCTTAACTATTTCAGTCATCACTAAGATGATCACCTTCTTTGAAAAACACACTTTGTACCTGTTGATATCGTCTCGAGTTGCACTGGCCATTTCTTTTTGCCAGCTGTGTTTTATATTGGGCTGGCGGAGCTTACAGTCAACTCATGCATCTTTTCTCTTATGAGCTGGTACCAATTTGGCTCTCACTATTTTTCCATTTTGTATTTAAGATAAGGGAAGAAATTTTCTGTAATTAATATTTTTTAATAATGTAAAATGTCAGTGGCTTAAACAGGCATGATGAGGCTCCAGCCAGGTGGACAATCCCATATGGGTTTCCAGGAACTTAAGCGGGGATTGGTGAAGTGGTGACCGGAAGCAGAGAGGGGAGGGAAGGGCCAGAGGGCTAGTGTGGGAGGACCAGCCTCCCTAATGGCCCCCAGTGAACCTGGCCCCCTACTGTTCATGCCCTTGTGTAGTCTGCTCATGAAGTAACTCAGAGAGACTATCAAGTATGGCCATGATTACAGCTTGTTAATCTCTCAGGCTTTCATAAAAGGCATGGCAGCTTCTACCTTGGCCTCTTGGGTCTCTTAGTTTGAGGGCATCCGGTGACCATGACCTGGGGAACCTCAAGCAGCTTTCTGGAGAGGCCCAGGTGAAGGAGAACTGGGGTCTCCTGTAGACAGCCAGCACCAATTTGCCAGCCATGTGGGCAGCTACTCTGAAAGATCCTCCTAAGACAAACATTCAAGTGGCTGCCATCCTGGCCAAGTCCTTGCCGCTGATAGACACCCCCCAGTCAGGAATGCCCAGCTAAGCCACTCCTGAATTCCTGACCCATTGAAACTCTAAATGATAGTAAACGTTTATTGTTGTTTTAAGCTACCAAGTTTTGGGGTAGCGATAGATAACTAACATAGTGGGTACAAGCTCTGTGCCGGGGAGAGCTGAGGGTCAAGTTAGAGAAGTCAGTTTTTGCTTTTGCTCCATGGAGTAAAAGTTTTTGCAGGAAAAAAAGCCTTTTTATTTTATTTTTCTAAGAAAACGTTGTAGTTTATGAGAACTGCTTCTCAGGAAGGAGGGAAGTGTTGACCACTCAGGGGTCTGGAGCTACTGCACCCCTTAACATATCAAGTCACAGGCTTAAGAATCCATGAATACAACAGAAAGTCCCAGTGAACATGGCCTGTGGTTGTCAGGGGATGAAGGGGTCTTGTGACATTCGGAAGAGAAAGATGAAGTATTGTGATGTGCAGTGGGGGAGAGGAAGGTGGTCCTTGCCATAAATTAGCAAACTTCATTCAGACTTTTAGAAAAGCATACAGAAAACATATCTTTGAAAGAAGTTGCAATATTTGTTCAGTAAAACGTATAGGATCTCCAAATGCGTTGTAGTGTTTGTCCAAGGAAGTAAAGCACTGAAGATCTATAAAGCAGTCATGGTGTGGTTTCAGCAGAGTAAAATACTCTGACTCTCTCATTAATTGAGATTTTTGAGTTTTGGGATACGTGAGATGAAGTTCAACTGACCGTGGATTATCATCAGCAGGAGGCCAGAAATGAAAGCCAGACCATAAGGATCAGGAGCAGGGCAGAGCCGGAGTGGCCAGGGCCAGGGCTCAGAGCCAAGTGAGGATGCTTGACAGTTGCTGCAAACATGGCTGCTCAGATATTTTTAGAGGGACTGTTAAGAGTCTATGACTGGGATAAGCAACTCCCTGCTCCAGTCTGGGATTCTCTGGTCCTATTCTCAGAAACTTGGGCAGTAACAGGGCTCTGGTAGTGCTTGCCTACTCCTGGGATATATAAAAAATCTATTGACTGAGTCAAGTTGAGGCCACAGATATCAGGATGCAAGGGATTCTGGTTCTCGCAGTGAGGGCTCCACACCTTCTGTACATAGGCAATCTAGTGTGGGATTTCCAGTTTTCCTGGGAGAAGGCAGGTTTTTCTGTTTTTTTTTTTTTTTTCCCTGTCCTAGTACATGTGCCTGAGTCGTCCAAACGATACGGGATGACTGGATGAAAGGTGCCCAGCTAGGCCAGGCGTGGTGGCTCACGCCTGTAATCCTAGCACTTTGGGAGGCTGAGGCAGGCGGATCACTTGAGGTCAGGAATTCAAGACCAGCCTGGCCAACATGGTGAAACCCTGTCTCTACAAAAAAAAAAAAAAAAAAAAAAATTAGCTGGGCATGATGGAGCATGCCTGTAATCCCAGCTACTCGGGAGGCTGAGGTGGGAGAATCGCTTGAACCCAGGGGTAGGGTGCAGAGGTTGCAGTGAACCGAGATTGTGCCATTGCACTCCAGCCTGGGTGACAAAGAGATACTCCATCTCAAAAACAAAAACAAACAAACAAACAAAAAACAAAAAGAAAAGAAAGGTCCCCATCTAAGCTGATGACAATTAGAAGTACTATTATTTTCAAGACGTTAAGTCAGCTTACCTTTCCAGTAACCTAGGTCTCTTAATAGTGTTTTCCTTTTTCTGATTGAAAATAAAATGCAACCAATTGAAAAAATAAATAACGTTAGAGAATTGTGAAAAGGCAATAATGTCTTCATCCAGGCACTCAAAAATATGGGTCATTTTTATGATTCTCATGGGCACATGAAATACATACATGAAGGGTATGGCCTAAACAAGACTGATTTGGTTGCAAGAACCAAAATCTGATTTGAAACAAACCAGCAAGCAAAAGCCAAACAAATAACCCCCCCCAAAAAACAAAAGAAGGAAGAAAGAAAAGGGTGAAAGAAAGAAAGAAAGAAAAGAAAAAAAGAAAAAAAAAGAAAAGGAAAAGAAAAGAAAAGAAAAAAGAAAAAAGAAAAGGAAAGAAAGAAAGAAAAGAAAGAAATTTATTGGATTTTGCTTTGGATGTTTGGCTTAGCTGCCATCTTCCATTCTCCGTATTTCTTGGTTCAGATTCTCAAGAGAGAGAATTGGATTGGCCAAGAGCAGTTCAGGATCCTTCCAAGGCAGGCAGGCTAGGACAGAGTGGTGGCAGGGCCTTCTCCTCTGGGTTGGAAGGGTCATTATTAGATGGGAGGTTCATGTACTAGGCAGACACTCCAAAATGTCTACTACAAACCTCCACACTGGTGGGGAGCACTGGCCAGCTTATAACCACACACACTTCGGTGGGCTATAAGAAATCCAAAGCTTTAAGGTTGTCTGATTTAGCAAAAAAGAAAGTTATTATAAGTATTTAATAGTTGTGACATATTTAATACCAGGAAATTGTTTGTTGTTTATCTGAAATTCAAATTCAACTGCACATCCTTTATTGTATCTGGCAACTTGACCCAAGGGTGAGGGTTATCCTTCTTCGTTGGAGCTGTCATGGAAAAAGAACTGGGAAAATTTTAACTCTGAGTCTCAAACTAAGTTTTTCATGCCCAAGGGCTGCTTGTATTCATGTCCTGTTTGTTTTCTGTGATCTGTTTTCATTTTCAAGAGAAGCAACCTGGTTTGATGAGAAAACAGAGACCCCGACACTGAGGTCTGAATCTGCCACTTGTGGACTGCATGATGCTGAGCAAGCCAGTGAGGTACCTCTGTCTTCTCATCTGGAAACCAGGCATCGCCATGCCTATTTCAGAAGGGTCCTGTGAGCTCCATCCCTGTTGTTCCAAATGGTAACACTTCCTTTGTTCTTCAGGCTGAATAGTATTCCATCCCATATATATATATATATATACACACACACACACACACACACACATACATATATATACACACATATACATATATACACATATGCATATATACATATACACACTTATGCATACATACATACATACTCTACATACATGGATGTATATACATCTTCTTTATCATTTCATTCATTAATGAAGCACTTAGATTGTTTCCATTCTTTGGCTATTCTGAAAAATGGCGCAATGAACGTAACAACACAGATAAGTCTTTGAGATACTGAATTTAATTTCTTTGGAAAAATATCCAAAAGTGCTCAGTGAAACAAGCGAGACAGAGAGAGGCAAATACTGTATGATCTTCCTTCTATGTGGAATGTACAATAGTCAAACTCATAGAAGCAGAGAGTAGAAGGGTGGTTGCCAGGGGGTGATGGAGGGAGAGGGATACAGGGAAATGTTGCTCAAGGAGCACAGAGTTTCAGCTATGCCGGATAAATAAGTTTTGGAGATCTAATGTACAGCGTGGTGACTGTAGCTAACAATAGTGTTTCACACTTGAAATCTGCTAGGAGCAGAGAGCTCAAATGTGTTGTTCTTAGCACACACATACACACACAATGTAACCATGAGAGCTGATGGGTATGTTAATTGTTGTAATCATGGTGATTATTTCACAATGAATACATACATCAAATCATCAAGTTATGTAACTTGAAGATGTACAATTAAAAAAATTATTTAAATATTGTTGTGAGGAAGAATACCTAGGGGGATACCAGCCATGCGGCAGGTTCTCAACTAATACATGTGTTCCTTCTCCTTGCTTACTCATCATACAAACAGAAACACCAGTATCTATTATCATTATTGAGTAGCTATGATCATGTATATGCCAGCTGTGGGATCGTGTGCTGTTCAAGCACTGTCTCATTGGATTCTGGCAACAATCAAGTGAGAGAGCTACTATATCCCTCTCTAATTTACTGATGATGAAACTGGGGCTTAGGATGGTAAAAGAGTAGTCCAGGGACACAAAGCTTCTAAACAGCAGAACCAGGATGTAATCCTGGGGCCGGGCGCCTCCAGCGTTCAAGCTGCCAGTTCTCAGTACTTTTCCTTGTACTCAGAAAGCAGAAATCCCATTGTGTGGCATGTGGAACAGTTGCAGTGTTGAATCTACCCTCTGTTCAAGTATAATTGGGCCTGCAACCACTTATTGACTAATATTTGTTGAGTATTTACACCATTGCAGGCTCTCTTCTGGACACTGGGAATGCACTGATGAGCAGGGAAAGTCTCTTCATGGAATTCCAATCCCAGTTAGGACACAGACAATAAACAAACAGACACAAGCAAGACCGAGCATCATATTGCAATACGTGATATAAAGAGAATGATATGGAGGAATGAGAGATGTGACTGTTGGTTAGGGAGTCAGAAAGGGATATTTTGAAGAAGGATGTTCCCGGAACATTTCTCTGAGGAGGTGGCCCGTGAGCCAAGTCCTAAAGCAAACATGGGGAGATGCAGACGGAGGGCTGATGGCAACAAGAACAAGCCAGGAGTGATATGGGCTCAGCGAAGAGGCCGGTGTGAAGCAGAGTGTGCAAGGCAGAGAGGTAGGAGATGAGGTCAGACCACAGCAAGGAGGTAGAGATTTATTCCTTGGTGATGGGGAGATACACAGCGCCAACCACAGCTTCAGAAGAAAGCCCTCCTGTCTCCAAGGCGCTGAAGCCTGCATGAGGAAACCAATCATGCCACTTATCGCCCCAGTTTGAAAAGTAATTGCAGACACATGTGAAAAGGGCAGGGCAATCTTTTCTGCCAATTATGTGCCCTGTTATTAGGCGATTAGAAGCTGGTGAAGTCACGGTGTGAGGGATTAGCCGCACAATCTCCTCTCCCACCGCCTCCTCATTTCTGCTGCTTCTCCTGAGGGCACACTCTTCCTTCCCCAGGGAATGGTCCCAGCTTGAACAGGTGCCTTTCCAAATGATGTCCTCTAAAGCAGCTTGTCCTTGTTTGTAAAAGAAAAATGAGACCGGCAAGAGACCCTTAAAAAACTGCAGCTGAAAAGCAAGGTGACAATATTGCAGACTTTCGAAGGGTCTTGTCCTGAGTGTTCCCAGAGCTGGGAATCCACCAGATTGTGTTGGTCCTTGACACACTTCCATTCATATGCCCCTTTCGTGTTTTATTCAGTTCTTATGCCTGTGTACACCTGCCCATTTCTGTGGGTCTTTTCTTCACTGATTTATCCAGCTTCTCATTCTTTAAGCCAATACTTAACTTAGCACCTATTTTCTGCCTGGCACAGAGCTATTCTTTTAAATTAATGGTGAAGTCTAGTGGTTAAGAGCTTTGGGCCCAAACAGTCCTGAATTCAAATCCCAACTCAGCTCCTTCAGTTCTTCCTACATTTAGCTGTGTCATCTGTGTACATGTTTAAGTCATATAACTTAATGGGGACAGTGGAGGGATGGGGGTCTCTGTCTCTCTAATGCCCTTCATTCATCCTCATTCTCAGCCCTGATGGATAGGAGACTTTCAGCCTAGCACCCTAACACAGGGTAGATGTCAGTGGTGGCAAGAGGACGTTGGTTGGTGTGTAGTGTCCCACTCTGGAGGTGAAGATCCAAGAGCAGGGCGGCTCTGCAGGGCGTGGCCTCTGAGGGCAGGACACGTGGGCGTCGAGGAACTGCATGAAGCAGGAAGGCTGGGAGGAAGAAAGAGAGGCAAAGGGAAAAGGGAGCAGAGACAAGATAAGGGGCTTGCCACACCATCAAAGAGGAATCCCTGGGGCCTGAATAAAAGCCAGCTAAGCCATCCTGTTCCTGGGCTTCTATGGAGCTTGGTTGGCTAAGGGTGTAACCTCAGGAACCAGATTGCTTGGGGTCAAATCCTGATTCTGCCTCTGTGAGCTGTGTGAGCTTGGGCAAGGGATCAAACCTCTCTGTGCCTCATTGTCTCCTCTATACAAAGTGAGCCTAATAATAGAACTGACTTTGTCGGATGGCTTAGAAGGATTCCATGAGTTCATACACACAAAACGCTTACAGTTACGCCCACCGCAGATTAAGCGTTAGCAATTGTCCAAATCTAATTGTTCTACTCTTCTCCTTTCCTGCCCGCGTTTCACCAGAAAACTTGCTGTCTGGGATATTTGTTTTGTTTGCTACTATATTCCCTGTTCTATTTCCTGGAACAGTGCTCGAACCCAACTGATATTTTTTAAAGTTTGTTTGAATGGATGAATACATGAAAGAATATGTGAATTACTATCCTGTGTACTTTGTGTTCTTGATCAGCTCTGTGTGATAATGGGCTCCCTGCCCAACCTTTCAGATATTGTGGGCATAGTGGCAGTGTGGCATGATAATATTAATTGTAGGTGGGGCATGGTGGCTCATTCTTGTAATCCCAGCACTTTGGGAGGCTGAGGCAGGAGGATCACTTGAGCCCAAGGGACCAGCCTGGGTAACATAAGGAGACCCTGTCTGTACAAAAAATACAAAAATTAGCCGGGCATGGTGGCATACACTTATTATCCCAAGTACTTGGGAGGTTGAGATGGGAGGATTGTTCGAGCCCAAGAGGTTGAGGCTGCAGTCAGCCGAGATCGCGCCACTGCTCTCCAGCCTGGGTGACAGAGCGAGACTCTGTCTCAAAAAAAAAAAAAAAAAAAAATGGTAGCACCTGCTTTCTGAGGATAGAGGAGCATGATACCAGGCCCCCGCCTGGCACAATGAAAGTGCTCAGTCATGTTACTTGTTAGCGACATCATTGCTTTGTGTGGTATACCCCCTCTTTCATGACACCTGAGTGCTCACCAAGGCTTTTTGACCATGGTGAAGAATCTGACTATGATTGATATGATTGAGAGATGAAGGATCTCACTAAGACTAGATAACCTGGATTTTCCATTCCATGTGGCCAGGCTCTAGGCCTGTAACTCTCTGGTCGTGACTTCCTGGAATCAGCTAGAATTTTGCTATCTTGTGATTGTTTACCACTGTTAGTATACACCCTGTCTTAGATTCCACAGAATTGGCAGAGTCTGAAATATTTAGAAACATTGGGTCCAGTGAACAGTCCCATAAATTGTGCAGGTGTCCAGTTCTGCCACCCAGGGGCTGATTCCAAATCCTTGGTGGCCGTTCTCTTCTCCTAAGTTATGAACTTCTTACGTTGCTAGCTAATACAGGTACTTGAGTTTTGGCACATTCCATAAAACATAAGGATTGAAAGGGATCTGTAGAATAGCCAGTTCAACCCTGTCATAATACAGGCTAATATGTGTTTTACATGAACAAGCCATGTAGTTTGTATAACAGTCTATGAAATAGAAATAGGCACCAGCCCTTTTTATTGAAGGGGCATCTGAGATTCAGGAGTTAGCAGTTCTACAAAGCTAGAGATATGGCCTGTTCATCTTTCTATTGACAGATGAAGAGAGGCAGTATGGCAAGCTGGTCAAGTGTTTGTGTTCTAGAGCTGGGAGCTCTGGATTCGCACCCCTTTTCCACTAGCAATTATGCCTCAGTTTATTCATTTTAAGGTGAGAATAGTGATAGAACTGGCCTCTTAAGATTTTCATAAGTGGTAAACAATCTGACATGTAACAAGTGCTTAAAACAGTGGCTGACACATTACCAATGACTGTTAGCTATTAGTTAATTAAAATGATAATTATTATAATTGATAAAATACGATATTTTACATAAATAATAAAATAATATAATAGTAAATTTTAAGATAAAATAATCAACCCAATTAATTCTCAATTAACGTTTGTTATTATTTCTGTAGTTACTCCCACCATGTGGCACAGTACTTGGCAGATGGCAAGTGCTCAACAGTGATGAGTTAAGTAACTCACCCAAGTCTGGCTCTAGTAAGTGACAGAGTGGAATTTAAACCTAGGCTGTTGGATTCCAAAGGCTGTGCTTATTAGCAAGAAAGGAAACCAAGTCTTCAGAAACAGTGATCTGTTTTCACTGCAGCAAAAGTAAGCCTCAGAAACATGTCCAGGATCCAGGCGCTCTGACTCCCAGGTCAATGCTTGGTCCTCAATGACGTAGGTTCCTTCACCCCAGGGCAGGTTTGCCTATCACTGGTTATTGGTGAAAGGAGATAATCGTATTTCCTATGGGGCTGGTTATGATTCAATGAGAAAAGCATGAGTGTAAAGTGCTTGGAAAAGTGTCTCACACTTAATAAATGTCACATCTCTCATGATTACTTTTCATGCATGCATTTATTAATGCATAGGTGCTATTTTGAAGTGCTGTGCGTGCTTGCCACTGGGCTTATTGAGGACATAGATAAGAATCAGACTTGTTTCTTCACCTCAGGCAGCTCATGGTGCAGTGAAGGACTCCAGTAAATGAACAATAACATGTTGTAAGTGCATTTAACCCAGGCTGGGTAGATCAGGGGCAAATTCCTGGAGGAGGTGGCACTTCCTGGATGAGCTATGGTCCACTGTGTGGACCTAGGCCTGCAGAGGAGAAAGGTGATACAGATAATTCCAAGGAAGCAGCAGGTGCAAAGGTCCTGAGGAAAATGAAGTAGCCTCACCTGAGGTGGGATGAATGGGAGAATGTTCTCTGTGGTTGGTACTTGACCTTTGTTGTGGGAGATTAACATAGAAAAACAGCTATATAGGATCTTTATGCATGGCATCGAATGCCAAGTTAGGGATTTGGACTTTAACCTAAGGGCAATGAGAGGCTACTGAAGGTTGTACATAGATACCACAAAGACCAGGGACAAACTTGCTGTTATTAACTGCTGAGTAAAATTATGCATGGATCATAGTAGACATTTGATATTTATTGGTTGAATTAAAAATTGCCCTGGCAACAATGTGGAAATAAGACTGAGGAGTTTGGGGAGACTGGCAACCTACAAACCAATTATTTAGTTTGATTCCAGAAATGTACTTCTTTTCTTTTTCCTTTTTTTTTTTTGTTTTACTATATCTTGCTTTTTATAAAAACAACTGCTGAATGAATGAATGAATGAAGAAGGTGTTGTCATAGTCTACTTTCTTTGTTAAGAGAGAGACAGTTTATGGGCATCCAAGGCAATGTTACCTGAGAGTACTGAAGTAAGTAAGTTCTGGAATAAATAACCATTTAACCCCCAAAGAATAGTAACTGGGCCATGGACATCTTCTGGGAATATGCTGAGACCTGTCTCTTCACCCAGAAGCCCTATGACAAGCAACGAGAATTCTTTGTCTTCTCTCTTGACACTCTCTGATCTTCGGAGTCTCCTGGGGAGAAAAAGTGAATCAATAGATTCATTACACGAACAAGGACCTGGCACTCTGAAAAGGCTTTAGATGAATTCCTGACCTGTCAAGTAAGAGAAAATAGTGTTGAAAATACTCTACCATGTCTTGTTCAGGTGTGCCCTGGTTCAACTCAGTATCTCCAGATTCACCTTGGGACAGTGGCGTCCTCAGTCCACCTAGGCCATGTCCCACAGCCCACAGGAGATTGGTCTTGGCAAAGAGAATAGGTTGTAATCTACTTGGCTTGCCTGCAGGGCCCCTGGGCCCTTGGTCTTATGGTTTATGTAATATGAGCCTTATAAATATGCATGCTTACTCCTGGCCATATTTTTGCACAGAGGTTCCTTGGCAGTGTCCTGCCATCATCAAGCGTTGGGCCACTTGGTATTTCTGATGAGATTAATGCGTTTAGAGAGTCACTGGTCCATCCACTCTCATTGGCTGTAAGACCATCTGTTCATTTATTTCTTAAGAAATAGATTAGGCCAGGCACGGTGGTGCACGCCTGTAATTCCATCACTTTGGGAGGCTGAGGCAGGTGGATCATCTGAGGTCAAGAGTTCATGACCAGCCTGACTAAAATGGTGAAACCCCATCTCTACTAAATACAAAAAAAATTAGCCGGGCGTGGTGGCACATGCCAGTAATCCAAGCTACTTGGGAGGCTGAGACGGGAGAATTCTTGTACCTGGGTGGTGGAGGTTGCAGTGAGCTGAGATCGCTCCATTGCACTCCAGCCTGGGCAACAAGAGTGAAACTCCATCTCAAAGAACAAAAAAAGGAATAGATTATTAAGTGCTTGTCATGAAGCAGGTATGGTCCTAAGTAGTGGAGTCCAATAATAAATTAAGAGCTATGTAGTTGCCATCATGGAACTCATATTCTAGTGAGGGAAACAAACATAAAAAGCTAACAACAAATAAAATGGTGACAAATGATAGGAAGTGACACGAAGGAAACAACCAGGACATAAGCCAATGAAGGGTGACTGGAGAGGGACAGCACCTCTTCTGAAGAGGTGACATCAAAACAAATTCTGGGAGGATGAAAATGACCTAGAAGTTGGGAAAAGGAACATTCCAGATGGAGAGACTAGAATGTGCGCAGGGGTGGGGAAGAGCTTGACAGATTTGATAGCCAAGAGAAGGGCAGAGTGCAGTGAGCAAGAGGGAAGTGGAAATGGAATGAATTTGGAGAGGGAGACAGGAGAGAACTTTGTAAGACATTGTGGGCCGTGGTGAGCTTCCCTTTTCTGTCATGCGCTAGGAGAGAATTTAATGAGTCAACATACTCACTTTCAACTTTTATGCATTGGAAACAGGACCAGCGGAGACCATTTCTATGTCCATTTGGAGTGTTGGGACTGAATGGGGATGCAAAAGAGGACTGCACTTTGAGAACCACTGCTCTGGGAGATGGATGCTGAGGTACAAGAGATGTACTGTTGGATATTTTGTTTTGCTGCAGTAAATGTAAGTATTCGAAACAGCAGACTTGCAGGGCTAAGGAAGAACTCTACGATGCACCTGCACTCTCTTAGTGATGCATCCCACTCCTGTCTATTAAATATCTGCTCAGTGCCAGGCAATGTGCAGGCAATGAGTATCCGAGAGAGAGGGACAGACATCATCCCCGACCTAATGGAAAATGCACGCCCGTCATTTTAAATCCACAGAAGCTCAGATTCAAAAAACAACAGAGTCTTAGATTTGCCTTTTCTGGGTCTCATTTGGTTAAATTCTGACAGCTGTCACACAATCAGAATCATTAAAATCTAGTTTTCTGTGCTTAACTTGCTTCCACCGATTAACTTTCCCCAACTTATTATAGTGGTCCTGACCTTGGTCTATTCATAAAAGACCATAGCAACCACTAACCGGATGGGTTGCTTTTTATAGGAGCAGCACAGTTTTATCTACTAGAGGCATTGGCAGATTTGGATTACATTGTAAATAAATTTATCCAATGCAAACATTCACCAATCTGCATTGCATTGTAAATACATTTTCCCAAGTGATTGTTAAGTGATGGCCTTACAATCATGTTGGCATAAGAAAAACAACCAGAGAGAGATTCAGTAGCTTTGTAGTAAGTGTTGATGAAGGAAATGGGATTTGTAAGGTGACAGTCAGCTTGGATTAGATGGATGGAAGGAGAGGGCCATTTGGTGAGTCAAGGAATCATCAAGGAATTGAATTTGTGATAGACATTAAGTGTTGGCCATACCTATGTAAATATCTATGTTAGATGTTAAGTATTCAGCTTTTTGCCCGTTCCCTGAGCTACACATAGTCCCAAGAAGGGGTATTATTTATATACAAGTCATCTATTTCTGGATAAAACAACCACAGCAATCTCTGTGTCATATGGCAGTAAAGATTTATTCCAATGGATTGGCTGAGGTTTTGCTGGTCTGATCTAGGCTGGGGCAGTCAGATCTCACTGCAGGTCTGAGATAGAATGGAGTGTCTCAGCTTCACATGGTTCTCACTTTCTTGGACCAGCAAGACATACAGGAAATGTTCCTTTCATGGAAATGGCAGTGGCATAAGAGAACAAAGGGCTCTTAAGACATATGCTTAGAAGTGCACACTGCCACCCCCATCTCATTTGATTCACCAGTGCAAGCCAAACGGACAAGCCCAAGGTCAAAGTGGAGTATATTCACTCCACCTTTGATGAAGCAAGAATTAGATCCAGGTAGAGGTGAAGAATTAGGGCTCAAAGCAAATCTACCATATTCATAAGTAAGTTTTCATTCATCTATTATTGCATAGGCTCATGTTATATGCCAGACACTGTGTGGGGCAGCAGGAGAGATGTCCATGTCATATTCCTATACCACTCACTAGTTAGGAACCTGATAAAAAGAGTTCTTTCTCGCATTATCTTCTATATGTTGTGTACGACAGTCTGCTAAGAAGTCTCTCTTCCTCTATTCTGGCCCTTAATTCAACCCATCTTCCAATGTGGCTGGAATGATCTTCCTAAACTGTAAATTAGATATTAAACCTCTGTTTAAGCAGTTTAAATGATTCCCTCTTGGCAGTAGGATAAAGTTCAGTCTCCCTAAGGTTGATGCTTAAGCTGGTTCTCATCTGAACCCCTAAACTGCCCAGCCTTGCCTTCTGCCATTCCTCTGGTTACCAGCCACTTCCACAAATGCCTTTTTTTTCTTCACTTTCCCTTTGTTCTAGCTCAATGATTCCTGACTTGGGGACCAGAGATGGGCAGATTGGGACAGGAGGGCTGTGAAGTCATTGCAAGAGATCTTATCTAAATACACAGTAAGCGTTGCTTGTCAAGTGAATAAATAATACCCCCTGACACAAACACAGGCACTGTCATTTTGGACCTTCACCTAGATGCGATTGTAAAGAATGAACTTCAAATTCTGCTAGAAGGAAGGGTTGAATTATGAGCTTTCCTTTGCAGTTATTTCTTTTCTCATCAATGGATATGAAAAATACAACATCTGCGAAGTGGAGACCCATGATGGTTTTTGACACATAATAGAAACCAGCAGTGAATCCCTTGTCTCTTCTTTTTTATTTTTTATTTATTTATTTTTTCCCTCAGACAGGGTCTTGCTCTGTCACCCAGGCTGGAGTGCAATGGCACAATCTTGGCTCACTGTAACCTCTGCCTCCCGGACTCAAGTGATCCTCCCACCTTGGCCTCCTGAGTAGCTGGGAACACAGGCATGTGTCACCACGCCCAGCTAATTTTTGTAATTTTTGGAGAGATGGGTTTTCACCACGTTGCCCAGGCTGGTCCCGAACTTCTGGACTCAAATGATCCACGCGCCTCAGCCTCCGAAAGTGTTGGGATTACGGGCGTGAGCCACTGCACCCGGCCCCCTCGTGTTTTCTTAAACACATCTTGATCCTTCATACCTCTGGCTACCTTGACTGTGTTTCAGCACCCCCTGTAGCACATTATAACATAATTTCTCCCAATTAGTCATATTTTCTTAAGCATACACACCATGCATCATAATTTATTTCCCTGTTGCTTAACTCAGGGGCTAATATGCAATAGGCACTTTAGGGATACTTTTTAAATGAATAAATAAATATTTGTGAGTGAGTAGTGGAGAACTCTCTGGAGCATTGGTTTTCAAAGTGTACATTCCAAGGGCTTGTAAAACACAGAATGCTGGACTCCACCCCTGAATTTCCAAACTAGTAGAACTAGGGGCCTGATCTGCCTGGGAATTTTTCATTGCTGACAAGTTTCCAGGTGATACTGATGCTGCCAGTCTTGGGCCACACTGTAAACGTCATTGTCATACTAAATTGGCACTGAGATGATTCTCTGTGTAAAAATAACCCCAGCCACTAATTTTGGGTAAGGGAGACACCTAGAGGGGGGTTTTAACTGCTTCTTGTTCAGAGAATAAAAATTGGTGTCTGAATGCCCAGTTTTGCTTCTCATGAGGGACTGAAGTACTAAAGACAATTGGGCCAATTTAACTGAGATGGCCTAAAAGTCACCCCTGGTTTCATCTCCATTGCTAGTGTGGAAGTCATGCTTGTATTAAACATATTCACAGAGGACACTGTATTAGGGCAGAACCTAAAAAGATGAAGGAGTATTTTTTGTCTTATTCTTAGATGTGTGGGCTCTGCCTACATCGAGGAAATTCAGAAGGATATCACACCCTGTGTGTCCTCCACAAAAGATCTTCAGACACCCACAGGCTCACACATGTTCTTCACTGTGTCTAGTCCTGGTCTGGACTATTGTGAGAAGACCTTGCATCGTAGGGAGCTACATGTGATGGGCCTCTCAGCATCACACATTTTTCAACACAAAAGCCAATTAATTCACCCGCTCAAACCAAGTCTTCTAAGCACCTGCCGTGCTCCAGACCCTGTTCTGAGCACGCAGCAGTAAAAATACAGAAATGAGCTTACATTCCAGAGGAAGAGACAGACAACAAGCCAACAGATGTAATCACTCATTAATTATTGCTACAAAACAAATTACCTCAAAATATAAAGCAATTGTTTATTTTCAGGTCACATACCTGCTGATCAGCTGAGCTGGGCAAATTTGGCTGGGCAAGCATCTGTGGGCCCATGAGGGGCTCATATTTCCTCCTAGGACCGGCGGGATAGCCCACAAATGCTCTTTTCAAGGCATCAGTAGGAGCTTTTGCGAGAGTAAGCTAAAACACAGAGGGTCTCTTGGGACCTGAGCTTATAACTGGTACCCCATCCCTTCTGCTTCATTTCATTTGTCACAGAAGTTGCATGGCTAAACCCAAGGCCAAGGGGCAAAGGGCACAGATGCAGGTTGGAGTGAAGGATTGAGATGACAACGCAAGCAACAATGCGTAGCAGAAGGTCAAGTAACATAGGGGGCCAGGAAGAAACACGAAGCAGTGTTTGTGGCTTAAGAGTGATCAGGAATGCTACTTTTGGTCAGCATTCTGGTAGCCAGGGAGACTTGTTGTAGGACGGTGCATTGTCCTAATCTTGGGTGTTTTTAGCAGGTGTTCCCATTGTAGGGAGTGAGACATTAGCATGAAGGTATGTTGCAGTGCTGTGTGATACAGGCTTCCCTGCATGCTGTCCAAGTGGGTCTCTGTTATCCAGGTCCCCAGACACGCCTAATCACTGGGTTGTTGCATAAGGGCTCCTAGCTGGATTAATCCCGCTCTATACAAATGCCTCATCATAGCAGCACATTGAAAGCATAACAAAATTTGAATACATTATCTCTGCCGGACTATATGCCAGTCACTCCCTCCCCCCAGCACACACACACCCATGTGCTTATATGCATACACACAGGAACATGCACGCACTCACACAGCCACATCCACCCACTGTGGAATGCCTTCATCAACATCAGCCAAGGACAGGAAACAAACTCAACCCTTGGCACCCACAGGAGGCAGCTACTGGCTGTTGGATTATTCCCTCCGTGCCAAAGCTAGGCTGATGCGTCTGGAAAAGGGGTGTGAACCTCGAATGTGTCTAAAGGCAGACACAGCTTCTTGAGGAGCCCACAGATGCTACAGCAGCTGGGGCTTGGTCGGGGGATGATACGGGGTAGGCGGTGGAGTGGGGATACGTAGGGCTCAACTTTAGTATTTATTTGCCACATCAATCAATTAATCAGCCAAAAAACCCTTATTAGGGAACTGAATAAAAAGCAAAGCAAAACGAAGAATGGATTTCTTCTTCAGAAGCCTTTTATCATTGGAATGAAATAATTTTTCTTCTGTCTTTGTTGGACAAAATATGATCTCTTGTTCTTTGTTGAAGTGCACGTTCTCTGAAAGTCGAGAGGAATAGATGATAGAGGGGAAGAGAAACATCAATATTTACAACAGTCCTGGGAGTGTTATCATGTTATCATTCGCATTTTATTGATGACATACTGAGTCTTAGGGTACCAAACTGACTTGCCTCATATATGTGGAATCTGAAGATCTCAGTTCAGGTCTAATCTTTCTGACAAATCTTTTTCCACCTTAGTAGGCTTGGCATGTTTTGAACCTCGTGGGATTACAGAAGTGAGCCTCAATGCCTAGGGAGACTCCAGAAGACAACTCCTCTCATTCCTTAAAAGCCAATCTGTGGGGATTGAGGTGAGGAAGGAGTGAAGACTGGCCCTTTGGGCACACCCACCTGGAATCAGGCAAGGTTTACTGGAGCCACTCTGCCTGCCAGCAGAACAGCCCAGGAAAAAAGCCTGGGACCTTTGCAAATGCCTGAGCAGGACTTTGCAGGGGACAGAGTCAGCAGGATTTTCACCAAACGACATCCATCTTAATTGGTAGCATCAGACTCATGAGGTCTTCTATGGCCTGGGCATCACAGACTCTCATTACTGGTCGTACTGCCAATGGCCTCCTTTTATATATAGTTGATGAATTTGAGGACAAACCAGAGAATTGCCCTTGGCCAAACCAAGCTGTCTCACCCAAGATTTTTCCCCTCCTTGGGGAAATACTGGGGCAAAAAGCACGTCCAGGGAAACCAATCTGCCTGACACTGGCAATTAAATGCTCCAGGCTTGAAGGGACATGGCACTTTTGCACATGGCTCATTGGCTAGATGTACACACACTGCCCCACCCCAGCAACAAGGGGGCCAGTAAATGCAATCCCACCATGATCCCAAAAGGGGAAAAATTGGAAATATTTGGTCATCAGCACTAAGGACAAGGGAATGGGGAGACCACAGAAGGCCAGCAGAACTGTAAAACTGACAGCACCGAACTGTCCTTAGAACACAGCCTTGAAAACTCCCTCTTCTGAGGGACTGCTTCCCTTAACTGAGCTGCTGCAGATGGAAACCTAGCTAGATCCTCATCTTCTGCAGTCTAGTCCCTCACTGTGGTTTATCACCTCCCAAGCTGTCCTCTGCTCTCTTTCCCTATCTTTGTGTTGCTAAGCCATGGACTCAGTTTAGCTGGCCCTGAATTACAAGATGGCACCTTCCCTGGAGTGGAGAAAAGTCCGGATATTTCAGGATGCCTTGATTTGAAGCCTGTTTGACTCCAAAGTTCTCTGGTTTACTCCCACCTGTGGGAAACGTGAGGCTAGATCTCCACACACATGGATTCCAAAGTGTCATGATCTGTGACGTCATCTGTCGGACCGTATTGATCAGAGGCTCAGGGACAGATGACCCTATTTAGGCAAGGAAATGAGTGGGTGAAGCAGCAAGATTCACCTTTCCCAGTTTCATCTGGGGGTTGTTTTGCCAACATTGCCATCTGTTGGGCCAGTGCTGGCTACAGCAGCCAAGCTTCAGACATCACTGCATCTTTATCAATGACCTTGGGACCACAGGAGGTGACCTTCTGACCAAACAGCAGCCAATGAAGGAATCTTAAAAGGCACATCACTTTATATTTATTCAGTGGTTATGTCATCACTTAATCCTCACCACAACCTTGTGAGTTCAGTAGAATTTGTGTTTTCATTTTATCTGTGAACAAATGGAGGCAGAGAGTTTGAGTAATTTACAAGTAAGTGGCAGATCCGGGGGCTGTGCCTAGACAATGTGGCTCCAGACTCCTTGCCCCTCCCTGCCTTCTGCTGCATCTTGATTGAGTCTAGCCATCTATTTCTTTAACACACACTAATTGCTGTCTCCATGTTCCAGGCCCTGTGCCAGATGCTAGAAATACATCCCCATCCACTGGATCTTGGCATGGTCCATTGCTCAGTGTCCTGCTATGTTACGTGTTACATAATGCATTTATTCCGGTATTTAGCCCATGGAAAATAATGCTGAAAGACATTGTATGCATGTTTCTACAACAAAACTATGTAACTTATGTTTCTTTTATTGCTTTGGCTATCAGGAAGCTCTTATCCAAATCAGAGCAAATACATTAGAATTTGGGCTTGTCATTTCAGTTTGCTGAACTTTTCCTTCTGGCCCAGATTTTCTATTTTGGTTCATAAATTCTATTGCACAAATGTCCTTTATTGTAAAACACCTTAAATTCTTTCTAAGGGAAGGCTGCATGGAAATGATACAGTAAGGTCTTCCCTGCATTTTCTTAGATTCCTATTAGGGAAGGCAGACCTAGATGTCCCTCTTACCCTCAGTCCCAAAGCCCCCCATTTATAAAATCCCTTAAGCAGTGACTACTGCTGTTCTGAGTACCTGGAGGTAGTTCAGAGCTTCTGAAAGGTAACATCCATATACAAAAAGAAGTTCCTTCCGATCCAGATCCCAGCTTTGGTGCCAGATGCACATTTGAGGAGTAGGTGGCTAGTCAGACTCTCACCTGAGCAGTTAATAAAATCTATTGCCCCTTAATGGAATTTTTTCTGCAAGCTCGAATTGATCTGTCATCTTTGTGATTTGTGAGATGGCAGGGAAGCACCAAACACCATCATGACTTGGGCCACAGTGGGGGGAAAAAAGGAAAAAAGAAAAAAAAAATCCACTGCCAAGCCTTGCCAGGCGTAGAAAGGGCTGGAACTGCTGGGGCCATTTTATCTGATTTATTGGAAATAGAGTGGATCTTATTAACATTTTAATAAAGAGAATCTTTTTGCACTAGGCTGGAAGTGGCCGCCAGTCCCCCGTGCAATTCCATTCTCTGGAAAAGTGGAATCAGCTGGCATTGCCCAGCGTGATTTGTGAGGCTGAGCCCCAACAGTCCAAAGAAGCAAATGGGATGCCACCTCCGCGGGGCTCGCTCCTCGCGAGGTGCTCACCCCGTATCTGCCATGCAAAACGAGGGAGCGTTAGGAAGGAATCCGTCTTGTAAAGCCATTGGTCCTGGTCATCAGCCTCTACCCAATGCTTTCGTGATGCTGCTGCTGATCTATTTGGGAAGTTGGCTGGCTGGCGAGGCAGAGCCTCTCCTCAAAGCCTGGCTCCCACGGAAAATATGCTCAGTGCAGCCGCGTGCATGAATGAAAACGCCGCCGGGCGCTTCTAGTCGGACAAAATGCAGCCGAGAACTCCGCTCGTTCTGTGCGTTCTCCTGTCCCAGGTAGGGAAGAGGGGCTGCCGGGCGCGCTCTGCGCCCCGTTTCTGCATTCGGATCGCCCGGCACGGGCAGGGTGAGGGGGCTTTCGGGGGGTCGGGGCCTCCGGTCGCGGCGGCGAAGACAGATCGGGGCTCGGTAGGGAGGTCATTCCGAGCCCAGAGATCCTAGGCACCCCCCACACACAGGCTCCCACTCTGGCGTGCGTGTGTGTGTGTGTGTGTGTGTGTGTGTGTGTGTGTGTGTGTGTACGTTCGTTAACGGGAGGAGGAGAGAGCTCCCAGTCCTTTTTTGCTAGCAGGGGCGACATTCTCGCCCACATCAAGTGGGGTAACTTTGGTTCCCTCCTCCGGAGGCTCGGTGCATTGGAGAAAGACTCAGTTAGAGGCGACTCCAACGAGCCGCGGTTTTCCCCAGCCCAACGCCCAGCGGCCGAAGCGCTGCTCGGGTCCGGATTGCGGGATGCGGGGCTGGAGAGGCCGAGCAGGCACCACCGACTTCCCAGGGCGCCCGGGCCCCCTGGTACAGCCCGGCTGCCCGCTGGAAGGCGCCTCGGGGCAGCAGAGAGCCTCAGCCCGGCTGCTGCTGTCGCTCAAAGGCGCCGGCGCCGGCCGCACCCGCATCGGGGTCCTTTTGCTCCCAGACCCCGGGCCCGAAAGGGCCGGAGCGTGTCCCCCGCCAGGGCGCAGGCCCCAGCCCCCCGCACCCCTATTGTCCAGCCAGCTGGAGCTCCGGCCAGATCCCGGGCTGCCGCCTCTGCTGCCTTCCCTGAGCGGGAGCGGAGCGCAGAGAAAAGTTCAAGCCTTGCCCACCCGGGCTGCAGCTGCTTGTTAACCCTCAGAGCGCCACGGCGCGAGGGAAGGGCACGCCAACCAGGAGAGGGGGCGAGGGAGATGCGGTCCGCCTGCAGTCACCTCTGCACCTCAGAGATTTCGGGAAGTTTGAGTGCAGGAAAGCAGCGCTCCGAGGCCAGGCCTGGGGTGCTGGCCGCTGCGGGGGGCACGCCCTGCGCTGCTCAGGGGCCTGTGGTTTCGGAGAGCACCCCGATCCAGTCCCCCATCGCCTCTCTGGCAGGCGTTGGGACTTGGAGTGAGCTGGCAGCCTGCAAGTGGGTGGATAAGAGCCAGGGCAGGGCAGGGCCGGGCAGAGTAAGGAGGGAAAGAGACAGGGAGTGCCTCAGGGTGCTAGGAATGAGTGTTGAGTTCCTGGCCGGGGTAGAGGCTCAGGTGAGAGTTTGCGGGTGAAAGGCAGGGGAAGGGAGTTGGGTTCCCAGGTAGGGACTGTCTGGGATGGGGAGACTGGTGCAGACTTCTAAGGGAGACCACTGTTAGAGCAATGTTGGGTTTAGACTTTGGAAATGGGCTAACATCTCAGAAATGCAGTGATGGGTGATAGTACCAGGGGAGATTCAAGTGCCCGGCTGCTGAGCCCGCTCCCAAGCTCCTGACTTCTTTCTTGGATATACAGTCCCGATTAAGGACTGCCCAGTTATAGCTCCTTTTCTACCAGGCTTTTCTGGTTGATTATCTTGGGGTCCCTACAGCCTTGAGTCTTGCCATGGATCCCAAGCCTGGCTGTGAACCAGTTTTCCAGATGTCCTGTACCCTAGAGACCCCAAGGCTGTATGTGTGTACATATACCCCAATTTAGCAAGGCGGTTTGGAGCATGCCTCAGACAGAAAGGATTCAGACAGATCCTTCCTGCCATCTGCTAGTGGTACCAACCCGGGCAAGTTGTTTAACCTCTTTGAGCTTCCAAGTTCTCCATTGTAAAATAATCTGCTGCCTTCCTAGGACTGCTGAGTGGATAGGATTGCATTCAACAGGATGTCCTATGCAATGCATGCCAGTCTGGGAGCTGTCGGTGTCTGAGAGCACTTACCATTGCCTTGTCCAGGACTTCACAGTCCTCTTTCTTTCTTGGCAGGTTTCAACCTCAGTTCATATTCCAGGGCTTGCCCAAAGTTATGCCTCCTTTAAAGCAAGACAGACCACGTGACAGGGCCCCAGGATCGATTTTTATGCACTAAGGGCTCTGCGCACGGTTCTTTTTGCAAATGAACTGGTGTGTCTCCTCACCCAGGGCCAGGCTGGCACAGGTGGGTTCTGAAGGCTCACTCTATTTATTTAGATGAAGGAAGCAGAGATTTTGCTGTGAATTGAAATGATTGCCCTGAGAGGCTTATTTCTATTTTCAATTGTTATGCATATCAGAGCAAATGTCCACATTAGGATAGTAATTGATATCCTGGTAGCAATAGTACCTCACAGAGAAATCATTTTGATGCAATCCAGTTAACCAGCAAGAAGTTCACGTGCAGAACTCTGTGTGCCATAGAAAAAAGTGGGGAAAGTCTTCGAGGCCTTGAGTCGACGAGCAAAAACACAACTTTCCTGAGGCAGAGAGAAAACAGAAGGGAAAAACAATGTAATAAAACAAATTAGTCACTCGGCCCTGGTGGTGTTCAGGCAAGCCTGTATGTTTTTTTCCACCACAGTTGTAAAGCATCGGGTCTGGCTTTGGAAGCCATCAATCTCTGTAAGCTTATTGGCTTGGTTGTTGTTTTAGGCATTTTGGTAGGAGGTGAGGAATTCTAAGCAACAATGACTGGAAGCTGGCACCGTTGAACAGTCACCTCTCCTATCCCCTGGGGTGTTTTGGGAAAGTCTGTCCCAGAAGTGGCTTCTGGAATTTGCCTATGATAAGTAATGACTGTGAAACAAATCAAGAAAGAAATGAGCAAGAAATTCCATGGTAAATGTGATTCCCCTCCCTATTTGGGTAGCACTTACAACTAACCAAAAGTTCTAACAATGAGTGAGTAATCCCCCAAGAATTAGGAATTTAGGGAGGGGTTCAGGCTTGGAGGACAGTCGCTTGGGAGTGACTGAAAATGTTCCATGGAATTCTGAGATTTCGCTATAAAGTGGGGAGTTCTCTCTAGGGGTCAGAGTCTTGATTTTCAGGATTTTCAATGAGAATCAGTGTCTTATAGTGCTCCTGCAAATTTGTGTGTTATGTTTTAAGAGCAGTGTTTATTTGCAGAACTTTTTGGATGAGGAAAAGGACACAGGGTTGAAGAGGGTGCTGCCCCCTCCCCCCCTAGGGTCAATACATGACAGCCTGTAAGATTTCCAGAGCACTAGGGAAATGGAATATGTAGTGAAAGGAGTCAGTGATAGAGTTCACCTGTCTGAATATTTTTTTTTAGCAAGTCCCAAAACAGGTTTAATAAACTGCAAAGCTGAGTATGTAATCTGGAATTTGTGTAATTCCACAGTCTATACTAAAAGCCCCAACAGTCATCTTAGCTGATCGCTCCTACTCTGCCTCCCTCCCTTCTCCCCTTTTCTATCTTTAGCCCTTGGGTTTTCCGTTAAGTAAAATCTGTTTACTTCCAGAAGTATCCTCTATGTGTTATAGTGAAATTGCCCAACAAACCAACATACTCAATAACTGCATTATCTAAAAGCATCAGCACTTGGATGTGTAAACTGAGCCTCAATCTGAAGTTCAATGTTTAGGTTAAAGTGTAGCTAGGTTCTTGAAA